>NC_000007.14:128756779-129381779 GCF_000001405.40 Homo sapiens
AAAAATAAAGTTTTGGACAGGCACAGTGGCTTATGCCTATAATCCTAGCATTTTGGGAGGCCGAGGCAGAAAGGTTGCTTGAGTCCGGGAATTCGCGACCAGCCAGGGCAACAAAGCCAGACCCCGTCTTTACAAAAAAAATATTAAAAATTAGCCAGGAGTGGTAATACTTGTCAGTAGTCCTAGCTACTTGGGAGGCCGAAGCAGGAGGATTGCTTGAGCCCCAGAGTCCAAGACTGCATTGAGCTATGATTGCATTGCACTCCAGCCTGGGCCACACAGAACAAGGACCTGACTATAAATTAAAAAAAAAAAAAATTGTATCTTCCTGTTTCCCTCCTTATATATATATGTGCATGTTGCTATTAGGCTATTTGAGTCCAGTCACCATTTTTACCTTTTACCCCAAGGAGGGGAGGAGAGCACTTATGTAAGAATCTAGTCTTAAAGTATAAGTTGTCTTGTTATGTTTCTTATTTATGTTACATAGTCCTGAAACCTTGTTTAGAAGAGACACTTTAGTATCTGAGAAAGGCTTGTTTGCCTTACGTTCTCCATCTCAACCTATTATGGCTTTGAGTGTGTGTGTGTGTGTGTGTGTGTGTGTGTGTGTACACAGGATCCCAAAGCCTTATGACTCGTTAAGCTGTCTGACTGAATTTTTGACACTCAATAAAAAATGAAGCTTCAAAATGCTCAACTCTCAAAATAGTACAGTAGTTTTGTTTTTGTTTCTTTAAACTGTGCTTAAAGTATGGAAAGACTGAACAATCTCAAAGGTCAGCAGTAATGATGTTATTCTTAAAGGGGCCCTGTGGGTCTTTTTTATAAAAGCAGTGTCATATCCTTTTTATGTAATCAATATGTTGCAGGAACAATAATTTCTTACCATTAATGTGGTGTCTTTTACTTTTTAAAATATCTTCATGTCTGTTATCTTAATTTGGTTTATACAGGAACGCAGATTGAAAAAGAATTTTATTTTCTGCAGTTAACGCCACATTTTTTCAGCTTAAAAAACTAAATTTCACTTTTCTATATTCTTATATAGAGACTAGATAACTGCTGCTTGTGTAGCTCGATGTCATAACAGATGGGTAGTTCCAAATTCAATTTGGTTGTAATCTAAGGGTTTTTTTTTTTGTATACCTTTGTCAAGTTATTATTGACATAAAGTGAACTGTATGTATTTAAGTGCATAATTGATGAGTTTTGACGTATGTATTTACCAGTGAAACCACCACTGCAATCACGATAATGAGCATATCCATTACCCCCCCAACATTTCCTCATGTCCCTTGGTAATCCTTCTCATTCTCGCCATTCCCCCGTCCCTAGGCAATCACTCATCTGTTTTCTGTGACTCTAAGTTAGTTTGCATTTTCTAGAATTTTACGTAAATGGGGATGAACAATACCTGTCACTCTTGGTAGATTTCTGCGTTGACTGAAAAAAAACAGAATGTGACCTTCAAAGTGGTGGCATTCTATTGCTTGAATCCAAGTGTCCATTATGTGAGGTAGAAGGCCTTTGATTTCTATCTTTTTAATGAGATCCTAATGTTTAATAAAAGTAGCAATAACTGACATTTGTTGAAAGCCAACTATGTGCCAGGCATTGTTCTAAGCACTTAGATATATTTTCTCATTTAAACCTTACAACAATCCTATGAAGCCGGCACCATTGCTAGCTCCATTTTACAGATAAAAGAGACCAAGACACAGGCCAAACAGCTAGAAAATGGTAGAGTTCAAACTCAGGCAGTATGGGACTTGAGAGCCACCACTGCCTTCCAGATGTAACTAGAAAATTCAAGCCTTCTAGTAGCCTTAATACCAATAGTGAAGCATAACAGTGAGTTACATAGTTCAGGAGCCAGAGTTCCATGTGAACTTGGAGCTGACTCTGAGATCTGATGCCTGGAGCTGTAGCCCAAAACTAAATGTCTTTGTACTGCTGCAGTTTTACCTGTGTCATCAATTATTTCTTCCTTGCATGGTTTTATCTTTATTGGAAATTGATTTCCCACCCCACACATTTTCATGTTTTCTGAAAGTCTTTTAAGATTTGACCTAAATTTTTGTTTTCTAGATGATCCAGATCCTGATGATGGATTTAACTATAAACAGATGATGGTTAGAGATGAGCGGAGGTTTAAAATGGCAGACAAGGATGGAGACCTCATTGCCACCAAGGAGGAGTTCACAGCTTTCCTGCACCCTGAGGAGTATGACTACATGAAAGATATAGTAGTACAGGTGGGTGAGATGAAGGATTCTGAACAGGGACTCAGTTTCTCTTTTTGTGGCTTATTCTGTCTTTCCCCTTTAGCCTTATATAGCATATCTTATATATATATATGCTATATAGCATATCACTGTATATGCTATATAAGTATTGGCCAGATTCAGAATCCAAGGTCTGTCACTGTTTTTCTGTGACCTTGATCAAGGTGCCTTGGGCATTCTGTTTAGTATGATAATACCTTCTGTCATATAATGTATTTTGCCATTTCATTGGTAGCTTCATATTGTAAGAATGGGGGGAAATCCCATTATTTAAAATATCCCATGACCAATAGTCAGACATTGAGTAATAACAGTGATACTAAAGAACTCTCACAGAAGGCAGTTACTGACAACATAGACTATCTATAGCTAAACACATAATCACTGGTCACATCTCCTGTTAGTGTGACTTTAGCATGACTAAGGCTACCAGGTAGATCATCATGGGCTTGATGGGATAGTTTGTCATTAAGCAGTGTCAGTGTTCTGTCAGGAAGACTCAGTTATTTTAGATTGAAGCATAGGAAATTGCTCATGTTTTACCATTTCTTGGCTAGAAATGGTTTTAACCATACAGACACACATGCATACATACATACATACATACATACATGTACAAGTGTGTTTAATGAATAATAAATGTTTACCTAAACTAGATACTTTACTTTCTTCTGGCAAATTCAGAGACCAACTTAATAGTCTCTTCTTATTCTTTCCTGTTTAGGAAACAATGGAAGATATAGATAAGAATGCTGATGGTTTCATTGATCTAGAAGAGTATATTGGTAAGTCTCTGCTTTTAGTGTTTTTCTTAGAAAAGCTGAGAAGCTTTGAAAGGTGTATTTGCTGGCTGGGCACAGTGGCTCATGCCTGTAATCCCAACACTGGGAGGCCGAGGCGGGCAGATCACCTGAGGTCAGGAGTCCAAGTCCAGCCTGGCCAACATGGGGAAACCCCGTCTCTACTAAAAATACAAAAAAATTAGTTGGGTGTGGTGGCGGGCGCCTGTAATCCCAGCTACTCAGGAGGCTGAGGCAGAAGAATCGCTTGAACCCAGGAGGCGGAGGTTGCAGT
Organism: Homo sapiens; assembly: GCF_000001405.40. NCBI lineage: Eukaryota > Metazoa > Chordata > Mammalia > Primates > Hominidae > Homo > Homo sapiens. The sequence goes on from NC_000007.14 coordinate 128,760,142, forward strand.
GAGCCGAGAACACGCCATTGCACTCCAGCCTGGGCAACAAGAGTGAAACTGTCTCAAAAAAAGAAAGAAAGAAAGATGTATTTGCCCATAGAAACAATTTACTCCAAGGGTCAATTCTCACTAGCTCATTAGCTGTCACCAGATCATTAACCAGACCAGTGTGATAGTGGGTTGTGATAAAGTATCCGTAGCCACATTGCCCAATCAAAATATAAATGTGAGCCCCATATGTAATTTTAACTTTTCTAATAGCCACATTAAAAAGTAAAAAGAAACAGATGAAATTTCAGTAGTTATTTAACCTAATATTCTAAAACTCTATAATTTCCACTTAATGTAAATTATTGAGGGTTTTTTTTTAATACTTAAAGCACATCCCAGCCACATTTCAAGTGCTTAATAAGCACCTGTGGCTACCATCCTCAACAGCACAGATATAGTGTATCCTGCATGCTCTATGGAACTGATGGTAAAGAGTTGCAGGGGGCTGGGCACGGTGGCTCACGCCTGTAATCCCAGCACTTTGGGAGGCCGAGGCGGGCGGATCACAAGGTCAGGAGATCGAGACCATCCTGGCTAACACAGTGAAACCCTGTCTCTACTAAAAATACAAAAAATTAGCCGGGTGTAGTGGCAGGCGCCTGTAGTCCCAGCTACTGGGGACGCTGAGGCAGGAGAATGGCATGAACCCAGGAGGCAGAGCTTGCAGTAAGCTGAGATCATGCCACTGCACTCCAGCCGGGGCTACAGAGCGAGACTCCGTCTCAAACAAACAAACAAAAAAAAGAGTTGCAGGGAGCCCAGACTGACATAGGGAAACCCAGGGAAAGGAGATAGGGAATAGATTAAAAGATGGATAAATAAATGACGGGGAGTTGCTGATCCCTCTTGTAGCCATTCCTTTTTACTGTGTTCTGTTCATATTTTCTCTCTGATTCTCTGACTACTTTCCTTTTGTTTTTTAAGTTTCTCCCTTTTGACATTTCCCTTTTTAGTTGTCTAAATTTTTTTAAAAAAATTGTTTTGGATGTCACACCTTCAAGGCTAATTTCTCCCAAGTAAAGCTCTGTTTTATTATCATCAGACTAATTTTAAGATATTCTCATTGCTTTAAAAAAAAAAAGCTGTCTTTCTTACCAAGTAGTTGAGCAAATTGTTTCCCAATTACTGTGACAGAAATTAAAATGAGTAAAGGAGCTGGGTGTGGTGGCATACCCGGTTACTTGGGAGGCTGAGGCAGGAGGATCACTTGAGTCCAAGAGTCTGGACTATAGTCACAAGTTCATCATCAATATGGTGACCTCCTGGGAGCAGAGGATCACCAGGTTGCCTAAGGAGGAGTGAACCGGCCCGGGACAGAATCAGAGCAGGTCAAAACTGTGCTGATTAGTAGTGAGGTTGTGCCTGTGGATAGCAATTGTACTCCAACCTGAGCAACATAGCGAGACTCCATCTCTTTAGAAAAGTGAGTAAAGATGGAAAGTATAAGACTGTTACTACAAATGTCATTGTTACAAATACTTTGTTTAGAAAGATATTAGATATTTTAATATTTCACATACTTATTGTCATTTGTAATAACTTATTCTAGCACACCATTGGTTTTGTGTTTCAGATAAGCCCGTTTGTTTTTAGACCTCTGATAGTTACCTGAAATGTTTATTTGAAGCCTGAAAGGAAGACTTAATCCTTACCTCTATCACCTGTCATTAAACTGTATGGAGCAAGTCACTGCTTTACTTAGATGTTGTCTTATCATACCTGTTGTTTACATGCTAGAGTTATTCCAATTGAATTACTCCTTGACTGTTTACCTCCCTTTTCTTAGGTTCAGTGGCATACTTTGAACTTTTTAAAGAAGGATGAGCAATGGAAGATAGGATGGATGTTTTCCTAAACTGATTTTTTTTTTTTTTGGAGAAGTTTATCAGGACAGTGGATAAGTGCCTAGGTGCATTTACTGAGCCCACGTTGATGTTACTAGGGTTTTCTACTTTTAAATGATTTATCTTTTTATTCTTGGCTTTTGCCATTTTATTGCCATTGCTAAAACTGAGGAACTCATTTGAACCTCCCAAGGAGAGGAATTTTTATAACTGTTAACTACATCACTTATCAAGCATTGAGGCCAAATAAGGAGATATTTCTGTCTCCCTGTGTATCATATAGATTCAAGGGCAGAGGAGTTATATTTTGAAGCTACCAAAACTATCTTGTGCATGTGTGCTTTTTTTTTTTTTTTTTACAAGTCAGTAACTAATGCAAACACTTTTACATCTGGGATGCTGGGCTTTGTAAATCTAAAATTCTCCCAAACAGTATCTTTCAGCTTCTAGTGCCCTGTTGAAGGAGATCATGAAGAAACAAAGTTCTTCGCCTCATAAATTTAGCATTAAAAAGAAGCCCCATCAGTGCCTGTGGAAACATAGGGAAAGAAAAAAAAAAACACCCAAAGTTGTGCTGATAATTATTTTTATTTTTAAAATTTATTATAGAGCATTGCAGACGTACACAACTTATTTGTTTATTTATTTATGTTTTTTTTGAGACAGTCTTGCTCTGTCACCCAGGCTGGAGTGCAGTGGCGTGATCTCCACTCACTACAATCTCTGCCTCCCAGGTTCAGGCGATTCTTGTGCCTCAGCCTCCTGAGTAGTTGGGATTACAGGCATGCACCACCACACCTGGCTAATTTTTGTATTTTTAATAGAGGCGGGGTTTCACCATGTTGGCCAGGGTGATCTTGAACTCCTGGCCTCAAGTGATCTGACCACCTTAGCCTCCCAAAGTGCTGGGATTACAAGTGTGAGCCACTGCACCTGCCCCCAAATTAGAATAGTATAATGAATCCCCATGTACCTATGCCTAACCTCAACAACAATCAACTTACAGCCAGTTTTTTCTCAGCCACATCCACTTCCTTGCTTCCTTCTTACTTTGAAGTAAATCCCAATCATTATGTCATTTCATCTGTAAACATTGAGGTATATATGTCTAAAATATATATGTGTTTCTAAAAACATTTTTTTAAAGATAATGTCAACCCAAGAAAATTAATAATACCTTCAAATCATCAAATAGACTGAGTCTTTTAAAAATAGAAATTCGGCCGAGCATGGTGGCTCATGCCTGTAATCCCAACACTTTGGGAGGCTGAGGTGGGCGGATCACAAGGTCAGGAGTTAGACACCAGCCTGACCAACCTGGTGAAACCCCGTCTCTACTAAAAATATAAAAATTAGCCAGGTGTGGTGGCATGTGCCTGTGTAATCCCAGCTACTCAGGAGGCTGAGGCAGGAGAATCGCTTGAACCCAGGAGGCGGAGGTTGCAGTGAGCCGAGATCGCGCCACTGCACTCCAGCCTGGGCGACAGAGCAAGACTCTGTCTCAAAAAAATAAAGTAAAATAAATAAAAATAGAAATTCAAATAGTTTATCATGGTCACCTAGCTTTAAAATGCGCTTACGTTGTAGTGTATTGTGTATTCTAGCTTCCTTTAAAACCATATCTTTTAAGCATGTGTCTATTTCCTAATTCAGAACTTTCCAATCTGTATCCTGTGAGTAAGTCTTCTTGGCTTTCAGGACAGCTAGGGCAGGAACCTGATCCAGTGGACCGTACAAACTACATTTTCTGAATGTGCTGTAGCATGGGAAAAAATTGGCAAGTCCTGCTGTGAGGAATTTCTCTTGTGAGTTTAAGACAGAGGAGTACTTCTACCCTTAACCCTCAAGGTCAGGAAAATGGCAGCACTGACTAAATAATTACCTTTGCTTAGAACTTGCAGGAACTATTTAGATTTCTCTTTAGGTGTTTTCCCATACCTTACATGCAATGCAGGTACACTTAACTTAGATGTCGTATAACTCAAGCATTTTCAGACTTGTTCACTTAAATAACTCCTGAAAGAATTTGACCAACAGCATTCCCTTATGTGTTTTAAAGTTGGCATCTGAAATATTTAATTAAGAAATTTAAACAGTTGTAAAGAATAGTCTCTGTTGGGCCGGATGCCGTAGCTCATTCCTGTAATCCCAGAACTTTGGGAGGCTGAGGCAGGTGAATCACTTGAGCCCAGGAGTTTGAGAACAACCTGGACAACATGGCGCAACCCTGTCTCTACAAAAAATACAAAAAAAAAGAAAAAATTAGCCAGGCATGGTGGCGTGTGCCTGTAGTCCCAGCAACTCAGGAGGATCACTTGAGCCTGAGGGTTTGAGGTTGCAGTGCACCGTTATTGTACCACTGCACTCCAGCCTGGGCAACAGAGCAAGACCCTGTCTCAGAAGAAAAAAGAATAATCTCTGTTGGTGATAAGCATTGACATTTTGAAAGTAATTCGGAAAGAAATCTATAAAATTTAAATACAAGATACCATAGCAACTTCTTACCTGCCGTCTTTCATATGAATAATTTGGACACGACAACTTTAAAAAGATAATCAAGAAATTTAAATTCAGTCTGGGTATTAGATGATACCAAGGAATTGATTTTGTAAAATATGAAAGTGGCATTGTGGGTATATAAGAAAATATCCGTAATTTTTTACATTTCATAATAGTTAAAAAGGAAATGTTTCTTTGGTACTTTTTTTTTTTTAGTTATGGCGTTTGGTTAGCAACAATGTGACCATCACTTAATTGCCCTTTTTTTTGTTTAAATTTATAGGGATTTGGGGATATTTATACTACTTATCAGTCACCACATGATATTGTCTTAAAAAAATAAATGAATAAACTGTTAACCAACTTGGACATTTTACACGCATCCTGTTTCTTCTTCTTCTTCTTTTTTAAAAAGACAAGAGTCTCATTCTGTTGCCCATGTTGGTGTGCAGTGGCACAATCACAGCAGCCTCGATCTCCAAGGTGGGGAGATCAAGTGATCCTCTCACCTCAGCTGGGACCACAGAAGAGCACCACCACACCCAGCTGATTTTTTTTATTATTATTCTTATAGACATGGGTCTCCCTACATTGCCCAGGCTGGTCTGGAAATCCTGGGCTCAAGAGCTCTACCTGCCTTGGCCTCCCAAAGTGCTGGGATTACAGACATCAGCCACCCGACCTCCTGTTTCTTTTTTTTCTTTTTCTTTTTGAGACAGGGTCTCACTCTGTCACCTAGGCTGGAGTGCAGTGGCATGATCATGGTTCATTGCAGCCTCGATCTGCTAGGCTCAAGCCATCCTCCTGCCTCAGCCTCCCGAGTAGCTGGGACTGTAGGTGCATGCTGCCATGCCTGGCTAATTTTTGTATTTCTTGTAGGGATTTTGCCATGTTGTCCAGGCTGATCTCAAACTCACAAGTCAGCCTTCTATTTGTTAGATTCATTTGCAGTTTACTTCCTCAACAGAATTATATTCTGACATATTTTATCTTGAAGCCTTAGTCACTTTGACATTCTTATTTGCAAGAACATTGTGTATGTAAATTGAAATATGGAAAATGGTGTTCTGTGATATGGCTCTTAAGTGTTTTTAGAGTCTTCTGTGTTAAGTTACTATTACAATTATTAATACACAATTGAACAAAATAACATTTATTACAGACGTTTTATGTTTATATATTTTTAAATGCATTTCTTTGACACATTTTTATTCAAATAGTTTCATATCCATGGATGACAATTACTTATCCCTAGAGTGAAATGGGATTCAGCACCAATTCCTAATTTTTATTTTTTAGAGGAAGTACTAACAGACCTTGTTTACATTAGTAAATAAGTTGATGGAAGATTTGTCATAGCAATATTGCTTAGTTCTTGGAACTCCTTTTGAGTTACATGCCAGAAATCATGTAATCTATCATCAAAAATTATGGGTTTTGTTTGTTTCAAGGTGGAGTCTCTCTCTCTCACCCAGGCTGTAGTACACAGGCACGGTCTCGGCTCATTGCAACCTCTGCCTCTGGGGTTCAAGCGATTCTCCTGCCTCAGCCTCCCCAGTAGCTGGAGATTACAGGTGTGGGCCAGCACGCCCGGCTAATTTTATTTTTTATTTTTAGTAGAGACGGGGTTTCACCATGTTGGCCATGCTGGTCTCAAACTCCTGACCTCAAGTGATCCACCCGCCTCAGCCTCCCAAAGTGCTGGGATTACAGGCATGAGCCACTGCACCCAGCCCAAAAATTATGTTTAATGATCCCTTAGCTAAAACTCAATTAGGCCATTTTTCAAGGTTTTTTTTTTTAAAGCAAAGAATTTAAAACCTTTTGACATGCAAACGAATTTATTCATTTTTTTTCAGGCATTTGCATTCTCAAGACTGACACTAGTATTTCTTTTTCTTTTTTTTTTTTTTTTTTTTTGAGACGGAGTCTTGCTCTGTCGCCCAGGCTAGAGTGCAGTGATATGATCTCGGCTCACTGCAACCTCTGCCTCCTGGGTTCAAGTGATTCTTTTGCCTCAGCCTCTCGAGTAGCTGGGATTACAGGCACGCACCACCATGCTCAGCTAATTTTTGTATTTTTAGTAGAGATGGGGTTTTGCCATTTTGGCCAGGCTGGTCTCAAATTCCTGACCTCAGGTGATCTGGTCTCAAACTCCGACCTCAGGTGATCTGCCTGCCTAGGCCTCCCAAAGTGCTGGAATTACAGGTGTGAGCCACCACGCCCATCCAGACACTAGTATTTCTAATTGTTTCTTTTTCATTATCTTGGAGCTTTTTACACTCTAGTTTCAAAATGGTTGAAAATATGCCTTTCTTTTATAAAGTGGGACAAGGGCAGTTGTGAAAGGGGGGAGATGGGAAAAAAGCCTTGATGGCCAGAGGTACATTCTTATGAAGATCAATTTTTGGAAAAATCTATATGTGGAACTGAGTATCTGGAATTTGATTCTCTCTTGACTGACCTTTCTCAGTGTACTCCTTGACAGTGTTCCTGTTTCCCCAGGGGCGTGCTTGTCCCAACTGAAGGCCACTGGTATAATGGACTCTTTGTAGTAATTGGCTACACCTTTCTAAAACAAGTGGTCCCGTTTAATTAGCTACCTTAGGGTGAAATGAAATGTAGGGAACGAGTCTAAGTCTTTCTTGATGGTAGCTCTCTCCTCTTATTTCTGCATTTATTAAGGTATAAGAACTCTTTGCTCTCATGTGACTTAAAATCAGCAGCTGGAAATATTCTTGTTGCAAGATAAGTGATTAAGCCTCAGGAAAATACCTTGCTTTCTAAGGTCTGTCTGGCCTAAAATACCCTTGTAGCTGCTGTTGGGTTCCAAACAAATGGATGAGGAAAAAGGGTTAGGCCAGATTAGCATGAGGCAGTTTTGGGGAAAAGACAAACCCTTCTTTTGTATGTATGTCTGTGTACCCAGGTGACATGTACAGCCATGATGGGAATACTGATGAGCCAGAATGGGTAAAGACAGAGCGAGAGCAGTTTGTTGAGTTTCGGGATAAGAACCGTGATGGGAAGATGGACAAGGAAGAGACCAAAGACTGGATCCTTCCCTCAGACTATGATCATGCAGAGGCAGAAGCCAGGCACCTGGTCTATGAATCAGACCAAAACAAGGTAAGTCTGGCGAGGCCCACACGCTCTATCCTTGATTGAAGTATGCTTCTAGGGGATCACCTGAACAGTTTCTGTTAAGGTGCATAGAGCATTTAAGGTCTTAATTAGTCTAAGTCAGCCAAGTATCTGAATCTGGCGATTAAAACCTTTCAGGGCAGCACTAGCTATCTGATCTCATTTTAGAAATCCTTTTGCCCAGTGCTGATAGCATTGTAGGAAATTTGGCTTCAGAAAAGAGCCTTTGTGTGTAGCCTGTGCCCAGCATGCATCATCAGGTATTTTTAGATCCCCAGGAATTTTTTTTTTTCTTTGTTACTTCATTTGTTCCTTTACCTATTACAGGCCCATTCTGTCTACTCAAAGCTGGTTGTTTCCTTCTTAAATCAAATAGGCTTTTTTAAATTGGGTCCTTTGTATGGGCTATAAATCAGCTTTTCTCTGGAGCCTGTTCAAATTGTCCTTGATCAATTAATTATCTGAGGTATTTTGTTAAAAGTATTGTTGTCCCTAAGCCCAGTCACCTGCTTCAGAGATTACTCCTGCCCTGCTTGGAGTAAGCTGAAAATCGGTCTAAAGATGGAGATTTTCAGTGTTCTGAGTATATTTTTGTCTAAGCTAATCTTCAATTTCAAATTCAGTTTTTTATTTTAGAGCCTTTTTAAGTGTTGATCTGCTTTAAGTTCTTGCTCAAAGTCACTTTAGTAGCCAGGTGTTGTGTCCTGAGATGTATGAGAAAAGGAAATGCATGTAGTCATCCCTATCTAGGAGATGTTCCATATTTTCCTCTAAAAGGAGAGTTTTCTCCTCATGAAACAAACCTTTATCTCTAGCATTGAGTTGTTGTGTTATATTCTTTCCACCCTTCCACTTTTAACTTTCTTGATAAAAGAAATGTTTAATTGGCCTGGCACGATGGCTCACGCCTGTAATCCCAGCACTTTGGGAGGCCAAGGCAGGCGGATCACCTGAGATTGGGTGTTCAAGACCAGCCTGACAAACATGGAGAAACCCCATCTCTACTAAAAATACAAAATTACCTGGGCGTGGTGGCGCATGCCTGTAATCCCAGCTACTCGGGAGGCTGAGGCAGAAAAATCACTTAAATCACTTTAACACGGGAGGCGGAGGTTGCGGTGAGCTGAGATCGCGCCATTGCACTCCAGCCTGGGCAACAAGAGCGAAACTCCGTCTCAAAAAAAAAAAAAAAAAAAAACAAGGAATGTGTAATTGCTGTTTTCTTCCCTCTTCGTATGTATGTAGGGGGAATGAGGGCTGAGTAGTTCACACTTAATTTAGTAGAAATGAGAATCTTAACTTCTGATTAACCCCAATTCTTCTATAACAGTGTTTCTGAATTTTTAATGGGAAATATGTTCTTCTTCAATTCATTGCTATCTCTACTTTCAGGATGGCAAGCTTACCAAGGAGGAGATCGTTGACAAGTATGACTTATTTGTTGGCAGCCAGGCCACAGATTTTGGGGAGGCCTTAGTACGGCATGATGAGTTCTGAGCTACGGAGGAACCCTCATTTCCTCAAAAGTAATTTATTTTTACAGCTTCTGGTTTCACATGAAATTGTTTGCGCTACTGAGACTGTTACTACAAACTTTTTAAGACATGAAAAGGCGTAATGAAAACCATCCCGTCCCCATTCCTCCTCCTCTCTGAGGGACTGGAGGGAAGCCGTGCTTCTGAGGAACAACTCTAATTAGTACACTTGTGTTTGTAGATTTACACTTTGTATTATGTATTAACATGGCGTGTTTATTTTTGTATTTTTCTCTGGTTGGGAGTATGATATGAAGGATCAAGATCCTCAACTCACACATGTAGACAAACATTAGCTCTTTACTCTTTCTCAACCCCTTTTATGATTTTAATAATTCTCACTTAACTAATTTTGTAAGCCTGAGATCAATAAGAAATGTTCAGGAGAGAGGAAAGAAAAAAAATATATGCTCCACAATTTATATTTAGAGAGAGAACACTTAGTCTTGCCTGTCAAAAAGTCCAACATTTCATAGGTAGTAGGGGCCACATATTACATTCAGTTGCTATAGGTCCAGCAACTGAACCTGCCATTACCTGGGCAAGGAAAGATCCCTTTGCTCTAGGAAAGCTTGGCCCAAATTGATTTTCTTCTTTTTCCCCCTGTAGGACTGACTGTTGGCTAATTTTGTCAAGCACAGCTGTGGTGGGAAGAGTTAGGGCCAGTGTCTTGAAAATCAATCAAGTAGTGAATGTGATCTCTTTGCAGAGCTATAGATAGAAACAGCTGGAAAACTAAAGGAAAAATACAAGTGTTTTCGGGGCATACATTTTTTTTCTGGGTGTGCATCTGTTGAAATGCTCAAGACTTAATTATTTGCCTTTTGAAATCACTGTAAATGCCCCCATCCGGTTCCTCTTCTTCCCAGGTGTGCCAAGGAATTAATCTTGGTTTCACTACAATTAAAATTCACTCCTTTCCAATCATGTCATTGAAAGTGCCTTTAACGAAAGAAATGGTCACTGAATGGGAATTCTCTTAAGAAACCCTGAGATTAAAAAAAGACTATTTGGATAACTTATAGGAAAGCCTAGAACCTCCCAGTAGAGTGGGGATTTTTTTCTTCTTCCCTTTCTCTTTTGGACAATAGTTAAATTAGCAGTATTAGTTATGAGTTTGGTTGCAGTGTTCTTATCTTGTGGGCTGATTTCCAAAAACCACATGCTGCTGAATTTACCAGGGATCCTCATACCTCACAATGCAAACCACTTACTACCAGGCCTTTTTCTGTGTCCACTGGAGAGCTTGAGCTCACACTCAAAGATCAGAGGACCTACAGAGAGGGCTCTTTGGTTTGAGGACCATGGCTTACCTTTCCTGCCTTTGACCCATCACACCCCATTTCCTCCTCTTTCCCTCTCCCCGCTGCCAAAAAAAAAAAAAAAGGAAACGTTTATCATGAATCAACAGGGTTTCAGTCCTTATCAAAGAGAGATGTGGAAAGAGCTAAAGAAACCACCCTTTGTTCCCAACTCCACTTTACCCATATTTTATGCAACACAAACACTGTCCTTTTGGGTCCCTTTCTTACAGATGGACCTCTTGAGAAGAATTATCGTATTCCACGTTTTTAGCCCTCAGGTTACCAAGATAAATATATGTATATATAACCTTTATTATTGCTATATCTTTGTGGATAATACATTCAGGTGGTGCTGGGTGATTTATTATAATCTGAACCTAGGTATATCCTTTGGTCTTCCACAGTCATGTTGAGGTGGGCTCCCTGGTATGGTAAAAAGCCAGGTATAATGTAACTTCACCCCAGCCTTTGTACTAAGCTCTTGATAGTGGATATACTCTTTTAAGTTTAGCCCCAATATAGGGTAATGGAAATTTCCTGCCCTCTGGGTTCCCCATTTTTACTATTAAGAAGACCAGTGATAATTTAATAATGCCACCAACTCTGGCTTAGTTAAGTGAGAGTGTGAACTGTGTGGCAAGAGAGCCTCACACCTCACTAGGTGCAGAGAGCCCAGGCCTTATGTTAAAATCATGCACTTGAAAAGCAAACCTTAATCTGCAAAGACAGCAGCAAGCATTATACGGTCATCTTGAATGATCCCTTTGAAATTTTTTTTTTGTTTGTTTGTTTAAATCAAGCCTGAGGCTGGTGAACAGTAGCTACACACCCATATTGTGTGTTCTGTGAATGCTAGCTCTCTTGAATTTGGATATTGGTTATTTTTTATAGAGTGTAAACCAAGTTTTATATTCTGCAATGCGAACAGGTACCTATCTGTTTCTAAATAAAACTGTTTACATTCATTATGGGGTATGTATGACCTTCATTTTCCAAGAAATAGAACTCTAGCTTAGAATTATGGATGCTCTAAAATGTCAGAATGGGAACTCTCCTCGAAGTTCTCCCAAACTCAGAGACAGCACTGCCTTCTCCTAAATGATTATTCTTTTCTCCCTGTTTTCTGGTATTTTCTAGCATCCTTCTCACCACAGCCATAACCCTTTTTTACTTCCATTAGGCCGTATAACTGGAGAGACCTGCTGCTCGTTATATAATTATCTGATACCAAACACAAGCGATTCTGAATGTACACACACGTTTATCTATAGAGCATAAGGTAAAACAATTTTGTTTAACATTTTGGTATTGTTTACAAATGTTATTAAAACATGCAAATTCATTTTGAGAACCTCGAGAGAATTAAACTATTAACTTTAGTAAACACACAGTTTAAGACAAATATAAAGGTTTAGCCAAATGCAACGGGGAGGAAGCACCTGGAATAATTTGTGCTTGCTCAGGGGCTTGTGGACATGGCTGTTCCTGCCAAAGCTGTAGCAGTTATCCAAAAGTTCTTTCAAACTCATATTTGGGGCCACTGAGTTTTTTTTGTTTTTTTTTTTGTTTTGTTTTGTTTTTTCTTTATGTCTCTCCCATTTCTAAAGTGTTTTCTTAAGTTTGTTCTAATTCAGCATATATCATCTCAGAATGGATCCCCAGCAGGAAAAAAAAAAAAAGTTACTAAAAAGGAAAGTATCCATACACTGAAAACTTAAAGCATATTCCTTTTTGGTTGCCTTGTATGTAGAAATCAGTTCTCCAAGTGCTGTGAATGGTGCCACTTAGGAGTAGAAACTGATGATTGTTGAAATGGCCTTTGGGTGGTCTGAAATAGACCAGTGGAAACAGTAGCTTTGTAGGCAAGAAGGCAATAGTAAGAAAATGAAAAATTGACTCCCCAAACTGCCATCACTCCTTTTACCATCTTTTTTGTGTTTTTAGTAGTTTGGTTTCTGACGGAGACAATAGAAACTTACTTAAAAGTAAAATTTAATTCTAGCTGTTGCAAACAGGCCAATATTGGGTCCTCAGTTGGGGCCAACTTGGGTAGACGAGACAGTAGAAACTTCTGTTTTCTGGGAGCTGCATGTGTCGGATTCATCTGTCATGGCCTTCCCACACACCATCTTCATGATGCAAGCTTGGAACTGGAGAGAAAGGTACAATTGGAGATAACCTTGGCAGATGAGGAAGTATGGGAAAAAAGACCTTATTCTCTGTATCACCAAAGCCTTGCACAATGCTTTGTACCCAGAATGCCCTTAGGTGGTTTTGAATCTATCTTCCCCATCCTGAAAACTATCTAGATTCCAGTCTAGAACTACTCCTGGGTCTACGGTAATCCTAAACTGGTCAAGTCTGAGACCTCACTGTTGGTAAATTCACAAACCATCCTGCTTCATAAAAGCACTGTCAGCAGAGGCCCCTCCATTACTAGCAGGTGCTCCCAGCTGGAAAGGACTGCCAATTCTCTTCTATCCAGGGAGGTTTCAAATTAGTTTTGAGTCTACCTCTGGGATTGAGGAAACAATACCATCTGAAAGTAGGGTTTTTGCCACTTAGGGTTTGGTGTTTATTAGCTCGGATTTCAGATGGGATAGGAAATCCCCCAGTACCTTCAGATGATAAGATATTTTAGAGATTTTTGCATGTGGTATGATTTCTGTGCTTCACACATGCTCGTGCAGGCTAAAAGTTGGAAGGGAAATGATTAAGAAATTATTAAATGCAAGGACTGAAAATTGAGAGGAATCTGAGTTTTTATTTTTATTTTTTTAATTTTATTTAAGTTCCAGGATACATGTGCAGGATGTGCAGGTTTGTTACATAGGTAAACGTGTGCCATGGTGGTTTGCTGCACGAGTTTTTCAATAAAATGCTTTCATTCATCCTGTTCTTTGGAGCAACTTCATTTTCCTGACTCAAGTTCTTTCCTCCGGGGTTCTATTTTCTCGTCTTGATAACCGTGCCTTCCTCCCTGTGCTTACCAAAGGCTTCCCAACCTACTCGGGGGTTTTGTGGCTTCCCTCGTCTACTAGAAACCTGGGTAGAGTCCAGGGTGCTCTGAGTTAAAAGTCAATGGTGAGAAAAGAACCAGGGTCTTCTGGACCATAGGAATGTGAATAAAGAGCTTTACCTGCTTATTCATGAAGCAGTAGATGATGGGATTGTAGATGCAAGCACTCTTGGAGAAGAATGAAGGAATGGTGACAAGCCGTAAGTCCAGCCCATGGTTACGGTTGTTGACCATGTACATGGCGAAGGCCGCGTAGGGCACGTAGCAGACACAGAAGGATCCTACCATCACAACCACCATGCGGCTCACCTCCCGTTCAGCCTTCTGGGTCGTAGCTGACTCCTGCTGCTGAGCTGCAACCTGGGGTGGAGCACGGAAAGCATCACATCTCTCTTTTTCCTGGCCCTCTGGATGCTTTTTTTTTTTTTTTTTAATTTTTAATTTTTAATTTTCTTTTTGAGACCGAGTCTCGCTCTGTTGCCCAGGCTGGAGTTGCAGTGGTGCAGTCTCGGCTCACTGAACCTCCACCTCCCGGGTTCAAGTGATTCTTTTGTCTCAGCCTCCTGAGTAGCTGGGGTTACAAGCACACACCACCATGCCCAGCTAATTTTCGCATTTTAGCATTTTGCCATGTAGGCCAGGCTGGTCTGGAACTATTGACCTCAGGTGATCCGTCTGCTTCGGCCTCCCAAAGTGCTGGGATTATAGGCGTGAGCCACTGCGCCCGGTCTCTGGATGCTTTTCTGTGGGATGGGGGAGGGGGCATCCACTCTGATTGCCTCTTTTCTGTCCCATCTCCTGGCCTAGTTCCTTTGGATCTCCATCATTCTCCCTCCTCCTACTTCCTTTGCTGCTTTTAGATACCCTCTCTGGCTATGGACATTTCCAGGCATCTTATGTTTCAGAGCACTCTTCCTTCTCATGTGGAGCCCCGAACCCCTTCTTCCCTGACTATCAAATGCCACTCACAGCTTTCAGGGCCCTCAGCAGCTGAGTGTAGGAGAAGCAGATGAGGGAGAGAGGCACAATGAAGCAGAAGATGAAGAGGAACCACGTATAGGACTCGCTGCGGTATTTGGTGCCCACGGTGTACCAGTCAGGGCCACAGGAACACTGCAGGCCCTCAGGGATGAACCTGCAAAGGACCAAACACTTGCTCACTGGACTCTCCACAAGAGTGCAGTGGGAGCTGAGATGCCTGGATTGTGTTCTCCACTTAGAACCCACGGAATGCCCTAAGGCTTCAAGCAGGGGGGTTTTCTGTCCTGACTGGGAGAAGCTACAGCAATTCCAACTGCAGAGTAAACGTTAGCACTTGTCTCCCACTGCCCTTTCGCCTCATATTGCAACTCTTTAAAAGTAGAGGTCAAAGACTAAATAGTTATACCCAAGCTCTCTTTCCACCCACATCAACCTGAGCTCCTAGTTAACTCAGCACCACTGCCCTGCACTCTCACCGGCTCCAGCCAAAGAAGGGTGGGATGGAGACGCCAATACCAATGGTCCAGGTAGCCAGGACCACCGTCAGTGCATGCTTGGAGCTGAAGCGGAAGTTGCCGAAGGGCTTACAGATGACAATGTAGCGCTCAAAGGCCAGGAAGGCCAGTGACCATCCTGTAACCAGACCTGTGGTGAAATGTGAGGATAATGGGCTAGACAGAGCCCCACCCAGCCTGGCTGGCAGAGTGGCAAACAGATCGGGTGGAGCAAGCACAGAGAGACAGGGCTGGACTGACATTTGGAGTGAAGACTCAAACATCCTATTTTAGCCAAACTTCTAGTCTGGGTTGCTTTGTACCCCAGTATTTTAAAAAGCACCAGACTCATTTCCCCCAGACTCCTCTTTAGGAACCCCCTCCAGTGGAGTAGCAACCTTTGCCTTCCCCTAACCCCTTTTTCCCCTGCAGTACCTGCTACAGTGCCCAGGAAGCCCTCCAAAGCACAAACATGGCGACCGAAGACGAAGTATCCGTTACAGCTGGCGACGAAGACAGGGAAGACAGAGAAGATGCAGAGGAGGAAGCCTCCGAAGGACACGTTGACCAGAATGTAGTTGAGGGGCTGCCGCAACTTTTTGTAGCGCAGTGTGGCCACCAGCACCATGGCATTGAGTGGGAACCCTATAAGGAAGACAGTGCCCATGAAAGCTGCCTGGAGGTAGAAGGCCCAGACAGGGGCAATGTGGTACTGAGGCCCATCCCACGGCCCCACTGAAGAGATATTTTTGAACAGATAAAACTCTTCCTCCGACATTTTTCTCATGGATGCCCCACACCCCCCTCTGAGTCCTCTTATAGGTGATCCTCCCACCCCACAAAACCCCTCCTCTAAAAACACTTGGGCTCTGTGAATGATCAATACTAATCCTAAACCTCCCAAGGACAAAGTTTGGGATTAGAAATCCCTAAACCACTACCTAAACCTTTTGTGGCCCCAAAGCCGATTGTGTTCTTCAGAGGATAAGAGATTGGGCTCAAATAATCTGGATATGCAATGCTGGGTGCTGGGATGAACAGAAGTGGACTCCCTGAGGTCTGGGAGGTGCTGACCCATATTCACTGAAGATGCTTCCACTTTTTTGTTCTTTTAATGGGGCTATAGAAAGGGCACGCCTCTTATTTTGGCTTCTGGCACAACTGTATCAGTTAAGTTTTCCTCAACTCATCTGCCCCTTTGTGGAAGGTGCCCATCTTAAGTCTGCTGAGAGGCTAGGAACCAGCCCTGGGCTGCAGGAAAGGGCTGGGAGTGGGGAGTGCCCTGGAAGCACATCAGTAAACAGCCTTGATGGAACAGGACTTAGGCAACTTGACAATGCCTAGAGGTCTAGGGCATCCCTGAGCCAGGCTGCCTCCATTTCTTTGTGTTGAATCTACTCAAAGAGTGTGCCTTTCCTACTCAGACCTCCAGCCAGGGAGGTGGGTCTGTTCACTGTCCTTACGCCATGTTCATGCCTACCCCTACCCTTAGCTCAACAAGTCGCCACAGTCTTCCTCCTGTCTGTTCATTGAAGTCTTATCTAGCCCTCACAGCCTACCTCACAAACACCTCTTCTGTGCAGCCCACCCCAGTGACACCAACTCTGCTTTAAGTTCCACCTGCACTTGTACTCAGTACTACACTTTAGGCTTTATGAATGAATCTTTTCCACCTCAGCAGATCATAAATATATAGATGAGTTGGCCGGGCGTGGTGGCTCAAGCCTGTAATCCCAGCACTTTGGGAGGCTGAGATGGGTGGATCACAAGGTCAGGAGATCGAGACCATCCTGGCTAACGGTGAAACCCCGTCTCTACTAAAAATACAAAAAATTAGCTGGGTGTGGTGGTGGGCGCCTGTAGTCCCAGCTACTTGGGAGGCTGAGGCAGGAGAATGGCGTGAACCCGGGAGGCGGAGCCTGCAGTGAGCCGAGATCACGCCACTGCACTCCAGCCTGTGGGACAGAGCGAGACTATATATATAGATGAGTTAAAAGTGACACACTTTAGGTATAAGTAAGTTTAAAAGTGAAAGGATGGTCCAGTAATGGCAGAATAGTTTATTAGATGAATGCCCCCTTAGGCAAAAAAATTGTAAACTGGACACAATATGAAAAACAACTTTTTGAAAACACCTAAAGTATCCAAAGCAGGCAGAAACTGAAAGGAACTCAACTCTTCAATGAAAAGAACCATCTACATTGTTGTTTTTTTTTTTCCCTGAGTGTACTCCCGAGTATAAATGGCACAGGATAGCTAGAACTTGAGCAGAAAGCCCCAGCCTTTTTTGGCTTGAAGAGTCAGAGGACAGAGGACAGGAGACAGAGGACAGTTTGGGACTCCAGAACAGCTGAAGGTGGATTTCCTGGAATGAAAGAAGCCACAGAAGGCAAAGTCTTTAAATCTGCATATAAACTCCCCTCAAATCATAGGCTGACTGCTGAACTGTGGATGGAGGAATTTCCAAGAGCCCAGTAAAAGACAACCACTGGAGGTCTGAAAGAGCTAAGCAGATTTTGACTGTTACCCACTGTAGCAGAGAAAGAGTTTGAATTTGAATCCCAAGTCAGAGGGTCTGGGTAAACACTTAGGGCTTTCTACTTGAAACTCCCAAAAGGCCACACCATAGAGCTAAAATCTATATCCCAGGACTAAATATTTGTTCTGAGAGTAAGGTCAAAGCCAAAGCTGACTCATACTAGCAAAAGATAAAACCAAGCCTCAGCGGGTTCAAGGTGATCAACTAGTAAGTTAATTGCTTATTAGAACAAAAATCAACACCCCTCAATGGAAGATAACCCAGTTTCTAAAGTTCACTATCTACAATGTCTAATATACAATGAAAAATTAAAAGGCGTGTGAAAGAAAAAAAAAACCCACAGGAAAATATGAGTCATAGCCAAAAGAAAAAGCAAGCAATAGAAACAGAACCTGAGATGACCCAAGAAGTTGGCACCAGCAGGAAAAACTTCAAACAGCGATATAAATATATTCAAGAACTGGAAGGAAAAAAATGATCATCGTGAGTTAATGGATCTCAGCAGAAGAATGGGAAAAATAAAATAGCCAAATGGAAATTCCAGAACTGAAAACTACAACATGTCAAATGAAGAATTTACTAGATGGCTGAACAGCAGATTGGACAGCAGAAGAAAGGATCAGTGAACTTACAGATAGATCAATAACAAAAAGATATCTGGAAAATCCCCCAAACACTTATGAATAAGCAATATACATCTAAATATCCTGTGAGTCAAAAGAGAAATCATAAGGAAAAACTGAAAGAATTTCAGCTGAATAACAACAAAAAAGTATTAGAAATTGAAGGAGTCAGCTAAAGCAGTACTTAGAGAAAAATTTATAGCTTTAAGTATTTATACTAGACAATAAATGTTTAAAATTTAAACTTTCACCTTGAGAAGCTGAAAGGGTGAATCAAATCTAAAATAAATAGGGGCAGATACTAAAAAGCAGAGCAGAAAACATTGAAATTAAAAATGAATAAAGAATGGAGAAAAATCAATGAAACCTGAAGCAAAACAAAATAGTTCTCTCCTGTCTCCAGCATCTCCTCAGTAGGATCTGAGCCAATCTCAGGTCACTGCAACCTCCATCTCCTGGGTTCAAGTGATTCTCTTGCCTCAGTCTCCCATGTAGCTGGGATTACAGGTCTGTGCCACCATGCCCAGCTAATTTTTGCATTTTTAGTAGAGACAGGGTTTCACCATTTTGGCCAGGCTGTTCTCAAACTCCTGACCTCAGGTGATCTGACCACCTCGGCCTCCCGAAGTGCTGGGATTACAGGCATGAGCCACTGTGCCCAGCTGACTTAATTATTTCCGAAAGACCGCCACTCTCATGTGCATGCGCACACATGCACATCCCACACAAACACTCGGCCGCAGGTGGGAGTCCTGGTGGAGGTTACTGGGGAGAGCCAGCTAAGGGTCCAGTCAGATTGCCTGAGTCATGGGGGGAACAGGGTGGGAGGGCACTGTCTGGGAAGGTGTGAGGACAGTATTAGGAGGGGCCAAAGATGTGGCCACCTAGCCTTGTACAGATGAGCAGAGCTGCTCATCCGTTGCCCTGGGCAGGACTTCAGGACCAGGGCCAGAGGTCACCTTAAGGTGCCTATCCCTGAGCAGGGCACATGGACTGTGTGTGAGCCTGGCCTGCGTGGAACAAGCCAGCCTCCACTGTCCGCTGGGCTCTGCTGAGGTGCCCACCTCTGCAAACATTTCTGATGGGAGGCTAAATGGCGAGGGTGCAAGACACCCCGGGCCCTTTTACATCCAGTGTACAAGGCTAGGTGGCCACATCTTTGGCCCCTCCTAATACTGTCCTCACGCCTTCCCAGACAGTGCCCTCCCACCCTGTTCCCCCAACAGCAGAGGGAGACAATGGGCCCAAGCTGGAGGCAACCCAATCCCTGAGGGGCTCAGACCAAAAAGAGCCTCACCCAAGCGCAAAGTCTTACCGGTGCTCAAGCCATGGACAAAAATTCTCCAAAGTCATGGAGGCCACGGAGTAGGAGGAGGCAAGCTTCTGAGGAAGGGGCATGGGGTAAAGGAGGAAGAGAAAATAGAAAAACTGGAGGCAGACTGGGCACGGTGGCTCACACCTGTAATCCCACCACTTTTGGAGGCCAAGGTGGGCAGATCACTTGAGGTCAGGTGTTCACCAACCTGGCCAACATGGTGAAACCCTGTCTCTACCAAAAAATACAAAAATTTGCTGGGCATGGTGGCGCACTCCTGTATAGTCCCAGCTATTTGGGAGGCTGAGGTAGGAGAATCGCTTGAACCCAGGAGGCAGAGGTTGCGGTGAGCTGAGATTGTGCTGCTGCCCTCCAGCCTGGGCAACAGAGCGGGACTGTGTCTCAAAACCAAAAAACAAAATAAAATAAAAAATAAAAACTAGAGGCATCTTAAGTGCATTTAGTTATACAGTGCTCTTCCCAGGCTGAAAATCACCTTATTAATTTAGAACATGTTAATACACTAAGGCTTTACAGAAGATCACATGAAATACACTTAGACCAGGATTTCTCAACGTTGGCACTATTGACATTGCAGATAATTCTTTGTCTGGGGGCTGTCCTGTGCATTGTAGGATGTTGAACAGTGTCCCTCTCCTCTAGATGCCAAAATCAACACTACCAGCCCAGTCATGATAACCAAAAATGTCTCCCGACATTGTCAAATGCCTCCTGAGAGACAAAACCCTTCCCCACTCCCCTCCCCTCCAGCTGAGATCCAACCATTGATTTAGATTTAGACTTACAAATGCTCAGAACCCAATATAATACAATCAAGTGAAAATTTGTTTTTCCATATATATATGTGTGTGGCCGCATATATATATGGCCAGGCGCAGTGGCTCACGCCTGTAATCCCAGCACTTTGGGAGGCCGAGGCAGGTGGATTACCTGAGGTCAGGAGTTCAAGACCAGCCTGGCCAACATAGTGAAACCCCGTCTCTACTAAAAATACAAAAATTAGCTGGGCATGGTGACACATGCCTGTAATCCAAGCTACTGAAAGGCTGAGGCAGGAGAATTGCTTGAGCCCAGGAGACGGAGGTTGCAGTGAGCCGAGATCTCACCACTGCACTCCAGCCTGGCGGACAGAGTGAGACTCTATCTCAAAAAAAAAAAAAAAAAAAAAAAGGAAGAAGAATATTCAGAGAAAAAGAAGTTTCCTTTCCACCCAGCCTCCCAACTACTCAGTTACCTTCTCAGAGGCAACCAGTGGTAGCTTCTTGCTGTTTTTTATATATATAGGAGGTGACAGTGAGCTTGAGATGATGTGTGTGACAATGTTGTCTGTTAAATACTAACCCATAAGGCTCTCCAGACAAGTGATAAGGGAAGAACTGACATGCTCTTGTGAAAATGAGGACTCAGGATCTGCCTAAAAGCCATCCCCACACTTAGGAAGAGAGTGAGGAAGCTCCTGGAGGGAGGGCCATGATTCTCCCTAAGAGACAAAGGAGCAACTGACGGCCTGAAGTCCTACTGCATAGATGAAGGACACAGTGATTTTAGCCTGGAAGCAAATTTAAGGTATGTACCAGTGAATTTCCACCAGGGCCATGCTCCTCTCCACCGACTCCACCATCTAGGAGGCTTTTGGAAGCATGCGGGGTGTTTCATGGCCATCACAATAGTGGAGAAGGAATTACTGGTATTCAGTGGACAGGATGCAGCTCCAGATCGGCCACACAAAGAAGAATGATCCTGCCCCAAATTCCAACAGCACCTCTGAGAGAAGCACTGGCTAGGACCCAACCCTGGTCTCAGCTCTGAAACATCTTCAGCAAAGTTCCCCTAGGAGCCCTAGCTTTGAGCAGCATCACTCTCTGGCACGCTCACCAAGAGGAACAATTTAGGGAATGTGTGCTGAGGTAATGGAAGGACATGTTGCATGCGCTTTTATTTATAAGTCAGTTTAAAGCTGGGGAACGGCAACCCAAAAAAGTCTCTTTGGTTTGAGAATAGATGAGCTGTTGCTTTCCTCTCTGGCCATGATTAGTTAGCAGAGCCAGTTGTCTGGTTCAGACACTTCGATGGAAATCATACAACTTTAGCCCCTGAGTACAAAAGAATGCTGGCCAATGTATTCTCTAAAGTGAGGGCCATTCTTCCCACCTATCCAAGGGAGGGATTGGTTCAGTAGGAATCCTGCTTGAAAGGATGGAGTGTGGGCTGGGCACAGTGGCTCACACCTGTAATCCCAGCTACTTGGGAGGCTGAGGTGGGAGAATCGCTTGAATCCAGGAGGCGGAGGTTTCAGTGAGCTGATATCATGCCACTGCACTCCAGCCTGGGTGACCGAGTGAGACTCTGTCTCAAAAAAAAAAAAAAAAAAAAAAAAAAGGATGGCGTGTGGAAGATTTCTCCAGGGTTACCATTTCTACTTCAAGCCAAGTGGTGAGGACTCACGCATATCTGTTGCCACTAGTGATTTTTTTGTGCACACTTCTTGGATTTTCTTTTTTCACTCATTCATTCATTCCACAGACATGTGCTAAGTGATGACTATGACAACAGTTCTGCTATGAGGATTAAGTGGGATTAATCTGGTAAAGTGCTTACACAAGGCTGGGCACACAGAAATGCCTGGGAATCGTCTGTATTGTCAGCAGTACTGCCAAGGGTCAGACACTGGGGAAGACCCAAAGACCAATAAAACAGGTATCTGCCCTGGTGGAGCTCTCAGCTCACAAAAGACCTCCCCTCTGGAAGTGAGCAAGAATCCAGGGTGTGATGGATGTGTACAGGGATGGTGGAAGCACAAAAGACAGAGAGCCCAACCAAGACCACCAGGGTCTCCTAGAAGGCCCCAGTTTCTGAGGTGTGATCACCCCCCTCACTCTTTTTGGGAACCTCCCAATCTAGGCCACCCTTAGGCTGTCAGCAGCTTCTTCCTGGGCAGCTTCCCTGGGTAGGATGAGCAGGGCAGGCTACCATGGGGGAGGGCGTGTGGGTATTGACAAGATATAGTCCCCATTTCTGGTTTTTTAGAAAGTCTGGGTAGCAGTGTGTACTGCATTTAAAACAGCCTTCGGATTCAGATAAACGTGAATAAGCTGAATTTAGGCAAGTTGAAGCATTCAGATAAACATGAAGTAGAAGCTGAATTCAGGCAAATTGTTTATTTTACAGTGAGGTGATACTGCTCTCACAAGGTTGCTGGAAGGTTAAATAAGATCTGTAAAGCACGGAGCACACTGCCTGGCCCACAGCAAGCATTAAATGCCAGCTTTCCTACTATGTATTTCTCCCCTCCCTCATGTTGCCATCGTAACCCGTTTCCTTTGACAGCACTTTACAGTTCCCAAGGTGCTTTCATATACATTGTCTCATGCGATCCTCACCCTGTAAGGTAGACAGGGTAGGTGTTACCTTCCCCAACCAGCAGATGAAGGAACTGCGTAATTTAGCAAACATCACCTAGTCAAGAGTAAGCTGGGACATTCTTCTGGGTCCTCACCTGGGAGTCTAATGGGTTTGGAGAATGCTTTTCTGGTGGTCTGATCATGAAGTAAGAAAGAAGAGTAGTTCTCAATTGAGTGCAAGAGACCCCAGATGGGCTCACCAGCCCTGGTGGTCCCCACGGAAGTGGTGGTTGCTGGATCCTGGCCTCTTCCCCAGCAGCTCCTCCGTGAACTCTGCTTGGGAGTCCTGGCGGGGTAACTGGCAGGTCACGGGGAAGAATAGACCCTGCCTGGAGGCCCAGGCAGAGGAGCATCCGTGTGGCTCCGCAATGAGCTACGGAGGAGGAGGAGAGAACTCAGGAGCAATGCCTGCTGGAGCACAGTGGCCTGGGCTGGAAGCCAGCCTGGAAGGGGGAGGAGAGAGGCCCGTTCTAAGAACTACAGACTGCTGCTGTGGCTGCTGCTGATGTGGCAGGGAGAGCACATCTGGCAAGAGATAACTACCAGTGGCTCGTTGGTCTAGGGGTATGATTCTCGCTTAGGGTGCGAGAGGTCCCGGGTTCAAATCCCGGACGAGCCCTACTTTTTCTGTCCCTTCTCTGCTGCCACGTACACATACACTGCCTGCCCCTTCTAGGATGGAAGCAAAAAGGTAGCCTCATGGTGTGTGGCTAAAGGACCCTGAGGACAAACTGGCAGTCAGTCCCCCCATTAGCCATGGCCTATATGTACCCCATTATTTCCACTGGGGCCAAACTGACCAAGAGTGGACTGGCAGAGCATCTGGCTGGCCTGCATTTTATTTGGCAGAAAGACAGCCTGTCAGAGAGATCAGGACAAGGAGCGGGCTGGGCCAGAGCTGGAGGTCAGGATCAGGCAAGCTCTCAACATAAAACCTAAGCTATGAAATGCACTGGATTCAAAGTCCAAAAGCTAGGACGACAGTTACAGTTCTGAGTCTCAAAACTTATTTCTCAGAGTTGTTGGAAGGATGAAATCAGAAACTGTAATGCACCCTAGAGATATAGGGATTGTTAGGAATCGTATTACAGATAAAGAGAATCTAAAGGGGAACTTCTGGCAACATGAAAGACTGGACTAAGGTAGCTACCCCCTCATCCAGTGCCCCCAAACACGCACAGGGATGTTGGATAAAATAGAATTCAAAAATTAAAATTGGACAATCCCAACTTTTTTTTTTAATAAAGGAAATTATCAGCTATCAGGATTAAAGAAGGAATGTAAAAACAAACAAACAAAAAAAAAAAGCCGGGCGCGGTGGCTCTCACCTGTAATCCCAGCACTTTGGGAGGTCGAGGCGGGTGGATCACCTGAGGTCAGGAGTTCGAGACCAGCCTGACCAACAAGGTGAAACCCCATCTCTACTAAAAATATAAAAATTAGCTGGGCGTGGTGGTGAGCACCTGTAATCCCAGCTACTTGGGAGGCTGAGGCAGGAGAATCGCTTGAACCTGGAGGCGGAGGTTGCAGTGAGCCAAGATGGCACCATTGCACTCCAGCCTGGGCAACAGAGCGGGACTCCATCTCAAACAAACAAACAAATAAATAATGAAAACAAAACAAAACAAAACAAAAAGGCGGGGGGGCAGGGGGAAGGATATCACAACGGCCTATTGTGGATGTCATACACAGATAAGATAGACACCCAAGATCTGGAGTGTCTCAATGCTTCCAATTGTAGGATATGTGGCCTCACCTACCAGAGGCAAGGAGCTAAAGCTGAACCCCCTGCATAAAGCTCAGAATATAAAAGCTCCGTCTTGTTCGTGAAAAGAAGATTAAAGGCTGAGCACAGTGGCTCACACCTGCAATCCCAACATTTTGGGAGGCTGAGGTGGGGTGCTCACTTGAGCCTACGAGTTTGATACCAGCCTGGGCAACATAGCAAAACCCCTTCTCTACAAAAAATAAATTTAAAAAATTAGCCAGGTGTGGTGGTGTGCACCTGCAGTCCCAGCTACTTAGGAGGCTGAGGTGGGAGGATCGCTTGAGCCTGGGAGGTTGAGGCTACAATAAGCCATGATCACATCACTGCACTCCAGCCTGGGCAACAGAGCCAGACCCTGTCTCTGAAAAGAAAGAGAAAGAAAAAGAAAAGAAAAGAGAACTAAAAACCAGCAAGGAAGCAAGAAAAGGGGTGGAAATACAAGTCAACCCTGAGAAATTGATGTTCTAAGTCTGACCAAGTGCTTGTACTGTATCTGGATTTATGTCTTCATGGTGCTGAATCCAAGCGAGAAATTAAATATAAACCTGGTTTATGACCCTTGAAATCCTTAGGAATACCACACAGCCACACAGAAGCAAAAAAGAGTTCTATAAGACTGTTTTCATATAACCAGGGCATATAGGACTCCCACCAAAACAAACCAACCAACCAACCCATCGAAATGACAAAAACCCAAGATGTGCTGAAGAAGAGCTCACAATAAAAATTATGAACCTGTATAATATAAAATATTATAAACTTTCCCTGCTTTTCCCTCTGTCCAGACTGAGAGATACAGAGTGCTTTAAGTGCTCTGTGATCCAGCCAGCTGAAATGTTTTCCCCTATAGGCTTGAACCCAAGCTAGGGCCTTGAACATTCACAGGCACTGATAAAGGTGTTTAGGTTGTTGCTGAAAACACTGAAAGACCAACCATGTTGCTAAACATATAGAAGCTAGCCCTGTCCCCAGCCAAATTCCTGAAACCCTCATTTAAACTTCATAAACCTCATTTAAACTCCCTCATTGTGGACACACCTAGGCAGAACATCCCTTGTCTCGCTCTCTACCCCGAGGATCCACGGCAGCTCACTTTCTATGTACATTCCCCTAATAAATGCTTTGGACCAATCCCCTGATGTTCATTGCTTGGTGTCTTTGGAATCTCAACCAGCCCCATTTCAGAACAGTTTGGGGCACTCCCTTGTGGAGTTCCTGCTTTTCGGGTGATTCTAGCCACAGGTTCAGCTGAGAAGAAACAAAACTAGACAAGGAAGCAATTCATCATAAGGAAGTGTTGGTGGACACAGCAAACAAGAGAGCACTCCAAGAACTACACATGATAGAACAACATGAAAAACATTATATAATAAATATATGTAGAAGTATTAAAGACAAGGAAATAAACCATAGGGAAAAAAATCAAACACAACATGAAGAAATGAAAGACATAAACATTGAAATTAACGACTCTTAGCACTGGAAAATTATACTTAATAACAAAGAAGACATTAAAAACTCAGTGATGCATTAAACAGTAGATTATTAGACTCAGGCAAAGAGAGAATAAGTGAACTGGAAAAGAGCTGATGAAATAATTCAAAATATGAAAAAGTGGGAAAGTGATAAGATAGAAAATATGAAAGAATAGCTAAAAAACAGGAGGGAAATAATGAGACAGACTAATATATATCTAATAGGAGTTCCTGAATGTGACTGAGAGAATGGGGAAAATATAATATTCCAATAGATAATGGTTGAAAATTTTAATGGAAGAAAGACACAGTTCTCAGGTTGAAGAGTCCTGAGCTCTGAAACACACTGTGGAGAAACTGCAGGATACTGAAGAAAGAGAAAAGTCTTTTTTTTTTGAGACAGGGTCTCACTCTATTGCCCAGGCTGGAGTGCGGTGGTGTGATCATAGCTCACTGAAGCCTCAAACTCCTAGGCCCAAGCAATCCTTCCACCTCAGCCTCCTGAGCAGGTAGAACCACAGGTGTGTGCTGTCATGTCCACCTAATTATTTGTTTATTTATTTTGAGATGGAGTCTTGCTTTGTCACCCAGGCTGGAGTTATTTTTTAATTTTTATAGAGACAGAGTCTTGCCATGTCACCCAGGCTGATCTCAAACTCCTGGGCTCAGGCCATCTTCCCAAGGCACTAGGATTATAGACATGAGCCACCACACCTGAGAAAAACCTTAAAATAACCAGAAATAAAAATGCCTGTCTGCCTACAAAGATAACAATTATATTTGCAGCTCACTTCTAGCAACAGGAGATTAATTATAAGGGAAAAAAAAGAATGGAAAAAAAAAGATTATAGAAAAGACATTTTTTTGACCAGGCGTGGTGGCTCATGCCTGTAATCCCAGCACTTTGGGAGGCTGAGGTGGGTGGATCACCTTAGGTCAGGAGTTCAAGACCAGCCTGGCCAACACGGTGAAACCCTGTCTCTATTAAAAATACAAAAATTAGCTGGGTGTGGTGGTGCCCACCTGTAATCCCAGCTACTTGGGAGGCTGAGACTGAAGAATCGCTTGAACCCGAGAGGCAGAGGTTGCAGTGAGCTGAGATCACGCCACTGCACTCCAATCTGGGCAACAGAGTGAGACTCCTTCTCAAAAAAGAAAAGAAAAAAAAGAAAAGAAAATACTTATTTTTTAAAATTATGGAAAAAAATCTTTGTCACTTATTAGCAGCAAAAGATTACAGGGAAAAAATATCTTCAAAAGGCTAAGAGAAAATAACTGTCATTCAGAATTTGATGCCTACTAAATTTTCATTAAAAGGGCATGAAATAAAGACATTTTAAGACATTAACTGAGAATGCTAACCCCTCAAAGACTTACACTGAAATGCCACAAAAGGGTAGATTTTATAAGAAGGAAACTGAAATAAGAAGGAATGGTGAGCAGAGAAATTTATAAATATGTTAGTAGATCTAAACAAGCCTTGAGACAGATGATGATGATAAAGATGGTGGTGGTGGTGATAATGGTGAGGATGACACTTCCTGGGGTTAGAAAGAAGGGGAAACTAAAATACTAGATAGAAATATGGGAGATGGTGGAGAAAGAAGAACAGAGTTAACATGTTCTAAGATCTATTATTCAGAAAAAGTATAGTGATATTGATTCACTGTAGAGCTAAGTAAGAATGTTTAGAAATATATAAAGAGGTAATCACTGAAAGAGTAGAAATAGAATGTGTAACTTCCAAATCAGTGGGGGCCAGAGGATAAATTAAAGCCACTGTCAGTGGTGTTTAAATTGGTCTAACTACACAATAGAGCAATTTGGCAACGGCTAGTGAAGTTTAAGATGCACCTACTCTATGACCCAGAAATTCCACTTCTAGGTATCCATCCTAGGAGAATGCATGAAATTGTCAAGTGCAGCACTGTTTTTAATATGGAAAACTGGAAACAGTCAAAATGTCAATCAGCCGAAAAATGGATAAATTGCAGTGAATTCAAGCAATGAAAGAGTTTTCAGTAGTTAAAATTCATAAACTGGAGCTATATGAAACAACATGGATAAATGCAAAAAAAAAAAAAAACAAAAAAAGTTTGCAGAAAAATGTGTACAATATAACACTATTTACATAAATTTCTAAAACACACAAGTCGCAATTATGTATTGTTGGTAGACACATTCATAAAAGGTAAAACATACATACAGGTAAAACTGGAAAACCATAAATAGAGGGCTACCTTGAATCAAATGTGGCAAGATCTGACTGGTTGTAGGATTTCAGTTCTGTGTGCATGGTTATTTGTTACGTTATTCTCTGTACCATACTTTTCTGCATGTTTCAAATACTCATATTTTTTTTCTTTTTAATGAAAGGATCTAGGCATTTAGAAATAAGGGTAAAGGGGGATAAATGGCTACATCAGTCCTCAAAGAGGATGATCTCCTGGGATGGGATTAGGAGGGAGGCTGAGCCCTGAGTCCAGGGATTACAGGGATTAATTCAGATCATCCCCCTAGGTTGATCACCTGGCTGACATGCCCACCACTCCTGGCCCCTCAGAGATGCATTTCTGGACCACAGCCCACCTCCCTCATATCTCTTAAGCTCTTTTCTCCCGCCTTTTAACTGCCTCCCTCCGCCCTCAACCCAGTACTGGTCTGGCCAGGGTTTGACCAAGTTTGGCTCCTGAAAATAGACTGGTTCAGGTCTCTCTTAAATGTTCTCCCAAATCAAGGGTGAAAGGTGACCTGCATGCCAGGAGCCAGGGAGAGATTAGTCCTAATACTCAGGATCAGAGCTCCCTGAGGAGAGCTTGAACCCTGGATGTCACCATCGACAATTTCCCTGCTGTGCCTCCCTACATTCACCAAGAGGTCAGCAGTCAAGGCCAACCGCTAACGTGGCCCTGCTGGCGGAGGCAGAACCAGGAGGAGCTGCGCTGGGCAGAAAGAACAGCCAGTAAGCTTCCAGAACTAGTCTTTGCCAGTTCCCAGAGCACTGCATCCCTCAAGCCCCCAGTGCAGCCCCTTTCTACCACCCCTGACAAATGCTCTGCTCCCCAAATCTGGACAGGCTTGGCGTCTGCAGTAAACCCTCTGCAGAAGGGGTCTGGGTGGGCTTGTTCAACTTTCCCCACAACTGTGTCACCTTGGCCACAGGATCTGGAGTAGAATCTTGTCATCTGGGAGCAAAGAAAACATTCTTGATCTCTGCTCATCATCTCTCTGCTGAGATAATGAGAGAGGCAGAGGAAGAAAAAAGGAGCAAGGAGTTGGGGGAGGGAGAGAGACTTATGGGCAACATCATCATTAATAGGCAACATTTAACACCACAAATATGAAATCATGTTAAATGATAAGACAGGGCATTAACTGGGTAGCTGGGAGATTGACCTTTAACTCATTTATCCTGTGTCAGAAACTCTGTCAGATGCTGGAAATACAAAGATAACTAAGATCCCCCTAACCTTCAGGAAACTGGGCAGAGCCCGGACAACCCGGAGGGCCTGGTGCTGTTACAGACAAATAGGGGCGAGCACCACAAAAGCGCCTAGTGGGGCAGGGATGGGGTGCCAGTCAGAGAAGGCCACCTGGAGGTGACCCCCAGCTGAAAAGGAGGGGGAAGTCCAGGCAAAGAAGGGCTTCCTTCCCGTGGAACAGGGATGGCTTGTGGACGTGGGAGCCTGTGGGATGTCAGAGACATTTGAGCCAGAGCAACTCCATCTTGAATAGAAGCTGGGTAAAATGAGGCTGAGACCTACTGGGCTGCATTCCCAGACGTTTAAGGAATTCTAAGTCACAGGATGAGATAGGAGGTTGGCACAAGACACAGGTCATAAAGACCTTGCTGATAAAACACCTTGCAGTAAAGAAGCCGGCCAAAACCCACTAAAACCAAGATGGCAGTGAGAGTGACCTCTAGTAATCCTCACACTGTTACACTCCCACCAGTGCCATGACAGTTTACAAATGCCATGGCAACATCAGAAAGTTACCCTACATTGTCTGAAAGGGGGTGTCAGGAATAAACCACCCCTTGTTTAGCATATCATCAAGAAATAACCAAAAAAAGCAGCCCTTGGGGCTGCTCTGTCTATGGAGTAGCCATTCTTTATTCCTTTACTTTCCTAATAAACTTGCTTTTAGTTTATCCTATGGACCTCCCTGAATTCTTTCTTGCGTGAGATTCAAGAACCCTCTGTTGCGGTCTGGATCCGGATCCCTTTCCTGCAGCGGGGGGAACGCAGACAATACTAGCCCTCGACCTGTGAGTGGATGTGCCAGAGAGGGGATCCGCGTGTGTCCCTGGCTTAGGAATCTTCCAGCCATTTCCTGGATGTGCTGGGGAGCCCCTGTTCCCAACTGTGCCCACTTCTATCCTTGCCGAGACCTGCCGAGATGTGAGAACTGCCTCTTCAAGAGCCGGCACCCAGTAGTCATAGCCTGAATAAACGAATGGTTGAAGACGTGAAATAAGCCCCCTGGGCTTCCAAATCTCCCTTCCACGAGAGTGAACATCAGTCGTGCCCACTCTGAGCGGGCTACTGTGGGGGCGTGGCTCGCAGCCCACCGGGTGTGGGACCGGAAGGGAAGACAGGGCGGAGGAGAGGGGGTCTTCCGGCCCTGAGGCTTGATGGGGCCACCGGAGGGCTCCTCCTAAGAGGGTCCTTGGCCCTGGCTCGGTGGGGGGTCGCGGAAAGCGGAGAGGTCAGGGCCCTGCCGTTCGCCCATCCGGGCCTCGACTTCCCTCCTCCGGCCCCCAGGCTGCCGAGGGGCCACCGGGCAGGGGTGGGCAGGGCCTGGGGCCGGAGTCAGCGCGGACTGCTAGGTGGGGGCGCCGGCCGGGCGGGGGAGGGAGGGAAGGAGGGGCGCGCGTGTCTGCGCTTTTGGAGGAAACAGTCCCACCTCGTCCTTTGCCGTCCCCATTGCTGAGCATGACCGGGCCCTGACACCTGGTGCAGAAGGGTCCCTGGGCACAGCAGACCCCGGGGGGACCCGCCGCCAGAACCAGGGGATCTCGCTCCTCCCTCTTGGGGCAGCCATAAGCCTAGGAGCTCCTGACGCTGTCCGGGCCCCGCGGCTCCCCGCGCTCTCTAGGGGAGAGCCTTGGGGCGTATCCGGGGTCGCGCTCACCCTCCCGCGCCGCCCCCTGCACGGGCTCGGAGCTCCCGAGTGCTGGGAGGGCTTCCGGGCGGCGGCGAGCGGCGGGGGGCGGTGTCAGGAGGCCCGGCCAGGCCCCGCCCCCTCGTCCGCCCTCCCTCCCTCCCTGCGCACCCGGCTCGGGTCCCCGGGCTCGCGGCTGCGGCTTCTGCTCAGGGAGGCGGAAGGCGGCGGCGGGAGCGGTCATGGAGGCGGGCGCCGGAGCCGGCGCGGGAGCCGCGGGCTGGAGCTGCCCGGGCCCAGGTCAGAGCCGCCCCTCCGTCACCTGTCTACCGCCCCTCCTTTCTCTCCTCCATCCCTCCTCCTTCCAGACCCCCAGGTGCTCCCGGCCTCCGCGGCTCCCCTTTCTCCGCCCAAAGTCTTCCTCCCTCCATCCTGGCCTCCACCGGGGCCCGGTCTCCATCCTTCCGGCCTGGGACTGAGGCTTCCGCGCACCGGCCGCATCCTGCCTGGTGGTCCCTCCCCAGCGCGTCTCTCCACTTCAGTCCGACGGTGCTTCCAGCCTTCGGGACTGCAGACCCTACACCTCCTGCAGCCCCGGAGACTCCTGAGCGCGGGGCGAGGGTGGGGTGGGCAAGGTCCAGCGAGAGAATGGGAGGAGAGGGGAGGGGAGCGGTCGCAGCCCTACCCCTTCCCGCACGCCCCCCACTCCTCCCTCCCTCCATCTGTAGGCCACCTCAGCCTTTCAGCCTCTTCTTCACTGGCTCCCGCCCTCTTTCAGTCTTGGCCCTCTCCTCCCTGTCCCCCCGGACTAAATACGCACACCCCCTCTTTCTTTCTGTGCAAGCAAGAGGGTCCTGGAACAGCGGGTTCTGAGGAGGCTGGGAGGCAGGGCTGAGAGGTGGCCGAGAGAGAGGAGTCGCAGAGCCGCCAGAGTGAGTCAGGCACCTCCACTGGGATTACAGATCCCAGAGCCTCGAGGAGCTGGAAGACATGTCCCCTTCTTTCCTCTGCACCCCAGCCCGCAGCCAGCCCCCCACCCCCCAGCCCCTCCTTTCTCCCTGCTCTCAGGACCCACAGTGACCACTCTAGGCTCCTATGAGGCTTCCGAGGGCTGTGAGAGGAAGAAGGGCCAACGCTGGGGGTCCCTGGAACGACGGGGGATGCAAGCTATGGAGGGTGAGTTTTCCCAAAAGGCTTCTTTCTTTCCCCTCCCCTCCTCCCTTAATTCCCTTCTTTCCTCCCTCTGACCCCCAGGCCTCTGAGCCAGGACACAGCCCTTCCCTCAGTTCATCTTAGCCCCTCTTCCTGCAGCTCAGAGCTCCAGCCCTTCCCAGGGCTCAGGCTTTGACAGAAGTTCAGGATGCATCCCTTCGGGACCCCAATCACCCCCCAGCTAACCAGGTTATGTGTCCCGAGGGAGCTGCCAGACAGAGAAAGAGGCCTTGTTGGACAGAGCTTTGAAGCAGCCTTTCAGCAGGGGGTTTGTCCTCACTGCCTGCCGACCCAGATCCCAAGCTGTCTCTTATTTTAAAAAGCAAGGAACTGGGCATGTGAATTGTCTTTCTGGGGCCACCAACATTAACTTCGAATGGAAGCCTGTGGCTTTGGTTCTTTAGGATACCTTATTGCCTGAAAGAGAGAGCCTAGGAGGGGGCGCGTGAGGCCATCCTCCCAACACACGTGTATCCCCACCACACCCATGTGACTTGGCAGTTGCTGCCAACACCAGGCCCCTGGAAGGACGCTGGTCCATTTGCCAGTACTTCCTGTGAAGTGTTGCACGTTGCACATTCAGTATGGGCAAACCTGCTCCCCCTAAGGGGGACAGATGGCACGAAGGGTCCCAGTTGAACCTAAGGCTGCTGATATTAGATAAAGTAAGACCAGAGATTCAGAATTTTAAAACAAAGCAAACAATCACCATCCAGACAACATTTTGCTATTTATAGGGACTGCGTTGCAGTAAAGGAGCGGGTGCTCACAACCAGAGGCTGGGGGCCAGCACCAAACCCCAGTTTTTTTAATGCATTAAAATGGTAGGCTTTCTTTTACACACAAGTACAGCCTAAAACTTCCCCTGAAATCTACTTTGTGGTCAGCAGAGTAGGAGGGGCCTCATATGGCTCAGCTAGGGGAGAGGAGACCTTGTGACATGCAGCAGGGAAAAACAAGGTGGACCTTGTAGAAAATTTCAAACAGGTATTTAATAATATACATTTGAAAGGGCGCCCGAGTTTGTCCAATGAAACCTCTACAATCAGATATTTTCTTTCTCTACCTGCTGACGGGCAATGTTTTCTTATTATGGAAAGGCTGATTTTTCACAAGCCACCTGGATAGTTTTTGTTTGGTTGTTTTTGTTTGTTTGTTTGTTTGAGACGGAGACTCACTCTGTTGCCCAGGCTGGAGTGCCAGTGGCTCGATCTCGCCTCACTGCAACCTCCAGTTCCCAGGTTCAAGCGATTCTCCTGCCTTAGCCTCCCAAGTAGCTGGGATTACAGGCGTGTACTACCACGCCCAGCTAATTTTTTTGTATTTTTAGTAGAGAAGGGGTTTCACCATGTTGACCGGGCTGGTTTGGAACTCCTGGCCTCAAGTAATCCACCCACCTCAGCCTCCCAAAGTGCTAGGATTACAGGCATGAGCCAGCATGCCTGGTCAGTTTTGTTTTGTTTTTTAACTTTCAAGAAATCTCCAAACTGTAACTGTTACCCCATTTGACCGAAAGATCCGCTCACTGTCTCCTTTCTTGACTACTTGTCCTGCTACTCAGAGGCCAGCCTAGAAGAAGCAGGTAATCCTGTGCAAGTGTCTCATGGCTGAGCGGGCACCAGCCTGCCCACAGGCAGTGATAGGAGGCTACCAAGTGCAACATTGGTCCAGGAAGGGCCTGGGAGGTGGAGGGGCTGCTTCTCAACTTGACTCTCACACCTGAGGACTCATCTTGAGTACAGGTCTTGCCCCGGGGCTCCTTGGGGGACACCAGGTGGCACTAGTATGTCATCTCTGCCCTGGCATAGTGAGTTTGAGGGCCCTGGAAGGACGGCAGAAAGGAAGTTGATGCTGACTCCTTGGTGGGATGGCTGTGTCTCCTAGGGGAGGTGTTACTCCCAGCTCTCTATGAGGAGGAAGAGGAAGAGGAAGAGGAGGAAGAAGAGGTGGAAGAAGAAGAAGAACAAGTGCAGAAAGGTGGCAGTGTTGGCTCTCTGTCAGTCAACAAGCACCGGGGACTGAGCCTCACGGAGACAGAGCTGGAGGAGCTGCGGGCTCAGGTGCTGCAGCTGGTGGCAGAACTGGAGGAGACCCGGGAACTGGCAGGGCAGCATGAGGATGACTCCTTGGAGCTACAGGGTGAGTGCCTGGGCCAGGGCCCAGTGCCCGGGCCCAGAGGCTCTGCACTCCCCTGGATCCGAGCTTGACACTGGTGCCCCTCTCCCTGCAGGGCTCCTGGAGGATGAACGGCTAGCCAGCGCCCAGCAGGCAGAGGTGTTCACCAAGCAGATCCAGCAGCTCCAAGGTAATTCCCAGGACTTGGACTGGAGGGAGGTGGCCATCCAAGTGGTCACCTAAGTACTTTTTTCCTGAGGGTTTGACTGAAGCACAGCAGATAAAAATAACCAAATTCAGTAATTTCACCTCATTTTCCTCTACTAGTCTCACCCTTTTCCTCTCCTTGTCTCTCCATCCTCCTCTGTCCCCAGTTTTCTTTCTTTGCACATCTACCTGGCTCTTCTGTCCTCCCCTTCCATTTCTTGGCCTCCCTGTCACCTCCTGTCCCTGGTGGGCTCTTTCCTCTTGCCCCTTCAGCCTCCTCCTTCATACTGCATCCCTGTCCCTTTGTTCTCCTGGTCAGTGCCAGGGGTGGGTGATCCAAGTTGAATTCCAAGCCGGATTCCTTTTTCTGGTTCCTCCAAGGATGGCATGGGAAAGCATGAAGCCAATGAGAAGTGACTGGTGGGGCCTCTCTGCACCTATTAAGAGAGACAGATGACAGCACTTCTGTTGCTGCCTGGGACCTGAGCTTGTGGGCCCCAAATCCCTTTTTGCCAACACCCACGTCCCTTTGTCTCTGGGAAGCAGCAAGGCAGATGCCCCACATTCCACCACACCACCAAATAAAGAGGCAGCTTTTGTTACTTCTGTGGGCCTCCGGAAGGTTTAGGGGAGCTGCCCTAGAAAACGGCAGGGACTCTGGGGAGAACTGAGATCAAGCCAAAAGAAAAGTATAAATGGAGAAAAAAAAGGAAGGCCAGGAAGCAGGCCTGGACAGGAGCAAGCAGAGGTGTAAGTGGGGAGGAGAGGAGACGGGGACAGAAAATGTAAGCAAAGGTAGATACAGGAAGGGTGGTCAGTGAAGGGGCTTGCAGAGGAGGAAAGTGGCAGGACACGTGTCACATAGGGAAGAGTGTGGGCATTGATCTGGGATGACCTAGATTCCTGGGCCCAGCTATACCACTTAGAAATTGTGTGATCTTGGGCAAGTCACTTATCTTTCTGAGATGTCATTTCTTATCTGTAAAATGGGACTAATTTATTTATCACCTATTTATGAGGTGCCTTTATACTTGGAGGACCAGCTGTGAATGAGACAGACCACATCTCTGCCCTAATGAAGAGTACATTCTAACGGAGAGAGGCAGAAAATAAACAACACAAGTTCAGATGGCAATAAATGCTATGAACACGATATAATAATATGATACAGAGAGGAGGTGGGATGGGAGTTTATTTTATTTTATTTTGAGACAGAGTCTTACTCTGTTGCCCAGGCTGGAGTGCAATGGCACAATCTCAGCTCACTTCAACCTCTGCCTCCCAGGTTCAAGCGATTCTAGTGCCTCAGCCTCCCGAGTAGCTGAGATTACAGGCATGCGCCACCACACCTGGCTAATTATTGTATTTTTAGTAGAGATGGAGTTTCACCATGTTGGCCAGGCTGGTCTTGAAGGGAGTTTATTTTAGATATGGCAGTTAGGAAAGTCATCTTTGAGAAGATGACATTTGAGCTAAGACCTGAATAATGAAAAGGATCCAGCCATCCAAGATCTGAGGGAGGAGCATACCAGGCAGAAGCAACAGCAACTGCAAAGGCCCAGAGGTGAGAATGAGCTTCATTTGTTTGAGCGACAGAACAGAGGCCACTGTGTTTGCAGCAAAGTGCACGTGGAGGACCCTGGCAAGAGAACGTTCTGAGGCAGGCAGAGGCCAGATTACAGTGGATCTTGTAGGCCAGCCAAGAGGTTTGGCTTTCATGTTAAGTGTGGTAGAAAGCCAGGAGAGGGTCTTAGCCAGGAATGGGATGATACGATCTGCTTTACATTTTTAAAAGAGAACTTGGCCACTAAGTGGAAACACTTAAGATGGAGGGAAGTGACTCAGAACAGTGAGTCCTGTCAGCAAGTTACTGCAATAGTCCAGTCAAGAGATGATGGTCGCTTGAGTTAGGGCTGTAGAAATGGAGATGATTCAGAATATATATATATATATATTCTTTTTTTTTTTTTTTTTGAGACGGAGTCTCGCTCTGTCGCCCAGGCTGGAGTGCAGTGGCGGGATCTCGGCTCACTGCAAGCTCCGCCTCCCGGGTTCACGCCATTCTCCTGCCTCAGCCTCCCAAGTAGCTGGGACTACAGGCGCCCGCCACTACGCCCGGCTAATTTTTTGTATTTTTAGTAGAGACGGGGTTTCACCGTTTTAGCCGGGATGGTCTCGATCTCCTGACCTCGTGATCCGCCCGCCTCGGCCTCCCAAAGTGCTGGGATTACAGGCGTGAGCCACCGCGCCCGGCCCAGAATATATTTTGAAGGTGAAGCCCTCGGGATTTGCTAATGAATTCGATCAGGGGATAACAGAGACATGAAAGATGACTTTGCCTTGAGAAAATTGATGGAAGGTGGTGATGTTTATTGAATTGGGAAAGACTTGGCAAGGGGTAAGTTTTGGGGCTAGGGGAGCCATTTAAAACATGTTTTCCTCTGTTGAGTTTGAAGTAACTGTGGACATCCAAGTGAATATATTGAGGCAGTTGGATATATAAAGGCAGAACCAGGGAGAAAACAGGGCCGGAGATGTAAATTTGGAGTCATTAGCATATAATTGGCATTAGAATCCATGGGAAATAATGGTGCAGTCACATGGAGAGACACCAGAAGAGGAGAAAGGGTCCAGTCCCAGAGACACTCCAGTATTTAGAGGTCCAGTATAGAAGGAGAAATGAACAAAAGAGTAAAGTGAGAGGAACTCCTGGAGCATGTCATGCCCTGTAAGCCAGAGCAGAAAGTGCTTCAAGGAGACAGTGATCCACTGTGTCAGGTTGCTAAGTCAAGTGAGATGGTCTTGGATTTGGCAAGAGAGAGGACCCTGAGACATCTCAGTGCATGGAGGCACCGATTGGATTGGGTTTGGAGAGGAAATGGGAGATGAAGGTGAGTACCGATAACTCCAGTAGTCATTTTGAAGAGAAGCAGAGAAGTAAGGGAAATAGGGTCAAAAGATTATTTCTTTTCTTTTTTCAAAGGTAGGAAATGCTAGATCATGTATAATGAAAGAAAAGATCCAGTACAAAAAAAGGCCTTTGCCTGGAGAAGGAACGTTCCTCCATTCAAACGGGCGAAAAGTCAGAATTGAAGCAGAGATGCAGGCAGGAACTACCTGGGAAAATAGGGTTCTATTTTTTTTTTTTTTGAGACGGAGTCTCGCTGTGTCGCCCAGGCTGGAGTGCAGTGGCGTGATCTCGGCTCACTGCAAGCTCCGCCTCCCGGGTTCACGCCATTCTCCTGCCTCAGCCTCCCGAGTAGCTGAGACTACAGGCGCCCGCCACCACACCCGGCTAATTTTTTGTATTTTTAGTAGAGGCGGGGTTTCACTGTGTTAGCCAGGATGGTCTCGATCTCCTGACCTCATGATCCGCCCGCCTCTGCCTCCCAAAGTGCTGGGATTAAAGGCGTGAGCCACCGCGCCCGGCCGAAAATAGGGTTCCAGAGCGATTCTCTCCTCAGTAGAGTTTTTTGTTTGTTTTGAGACGAAGTCTTGCTCTGTCACCCAGGCTGGAGTGCAGTGGCGAGATCTTGGCCCACTGCAACCTCCTCCTCCTGGGTTGAAGCAATTCTTCTGCCTCAGCTTCGCGAGTAGCTGGGACTACAAATGCCAGCCACCACACCCGGCTAATTTTTGTATATTTAGTAGAGATGGGGTTTCGCCATTTTGGCCAGGCTGGTCTCCAACCCCTGATCTCAAGTGATCCACCAGCCTCAGCCTCCCAAAGTGCTGGGATTAAAGGTGTGAGCCACCGTGTTTGGCCGACAATACCATTTTTTTAGGGCCAGAAGCACCTAAGAGAGAGTTGAACCCTAACATCAAAAGCATATTAGGGAGGTGGAGGTTGGTCTGTTTCTCCAGAACACCCACCCCAGACTCTAGGGCCTTTGTCCTAATGGCCAGCTTCCTCTTGTGTCTCCCTAGCTAGACAGACCTCACTGTGCTGCTCAGTAGTGGGGGTAGAGCGGACTTTTCTTCCAATAGGAAGTCAGAGAATCTAACAGGAGATTCTTGGCCTTGGCACGCAGTTAAGGATCAGTTAATAGTTGTTGAATAGATCAAGGAGACGTAACAGCTAGGATCATTCTAGAACTGGAAAGATTGGCAAAAGACATGCCCATAGTTCCACATGTGAGCTCAGGGGAGCAGGGTAGATCTTCCCCTGAGATGCCCTCACCACTCAGCATCTATCTATGAAGCGTGTCCAAATTTGTCTTCTTTGAAAGTCTAGATTCTATTCTAATTTTTAAAAAATATCCAAACAGGGCCAGGTGTGGTGGCTCATGCCTGTAATCCCAGCACTTTGGGAAGCCAAGATGGATCGCCTGAGCCCAGGAGTTTGAGACCAGCCTGGGCAACAGAAAGAGACCCCCATCTCTACATTAAAAAAAAAAAAAAAAAAAAAAAAAGCAGGGCATGGTAGCCCATGCCTGTAGTCTCAGATATTAGGGATGCTGAGGAGGGAGGATTGCTTGAGCCCAGGAAGTCAAGGCTGCAGTGAGCCATGATCATGCCACTCCACTCCAGCCTGGGCAACAGAACAAGACTGTCTCAAAAACAGAAAGGAAAACCCCCCAAACCCCAAATGTTTAGTTCTGTACACATAAGAGATACTTAGCAAAAGTTTGTTGAATAGATGAACTGCTGCCTTACTTATGCATGAATACATCAAATATCTATTGAGCTTCGTTTTCAGGCACAATACTAGATCCTGGAGCTGTAATGGTGAGCAAACCAGATATGCTCTCTGCCTCGATAAAGCTTATAACCAAGTGAAGGGGAGACTTAAGTACACACACACATATAGCAAAGTACAAGGTTTTATGAGACCATTTAATAGAGGACTTCTCTTATTTTTTTTTGAGGAAGTGGAGGTACAGGCTAGAAAAGTTGACATCTGAGTGGTGAGTAGAATGAGCAGAAGTTGGGGGAAGGGGATGGGAGAATGTGCCTTGCAAAGGATTTATGGGAAAATCCTGACCCTCCCAACCCAATCCTCATTAATTCTCTAATCCTGGCCCTCAAATCCTAAATTCACTGTTGGTGTCAGTGCCTTTTACTCTCTCCACTTTTTCGTTCTGATCCCAGATGGGTACATGTGTCTAGAAACTCTGAGATGCTCCATAGATACAGAGAACTCTTAACTCATTATTTTGTAAATTAAAAAATAGAAAATATAGGCTTGTTCTGAAAATCCAAACAGCACAGATAGATATGATATGTAAAGTAAAAACCTTACCACATGTTATCCCATACCTCAGAAACAACTACTCATTATGGTTTGGGCATAGATCTTTCCAGGCCTTTTTCTATATGTTTGTCCATTTGTGTGTTATATACTATACATAAAATATTTTTTGCAAAAATTAGATCATAGCATATATTTTACAGCTCTTTTTCTTCAGTTAATATGGAAACTTCTTTGTTTTCACCATAGATCTGATACTTTCTTTTAAATGGCTGCATGATATTCTATTTAACTATCATC
Source organism: Homo sapiens (assembly GCF_000001405.40). Classification (NCBI taxonomy): domain Eukaryota; kingdom Metazoa; phylum Chordata; class Mammalia; order Primates; family Hominidae; genus Homo; species Homo sapiens. Next base: position 128,800,277 of record NC_000007.14, read on the forward strand.
AGTTTATTTATTTATTATTGTTATTATTTTTCGAGACCGAGTCTCACTCTGTTGCCCAGGCTGGAGTGCAGTGGTGCGATCTTGGCTCACAGCAACCTCTGCCTCCCGGGCTCAAATGATTCTCCTGTCTCAGCCTCCCAAGTAGCTGGGATTACAGGGGCGTGCCACCACACCTGGCTTTCTTTTTTTTTTTTTTTTAGCGAAGACTGGGTTTCACCATGTTGGCCAGGCTGGTCTTGAACTCCTGACCTCAAGTGATCCACCTGCCTTGGCCTCCCAAAGTGCTGGGATTATAGGCGTGAGCCACTGCTCCCAGCCTATCATCAATTTAAACAATCCCTTATCGACTGACACTTAGATTATTATCCCGTGTTTGGTTATTATGCAGTGAACTTATATTTGAATTTGAGTTGTGAACTCTAAATGCACATTGTTTTAGGTCCAGTACTTACCACAGGTAGGTCATGGGAACTCTGAGGCTCTGTAATTTCTGAGCTCTCAGGATGAATAGGTGAAAATAGTCTGTATACATTTTTTGAGTCAGGGGATTTTTAGAAAGATTCAGGGCATCAAGAAAATACTATAAATGAAGTTAGGTCTTTAACTGTCAGGTGATTCCTTAGAAGCATGAAATACTTTTTGTTTACAGTAGACTAAGTGATTGTTTTGGTGCCAGGCCTCAAAATCTACTTTTCTATTGGACCTTACTACATAGAGTCACTCTCTTTTCCCTTCTTAGGTACTCCTTTTATTCCGTCCGGCATGATGCTACACTTCTCTGATGGGGTAGAGACAAGGTTTTCAGGACTTTGCAGACAAGAAATAAGTCTCCCTTTAATTTTGTGCCTCTAGAACATGGTAGGTTAGTTCACCTGCCCTCTTGATCATCTCAACCTTTGGACTTTGCAGGTGAGCTGCGTTCTCTACGGGAGGAGATTTCCCTGTTAGAGCATGAGAAAGAAAGCGAACTTAAGGAAATAGAACAGGAATTGCATTTGGCCCAGGCTGAGATCCAGAGTCTGCGGCAAGCAGCAGAGGATTCCGCAACTGAACATGAGAGTGACATAGCATCCCTGCAGGAGGATCTCTGCCGGATGCAGAATGAACTTGAAGACATGGAACGCATTCGGGGAGATTATGAGATGGAGATCGCCTCCCTCCGTGCAGAAATGGAAATGAAGAGCTCTGAACCATCCGGTAGTTTAGGTCTCTCAGATTACTCTGGGTTACAAGGTATGAGAGCCATCAAGTGGGTCAGTAAAGTCAAGCAGAGGAAAGGAGATAATATATAGGAAAATGGTAGAAGGTGGTGTTAGATCATGAATTGGGAATCTCTAGAAAAAACCTCCAGGTTGAATTCAAGACTGTAGGGGTCCAGGCGTGATGGCTCATGCCTGTAATCCCAGAACTTTGGGAGGCCAAGATGGGAGGATCACTCGAGCCCAGGCATTCATGAGCAGCCTGGGCAATGAAGTGAGACCCTATCTCTTTCTAAAAGAAAAATTTAAATAAAAATTTTAAAAAGACAGTAAAGGGGAAAAACCTACCCAGATGTTACATAACCAGTCCATGGTGGTGTAAGAAATAGCACCATGGAGAGGTACCCTGGGAATTCTTCAGAGAGTCATTGGGTCTTTGTTGATTTGACTATGGGAAAACCCTTCCTGGGAAAATTTCCAGCTCTAGGATGGGCAAAGAGGGACCTGTCACCTTGGGAAACTCTTCCTGCTGCCCTGGCATCATGGTGCTTTGCCTGGAATGCTTTATAGGGGGCCTCTGGCCCTGCTTCCAGGTGCAGGGATGCTAATTCTTAGGTTCCATTAGCTCTCCTCAAAATAGAAGCTTTGGGGGGCAACAAATCGGAACAAAAGACAGCTAGAGAAGAAAAGTTATTCTGAGTGATACATGAGGTACCCAAAAGCCTAGAGCCCTGCTTTCAGACAGTGAGTCTCCCAGCTAGTTGCTAGGATTCATGACATCAGAGAGTTTGCCTTTATTCTGAGGCTAGATTTATAATCTGAGTATAATGGAGGTCCTATATTTGGCCAGGTCAAGCAGAGGCAATCAACAAGGAATCAAAGAACTGCAAGTTTTTCCAGCTGTATCAAGCCTCTCAGAAGAGCCTTTAGATTAAATGGTGCTGGGAGAAGAAGGTTGGCACAGTGGGAAGGCTTGGGCTGGAGTCAAACAGACCTGAGTTCAGTATCTCAGCTCCACTAATTAGCAGGATGAACGTAGGAGGTCTGGTTATGGTCTTTCTCTGAGCCTGTTTCTATATCCAGGATATGAAATCAAAATTGGTTAATAAAACCTTATAGCTAGATGGGATCCTGAAACAGGAAAAGGACCTTAGGGAAAATGTAGAGAAATCCAAGTAAACTATGGAGTTTAGTTAATAGTAATGTATCAATATTTGATTCCTTAGTCATGACAGGTATATCATGGTAATGTAAGATGTTGACAATTAGGGAAATTGGGTGAGAACCCTCCCAGGAAACTCCGTACTACCTTTGCAACTTTTTTGTAAATCTAAAACTATTCTAAAATTCAAAGTTTATTTAAAGAAGAAAAAAACCTTACAGAGCTATTTTGGGAATTAAATGAAATGTGAAGCATGTTGAAATCACTTGCACACTTACCAAATCTGAGGCTGAAACTATCAAGTCTAATGCTTAGCGCATGGTTAGTTTTCATTAAAGATTAGTTTCCTTCCTCCCTTATATGGTAATCTGCAGTATTCTAAGGAATTCTGATTAGAATTAAGAGGAAACATTAGAAGTTACTTTTAGGGTGTTGAATCTTCCAGCAGGTAAGATAGGTCTTGTGTTCTAATTAGAGCAAGTTAGTGTTCTTTAAATATCAGTAGAATTAATGTTCTAAGAGACATAATTCTTTTTCAATTTTTTGCTAGTGGACACAGAGTCTTGCTCTGTTACCCAGGCTGGTCTCGAACTCCTGGGCTCTAATGATCCTTCTACCTTGGCCTTCCAAAATGTTGGGATCACAGGTGTAAACCACTGCACCCGGCCAACATAATTCTTAGTCATGAAGCAACAAAACAGATACAGGTGTTTGTATCATCACAGCCTTAAAAGTGGGCATGGTGACTCATGCCTGTACTCCCACCACTTTGGGAGGCCGAGGCAGGTGGATCACTTGAGCCCAGGAATTTGAAACCAGCCTGGGCAATGTGGCGGAACCCCATCTTTACAAAAAAATTCAAAAATTAGCCAGGCTTGGTGGTGTGTGCCTGTAGTCACAGGTACTTGGGAGGCCGAGGTGGGAGGATCACCTGAGTCCAGGGAGGTCAAGGATGCAGTGAGCCATGACTGTGCCACTGCACTCTGGTCTGGATGGCAGAGTAAGACTATCTCAAAACAAAACAAAACCAAAAAGGAAAAAGTATAGGTATAGGTGACTGGTGCTTAGAGACATGTGCTGGAGTATTTCAACCGGATCTCTTCTAATGCTTGAGGATGATATGTGAGTCTGGTTAGGATGGGCCTGTCAGCAGATAAAAGGCCATTAGAAAGAATTCCTTTTTTTTTTTTTTTTTGAGACAGAGTCTCACTCTGTCACCCAGGCTGGAGTGCAGTGGCACAGTCTTGGCTCACTGTAACCTCTGCCTCCAGGGTTTAAGCAATTCTCCTACTTCAACCTCCTGAGTAGCTGGGACTACAGGCATGCACCGCCACGCCTGGTTACTTTTTGTATTTTTAGTAGAGACAGGGGTTTTGCCATATTGGCCAGGCTGGTCTCAAACTCCTGACCTCAAGTGATCTGCCCACCTCGGCCTCCCAAAGTGTTGGGATTACAGGCTTGAGCCACTACACCTGGCAAGAATTCTTTACCACATCCAGACCAATGTATTTGGTGTGGGAATAAAGAACATAAAAGGAAACTCAGAATGCCTGAAAGGCAGGTACTGGCAGTCACATCTGACAGTTCACATCTCTCAGCTTTTTGTACTAAAAGCATAATTGGAAGGTAATCATAAACAGTTGAATGGAAATTTTACATACAGTAAACTTTTGAAAGTTTTTACATACAGTAAAAATTTGAAAGTTAATTAAACTTTCAAAAATTGCTAAAAGTTCAAGAGTCTGCTTCGGTTGAGGCTTTGAAGATGAGCACACAGGGTAAATCTTCAGGGCAGATGAGAAGAAGGACAGCTATTGGGAAGAGGAGAAAGACTCACTGCACTGTGGAATTTCCTGGGCCCTGTCTTCTAAGCCTCTACCTTTTTTCTGTCTTTAGAAAAAGAGAAGCTCTTTAACCTTCTGCTCTCAGGTTTCAAGACAGGAAAACTGGGGGCTGGTCATCAGTGCTTTCCTTTCCTCCCGGTCTCATCTCTCTCTGCCTGTCCTCTGCAGAAGAACTGCAGGAGCTGCGGGAACGCTACCATTTCCTGAATGAGGAATACCGGGCCCTGCAGGAGAGCAACAGCAGCCTCACGGGGCAGCTTGCAGATCTGGAGAGTGAGAGGTACAGCTGTCTCTGGAGAGTGAGAGGTCATGGGGTTCCACAGGACTCTGCCTTACCTTGGGCTTTCCCTGAAGGCAGATGCCAGGGCAGTGAGCGTTCCTTTGCTCCTGGAGACCCAGTCCTTTCCATGGTTTCCAAAGGATACAGATACCACCTACAAGCAGACATGGGGATCCGACCCAATTATCTCAAGACTAGAGGGAGTGAGTTCTGAAGTTTACTTCTGCTCTAGGCACTGGGTTCTGGTTTGCTCTGCCCTAAAGTGGATCAGAAGAGATTCTTTTATTGTCTGCATAGACTTGTTTCAGTCTAATGGCAGGCACAATGCTTCCAGATTGGAGTGGGCTTGACTAGGCCTAGCCTCAAAACTAACTGGACTGGCACTCTAAGGGTCTCCCAGAGCCAAACACACCTTTGCAGATTGAGGGGCTGGAGACTTTCTGTAGTCTTTTAAGCATGTTTATCTGAGCGGTGAGTCACAATAGAAGGCCCCTTACTATCTTTGGCCTAAAATGAAGGTATCAGGACAAAGCCTGCATGGCTGGTGATGCCAGGCAGAACTCCCTTCAAGCATAGCTCTGCGGTTCTGAATTGCAGGACACAGAGAGCAACAGAGAGATGGCTGCAGTCCCAAACACTGAGTATGACGTCAGCAGAGTCTCAGACTTCAGAAATGGATTTCTTAGAGCCTGATCCTGAAATGCAGTTGTTACGGCAGCAGCTACGGGATGCTGAAGAGCAGATGCATGGCATGAAGAACAAGGTAGGGCACAGAGGGTGGGGAAGGCAGGCACATTTCTTGTCTTTCTTTCACCTTCTCCCAGCCTGTGGTAGAAACATCTCCATAGGCATCCACTGTGGAGGGAGATAGTACTCTGGGGTCTCACTTGCCTGATGTAAATCTTCCAGTCAAAGAGCGCCATGCTTTCCCCAAGCTTGTTCTTGGAGCATATGTGGTATCTGTAGTAAACAAGCCTCCCTGTTCCATTTCCCACATAGTGTCAGGAATTGTGTTGTGAGTTGGAAGAGCTACAGCATCATCGCCAGGTCAGTGAGGAGGAGCAGAGGCGGCTGCAGAGGGAGCTCAAGTGTGCTCAGAATGAGGTGCTTCGGTTTCAGACCTCCCACAGTGTCACCCAGGTAAACACTGCCCGGGGAGGCATCTGGGGTGGGGGCAGAAGGGCCTCATGGAGGGGCTGCTTCAACCGGGGTGGGCACAGTGAGTATGGCTGTGCTCTGCTGACTCTTGCCCTGCAACTGGGCACAGTCTGCTGGAAACCAACTGTAGAAGTCATATAGCACTGCATTCTAGAAATGGTGGTCATTACTGAGTGTCCATCTCACAGAAGAAACCAAACCCTAGACCTGTGGGAGCTCCTCAAGATGTCTGCATCTGAAAAGGAACCCAACTGATCCGTAGAAAGACCTGCTGTTTCTTGAGAGTAACTGTTCTACTCACATCCTCCCTACCACAGAATGAGGAGCTGAAGTCCAGACTCTGTACCCTGCAGAAAAAATATGATACTAGCCAGGATGAGCAGAACGAGCTCTTGAAGATGCAGCTGCAACTTCAGACTGAGCTCCGGCAGCTCAAAGTCATGAAATCCACACTTGTAGAAAACCAGAGTGAGAAGGTAACAGCAACCAGAGGTGAGGGGACAACTTAGGTGCTAAGGGCATCCTTCTGAGGTTTTGGGGAAGGTGGATAAGAGTAGTGAGTTAAAAATAATTCCAGCAACCACATAGGCAGCACCACAGGTAAAGAACTCCAGCCCTGCTCGAGTACTACATTAGATATGAGGACATTAGGAAGTGAAGGGCAGGAAGAAGCAAATCTTAGACTGTTGGTGTCTTCAAGTGACTCACACAGAAGAGTGAGTGGGTTAAGGAGCCCAAAGGCACTGCCCAAAGCCCCCTCTACCATAGGAGTTACTGTGCCGGCTGCAGAAGCTGCACCTCCAGCACCAGAACGTCACATGTGAGAAGGAAAAGCTGCTGGAACGGCAGCAGCAGCTGCAGGAGGAGCTGCAGTGCCATGAGGCAGAGCTGCAGCACCTCAGGGATACGGTGGCCTCCTTCAAAGAGAGCAATGAGAAGGTAAAAGAAGCTCCTGGTGAGGGAGGATGTAGCCAGGCATCATCTTGTGTGAGGGTGAGAGCACAGAGGACGAGAGGGAATGGTAGGAGTGTGGAGGAGCTGGCAGTGAGGGGGCCAAAGAGGTGCTTAGGAGAAAGGTGACCTCGGGGAGTCACAAGGCTCTCAGCTTCCTTTGATTTTAAATCAGAAAAGCAGCATATAAAAAGGAAGTCCCTTTGCCTCCCCACCTCCCAAAAAAGGAAGCCCCAGAAGGTCTGTGTTTCTTTTTAAATTATTTTTATATTTATTTATTTATTTATTTAACTGGAAAGGCTGCACTGGGAAGGTCTGTGTTTCAAGCCTGTCAGGGACGGGTCCATCTTGGGTATCTATCCCTGGCTGGGATGAAATTGGGGCTGAGAAGGACAAGGGAAGATGGGTCCCCTTAGTCCCCGCCTGGGAGGAGAGAGTCCAGCAGCAGGAGTGCCTGGGATGATGGCCAGGCCTGCCTCCCCTGCCCAGGACACAGAGACGCACGCTCAGCTTCAGGAGATGAAGCAGCTGTACCAGGCCAGCAAGGACGAGCTGGAGCGGCAGAAGCACATGTATGACCAGCTGGAGCAGGACCTCCTGCTCTGCCAGCTGGAGCTGAAAGAGCTCAAGGCCTCCCACCCCATTCCGGAGGACAAAGGAAAGTGTGCTAATAAGGTAATTGTCGTTCAGAGAGGTGACAGCTCCTGGGCACTTGCTCCAGAGAGAAGAGGTACAGAGGCAAAAAGTGAAGGCACCCAACCCAAGGGCTTGATGGCCTTCCTAGGCAGGAAGCAGAGGCAGGGCCACATGCTGCTAACTTCAAAATTGTTTGCCCTGACCTTGACTTTGAGCCAGAGCCACAGCTTAGTAGGATCAATACCTTTGGATCCCAGTCTGAACCCCTGAAAGTTTTACACATGATTCCATGTATGTAGACATTTATACAATGGTATTAGAACTGTAGTGATATCTAGTCATTCTTGGAGGGGAACATATACATGGGCCCATTACACAAATATTATTGTTGGAACTAGAGAAAGGGGCCAGTTTTCTGGGTCAGATTGCAAATGGTCTTATAAAGGGGTACGGTCTTGTGCCCAGAGTGCTGATTGGGCAAGAGAAGGACCTAGGCTCTTCTAGGATTTATTCTGTGACTTTGAAGTAGTTAAATTCTTTTTTTATGAAATGGAGTCTCACTCTGTCGCCCAGGCTGGAGTGTGCAGTGACACGATCTCAGCTCACTGCAGCCTCCGCCTCCTGGGTTCAAGCAATTCTCCTATCTCAGCCTCCCAAGTAGCTGGGACTACAGGCACATGCCATTGTGCCTGGCTAATTTTTGTATTTTTAGTTGAGACCGGGTTTCGCCATGTTGGTCAGGCTGGTCTCGAACTCCTGACCTCAGGTGATCCACCTGCCTCGGCCTCCCAAGGTGCTGGGATTACAGGCATGAGCCGCCATGCCCTGCCAGTAATTAAATTGTGGAAGGTTGAATTGTGCCCTCTTTAAATGGAAGAGAATACTACTCTTAACTCACTTCCTTTTAGCAGTAAATCCTGGTAGTGATAAATAAGGCCTTATTCATTTTTTTTCTTTTCCATAGTGTATAAAATGCAAGCCGTTATCATTTATCCTGTTGAGCACTTTCAGCTCCTGATTACTGATGGGAAATGGAAAGGTGTTGAAGCATGTTGGAGAAGAGGCCCAAGAGTCTCTAACGATGGTGGAGTTGGTCACATTCTGCCAGAAAACTCAGTAGTTCCTGTCCCTGGGGAAAGGCCTTCAGGAGACGGAGGACTGGGAAGGTTATTTGGGCCACCTCAGCAGTCTCTTTGCCTTTCTATATCCAGGCTCACGTTTCCTCCTTTTTCCACTGCTACTCAATTTAGGAGCCCAGGTGATCTGTGACTTGCTCGTCACCTCTTCCCCTAATGGGAAAAATGATGGGAAAGGAGAAGCATGCTGGCAGACAGCACCTGCTTTTTCTCTAGCCGTAAAACAGCATTGAGATCTGTCTGATATTAGAAGATCTGGGTTTTTGGAAATGGGATGATTTAGTCTTCTCAACCCAAATTTACCAATAGCGCATACTTTCTAAAGATTTAAAGAGAGAATTAGGAAAGCAAAAATGGGAAAAATTAGGGTGAAATTAAGTCCTTATTTGTAAGGAGTGTAGTTGCATTAAAAAACAACTGGGGTTAATGAGAATAACAGGAGCTAAGAGTTCCCAACAGGGTGGGAATATGGTGTATAAAGGAAAGGGCCGGAGAAGAGGAAGGGGGAAATGAGAAAGGGGCATCGATAGCATTCCCCATCAAACTGCCCCCAGAAAGGAATGGTGGAAGTTTAGAGCAAGGCCAGCCACCAGTCTAGAGCAACCTGCTCTGAAGGAGCAGCCTGCAGGGGATCCCCAATCGGTATCTAAACAGCCAGAATGCATTGTGGCTTGGGGTGACCAGTCCAAGGTGACTGCACAGGGAGAGGATCACAAGAGGCAGGAGAGCGCAGAAGTGCTCTGTTAGCCACCCAAGAAGCTTACCTTACAGAGTAACCACCCCCTCCACACCCGCCCCCACCCACAGTGTGACACACTGCTGTCCAGACTGACAGAATTGCAGGAAAAGTACAAGGCCAGCCAGAAGGAGATGGGGCAGCTGCAGATGGAGCAGTGTGAGCTCCTGGAGGATCAGAGGAGGATGCAGGAGGAGCAGGGCCAGCTGCAGGAAGAGCTGCACAGGCTCACACTGCCACTGCCAAAGAGTGGCCTCTTACTCAAGGTAACTCTGCCACAGGCAGCTGCTAACTGCGGGGAAGCTGCTCTGAGAAGCTTCCCTGTGTGACTAGGGAAAAATAAAAGGGTGGGGATTGAACTTTTTCTCTTACCAACCACTCCTTACTTTCTCACCACTCTCCCCAAACCAAAAAGCTCCATAGAGCCAATTAGAGTTTTTCTTATAAGGGCTTTAAATCTTAAAATACCTTTTATACTCAGGAATCTGTGCAGCAGTTTATATTTAGGTATTTAGTCCATCTGGAGAAAATGCACCTGAAGCCACTTTGTAAACTACAAAATATATCCCAACACAAGAGACCACTGCCACTTTTAGCAGGTCTCCATAGAAGGGCTCCCCCGTCCCCAGATGGGCTCTGTGAAGTCAACCCTGAGATTCTTCAGGGAATTGTTCACAACGGGGATGAGGCACCAAGGAGGCATCAGACTTCCTGTGTGACCACCACCATCCCTTGCCTCCTTCCTTCTACTCCGCCTCAGAGTCAGGAGCTACTCACCAAGTTAGAAGACCTGTGTGAGCTGCAGCTGCTCTACCAAGGCATGCAGGAGGAACAGAAGAAGCTGATACAGAACCAAGACTGTGTATTAAAAGAACAATTAGAGATCCACGAAGAGCTGCGACGTTTCAAAGAGTCTCATTTCCAGGAAGTGTTGGAGAATCCCGATGATTCCAAATTGGCTAAGTCCTCCAAATGTAATCGAAACAAGGTAACCATAGCAAGAGGTAGGGAGACAGTTCTCCTGAGCACAACAGCATGGCAGAGAGAGTGGGCACCGCCGAAGGGTCAGAGTTGGGAAGGCGTGTTTGGCCAGGGGTAAGGATAAGGCAAAAGCCCTGCCTTTCACCAGCTGTGACCACTCACAGGCTCCATTAAGAGGTGGCTTTTAGATACGGCCTGAGGACCTCACCTAGATGCCATTATCCTTTATCACACTGATATTCACAGTGCCCAGTTGAAGCACTATGAGCACTCAGGGCAGAGCTGGGATGACCAGAAGTCTGTCATCAGATCATTCGACTCATTCCCAGTAAGATGTATAATATCAGTTTGGTGTTTGTTTGGATTCCTTTGGACTGACTCTAAATGTCATCTTTTTCTTGAGTGGAAAAGTACACTTCTCAGTTATCAAAATCTATCACCTTTGGTGTTCTCTATGAGGCAAATTTGGGGCCTTTCATTTCCAAGAGAAGAATTCCTAGCATATGGGGTTCTTAGTACTGACCACACTATCTTCATTGGAACTTTGGTGGCAGTAACAGAGCAAGGTCACAGGGGTTAGACCAGAAAATTGATGCCTCTCAAGTACCAGCAAGAGGTCATTCAGATGAGGTGACACAGGTGGAGATCACCATACAATTCTCTTCAGGGTTGGGGGATAAAGTTGTTCTGAGGTCTCAGCGTGGGCAAGGAGGGGCAGGTAGACAGTTTCGGTTTAGGCCAAATCTATTCATTCAGATCTTATTCTGAACAAGGAGAACCAGGGAGTAGCAGAAGTCAACACTGTGAGGCTGGATCATATTCCAGGGGCATCAGATGTCCAGGCTGGAGGCCTGGGTAACACAGCTGGGAACCAGGTATAAAATATTTCCTTAACTGATCAGATCTCATCCTGGACATCAGCAGCCAAGAAGCCAGGCCCAACATGCCCAGAGGCCAGATTCAGAATTGGGGCAGGAGATACAGGAACTAATAGTAAGACTTTGATTCCAATTCTTCATATTGCCGCATTCAAGGCCGGGGCTGATTTTAGAACTAGGGGTGGGCGAGGGGACTGAGCCTGAAGGTCAGGATAACAGGTATACCTGACTGAGAAGAGGGTGTGGTAGGGAGCCAGGGTGTTCTGGAAACCCACTCGGCACTGCTCCAAGGAGACAGGGATGTACCAAAGTGCAGAAACCAGCCGAAATGGGAGCCCGGAAATCATGGAGTATCTGCCCTGGGGAGATTTTCCCAAATGAGCAAGAAACTGATACATGCCAGTTACCTATAGGCTAAGTCAGAGACATAGGCCGGGGTGAGGTGGAAATGTAGGTGTGCCATTCTCTAAGGTGTGCTCTCAGACATCTGTACCAGGAGAGGTGCAGCTGGAAGGACTGAAGTGTCAGAGTAATGATACTGTCTCCCCACCCCTGCCCCCAGCAATCCAAGCTGCTCATGGAGCAGATGCAGGCCCTGCAGGTGATGTATGACGCCGGTCAGGCGAAGCAGGAGCTCTTGCAGCAAGAGCAAGGGAGGCTCCTAGAGGAGCGGAAGAGGCTGCAGGCAGACTTGCAGCTCTGCCTGGAAGAAATGCAGCTGCTTCAAGTCCAGTCCCCTTCTATAAAAATGAGCCTTGAGTCCTACGGGAAGAGCTATGGTAGCATGGTCCCCAGCAATGAGAACTGTCGCAAGACTTATGATACCACTGTGGATGACAATGAGAGCTATTACAAGAGTTACACCAGCACCCAGACCAGCAGCAAGAGCTTTCTCAAGAGCTATGACAGCAGCACCAGTGCCAGTGAGGCCTATGGGAAGAGTTACTGCACTACCAGCAACAGCAGCATTACCTATAAGAAGAGTTACGGCAGCACCAGTAGCTCTGACACCTGCCAGAAGAGTTTTGTCAGCAGCTGCACTGACGAGGAACCTGCTGAGCCTGAAGACATGGAGGTAATGGTTGCCAGGTGACAGGTCAGGCAGGGGACGATGGACTCTTGTCTTTTTAAGAGATACATCGCCAGGGGAAGGGGCAAGAAGTGTGGGAATGGGGTCAGAACTGACCTGGGGAACTATTGGAAGTAAGCGAAGCCCTCTACCCATGGCAGCCTGGTCTCCCGCTCAGCCCTCTCATAGAGAGAATCCCCCATCTGGACAGAGGCCCATAAGATTCAGTCCGTTTCCTCACCACAGCCACGATGCTCTTTATGGGGGTAAATATAGTAATCCCCCGCGGGCATCTCTGGATCCTGGTGGCCATTGTTTGGTATCCAGGGAAGGGCCCAGCAGAGTAGGGCGGAGCTTAGGTGCTCCTCAGGGTGCTATTGTTGCTCCCCCACCCCCCGCAGCGCTTTGAGGAAATGGTTGTGAAAGTGCTGATCAAGCTGCAGGCGGTGCAGGCCATGTACCAGATAAGCCAGGAGGAACACAGCCAGCTGCAAGAGCAGATGGAAAAGTTACTGGCCAAGCAGAAAGACCTGAAGGAAGAGCTGGATGCCTGTGAAAGGGAGTTCAAGGAGTGCATGGAATGCCTTGAAAAGCCCATGGCCCCCCAGAACGACAAGAATGAGGTAACCACTGTCAGGGAGGCAGGGTTTCCTCTGGCAGCCCCTGGAGCCATAGAGGTCATGGCCACTTCATAGAGGCTAAAGAGAGGGACAAAGCAGGGAGAATATGCACCTCAGAGGCTGGGCAGTCTGCTCCATCCCTGATGACATTTCCCAAGTGCCCGTGGAGCTGGGGTTTACTAGTCATCAGGACTTCTCTCATCGAATGATTTCTCTCTTTCTCCCTTTGCCACTTCTGTTCTCTTTTGCTTTGTGTTCTAGACCACTTCTGTAGAACTGTATTTTTGCATTTGCCAATCTTCTTTCATCATTTTGTGTGCATTTGCCTTGTCTCCCGGTGCACCAACTAGGAGCACCAACTAGATTGCAAGCAGCTCAAGGACAGGGACATGTCTCCTTTTGGATCGCTCACAATGCCAAGAAGAGTGCTCTGCACCCCCTAGGAATGGGACAGAAGTCTTGTCTCTGGCCAGGGGTTCACGGTCCAGTGGGGGTCTCTTTGTATACACACGGGAGAGATTCAGAGAGCAGCGAACACATGGGTCCAGATTGGCTAGTATTGGTACCTACTGAGGGGATGGTTGTGTGCTGCCATCAGCCAAGGAAGACAAAACCCGAGATCAGGGAGCAGGATGTGACTTGCCTCTGTTTCCAGGGTGAGGTGCAGGAGCCCAGTACACACTTCAGGAGTGTACAACACAGTTCTTTAAGTAATTGTTCCTGTTAGAGAGATGGGTTGGATGAAGTAGGAGTTCCCATAAAAAGAATTCTAGGCCAGGTGCGGTGGCTCACCCCTGTAATCTCAGCACTTTGGGAGGCCGAGGCGGGTGGATCACTTGAGGTCAGGAGTTTGAGACCAGCCTGGCCAACTTGGAGAAACCCCATCTCTACTAAAAATACACAAAATTAGCTGGGCATGGTGGCGCATGCCTGTAATGCCAGCTACTCAAGAGGCTGAGGCAGGAAAACCGCTTGAATCCAGGAGGCGGAGGTTGCGGTGAGCCAAGATCATGCCATTGCACTCCAGCCTGGGCAACAAGAGTGAAACTCTTGTCTCAAAAAAAAGAATTATATAATAAATCCCTGAGGTTCAGAATTGGTAGCAGCCCTATTGTTATTCCCCAGTCACAGTAGAAAACACCATTTAAATCATTGTTTTGACCTTCTTTTTTTTTTTTGAGACAGAGTCTTGCTCTGTCACCAGGCTGGAGTGCAGTGGCACGATCTCAGCTTCCTGCAACCTCCGCCTCCTGGGTTCAAGTGATTCTCCTGTTTCAGCTTCCCAAGTTTCTGGGACTACAGGCGCGCTCCAATAAGCCCAGCGAATGTTTGTATTTTTAGTAGACATGGGGTTTCACCATGTTGGCCAGGCTGGTCTCGAACTCCTGACCTCAAGTGATCTGCCCACCTCAGCCTCTTGAAGTGCTGGGATTACACTGGATGGCAAGTGAGCCGCTGCGCCCTGCCGTTTTTTTCATCTTATTAGATGGACATCATCAGGTGCCTCAAGTTAGGAGAAGCTATTTGTAAAACTATTTGAGAGGCTCATTTTCCACCGTTGAATATTTTCTTTATTGTCTACTTCCTATGGGCTTTAACAGGGAGATTTCTGAGACAGTGACCCCCAAGCAGGGCTGAGTTTGGTTGCGTGGTCAGCCAACTGGTTGCATAACCAGCCAACTCTGGGTAACTGGCCCTCCACTACCAACAGATCAAAGAACTGCAGACCAAGCTGCGGGAGCTGCAGCTGCAATACCAGGCTAGCATGGATGAGCAGGGGCGGCTTCTGGTAGTGCAGGAGCAGCTGGAGGGGCAGCTGCAGTGCTGCCAGGAGGAGCTCCGCCAGCTCAGGGAGAAGAGGCCTTCTGTTGTCAAAGAAGCCCGGGGGAAGAATGCTAATAAGAACATGAACAAGAATGCCAATGGGGTTAAAATGAAAAAGGTGACCAAGCCATGCTCGGATACTTCTGAGAGCGACCTTGAGACCAGAAAGGTGAGTAGTAACCTTGGTAGCCAGATAAGCAGAAAGGAGGAGGAGATCCTGGGAAGAAGCATTGCCTCCACAACCCTTTCAACCAGGCAAGGGATTTGTAGAGAAGCTTCTGGGATCTCTGAAGTGTCTACAGTGGTTCCCATCTTAATGGAAAGTGGGTGCTCCCTTTTCCTGTGAAGTTATGGGGAGAGTGGAACACAGACAACTCACATCGGGAGGTGCAGCCCCAAAGGACCACAGCCCCTAGGCTGGACAACTCCTTCAGTTTGCCCAGCCCCATTTGTTGGGGCTCCTGTTCTTCCTGGGTTACATGCCCAAGAGAAGAACCAAATAGATGAAGAGGGAGGAATTTGTTCAAAGTAGTTATGTACTAATAAGTGAAAGAGGATTGGGTAAAAGAAGAGTCACTGTAGGGGTGGGAAGCAACAATTTAGGTGCAGAGCCCAAGACTCTTTAGTTGTGGTAGCTGTTTGAAATGGCTTAATGGCCAACAGACATAGTGGCCCTGAGAGGTGAGGTGTGATGCCCTCTACATATGCTCAGGGGATTGGCTCACAGTCCCAGAGCACCGGGCCACACCCTTGCACTCTGACATGCTGGAAGTCATGTTTCCTGGAGCTAGTACAGCATTGTCATGAGATTAGGAGCTTCACAGGTAACGCAGCCGCCATCCTGCCCTACTCCCACCCCACAGAGTCTGGAGGTAGTGCTGTACTACAAGGCCAGCCAGAGGAAATTAGATGGACTAGCAAAAGAGGAGGAAAAGAAAGAGGAGATGGAGGAGGAAAAAAAGCAAGTGAAAGAGGAAGCAAAGGAGCAGTGTGGGGATGAGCTAGTTGCTGAGCCAGCAGATCCTGAGGAAGCTAAATCCACAGAAGATCAGGAGGAAAATGAAGAGGACAAAGAGGAAGAGGAGAAGGAAGAAGACAGTGAAGAGGAGGAGGATGACGCCGACTCTTCCCTTGAAAGTCCCGAAGAAAATAACCCCCTCAGACTTTCCGAGAGCAAAAAGGTAACCAGAGCCAAAGCCTAGATCAAGTGGGAAGTGGGGTCTTGGGCTCAGATAACTCCGAGTTAATGGGTGGCCCTGCCAAGGATGGATATCTCCAGGAGTGGAGGCCTCGCGCTCTAAGGCACAACCCTTCGGGGAGGTGGAGATGCAGAAGTGGGAGATGAGAGCAGTCTGTCTGCACGAAATCATGGGCTCAGCCCCGTTTGCTGTGGAACCACCTCACAATGACCACCTTTTCTGGGAACCAGCGTGGGGTCTCTGGAGTCCTTTCATTTACGTAGTAGCCTTTGTTACCTTCCTTATGTCGGGAGTGTTCCCTCATCCCTCTTTTGGCACTGCAGGAAGGACATTGACAGTGTGAAGTCTACTTCAGGCCATTTCTGTCGGTCTGGGCAAGTCACTCAGTCCAGTTTTCCTATGGTGCCCTGTTAGGTTTAACCTTTGTTGTTGCTGTTAGGGGTGTGTCAGGGGATAATCTCTTCTTTGTAGGCTCATGTTGCCCCCTGGATTCTGTATATCACAGGACATGAAGGTGGGGCCTGGAAGTGATCAAGAGTGATAGTGAAAATATTTCACATCTGTACAGTAGGAGCATAGACTAGTCCAAGGAGACCATCCCTAGCCTTAACCCTTCAGTTGCTAGATCATTGAGAGGTTGGGGTGGAGGTATCCTGGGATATATATGCCAGAATGCCAGAGGTAACTTACCAACAATATAGAAGTACTTCCATATTTTAATAACTGGTACGTCTCTGCAGGTATGTAGCAACTGAATTCTTGCCCTGGACTTAACTCAGGGCTCAGAGTCCCTACAGAGTTAGAGTATTTCCTGTGTAAGTCCTCAGCTTACATTACAGGTTCTTTCTGTTCTAAACAGAGGTAAAGAAAAAAAGCCTCTTGTGGTGGGATTATCCAGTCAACTCTGAGGATATCTGGAATTTCCAGCAATTTGGTCTTCAGCACTGGCTAAGGATCCAGTGTGCAGTGCTCTGCTTACCTTGTGCCAGGGGACCATTACCTAAGATGTGGAAAGTCGGAACCACTGCAGCCCCTCCCACTATCATGTTTCCTTGAGCTCATCATATTCCACCACGTGCTGGTTCAGAGCCTCACAGATGTCTTTACCTTCGGTGCCACATTTCTAAAGCTAGACCTGATTTTTCTACTTCAAATATATTCTATGTTTCTATATATGGAGAGATCCCTTTGCCCCGTGGGTCCTGCGTCTTTTGCAGGCAGCTCTAGGGCATGTGTATTACCACCTTGCAAAATCGGTTTCTCTCTGGAAGATTGTTGCAGTGAAAGAACTAGCCCTTCTCCATTGTCAGTTTGTTTCGGTGCATGTTGTCTTACAATGATATCATTAGATTCCTAGGGGATCTAAGGGACCAGAGCCCAAAATACTAAGAAACTTAATGGAAAGCAGGCTAGAACAAAGGGACAGGTGACCTGGTAGAAGACTGGCTCTTCCTAGAGTGACCTAGGAAAAGTCACAAGAAAGGTCTAGATGCAGATACCTCCTGCTTGACAGGATATGAGAGGTATGTGACGAGACAGAAAGAAAACTGGACTCACCGCCTGACTTGGACCTAGCTGCTGCTTAACCCATTCAATTTTGCAATTCCTGCAGACTGCCGGTGGAAAGAACCAAGGCCCAGGCAGCAGAAAAGACATGCAACTGCTCTAGCTTACCTGTTTTTTAACCTCTTGATTCCTTTCTCTTTTCCCTTTGTTTTCTCATCTTCATTATCTGTTGGATCCATGCGTTTATGTCTCACATCTCCTGGTCTCTCCTCGTGCTTCTTTCTCATTTTGGTGTGTTGCAGTCATCCCCTACCCCCAATCCCCCCATCTTCTCCTTGCCTCTTGTAGGCCTGGTGGTCATCTCGGCTTTGCTCTGGTGCTGGTGGGCTGAGACGTCGTCCTAATGCAGGTACTGGTATTGCTTCCTCTCCTTCTGAGGGATAGAGGGAGGGTGCAGGTTGCCCTGGCCTCTCCTCTTTCCCTTTTCTCCCAGCTGCTTGCTTCTTGCTTGTGCCATTTTATAATAGGTGATGCTCAGGTCTGAGTTTTAGTTCTGACTTTTCCTTGGGCTACTGCAAAGCCTCTGACATCTCTGAGCATGTCTTCGTAATGCATAGGAGGTTGGAATGCTTGCCAGAGACATGGTTTGTTTCAATCCTTGGCTGGGAAAAACTTGGATAAGCCCAGCTTGGTTGCTGCTGTCAAAGCTGCCTCACTACTTCTTTATCCCCGCTCATCCTCTGTGTGATGGCTAGCCTGACCACTTCTGATGAGCTGATATTTGCAAGGCTGGCCTGGACTCTCTTTGTCTTGGTTTAACTCCGGAGCCAAGTTCTCACTACTGTTGCTACCCAAGATGGCAAAATAAGGAATCCCTCTTCTGTTGGGAGAGAGAGGAGCTCTGAAGAGCTCTGATCCTCATGATCCTCCCAGGGGCATTGGTAGGAGGGCAACCTAAGCTGGTCCATCAAGCTTGGTGAAATGGAACCGAACCCCTACTGTATTCTGCTCTTTCTACTGAACAGTTCTCTGCTTCTGGACTTCCAGTCTCCGGAAAAGTCAGAACAGAATGCCGGGAAATTTTATTAGTTATCTATTTATCTATTTTGTGGGCCAGATTCCATGGTAATTGGCTTCCCCAGCTAGGTTTTCTGGAGAGAATGAGGTATTAGTGAAAAGTTTCTACTAGCCAGAGATGTGTGTTCTCAGGAAATCAAGACTGATATATTCTGGCCACTTTCCTGTCAGCTCCCACACATGTAATGTACACTGTCAACAGGATACCAAATTCAGGAGGCAGAATGTGGTCTTACGGCCTAAGGTAGAAGCCTGGGGTTCCACCTGCCTTCTGGAACCCATAAGGTATTCTCTCTAGTCCTGCATTGGCTCCTCTCTCATGCTTTCCCTGCCTCCCCCTCCACTCCCCTCTCTTCTCACATTCCTGTGAACGGAATGTAGCTTAATGCACAGGGTGGCAACTGGAGGATTTGTTGGTGGCACTTCTCTCCATTTCCTTTTCTGTCCTTCCTCCTGCTCCCTCCCCAGCTTTCCTGTTACTCATCTTCAAGCCTCCACTTTTCTTCTTGACTTTAGGTATTCCCTTTACTCCCTGGTCCACAACTGCTTTAGTGACGGGGCCCCTCTCTATGACTGTTTCTCCCCTGTCACCCCCCAGAAGTCTTAAGGCACTACGGGTGAAACCCAAAGAGTTCAGCCACAGCCTTCCACTACCTCAGACCCAGCCCGGCCCAATCAGAGGGAGAGGAAGAACTGCTGGTGAAGGGTTCTCCTGGTGGGGCCTGTTATCCCCAGAGCTCCAGGAGGCCCCAACATGCACCTGTGCAGCCAGGACCTGAGGGAGCACAGTGTGGTAGAAAGCGTGGCTGCCAGGCGGTCAGAAGAACTTGGTTGAGTCTGTCTCTACTGACAGGCGTTGTCCCAGGGAGCAAAATGCACACTCTGAGCTCTAGTTTCTTCAAATGTAAGCAAAGGATGATCGAACCTCTGCCCTCCTCACAGGTTTTTGTCAGGACCAGATGGGTTGAAGTAGATGAAAGTATTCTATAAATTATAAAATACCCCATCATTAATAAAAAGAGCACGCACTTACAAAATGCAGTCTTATGTGTCAGGCACTGTTCTAATCACTTACGTATATTAACTGATTTAATCCTTGCAACAACCCCATGAAGAAGCTACTCCTATTTTTTTTTATATATGATTAAACTAAGGCATAGAGAAGTTAAGTAAAACAGCCAGGAAGCTGCGAGTCAGATTATAAGGACTCAATATTAGCAACAAATAAGATTCCAGTCTTGCTTCCCTTTATTGTCTCTCCTCATTTTGAGCAGTTTCTCTTCATTGGTCCCAAGTAGGAAGACACCATACTTGTGTTTAGGCAACCTCAGATCACATTAGCTCTTTAGGTAACTAATATATTATTTATTTATTTCATGTATTTTTTATAAGCCCCTCTGCAGATTGTGTATGCTAAGCGTCCTCTCCCCATTCTGTACCTGCATTTGATTTTGAGGCTTCAAAGGCAGAATTTTCCATTCTTCCCTATTATAGTTCATTGTTCTTACCTTATAAGGTTTTGTGTGTATGTGTTTTTAATCTTGACCCTGTGGTTTTAAAATATTCACTTCCTCTGCCACCTTCACATCATCTACAGGGGTGGCAAGCCCTCCTTCCCTGTCTTCATCTACAGAGGACAGAGTGAGGACAGAGCCTCTAGAGTGTCGTCTCTTGGGGTTCTTTTATTCAGCTCATTGGTCACTTACCTGCCATTCAACAAACTGTACTGTCATCCTACCCTTATTTCTGCATATTATCTGCAAAGATCATAGAAAATTCTGTCAAACAACTCAACGTCCAAAAACATGATTCCGGTGATTTGTCACTTAGGTCACCTAGTTTAAAAGGAGAGTTTGACACGACTTCCCCTTTGGGACACCCACACCAGCCCTTTCCCCATCCCATGTAGAAGCTTGCCTTTGCCCAGTGTGAGGTGCACGGGTCACATTTAAGGATTTCAGCTCCTCCCTCCTTTAAGAACACCAGACTAACATTCTTAGCAATGCACATTAGGATAGAGGCATCTGAGCATATAAATATTTTTTTCTAGCTAGCTCCCTTCTTAGTTTTTGTTTTTGGTTTTAGAGACAGGGTCTCGCTCTGTCACCGAGGCTAGAGTGCAGCGGCATGATCATGGCTCACTGTAACTTTGAACTCCCGGTCTCAAGCGATCCTCCTCCCTCAGCCTCCGGATCTCTTGGTTTTCTTACATGAGTTACTCTGTATATCCACCTGTAACATTGCTTGGCTTTCCATTTCATACCTTCTGTTGTTCTTAGTAGCTATTTCTATAAGCTCAGGAGATTTTCTTTGCTCTTTAGCAGGCTTAAAGTCCTCTTTTTAGATCAATTATCATCTGAGAAAATGTGTTCTTAGCATTAATGGGCTATATTCCATTTTTACTTGAAACCATCCTTCTGTTACCTATGCCATAGCTTATGACTCAAAATCCAAATTCTACCTTTCAGTTAGTAGAGTAAAAAAGTAATAAAAATAAAACCTATTTCCCCAAGTATGTATTTTCTTGTCTAAGATTTTCATATTACCTAATGGATGCTTTTTGGATATCTTCGATGGTGCCACTTGTCCCATGAATCAGCAGGGTTCCCTAGTGGCCGGCAGTGTCTGGAAGCCTCAGCATACTCTAGCACATGCACCAGGAAGTCAGTCAACATACCTGGTGATTAGGAGTGTTCTAATGACCTAGGCCCAGTGACAGGTTTCCTTAAATTTCCTTGAACCAATGTCATTCTCTGTCAAAGTTTGTCTGCCTAAGAACCTCCTACTTACCTGCACTCCGTGGTGCACTTTCTTCATTTCCCCTCAGCCTTATTCCCCCTTCCCCATCCTCTTGACTCTGAGTTCACTTCACTGCAGTGAAACTAATGAGGTGCTGCTGCTTTTCTCAAAGCCCCAGATTTCCCCTCCTCTTTCTTGCCATGGCATCCAGTCCTTTCTCATTGCAACCACTTGGAAGTCTGGCCCCTGAGCCTGCTTCTTCACATGGGAGCTAGTATTCTCAGCCCATGGGGAGAAACGGAGGCCTGAATACAGGCGGTCACCTAAGGTGGTGCGTACAGTGTTGGGCCACATGTCTAGTGGTGCCAGGACTGAGAGATCACTTACCTCCACCGGTTACCCAGGAGGTAACAGAGACTGATCCACAATGTTCCTGAGGTGTCTTGGGCACCCATAGGCAGGTGACTTCTGGCTTAGGGCAGGGTTCAGGAGGCTGGGCACTCACAGTTTCTCTTTGGTCCCCACAGAACATGTTTGGGTTGTGGAAGCCTATGGTATTCTTGGCTATTGCAGCTGTGGCTCTGTATGTGTTACCCAACATGCGACAGCAGGAGTCAGAGTTCTGCCTCATGGAGTGATGGCAGACCTTGGCCAGCGCGAGGGCAGATCCCCAGTGGCCACCACCCTCAGCTTTGGGCAGGACACACTGTGCCAGAACCCTCCCCATATGTTCCATGTGTCCCCATCTCCTCAGCCTCAGTCACCCAGGCTGAAAAGGCTTGTGGGGAGCGGCTGACTTCCATCTCCTGCCTTGTGTAAGAACCTGAGTTCCTTGTAATTAAATATCAACTGAATTACATGAGACTGTGGATTTTTATTTGCTAAATGCCTCACAACACAACCAGAACAGAGCAGTCCCCCTTTAACCAAGTACCTCACATAAGGGTCTGACTCCTAAATGCGGCTTCTCACCTTGCAGATGGCCTCAGAAATGAGGCTAGCCCCTTGTGCTGTCGACTGACTCACAGAGGGGTTAGTCTGTGCTTATTAACCCCATCCTGAGGTGCTCTCCTGAGCATGGAGAAATGGAGTGACTGAGGGCTGGGGAGACCTCCCCTAAGGTTCTGTGCCCACACCTATCTACATGAGAAGGCCGCCCTAAGAAGATCCACGTGTGTGCCTTCGTGACTTAGCCTTTGTGACTTCTCAAGGGATTCGCCCTCAGAGATGACTTTAATCAGCCAGGGTCCTGGCAGTAAACAGGTGGCACACTCAAAGCTTTACATGAAGAGAGTTTAATGAAGAGACTATGTACCAAAGGCAGAGTTAGGAGAAGCAACAAAAAATAGTGAAGTACCAGGCACTAGCAACAGTGTAAAGCTGTTAGCATCCCAGGCTGAAGCAGGAAGGAAAGGAAGCAAGAGCTGGAGCTCTGAAAATGGGCCCCAGGCAGGAGTGGCAGCCACATGGGGTGCAGCCCCCGCCAGAGCCGTGAGGAAGTGGGATATATATTCCCCTACCTTCTCCTCCCACCTGCCAGTATTCTACTGGTACCTTATCAGCTGAACTCAATGGGAAGACAAAGCGCAGAGGTGCCCAGGTGATGTAATCTTTCAAGCTCAGCCTCCTGGAGCTTAGAGCAGGACAGAGGCCTGAAGATGGATCTAATTGGGACAAGTAGAATGATGAGGATAGTTTATGTGTGTTCCTGTTTACCTTCATTCCTGTGGAACCTTTGTGATTGGAGTTTATCATCATGAATGTTTCCTTACGAAAGAAGACCCCAAGCGTATTCTTTTTATTTCTTTCTTTTTTTCTTTTTCTTTTTTTTTTTTTGAGACAGGGTCTCACTCTGTCACCCAGGCTGGAGTGCAGTGGCACCATCTTGGCTCACTGCAACCTCCACCTCCTGAGCTCAAGTGCCTCCCACTTCAGCCTCCCAAGTAGCTGGGACCACAGGCATACACCACCATGCCCAGCTAATTTTTATATTTTCTGTAGAGACAGAGTTTCACCATTTTGCCCAGGCTGGTCTCAAATTCCTGGGCTCAAGCAATCCTCCTGCCTCAGCCTGCCCAAAGTGCTGGGATTACAGGCATGAGGCATATTGCCCAGCCCCAAGCATATTCTTAAACCATAGTGGAAACAATGACCCCATGACTCCTGGCTTTCTTTGGACCCCTCTTTCTTCCTCCCTCCCACCCAAAAGGACTTTGTTCCATTCAATCAAACATCCAAAGAAACACATGTACAGAGTGTATACTGTGGTAGCACTGCCAAGCTAAATGAATTCTTTCCTTCTCTAGCTCTTACCTACAGGGAGTAGCAAGGACATTTAGAATTAGGATATTTTCAAGTTGTATTCAGCCCAGAGAAGTGACACGGCTGAATCAAAAGTCCATTTTGGCAGACATGGGGCTAGTGCTGAAATTGTGACTAGCCTCCTAGAAACGTGACTGCAACTAGGCAAACTGAGGACAGTGCCATATGCCTCTTTTGCCTTTGTCTAAATCAGCGGTCCCCAACCTTTTTGGCACCGGGGACCGGTTTCATGGAAGACAATTTTTCCACAGATGGAGAGGGGATGGGGATGGTTTCGGGATGAAACTGTCCCACCTCAGAGCATCAGGCATTAGCTAGATTCTCGTAAGGAGTGTGCAACCTAGATCCCTCACATGCGCAGTTCACAATAGGGTTCCTGCTCCTTATGAGAATCTAATGCTGCCACTGATCTGACAAGAGGCAGAGCTCAGGTGGTAATGCTTGCCTAGCCACCACTCACCTAATGCTGTGTGGCCAAGTTCCTGACAGTATCGGTCCATGGCCTGGGGATTGTGCACCCCAGCTCTAAGTGACTCCTCTTTGAAGACAGTTCTGACCTAGGCTGGTCTAGCTTCTTGCTAGTCCATGTGACCCACAGATCTGCAGCATCAGCATTGCCCGGGAGCTTATTTGAAAGGCAGATCTCAGGCCCCAACCCAGACCTACTGATGCAGAATCTGCATTTCCAACAAGATGCCCAGTTGATTCGTATGCACGGTAACATTTGAGAAGCACCACCCTAGTCAATTATATTAGATTGTATGTTCTCAGTTGTAACCTAAAGAAATTATTTCACAACTGACCTGGTGCCACTGGCTGCTTGCTTTTCAGTATAGTGAGACTGCTATTTACCCACTTTACTGCCGCCACCAGTTGACTGAAGAACATGGGTATGGGTGGTGGAAAGGACTTATAGCCAAATGCTATGGTAAGCATGTTTGTGTCTGCCCCCTATCCTGCAAATTCATATGTTGAAACCCTAACCCCTAAAGTGATAATATTAGGAGGGGGGCTTTGGGAGGTGATTAGGTCATGAGACCAAAGGCCTCAGGAGTGGGATCAGAGCCCTTATTAAAGAGACTTCAGAGAGATCCCTCACCCTTTCTGCCACGTAAGTTTATAGTAAGACTACAGCCAGGCCGGGCGCAGTGGCTCATGCCTGTAATGCCAGCACTTTGGGAGGCCGAGGCGGGCGGATCACCTGAGGTCAGGAGTTCGAGACCAGCCTGACCAACATGGAGAAACCCCATCTCTACTAAAAATACAAAAAATTAGCCGGGCGTGGTGGCACATGCCTGTAATCCCAGCTACTCGGGAGACTGAGGCAGGAGAATCGCTTGAACCTGGGAGGCAGAGGTTGTGGTGAGCCGAGATCATGCCATTGCACTCTAGCCTGGGCAACAAGAGTGAAACTCCATCTCAAAAAGAAAACAAAACAAAACAAAACAAAACAAACTACAGCCATCTGTGAGGGAGTAGGCCCCTCGCCAGACATGGAATCTGCAGGCATCTTGATCTCAGACTTCCTAGCCTCCAGAATTGTAAGACATAAATTCTTGTTGTTTATAAGCCACCCGGTCTATAGTGTTTTGTTACAGCAGCCCAAATGGACTAAGACAGCAAAGATCACTGATTTAACCTGGAATTACAAGCCAGGATAGAGGTCAGGTTCTAGTAGGGTGGTCCCCAGCTAGGGGACCTGAACCTAGACCCTGCCTAATGACAGGAATGTGGGCCTGCTTTTCCCACTTTTTTGCTTAGACTACAAAACCCCTCCCTTTAGGACATGTCCTTCTCTGTTCATTTCATTGATTAATTGATTGATTGATTGAGACAGGGTCTGGCTTTGTTGCCCAGGCTGGAGTGCACTCGTGCAATTTCGGCTCACTGCAACCTCCACCTTCCAGGCTCAAGCCATCCTCCCACCTCAGTTTCCAGAGTAGCTGGGACTACAGGTGCTCACCACCGCGCACAGCTAATTTTTGTATTTTTTGCAGAAATGGGGTTTTGCCATGTTGCCCAGGCTGCTCCAAACTCCTGAGCTCAAGTGAATCGCCCGCCTCGGCCTCCCAAAGTGCTGGGATTACAGGTGTGAGCCACTGCACCCGGCCCTCCGTTCATTTTAGAATCCCATTCTCTTCATTTGGTTTGGACTGTCTCCTTGTCTTAATGATACACTGTTACCCAGGCGTATTAAAGAGGAATCTTTTTTTTTTTAAGAGGAATCTTTTTTGTTGAATGTGAAACATTCACTTGAGCTAGCTTAAAAAAAAGGCAGTAGGATATTCTCATTTATAAGTGGAGTTAAAGCCGGGCGCAGTGGTTCACGCCTGTAATCCCAGCACTTTGAGAGGCCAAGGTGGGTGGATCACAAGGTCAGGAGTTCAAGACAAGCCTGGTCAACATGAGGAAACCCCGTCTCTACTAAAAATACAAAAATTAGCTGGGCGTGGTGGCAGGTGCCTGTAATCCTAGCTACTCGGGAGGCTGAGGCAGGAGAATCGCTTGAACCTAGGAGGTGGAGGTTGCAGTGAGCCAAGATTGTGCCACTGCACTCCAGCCTGGGTGACAGAGCAAGACTCCGTCTTTAAAAAAAAAATGTGGAGTTAAAGAATGTGTATAATGTGCACACAGGGACATAGAATGTGAACTGATGGACATTGGAGACTTTGGAGCGGCGAGGGGTAGGGGGGCGGTCGGGGCATGGGGCGAGGGGAGGGATGAGAAATTACTTAATGGGTACAATGTACATTATTTGGGTGATGTTACACTAGAAGCCCAGACTTCACACTAAGCAATATATCCATGTATCAAAACTGCACTTGCACCCTCTAAATTTATACCAAAAAAAAAAAAGACAGGAGGGATTGATCTTAAGTCTGGAGGGGTATGCCTTGGAAGCCACAGGCAGGCGTGCACTTGGGCCTAGGTGTGCTAGAACCAGGGACTCAAAGCACCTTCAGGAGCCTCCATCTCTCCCCGCTGCTGCCCTCTGCATAACTGCCTCCTTTCTGTGAGCTCCCTGCAGCCTAGCCCTGTCTGGTTTCCCTTCCCAGGCCAAGAGGTAGAGCAGCCACCCGCTGCCACTCCTGTCAAGGACCAGCTGCTTTTGGGGCAGGGTGGGTGGTTCTAAAGATGACAGGTACTGCCGGTTCTGATTGTGGCAGAGGGAATGTTGGGTTGCAGGGAAGGGGAGAGGGGAACAGCCTGGAGATCCAGGCAGTGGTCCCCACGGAGGTGTGGACACAGAGCTGCAGGGGAAGGCCTCTCTCACCAGAACCCCTTAGTCTCCAAGATAATCAGAGGAAGCAAACTAATTGTTTTGGATCACCTATTAGATGCCAGGCACCATGCTAATCATCTTTCTTGTGATTTCCTTCCATTTTCACACATTAAAAAAAAAAAAAGACGAGAAAACAGGCCCAAAAGAGCTACATTACTTGCCCAAGGTTGCAGAGCTAGAAGTAGAGAGGCTGGAATTCAGCCCATGGATCATTCCACTCTACCACACTGTCCCTGGAACCTGGGTCAGAGCCACAGTCAGTATCAGTATCACTGAAAGTGCCTGTTATGACCTGGCCAGCCCAGTATCATCACAGGTGACTGTGGAAATGTCCCTGGTTCCAGAAAAACAGGATTTTCAAACATGGCTCATTGTATCCGCTCACTTGGATTCAGCTCAGCCCAAGATAAATATGGCCAGTATTGGTGGCTGATGAGCAGAGCCCCTTGACGGCAGAGGCAGGACCAGGTGAAGAGCCAGGCAACCTGGTCTCCTGAGATAGGTCAGCAGGTGGTGAGTCAGGGGGCTATAAACAGCCTGTGGCCCCAGCCAGCACTGCCCAGATACTCAGCTGATGAAACCCCTTGTAACCCCCTGTGTGCCCCTGCCTGGCTTGGGGAGGAGCATGTCAGCGCTCCTCGGGGAGGGGGCCCTACTTGGCAGGCCGGGCCCAGCATTGTGCACGGTCTGTTCCAGCCTGGCTGGCCAGGCCCAGGGCCTGGGCTCATGGGCTATATTGAGGGCTGAGTCACCAGCCCGCGCCTGGGTCAGGCTGAGTGTCACTGGCTGCTGGGGCCTGAGTCAGGCCCCGATTTATCCTGGAGAGCAACAGGCTCAGGTTTCTGAGGACGGTTGCGGGGGGTGACGGGAATCATCCTTTGGCACTCTGTACCCTCCTCTCCTCTGCCAACCATTCACTTGATCCCCTGGGACCCGCACACTGACCTCCCCTGGAGCGAGCTCTTGAGTCAGAGGGAAAGCAAGGGAAGCTACGCTGGGAGTTCCTTCTCCCCTCCCTGGCTTCCTCCGGCCTCTCCACCTGAACAGAGGCGCTCAGCTGGCTGGGGGACCTCAGATAATGCCTGCAAAACAGGACTGTGGACCATTAGGGTCTGTAAAGGGGCTGTCAGCTCCGAGCTACCTCACCTTAACCCTTTCTCCTCCCCAGCAGCTCAAAGAGGAATGCATCCTTTCTCAGATCTGTGTCTCAGTTTACTCACCAGGGATTCAGAGGCAGCACTGCTGAACCCTGAGCCCTTGGCACATCAGGTTGGCTGTCAGAAGTCGGCCTTTGTACATACACAGTTCCCTTGTGAGGCCCAGCTGCGTGTCCTAGGAGCGGGGCCTCTCTCCACAGCAGAGCTCAGCCTCTCAAGTGTATGGACAGCACGGGTGCCTGATGGGTGGATTTAGCCATGAGTTGAAGGTGGCTTGGGGAGAATGAGAGTTCTAGAGATAGGGAGAAGGGGTTGCCAATAGGAGAGTGGAATTCCTGAGCACCTCGTCACAGGCAGCCGACAGAACATGAGCCGCAGGGCCCAGGCTATTTATACCTCGCCTGTCACTATCAGGGTCCCCACAGCTCCCCCCACCTCCAGCCACACACAGCAGGTCCTTTTGCTCTTTCTGGTCCCTTCTCTACTCCTCCCCCTCCCTACCTAAGGACCAGGCAATTTCATTCATAGACCCCTGTCATCATAAGCATTGCCCCCACAGAACCCTGACACTTTTTCCTCAGCTCCGTAACAGGGGGTGCCCTCATTGGCCCTTGGGGGAAAGAGCCCCCAAAGATGCTCACTATCCCTTCTTTTACACCAGGTCTAGGGGTAGAAGAGGAATTAGATATAATGATTCATCTAAAAGGGCCCAGAACCTTCCCTGGCTTAAAGAAACTTCTCAGGCTCAGATATGGCCTCCTAGCCAGCTCAGCTAGACTTACTAGGTCTAGAAGGATGGGAAAGCTGAAGACACATGGCTTGAAAAAGGGGGAACTGGGAGATATGGCTGCACGTATGTTACAAAGTTGCAGAATGGATCCTCTCCTTATAGAAATACATTCTCTAGGCCCAGCACGGTGGCTCACGCCTGTAATCCCAGCACTTTGGGAGGCTGAGGCGTGCAGATCACCTGAGGTCGGGAGTTCGAGACCAGCCTGACCAACATGGAGAAACCCCGTTTCTACTAAAAATACAAAATTAGCTGGGCGTGGTGGTGCATGCCTGTAATCCCAGCTATTTGGGAGGCTAAGGCAGGAGAATTGCTTGAACCTGGGAGACAGAGGTTGCGGTGAGCAGAGATCATGCCATTGCACTCCAGCCTGGGTAACAAGAGCAAAACTCCATCTCAAAAAAAAAAAAAAAAAAAAAAGAAAAAAGAAAAAGAAATACGTTCTCTAGCTCTTTCTCCTCACCCCAGGCCAGAGTCTGTTTGGGTGCCTCGGTTTCCCTGCTGTTCTATTCCCCAGGCCTGCAGCCTTTGGCTTGCCCTGAGTGCAGCTTTGCCTGGGCATCCCAGCTGGCTCCCTTAGGCTCTCCCTGACCACTCTGCCCCTGGTCCTGCCTACCCACCTGGTCACATTTCCCCCTGGCTGCTCTGGCTGGGGCTCTCCCTGTTTCTGCCTGGCTGACCCACCCTTTCCCTGGCAGGATCTGCCCTGTGGCCCAAATGGGCATGTTGCCCAGGGGGCTCCCTGGCACTATGGGGGAAGAGTCTCTCCTTCCCCTCTTATCATCTCAGTTGAGTCAGACTTGGGGGAGGGGGATACACAGTGTGAGTCACTGGGTACCCTTTTCCTGAGCTCAGCTTCATACCGAGGCGATGAGGCCAAACGGGCTGGTGACAGGGACACTGAGTCAGGGGCAGGGGCCCCGGTCTTACTCCTGGGCCTCTGGATTTGGGCCCTACATGAGGCTTTTCTATCTGTAAAGTCAAGCAATGGCTGGGAGGCACACACAACCCCCCGCCCCCCCGCAGGCTTCTCCTTCATTGGCCCGGGCAAGGTCCCTGCTTCCTCTCAGGCCGTCTCTGCACAAGCACACACACTTCCCTTCCCTGTCCACAGGTGGACAATGCCCTGGGCTAGGAGCCAGCCCTCGCAGGCCCTGTCAACAGCCTGCCACCAACTAGTCTAGAAAATTCTGTGAACACCAGATCAGTGGGTTTTGCCCTAATCACTGGCCTCAGTTTCCCCATTTACCTCTTCAGCCCGTGCGGGGTGTGGAGGGAGCATATTTCATTCCTGACAGTTTGGTGTGTTGGGTGTGGATGGAGAACTGTCGGCCCTCCCCGCCACCTTCCAGCGCGGCGGCACCGGGGGCCCAGGGGGTGGGCGCCCTCAACCCCGTCCCGCCGCCCGGGCGGCGCGGGGGAGGGGCGGCGGGGGCGGGGCGTCCTGTGCGGCGCGGCCCCCACCCGCGGGCCGGGCGGCATTCCTGGGAGGCCGGCGCTCTGACGTGGACCCGGGGGCCGCGGGCGCGGCGGGGGGGCGGCGGTCCGGGGGCTTCTTAAACCCCCCGCCCCGGCCCAGCCCGCCCTTCCCGAGCACCGCTCCGGCCCTGGAGGGAGAGAGAGCCAGAGAGCGGCCGAGCGCCTAGGAGGCCCGCCGAGCCTCGCCGAGCCCCGCCAGCCCCGGCGCGAGAGAAGTTGGAGAGGAGAGCAGCGCAGCGCAGCGAGTCCCGTGGTCGCGCCCCAACAGCGCCCGACAGCCCCCGATAGCCCAAACCGCGGCCCTAGCCCCGGCCGCACCCCCAGCCCGCGCCAGCATGATGAACAACAGCGGCTACTCAGACGCCGGCCTCGGCCTGGGCGATGAGACAGACGAGATGCCGTCCACGGAGAAGGACCTGGCGGAGGACGCGCCGTGGAAGAAGATCCAGCAGAACACATTCACGCGCTGGTGCAATGAGCACCTCAAGTGCGTGGGCAAGCGCCTGACCGACCTGCAGCGCGACCTCAGCGACGGGCTCCGGCTCATCGCGCTGCTCGAGGTGCTCAGCCAGAAGCGCATGTACCGCAAGTTCCATCCGCGCCCCAACTTCCGCCAAATGAAGCTGGAGAACGTGTCCGTGGCCCTCGAGTTCCTCGAGCGCGAGCACATCAAGCTCGTGTCCATAGGTCAGTGCCGGGGGCGAGGGCACGGGCGCTGCGGGGATAGGGTCGTCCCATGGGGCAGGGGCACAGGTGCGGGGTGGGCGCGCGGGGAGCTGAGAGACAGGGCGGAGGGCACCCCCCGGTATAGAGAGAAGACCCTGGCCCCGGCCCTCCCACCCATCGACAAGGGCCATGGGCACTGCCTGCACACCCCTCTGGGGACAGCGAGCACTCCCTGGGTGCCCCGGGGAGTCCAGGCCTTAGGGTTTGCGAGCCCTCCAGCTGCCGCCTCCCCATGCACATTCCCACCTCCCGCCTCGGCTCACCGTTCCCTTTCCTTCCATCGGGCAACCCTAGCCCACACTCGGGAGGACAGAACCAGTGCCTGTCACTGATTCCTGGGGGCATCTCCCCGCCCCCAACAAAACAAGTGGCTTCCCAGCTTCACAGCCCCTCCGCGGGCTGGGAGAGGGCTGAAGACAGGTCCCCAACCACTGCCCGCGTCTGCGGGCTCTGGGGCCGAGGGGAGCTGGCGCGGGAGGCCCTCTTCGTGCATGTGCTCAGCAGCTGGGTTCAGGCCCGGGGGCCAGGACAGGCAGGGCCCAGCCTCAGAAACCTAAAAAGGCACTGAGCGAGCGCGGGGAGACTTAACCCCTGTCTGTCCTCCTCCTGCTTCAGCCTGCGGTGGAGGGGGCTTCCGCAAGTCCAGGCCCTGCCCCAGCCCACCCCCTACCGCGGGATTGGCTGCAGCTAACGGTCTGGGCTGCGGGGAGGGAGGGAAAGGCCTGTGGAAGGGAGGAAGTCTTTGAGTGTAACCAGATTTGGAAGGTGTGTAGTGCAGGGTGGGGGCGGGGAGGCACTCTAGTCTTGGGAGCAGAGACGCCAAGGGTGGGCTTGGAGTGGCAGGAGGCTGTCCTGCCCTCAGAGTCCTGCAGTCATCCCTGAGGCTGGGGGCCTGGGGAAGATCCCCCCGCCCACCCCTGTGGAGAGCTCTTAAGAACCCTGCTGGGATTTGCAGGACGAGGTCCTTGGACGGTGCACCCCACGGCCCCAGGAGGGGAGTTTCATGTGGGGCCAGGTGGGCCCCACACAGGATGTTCCCTGAGATTTCTCCAGATGACTTGATGTCTGTCAGCCCCACTCTCCCTTGGGGCCATCTCTAGGCCTCCTGATATAGCAGCTGAGGTCAGCCCAGGGCCCTTTGCCCCGTCCAGTCCCCTCCCTAGCCCTTACCCCCTCCTGCCCCAATACTGCCCCCCCACCCCACCCGCCTGCCCTGTCCTGGAAATAGCCCTGCCTCCGTGACACAGCAGATGTCTCTGAGCTTTCCAGAAGGACAAGGCTGAGGGCAGGGGGTGGGGGAGGGAGCCTGGAGTGTGTAGTGAGACTGAGGGCTACGTGATGGAGGCTGAGGGGTCAGAGAGGAGTCAGTCCTGGGCCGGCATCCTCAGCAGGCTGGGTTTTGAAAGGCAGGACTGACTGTACCAGGTGGGGTCTGGGGGAAGAGCCGGAGGCTTCGGCAAGACATATAGGAAACCGCTCAGCCTTCCCCTCCCCTCCAGTCTGCGGGGGCTCTCGGCCCCTCTCCAGGCCTCGTCCTTCCTGAGCACACCTCTCCCCTCCCCCGTGGCGGTGCCTGGCTCCAGCCCCCTTGGCTCAGCAGAGGAGGGGCTGGCTCAGAGCAGAGGGGAAGAAGCAAAAGCTGGTTTGAGGGTGGGAGGGAAGCTCCCTGGTTCCCGCTGGGAGGAAGGGGAGGCAGTCCCCATTTGGGCCAAGTGGCTCACTGGCGCTGATGAGATAAGCTGTCAGCAATTCAGCTGCCGGCCCCAGGCTGAGGCTGGAGGGGAGGGGACACCGGCAGCGACCAGCTGGGGCGCCCCACCATGAGGAGGTTCAAAGGGGCTGCCCACGAGGCAGGGGCATCCTGCTTCTGCTAGCTCCCCTACTCCATTTAGTGGTGGAAAGGGGCTATCCATGGGGCCACCTTCTGAGTATTGTCTCAGCACCGAAATCGAGCATCTGGGCACCTCAGGGGGTGTCAGAAAGACTCCCCACTTCTCTTTCCAGGAGGGAAGTCAGGGTCTGGAGTAGCAGCTGGGATCCAAGCCCACCTGAAGAAGGGGCACTGAGCCCAGGTTAAAGGAGCTGTGCCCTTCATATCCTCACCACCTTGTCCTGGCCCCCCGTTGCCCCTCGTTCCCTCCGAACAAAGAGGCCTATGAGGCAGCTCTGTCTCGCAGCTGTTCCCCAGTTGCTATTCCTTCTCCTGGAGCCAACAACCAAGGGAGGGGCGGGAGGGGGCAGCAGCTGTCCCAGCACCTCCCTAGGCCCAGCCCTCTCCTCCCCCTCCATTTGAGGCCTGGGGTGGCCTCGGGAACTAGCTGTCTGGCTCCTCCCACTCCTTTGGGGGTATCCCTAGGCAGATGGAGAAGTGGCTTGGTGAGCCCTGGTGGCGCTGAGCTCCTCTCCTCTGCCTGGCCTCCGAGAGGGAGGAGGGAGAGGGAGGTCATTGCTTCCAGAGTGGGACTTGGGGCCCCACTGCCCTTCTCCTGCCCCAAGCCTGGACCACTTGCTGTCTGGCCCAGGGCCAGTTGCTGGGGAGAAACTTCCCTCTCCAGCAAATATGAATGACCACCCTCCCCATATACACACCGCCCCCCCCAACCCCTGCAGCCTCAAGGCTTCCTGCCCAGGGGTCTGGCTCCAGTTTGCAAGAAGTACTTCTGGGCGTGTGAGCTTTGGAGGCTGTCGGGGTTGTGAGAGGCTGGGGGCACTGGGGCATCCAGACTGTGTGAAAGTGTTGGAGCCTGTGTGTTTGAGAGAAAGCACCGGGAGGCAGGGAGTGAGTGTGTCATGGAATCTGAAAGCTGCCAAACCATTGTGCTGCAGTGGAGCCAGGGGAAGGGGGTGGGCTGGGGAGCTGCTGGGGAAGGAAGGATGAATCAGTGACAGGGTGGGGGAGCCCAGGCGGCCAGAGCCCCAGCCAGAGGGACAGGGAGACTGAGGCACCCCTCCCGGGGCAGGTGGGAGTGGGGCAGGGGATGCCCTGGATTTCCCAGGCTCTCGGTCTCCTAACACTTTCCCCAAGACCTGGGGAAGGGTGGAGGGGAGAAGATGTGTAAGGGGAAGGCTCCACTCCACCCTCTCCCATCTCTCGGGCAACATCAGTAAACAAGACTGTCTTCCACCCCCTTCCAGCCTCCTGAAAGCAGTGCTTTGGGAAGCTGATAGATTTCAGAACTTCATTGCCCTTTACAAGTAAGCTGAATTCCAAAGATCTATCTACATGCTAGGCCACCCCAGGCTTCTGGATATTTCTTTCTGATTGTTAAGGGGGATCTAGGCGCCCCCCCCCCCCAAATCTTGAGGAACCAGTTCTGGCTCAAAGGATTCCTCAAAGGAGGTGATGGGTGGAGTGTGTCAGCTCCTGAGGCTGGAGTCCCTCTGGCCCCCAGCCTTTGACAACATGACTTTCAAGACTTAACTGAGAATGTACTGGACCCCACCCACCCACCCCTGCCCCACTATCAGAACCCCTTGGTTTCTAAAGCCCTTTCTGGCATTCGGGGTAGAGTGTGAGTGGAAACTTGTCCTACCCCACTCCAATTTCAGTTCTTAAAATATTCATTCAACCAATATTTATTGAGACCTTACTATGTTTAAGACCTTCATTGTAGAAAGATAAAACCTAGTGTCTAGAGTGAAAAAAACCAGACCAAAAAAAAAGAGAGTATATACTGTGTGATTCCATTTATATAACACTCTAGGAAATACAAAGTAATCTATCGTGACAGAGAGCAGATCAGTTGTTGCTTGGGATGGAGGGACAAGGACGGCAGGAGGGAGGGCTCACAAAGGGGTGTGTGCAAGGAAACTTTGGGGAGTGATGGATGGTACCTTCGTTATTCTCCATCTGTGGTGACGGCTTCGTGATATATCCATAGTGTCAAAGCTTCTCAAACTTCATTCTCTAGCATGTGCAGTTTGCTGTATGTCAATCATAGCTCAGTAGAACTGTTAACAAAACAAAAAGGCTCTGCCCTGGGAGCCTTACAATCCCACAAGGCCAGAAAGAAACCAGGTAATTACATAGACAGGAGGCAGACTCACTTGCTGTAGCTGAGGTGAGGGTACCTTCCAGAACCACAGGAACACAGAGAAGCAGCCTTCTGACCGGAAGGGCCCCATAAAGAACTTGGCATCTGAGTGGGGCCTCGCAGGAGGGAGAGGGTCAGGTAGGCAGAGACTAGAGGCCTGACCCCAGAGCTCTGGCCCGAGGAGCTGCGCAGGTGAGGGAGGGTGCTCTGGGGCAGTGGAGGGTGGGGCGCCCCTGAGCCCGTCTGTGCCCTCCCCTCTGCAGACAGCAAGGCCATCGTGGATGGGAACCTGAAGCTGATCCTGGGCCTGATCTGGACGCTGATCCTGCACTACTCCATCTCCATGCCCATGTGGGAGGATGAAGATGATGAGGATGCCCGCAAACAGACGCCCAAGCAGCGGCTGCTTGGCTGGATCCAGAACAAGGTGCCCCAGCTGCCCATCACCAACTTCAACCGTGACTGGCAGGACGGCAAAGCTCTGGGCGCCCTGGTGGACAACTGCGCCCCCGGTGAGTGGGCCAGTGAGCACAGCATGGAGCCCTTAGCTCCCAAAGACAGAGGGGACAAGCTGGGGCTGCCAAGGCGTGTGGTTGTCAGAATGCACACCCTGGGGCCTGGGGGCCAGGATCCCCTGCAGGGTTTGTCCTCCTCCAGCTGTGGCTCTCCGCTGGCTGGTGGCAGGCCCTACCTGATGAGTGTGCCAGATTCCGCAGAGGCAGGAAGAGGTTTAAAACCCCTCATTTTACAGACAAGGACACTATGGCCCAGAGAGGGCTGGTGACTTATCCAAGATCACACAGCTTATCTGTGGCAGAACCACCTAGAGCCCAGGGCCTGGACTCCCTGCCCCATGAATTTTTTACTGTGCCACGAGGCACTATTCCTGCCGAGCTGAGAGAGAGGCAGTGTGGTGACCAGGACTTGTAGCAAGACCAGGAGTTAGATCCAGAGAAGGCTCTTCTCTGGGAGACCCTGGGATGACTTTGAGAAGGGGTTGAGGCTCAGGATGATGTGGGATGAGGCCAGTGGGGCACTGCCTGGTGGCAGGTGAGCCAGCCTTGCCCCTTCTCCGTGTAGGTCCTGGCCTGGTCAAGTGGGGACAGCTCAGGGGCCATGAAAAAAGCTGAGGCATCACTGGCTAGAGCGTACCCCATGGACAGCTCCCTTTCTGCCCCTCATCTCCTGAAAAGATAGGTTTTCTCCAGGAGTCACAGCCCCTCGGGAGAATCCTCCTCCACCCTGGGGTCAGCCGGGGAGCAGAGGGTGGGAGGCGGGGGCACAGCCTCCTGGGAAGCATTCCCAGCTGCTGAGCCATGGCCCATAACTGGTGTGGCTGCCAGCAGTGAGCTCAGCTGTTCCAGCCAGTCATGGATTCCAGCCTTGAGCCGGCCCCCTCCCCGAAACGGTGTGCCGTCCCCCTCCTCCAGCTCTGGCCTAAACCAAGCGCCCCTTCACCTGCACCGTTCATAGGAGTGATCTGGGGCTGCCTCAGCGTCCTTCCTGTTAGGAAGGCAGGGCTCCTGAGGGCTGCAGAGGAGAAGTCATTCTCTCCTCACAGGCCCTTTAATGCCTCAGTTTCCCCAAGTGAGCAGTTAGAAGGAATAGGGAGTCTCATACCCTAAGACTGGTGTGGAAAGCGTTTGGAGTTCTAGAGCTTCGGGGCAGCTGTGAGGAGGCCTTCTAGGGGGGATGGGTCAGGGGCATATGTGGGACAGGCACTCTGACCTCCTCTGCCCACCCCTGAGAAAGCTGAATGAGGCAAGAGATAGCGAGAGGGGGTACCCTCCCAGGGTTTGGGGTTCAAGGTCTGAGCTGGGGCCTGGGCAGGCAGGAGGCCGGCCAGCAGGGCTGGTGCCAGGCTGCGTCAGCCAGGGCAGAAAGGCTTCATTGTTGGTGGTGGAGAGGGCTGTCCTGCTCCTACGTGGTGAGGGGCCTCGAAGCTGATGGGGTCAGCAGGAACCTGGCTGGTCAAGGCCTAGAGCTGGTGGGAAGGGGTGTAAAGCCACAGCCTCTGAGGGTGTTGGGTGAACAAATGCCCTGCATCCTGGCCGGCTGGCTGCCCCTCACCATCGTCTCCCTCC
The DNA here is from genome assembly GCF_000001405.40 of Homo sapiens. Taxonomy (NCBI): domain Eukaryota; kingdom Metazoa; phylum Chordata; class Mammalia; order Primates; family Hominidae; genus Homo; species Homo sapiens. Next base: position 128,837,147 of record NC_000007.14, read on the forward strand.
ATCACCTCTCCAGGTCTCTGCCCCGACTGGGAGGCCTGGGACCCCAACCAGCCCGTGGAGAACGCCCGGGAGGCCATGCAGCAGGCCGACGACTGGCTTGGGGTGCCCCAGGTACATGCGCAGATGGGGCAGGGGGGAAAGGGGGCAGGGGCAGAGGTTGGGTCTGTAAGTTTACCTGGCCAGGGTGCAGGGGGAGACTGGGGCTGCTGGGAAAAGAGGGCGCCATGTGACATCACTCCTTTCCATCGCAGGTCATTGCCCCTGAGGAGATTGTGGACCCCAACGTGGATGAGCATTCTGTTATGACCTACCTGTCCCAGTTCCCCAAGGCCAAGCTCAAACCTGGTGCCCCTGTTCGATCCAAGCAGCTGAACCCCAAGAAAGCCATCGCCTATGGGCCTGGTATGTGTGAGCCCCTGGCGGCCCTCCTGGGCAGCTGGGCACATGTAGGCTCTCCCTGAGTAACCTGGGCTCTGCTCCTGCCCCGTAGGCATCGAGCCACAGGGCAACACCGTGCTGCAGCCTGCCCACTTCACCGTGCAGACGGTGGACGCGGGCGTGGGCGAGGTGCTGGTCTACATCGAGGACCCTGAAGGCCACACCGAGGAGGTATGCAGAGGCCGCTGGGGACAGAGGGATTCACTTGGGATTGGAACCAGAGAGCGTGGGGCCAACAACAGGAATGGCCCGGAGGTGACTGCCAGAGCCACACACTGTGCTGTGCAGTCTGGGGAAGGTGTCACCATGGGGGCTGAGTGGGGCTGGGGTGCATAAGGCACTGTGGGGTCAGGAGGGGCTATGGTCATTGGAGAGGCTTCCAATCTTTTTCCTTCCTAATAGGCTAAGGTGGTTCCCAACAATGACAAGGATCGCACCTATGCTGTCTCCTATGTGCCCAAGGTCGCTGGGTTACACAAGGTATCTCCCTCTAGGCCCCCCTGCCTGCGCTGCTCTTCACATCCTTGGTTCCGGCTGCATGGACCCCTCTCTCAGCCTGTACCTCGCGCCTGCCCAGAGCCCCAGCTGCCCGCCTCTCACCCTCCTTGGCCTGGCTGTGCCCCTCTGCCCCCTCTCAGGACTGCTCTCCCCTAGAAGCTAACCTTTGACCTCTGACCCCTAGGTGACCGTGCTCTTTGCTGGCCAGAACATTGAACGCAGTCCCTTTGAGGTGAACGTGGGCATGGCCCTGGGAGATGCCAACAAGGTGTCAGCCCGTGGCCCTGGCCTGGAACCTGTGGGCAATGTGGCCAACAAACCCACCTACTTTGACATCTACACTGCGGGTAGGACGGGCCCCAGGGGGTGCAGGTGGAAAGCCCCTGACCATGTGGGGCTGTGTGGGGGTGGGGGGAGGCTGGGACAGGGATGCCAGCCAGAGGGTGGGCAGCCTCAGGGTGAGGGCACCGGGGCAGCTGTGTGTGTCCAGAGTGGTGCTGACAGCCTCTGTTTTCGGCAGGGGCCGGCACTGGCGATGTTGCTGTGGTGATCGTGGACCCACAGGGCCGGCGGGACACAGTGGAGGTGGCCCTGGAGGACAAGGGTGACAGCACGTTCCGCTGCACATACAGACCTGCCATGGAGGGGCCACATACCGTGCATGTGGCCTTTGCGGGTGCCCCCATCACCCGCAGTCCCTTCCCTGTCCATGTGTCGGAAGGTAAGGGCCCTTCACTGCTCCCCACGGTAGCCCTTACCAAAGCCAGAGGCTTGCAAGGGGCAGGAGGAAGAGCTGGGGCGGGGGTCTGCAGAGACCCCCTCCCTGAGTCCTCCATCCCACCCCCAAGGTGGCTGGAGTTCCTAAGAGCACAGCTGGGAGGCCACAGTGAAGGGTCCCAGAACATGTGCCACCCTGGGAGGGCTGAGCGGAAGTGACGGGGCTGTATGGGTGGGGGCATATCTAGGGAGTACTGCCTGCATGCCAAGCCCTCAGGTGGTGACTGCCCCACTTGTTCTCTCCCTGCACTCAGTGCCCATCGTCCACCAGGCCGAGAGTGATGCCACATTAATGCTCTCCAGTGGAGGCGGGGCCAGGCATGGCCGCAGCTGACTGGCCTCACCTGTGCTGTGTGGCATGGCCCGGGCCGTGTGGAATCGCCCCCCCTTCCTTGGCATTCTGTGGCAGGCCCCAGGTTCCATGCCGTTGTCTGTGTTCTGTGGCAGGTCTAGTGTCTTTGCCACTTGCCTGGTGATTTCTATGATGAAATCTGGGCTCTGAGCCATTGCCTGTGTTCCGTGGTACCCCTTGGGCAGTGCCATCGCCTATGGTCATGGTAGTCCTGGAATATGTGTCGTGTCCTGTTTCGTAGCACCTGTGGGTCCCATGCCATTTTTCTGGATTCTGTGGCAGGCTGAGATTCCCATTCCTTTGCCTGTGTTCCATAGCAAGGCCTGGGCTCATTGCCACTGGCCACGGTCTGTGGTAGGCTGATGTCCACACGTTGCCTGTGTTGTATGGCAGGCTTCGAGTTCTATGAAGTAGCCCTTGTTCTGTGGCATTGCTGGATGTTTTGTGGCATGACTTAGATCCTAAGGTTGCTTTGGTGCCCTGAGAGGCCCAGAGGGCTCTAGATGGATGGCCTTGGGCTGGGTAAAGGGGCCTTCCCTGTCTCTCTGAGCCCACTCTCAGCCCAGGCTCTGCCATGCATTTCCCCAGTGGCACTGGCTCGGAAACTTTCTTGTAACCTGCCTGATCTGGGGCCTGTAGCCAGCTCCAGCCCGGCAGCCCCGGTTGTGCTGGGGACACAAAGGGCTCCAGAGCAGGGCCGTGGGCCACTGCCTGTGCCTGGGAGGGGTTAGAAGGACTGTGCACAGGGAGGTGGGGGCTAGTGGTCCAAGGCCCCTCAGCACCCCCAACCTCCTTTCTCTTCCTCCCCTAGCCTGTAACCCCAACGCCTGCCGCGCCTCTGGGCGAGGCCTGCAGCCCAAGGGTGTTCGCGTGAAAGAGGTGGCTGACTTCAAGGTGTTTACCAAGGGTGCCGGCAGCGGGGAGCTCAAGGTCACGGTCAAGGGGCCAAGTGAGTGCCAGAGCCCAGGGTCGTGAGGGTGGGGCTGGGGGATCATAAGGGAAGTATGGCCAGTGGTTCTGACTCCCAGAGGGCAGTGACAGCCAGCACCACAGCTCCACAGTGACCAGAGGCACCCCAGAATCTCAGGCTCATTGTCTCCTCTCTGCCTCAGTTTCTTGGTCTACAAGCCAGGAATGATTCTCTCCACCCTAAGTGCTATACGGGGTGTTATGCACAGGGATGACAAGTGTTCCCTGCCCTGAGTTGCAGCACTGCTCACTACAGCACTGCCCTCGGGCTGGGTCGGGGTCCCAATGGCTCCTTGAGGGGATTGAGGAGCTGGGACTTCAAGGATATTGATCTGCCTTCTTCCCCACCCTGCCCCCATCTCCTCAGAGGGCACAGAGGAGCCAGTGAAGGTGCGGGAGGCTGGGGATGGTGTGTTCGAGTGCGAGTACTACCCGGTGGTGCCTGGGAAGTATGTGGTGACCATCACGTGGGGCGGCTACGCCATCCCTCGCAGGTGAGTACCTTGCGCCCCCCATGCTGTCCTGTCTAGGCCATCACAGGGAGGGACGAGGGGCACTGGGCTGCGAGGGAGTTTGAGGGGAGATGGAGTTTGGGCTGCGAGGGACTTTGGGGGGCACTTCCTGGCATGGACACCAGCTCCCTCTCTGCCCAGCCCCTTTGAGGTACAGGTGAGCCCAGAGGCAGGAGTGCAAAAGGTCCGGGCCTGGGGTCCTGGTTTGGAGACTGGCCAGGTGGGCAAGTCAGCCGATTTTGTGGTGGAAGCCATTGGCACCGAGGTGGGGACACTGGGTAAGTGGCTGGGGGGCAGGAGGAGGGAGTGCTGCGGGGGAGGGCAGCAGGGGACACTGTGGGTAATGGGTGCAGTGCGCATGCTGGGGAGCGCTGGGGTGAGCAGGGAGATAGGACATGAGGGCAGCTAGAGGGGAGCTGGGGGACGGAAGGGTCTTGCCTGATGCTGGATCCCCGACCCTCCCCCACCTTGCCCCAGGCTTCTCCATCGAGGGGCCCTCACAAGCCAAGATCGAATGTGACGACAAGGGGGATGGCTCCTGCGATGTGCGGTACTGGCCCACGGAGCCTGGGGAGTACGCTGTGCACGTCATCTGTGACGATGAGGACATCCGAGACTCACCCTTCATTGCCCACATCCTGCCCGCCCCACCTGACTGCTTCCCAGATAAGGTGTGGTCCCAGCTCACACACACCTGCCCCGGGGGTGGGGCAAGCTGGTTCTCCTCCCCTCCCCAACTCAGCCTTCTTCCCTCCGCACAGGTGAAGGCCTTTGGGCCTGGCCTGGAGCCTACCGGCTGCATCGTGGACAAGCCCGCTGAGTTCACCATTGATGCTCGTGCAGCTGGCAAGGGAGACCTGAAGCTCTATGCCCAGGTAGGTCATTGTCCAGTCTCTGCTGCCCTTACTACCCATGGCAGGGACCCTGGAAGGCAGGGCCAGGCCAGAGGCAGAGGCCTCCCAGCAGGAAATGACAGCATCACAGAAGATCAGGCAGGACTGATACTCATGGGCCCATCAGTACCATGGAAAATTTTAAATTTTGTGTTTTCTTAACGATGATAACCTAAAAACGTATTTTACCAAAGAGTCATTTTTGTGCTAATTTGTAATTGAAAGATTGTTTCATTGAATAAGACACTGGTTTCCCAAGTCAGTTTCTCAGACTGGTGTCCATTGACCCCTAGAGGTTAATGAACATATTCTTGAGGATCTAAGAGGGTGATTCTTCTTTGAAAGGCTCATGATTCAGTTTTAGGAACATAAATTTAGCCCACACTCTTCCTGTCCAACACATTTCAGAGTTGAGGAAACCTAGGCTGGGAGAGCAAGCCATACAGATGGCCTTGAGTCAGGCTCCCAGGGTGGGCTCTGGCCGCCAGAGCACGTGGCCCTGGGCTCTGGTGGCCTCAGTGGCTGGTGTGGGGGCGGGAGTGCCAGTGTTGGGGGTGGGAAAGGAGGCGCTGGGTTCACCTGCGGCCAGCAGAGGGCGCTCTGCAGAGGCCACAGCTATGAACTTTGCTTGGGTGATGCCCACAGGACGCCGACGGCTGTCCCATCGACATCAAGGTGATCCCCAACGGCGACGGCACCTTCCGCTGCTCCTACGTGCCCACCAAGCCCATTAAGCACACCATCATCATCTCCTGGGGAGGCGTAAACGTGCCCAAGAGCCCCTTCCGGGTGCGTCCTCCCGGCCTGCCCCGTGCCCACCACCAGGGGTCCCTGAGGGAGGGCGGAACCCTCGCTGGAGTCCCTGTTGTCCCTGGGCTCAGGCTGGGACTGAGGCTTGGGCTGGTGCCACTGAGGCTGGGCCGGGTGCGCTGGGCAGGAGGATGAGCCTTGAGGGAGGGCACCACGCTGAGCTGCGACCCCTCCCGCAGGTGAACGTGGGCGAGGGCAGCCACCCCGAGCGGGTAAAGGTGTACGGCCCCGGAGTGGAGAAGACAGGCCTCAAGGCCAATGAGCCCACCTACTTCACGGTGGACTGCAGCGAGGCGGGGCAAGGTGCGCCCAGCCGGAAGGGGTGGGTCTGGGAGGGGGCGGGGGTGAGTCGAGTCGGGGGCTGAGCCCAACTCACAGCAGTGCCCGCTTCTCTGCAGGCGACGTGAGCATCGGCATCAAGTGCGCCCCAGGCGTGGTGGGCCCTGCAGAGGCTGACATTGACTTCGACATCATCAAGAATGACAACGACACCTTCACCGTCAAGTACACGCCACCAGGGGCGGGCCGCTACACCATCATGGTGCTGTTTGCCAACCAGGTACCTAAGCTCCTGGGTACTCACAGCGACATGCACCTGCCAGCTCCAGAAGGCAGCTGGAGATGCTGTCACTGGGAACAGGGAGGGATGATTCCGCAGACATGGTGGAGCCCTACCTGTGTGAGGCAGGGTGCCTCAGAGGAAGCAAAGGGGGCCCTTTTGGAGGCTGCCCCTGTCCATGCTGGGTCCCCTGGGTGTGTCCTGAGCCAGCATCTAGCTGAGAGCAGGGGTGTGTTCCCCTCGAGAGCCCTGACTGAGCCTCCTCCACATCCAGGAGATCCCCGCCAGCCCCTTCCACATCAAGGTGGACCCATCCCACGATGCCAGCAAAGTCAAGGCCGAGGGCCCTGGGCTGAATCGCACAGGTGAGTGTCTGGGCAGGGGCTGGGACTGGCTCGAGGTTGGGGTTAGGTGGCTGCCAGGCCCTCACCACATCTCTGGGTGGGTCCTCAGGTGTGGAAGTCGGGAAGCCCACCCACTTCACGGTGCTGACCAAGGGAGCCGGCAAGGCCAAGCTGGATGTGCAGTTTGCAGGGACAGCCAAGGGCGAGGTTGTGCGGGACTTTGAGATCATAGACAACCATGACTACTCCTACACTGTCAAGTACACCGCTGTCCAGCAGGTGCGCTCTGCCCCTCCCATGCTACCGCCCGGCCGGCCCGCCAGAGCCCTGGGTCTCCCTCCTCCAGTCCCATGGGACCAGTTCTGGATCCTCCACGCCTTTCCTGCCTCCTGCCCTCACTCTCATGGTGGATCTGAGCTTCAGAGCCCATATTCACCACCAGGATGTTGTAGGACCTTGCCTTATATCCAGTTCTGACCTACCATTGTACCCAACAGGGCAACATGGCAGTGACAGTGACTTATGGCGGGGACCCTGTCCCCAAGAGCCCCTTTGTGGTGAATGTGGCACCCCCGCTGGACCTCAGCAAAATCAAAGTTCAGGGCCTTAATAGCAGTAAGTGGGGCAAGAGCCACCCTGGGAGTGAGGGGTATTCGGGTAGGGTGGACCGGAGTCTCCTCATGGTGTCACTTGCCCTCCACGCAGAGGTGGCTGTGGGACAGGAACAAGCATTCTCTGTGAACACACGAGGGGCTGGCGGTCAGGGCCAACTGGATGTGCGGATGACTTCGCCCTCTCGCCGGCCCATCCCCTGCAAGCTGGAGCCAGGCGGTGGAGCGGAAGCCCAGGCTGTGCGCTACATGCCCCCGGAGGAGGGGCCCTACAAGGTGGATATCACCTACGATGGTCACCCGGTGCCTGGCAGCCCGTTTGCTGTGGAGGGTGTCCTGCCCCCTGATCCCTCCAAGGTGAGGAGATAGGAGCTGGTTGGGGCTGGGAGTTGGGGACTTGTTGGGAAGATAGATGAGTCATAGGGGGCAGAGGCCAGAGGGACTTATGTGCCTGGAGTGGGCACAGCCAAGGGTGTGGGGCTGAGGCCAGCCCCACCCCACCACCTGCCTTGGAGACAACTTAGCTATTAAGAGCCTGGCCTTGGAGTCACACCTGGGCTTGAATCCCAGGTCCACTAACTGGGGCAAATTGCTTCATCTCGCTGCCTCAATGTCATCACCTGGGATTGTTATAAGCACTCAGTCCACAGTAGCAGCCACAGTTGGAGGTGATGAGTTGGGTGGGGGCCATGAAGGCTGGGATGAGGAGGCCAGGTGCAGGGAACCCACAACCTGCCTCTTCCCCTAGGTCTGTGCTTATGGCCCGGGTCTCAAGGGTGGACTGGTAGGCACCCCCGCGCCATTCTCCATCGACACCAAGGGGGCTGGCACAGGTGGCCTGGGGCTGACCGTAGAGGGCCCCTGCGAGGCCAAGATCGAGTGCCAGGACAATGGTGATGGCTCATGTGCTGTCAGCTACCTGCCCACGGAGCCTGGCGAGTACACCATCAACATCCTGTTTGCTGAGGCCCACATCCCTGGCTCGCCCTTCAAAGCCACCATTCGGCCTGTGTTTGACCCGAGCAAGGTGCGGGCCAGTGGACCGGGCCTGGAGCGCGGCAAGGTCGGTGAGGCAGCCACCTTCACTGTGGACTGCTCAGAGGCAGGCGAGGCGGAGCTGACCATTGAGATCCTGTCGGATGCCGGGGTCAAGGCCGAGGTGCTGATCCACAACAACGCGGATGGCACCTACCACATCACCTACAGCCCTGCCTTCCCTGGCACCTACACCATTACCATCAAGTATGGCGGGCATCCCGTGCCCAAATTCCCCACCCGTGTCCATGTGCAGCCTGCGGTCGATACCAGTGGCGTCAAGGTCTCAGGGCCTGGTGTTGAGCCACACGGTGAGTGGACAGGAGGAGCCAAGAAAGGTCAAGTGGCAGGTGCAGGAGCTGGGTAGTCCGTGGGAGGGAGGGAAGAAGAGCTGAGAGCTGGAAGAGCAACCTGGGGTGAAGGGAGGGCTCTCGGAGCAGCCCCAGAGTCCTTACTGGCCCAGAAACCCCAGAGAAGGAGTGGAGGGGAAGACCGGGGGTGGAGATTGGCCTCTGCTCTTGTGGCAAAACTGCACCTGCCTCTGGGCGTTTTTCTGGAGAGATCTCTTCTTTCATGTGCTTAAGGGGTACCCTGATCCAAAAAGCTAAAACTCTGCTCTGGACGGGGGCACGGGGAAAGCTTTGGGGTAGAGGATGACAAGAGTCAGAAGACAGTAAGTGGGAATGGGCCATCTGCCAGGGGCCAGACCCTGGCTAGGCATGGGCCACGGCAGAGGGATGCAAGACCCAGGCCCACAGCCTGGTGGGTGACTCAAGTGAACAGAGAATGTCACTACATGGAGAAGGGAGTGAAGGCAGAGGCTGGAGCTCACAGAGGTGCAGGGGAGGGTGTGGGGCCCAGGCTCCGATTAGAGGAGCAGCCTGGGAGTTGGGGAGTGGGAGAGGAGGGGGAGAGGAGGGTGAGAGGAGGGGAAGAGGAGGGGAAGAGGAGAGGGAGAGGAGAGGGAAAGGAGGGGGAGAGGAGAGGGAGCATCTGTGTGAAGGCTGCCCCCACCCCTGCTGAACACGCCACCCCTGGGCTCCAGGTGTCCTGCGGGAGGTGACCACTGAGTTCACTGTGGATGCAAGATCCCTAACAGCCACAGGCGGCAACCACGTGACGGCTCGTGTGCTCAACCCCTCGGGGGCCAAGACAGACACCTATGTGACAGACAATGGGGACGGCACCTACCGAGTGCAGTACACCGCCTACGAGGAGGGTGAGGGCCGGTGGGCCAGGCTAGTGGGCAGGGCTGGGCAAGTGGGCAGGGCCGGGATCTGATGATATTGCCCTCGGGGCAGGAGGGGTGGTGGGGGCGCACACTCCCTGATTGATGCCCCTGTGGCTGGCTTCCAGGCGTGCATCTGGTGGAGGTCCTGTATGATGAGGTCGCTGTGCCCAAGAGCCCCTTCCGAGTGGGCGTGACCGAGGGCTGTGATCCCACCCGCGTCCGAGCCTTCGGGCCAGGCCTGGAGGGTGGCTTGGTCAACAAGGCCAACCGATTCACTGTGGAGACCAGGTATCCTCCCCCTTTGCTAGCCTAAATCTGTGACCACCCTTTCCCAGCCCCTGGCCCTCCTCGCTCATCCCTCTGCCTGGGCCTCAGCCCCACCCCATCCTCTCTCAGGGGTGAGGCAGGAGCAGACCCCCTCCAGGACCCCAGATTGGCCCCTGTAGCTCGTTTCTCCTCAGCTGGGTCCCCAGCGGCCTGCCCTCTTTCCTCCCTGTCCCCCCATTCAGCTACTCCCTCATCCTCACTCACTGGTCTTATGAAGCTGATGGGGGGATGTTATCTCTCAGGGGAGCGGGCACCGGGGGCCTTGGCCTAGCCATCGAGGGTCCCTCGGAAGCCAAGATGTCCTGCAAGGACAACAAGGATGGTAGCTGCACCGTGGAGTACATCCCCTTCACTCCTGGAGACTATGACGTCAACATCACCTTCGGGGGGCGGCCCATCCCAGGTGTGCAGAGAGAGTGGTCGGGGTCTCAGGGAAGACAAGGGAGGGTGCAGGATGCTCGCCCCACAAGGGGGAAACTGGAAGGAAGTTGGGTAAGAATGTTCATAGAGAGGACAGCCTAGAGTGGGTTGGGGCCGGAGCCCGGCCAGAGGGAGGACGTGGAGGAGGCAGGCAATGAGGGTTGATGTGACAGCCCCCCTAGTCAATCACAGGAACACACTCTGGCCTCCTAGCCCCTTGTCTGGAGCTCAAGACCTTGGCTTTGCAGGTCCACCACTCACTGTGTGTCCAGAAACTCAGACACAGTCCACTCCTCTTGGCGGCTCAGGCCAGCCTTGGGCCTTCTTGCACGCATCGTCTGCAGAACTCCCCTGCCCTCTGCAGACCCAGCTGCCCGGGCAGGTCATGTCTTCAAATATTGTATGACTTGGGACTGCTGAAATTGGAAATTTTTTCCCTTATCTAATTTCCCATCTTTTTATTATTTCAGCCACAGTGTCAGAAATACATTTCATTTTTGAAAACATTTTATTTTCACATTTTATTAATTTAGGAAGGCCTTCTCTTCCAGGCCTGGGACCCACATGAGTGAGGTTTGCCCAGCCTCAGTCTGCAGTCAAGTTCATTTATTCTTGTGTGTGTTTTCTTAGCAAGTTCCTAGCCATTTTCCCATGTTGGTCTGGCTTCCCTGTGGGCATTTCAAAGGCAGGGAAGGCCTCCTCCTCCGAGGCTCCTCAGCATCAGGGGGACCCATCAGGGCTGGTGGGCAGGGTCTAATGTCCTTCTCCTCACAGGGAGCCCGTTCCGCGTGCCAGTGAAGGATGTGGTGGACCCTGGGAAGGTGAAGTGCTCAGGGCCAGGGCTGGGGGCTGGTGTCAGGGCCCGGGTTCCTCAGACCTTCACAGTGGATTGCAGTCAAGCTGGCCGGGCGCCCCTGCAGGTGGCTGTGCTGGGCCCCACAGGTATAGAATGGCCGGGGCAGGGAGGAGGGAGGTGGGGCGGGACGCCCGGAGGCTCTGCTGACCCTGTGCCCCTTGCCCAGGTGTGGCCGAGCCTGTGGAGGTGCGGGACAATGGAGATGGCACCCACACTGTCCACTACACCCCAGCCACTGACGGGCCCTACACGGTAGCCGTCAAGTATGCTGACCAGGAGGTGCCACGCAGGTGAGGACCAGCCCTGGGCTCCTGTGCTGCGGCTGAGCTCTGGGGTGCTCCTGCTGGGGTGGCACTCAGGATCACTGCTGGAGTCCCCTGGGAGAGCCTCTCCCAGCTCTCAGCCTCGTCCAGTCTCGCCACCCCATCCCGCTCTTCCCCGGGGCTCTCTGCTGTGAGGCTTTCCTGCCCCAGGAGCTTTTACGGCAAACCTAGCGCCTTAGGAAGAGTGCAGGAGGCCTGGGCCAGGGCCTCCTCCTGGACCCTCCCACAGCACCTTCCTGGGGAATGGAGACGTACCCTGGCTCTGTCGAGGGAGTCCCAGAGTGCCCCCACCCCCAGACATGGAATGTCATCGGCTTCTGGGAACTGGTCCCTCCTCCCTGCCCCACAGTCCTCCCTCCTGCCCATGTCTATGGGGAGGACTCTGGCTCAAGATGAGATCACCCCCCACCGCCCCGTCCATGCCACCCAGCCAACTGTTTATCCCTTCTGCTCCTCAAGCCCCTTCAAGATCAAGGTCCTCCCAGCTCATGATGCCAGCAAGGTGCGGGCCAGCGGCCCAGGCCTCAACGCCTCTGGCATCCCTGCCAGCCTGCCTGTGGAGTTCACCATCGACGCACGGGACGCGGGCGAGGGGTTGCTCACTGTCCAGATCTTGGTGAGTCTCTGTGCATCCCACCCCGCAGGTCATGCTCCAGGCACAGGCGGGCCTTGACCTCTGCTTCTCCCTCAGGACCCCGAGGGTAAGCCCAAGAAGGCCAACATCCGGGACAATGGGGATGGCACGTACACTGTGTCCTACCTGCCGGACATGAGTGGCCGGTACACCATCACCATCAAGTATGGCGGTGATGAGATCCCCTACTCGCCCTTCCGCATCCATGCTCTGCCCACTGGGGATGCCAGCAAGTGCCTCGTCACAGGTGGGTGCCCACCCGCTGCCCGTGCCCTGCTCACCACCCAGCCCCTCAAAGCCCCTCCAGAACCCTGGCCTGGTCCCCAGGGGTCTGCTGGTCGGAGAGCACACATGCCCTAGCCCTGGCCCCTCCCTCCCTCACCCCCGCCCAATGCCCCAGCCCACGTTGAGCACCGCCTGGCCTCACACTCTTCTCTCTTTCCAGTGTCCATTGGAGGCCATGGCCTGGGTGAGTGCCCTTTCTCTCCTCTTCTTGGTGTGGGCCAGGGTGGTTGGCGGTAGGGGGCGGGCAGCGGGAACAGAGAGGGCTGGCTCCAGCCCACCAGCTCCCTGAGCAGGATCTCCCGCATGGCAGGTGCCTGCCTGGGCCCTCGAATCCAGATTGGGCAGGAGACGGTGATCACGGTGGATGCCAAGGCAGCCGGTGAGGGGAAGGTGACATGCACGGTGTCCACGCCGGATGGGGCAGAGCTCGATGTGGATGTGGTTGAGAACCATGACGGTACCTTTGACATCTACTACACAGCGCCCGAGCCGGGCAAGTACGTCATCACCATCCGCTTCGGGGGTGAGCACATCCCCAACAGCCCCTTCCACGTGCTGGTAAGTTCTGTAGCCACAGCAAGACTAGATGGCTGGGGAGGGGGGCCTGGCCCTTTTAGCAGCAGCAGGGATCCCAGATAACTGTCCCCAAGGAATCCCACTTCTCTGAGGGCTCCTGGGGCCAGAGTGCTCCAGGATGGAGCCTTAACTTTCCCCACAGCACCCCCGAAGTGGGAGGAGAGCATGGCCCTGCCCCCTGCCCAGTGCTGTCAGCTGTCTCTGGAGGAACCCGCTGTGCTCTCCACCATCCCCAGCTCCATCTCCCCAGAGGCTGCCCTGCAGGAGGATGAACACCCAAATTATCACCCAGCATTTCAGGTTCCTGGGCCATTCTCTGAGTCAGCCCCTAGGCCTGTGAGGCTGCCACACCCTGTGCCCCCGTGCCTTGCCTCCCCAGGCGTGTGACCCCCTGCCGCACGAGGAGGAGCCCTCTGAAGTGCCACAGCTGCGCCAGCCCTACGCTCCTCCCCGGCCCGGCGCCCGCCCCACACACTGGGTACTGCGCCTCCCACCAGGCGATGTCCTCCTCCTCCTCCCCTTCCTTCATTTCTTCTCTCTACTCCTCTGCAGCCAGGGCGGGGACATGGTCTGGGGGCCTCTTGGGGAGCAGGCAAGAGTTAGGCTGGGCAGATGGAACCCCACTTGGGCACAGCACTCCTTCTCTTGCAGCTGACGCACCTCTCCTGCCACGCTGGTTTCATGATTAACTACCTTGTTCTTTCCTCACTCTCCAGCTTCAGTCATAGCATGGGTCAAACTCCTGGGCCTTCCCCAGTCACTGACTGTTCCCTCTCACCTGCTGCAGGCCACAGAGGAGCCAGTGGTGCCTGTGGAGCCAATGGAGTCCATGCTGAGGCCCTTCAACCTGGTCATCCCCTTCGCGGTGCAGAAAGGGGAGCTCACAGGTACTGCCCTGTGGCTCCCAGGCATGAGGGCTGAGGGGAGAAACCCTCTTCCAGGCCCAGTCCTGTGTCTTAATGATGAAAACAAAGGCCCAGAGAGAGGAAGTGAGCTCTACCCAGGGTCACACAGCAAGTTGGGCAGAGCCAGAACTCAGGTGCAAGCCATCTGTCCCCAGTTCAGGGCTCAGGCCACTGCCACAGGCTGTCTCTTGATGCCTGGCTTCTCGGGTGGCAGCAGAAGCACTCAGGACCAGGCCTGGGACAGCAGGGAGGTTGCAGTGGGGGAAACCAGGGTCTCCACGTAACTGTGTCTGCCCTGCAGGAGAGGTGCGGATGCCCTCGGGGAAGACGGCACGGCCCAACATCACCGACAACAAGGACGGCACCATCACGGTGAGGTATGCACCCACTGAGAAAGGCCTGCACCAGATGGGGATCAAGTATGACGGCAACCACATCCCTGGTGAGTTAGGGGCTGGGCTGGGCTGGGGCTTGGGTGAGAGGAGCAGGCCGTAGCTTCAGTCCTGCCTTCCCTCTTTCAACAAATATTTATTGAGCACCCGCTGTGTGCAGACACCAGGCGAGGCCCCAGGGAGGCTTATACCCTGGTGGGAAGCAGACCTCCACCAGCTGGGTCCCTACGGCACAGACGGAGGGGGTTGGCAGGGAGGCTGCTGGAAGGTGCTGGGGCCAAGGTGGGCTCAGATAATCCCTGATGCTGACCCAGCCCCCTTTTTCTCTGTATCCCCAGGGAGCCCCTTACAGTTCTATGTGGATGCCATCAACAGCCGCCATGTCAGTGCCTATGGGCCAGGCCTGAGCCATGGCATGGTCAACAAGCCAGCCACCTTCACTATTGTCACCAAAGATGCTGGAGAAGGTGAGGGAGCTGCAGGTCGCAGGCTGGGGTGGAGACTCACCAGGGGCAGGGGTGAGGGCAGGACCTCTGATCTTGGCCACACCTCCACCTACAGGGGGTCTGTCACTGGCCGTGGAGGGCCCATCCAAGGCAGAGATCACCTGTAAGGACAACAAGGATGGCACCTGCACCGTGTCCTATCTGCCGACTGCGCCTGGAGACTACAGCATCATCGTGCGCTTCGATGACAAGCACATCCCGGGGAGCCCCTTCACAGCCAAGATCACAGGTGAGGCGGGTGTATGGGCATGTACAGCCCATGAGGCACACACACCGCATACAGTGCACTCATGTGCAAGCCCAGCCCGTTCAAGTCACTCGTGACATTAGGGCAGAGGCCCTTCAAGGTGTGAGGGGTCATATTTTGATAAATGTAAAAACACTCTGTTCTCCACGGCAGCTAAGAAGCAGTCAGCCACTCCTTGTGCCTGAAAACACATTGCCTCATTTAGTCTTTGAAGTCATTTGTTTTGTTTTTGTTTTTGAGAGGGAGTCTTGCTCTGTCACCCAGGCTGGAGTACAGTGGCACGATCTCGGCTCACTGCAACCTCCGCCTCCCGGGTTCATGCCATTCTTCTGCCTCAGCCTCCCAAGTAGCTGGGACTCCAGGCGCCCGCCACCATGCCTGGCTATTTTTTGTATTTTTAGTAGAGACAGGGTTTCACCGTGTTAGCCAGGATGGTCTCGATCTCCTGACCTTGTGATCCACCTGCCTCGGCCTCCCAAAGTGCTGGGATTACAGGTGTGAGCCACCACGCCCAGCATGAAGTCACTCTTAAGAAGTTAGGGCACGGATAATCCTTTTGATAGATAAGGAACCCCTGTCCCAGAGAGGCCAAGCAACATGATTACAGCCACACAGCGAGGAAGGGGTCTGGGCGGTCCAGTCTAGTGTTTTGTTATCACAACATCATGTGACTCAGGGTTAAAATGCAGGAGGTTTCCTTTAGGGATTTAGCCCACAAGGACTGAGGCAGCCACAGTGGAATTGGGGTACAGGCCCCTCTTAGTCTCTGGCAGCTCACATGTGAGTGCAGACTGCACTTTCCAGGCCTTGGGCCTCCGTGCACCTGGGAGTGGCCCCCCGTGTCTGTTGAGTCCAGGGGGGGCTGCTCAGGAGGGTTCCTGAGCCCTGTGAGGGCAGGGCCTGCCTGGAGTCATAGCAGCCTGATGCCCCAACTCCCCCACCAGGTGATGACTCCATGAGGACCTCACAGCTGAATGTGGGCACCTCCACGGACGTGTCACTGAAGATCACCGAGAGTGATCTGAGCCAGCTGACCGCCAGCATCCGTGCCCCCTCGGGCAACGAGGAGCCCTGCCTGCTGAAGCGCCTGCCCAACCGGCACATTGGTGAGCGTGGGGCCTCACGGGGACCTCAGGGGTGGGGGCCCACAGGATGCTCTGCCTAACACCCACTTTCCACAGGGATCTCCTTCACCCCCAAGGAGGTCGGGGAGCACGTGGTGAGCGTGCGCAAGAGTGGCAAGCATGTCACCAACAGCCCCTTCAAGATCCTGGTGGGGCCATCTGAGATCGGGGACGCCAGCAAGGTGCGGGTCTGGGGCAAGGGGCTTTCCGAGGGACACACATTCCAGGTGGCAGAGTTCATCGTGGACACTCGCAATGCAGGTACCTCCTGCCCCAGAGAGCCCCCATTCCAGCGGGTGCCTCCCACAGGCACTTGTCCTCGTCCTGCCCAGCACCCCCTTGGCCGCACTCTCTCCTCCCTGAAACTTCCTGACCAGTCTGCGTCAGGATTCGCATTCTGGGGCCCCTTGCGGGAAAGTGAATGGCCCCGCATCAGTTCTCTCCCTTTTAAGAGAAAGCTCAGCTGTCCTGAGTTTCTGTCCCTCCCTTGCTCACTGGAATCCAAGAGGCTTACCTTAGGGAATTTTCCAGACCGCCTGTCCCGTGGTGCCCCCGCTCCTCCCACTGAGCCATTTTTGTTAGTGGTCACTACACACATCGGTGCCCATTCTGGGTGGAGCCTGCAGTCTGGGGAGAGGAAAGCATTGTGGCTTGGCCAGCCTAGGACTGAGGGAGATGTGTTCCTTGCTTTCCCCCAGGTTATGGGGGCTTGGGGCTGAGTATTGAAGGCCCAAGCAAGGTGGACATCAACTGTGAGGACATGGAGGACGGGACATGCAAAGTCACCTACTGCCCCACCGAGCCCGGCACCTACATCATCAACATCAAGTTTGCTGACAAGCACGTGCCTGGTAAGGCTCTGGGCAGAGGTCGGTGGCGAGAGACAGGGAGGCCAGGAGGCTGGGGCTCTGAGGTTCCTGACCCACCCTTTGTCCCCACTTCAGGAAGCCCCTTCACTGTGAAGGTGACCGGCGAGGGCCGCATGAAGGAGAGCATCACCCGGCGGAGACAGGCACCTTCCATCGCCACCATCGGCAGCACCTGTGACCTCAACCTCAAGATCCCAGGTAGAAGCCTGGAGGACCCTGGGTGGGGCGGGTGGTGGGAGAGGGCTGGCCCGGGCCAGAGCCCACCTGTCGGGCCTCCACCCTGCTTCCTCACCCCTCGCTTCCCTCCCTCACCCTGGCTCCCTTGACCACACAGGAAACTGGTTCCAGATGGTGTCTGCCCAGGAGCGCCTGACACGCACCTTCACACGCAGCAGCCACACCTACACCCGCACGGAGCGCACGGAGATCAGCAAGACGCGGGGCGGGGAGACAAAGCGCGAGGTGCGGGTGGAGGAGTCCACCCAGGTCGGCGGGGACCCCTTCCCTGCTGTGTTTGGGGACTTCCTGGGCCGGGAGCGCCTGGGATCCTTCGGCAGCATCACCCGGCAGCAGGAGGGTGAGCACCGCACACTGGGCCGGCCGGGTCCTCACGGCGGGATGGGAGGGTGCTGCGGACCAGGCTTGATGCTGGCAGACTGGCCCCGAAGGCCAGGGCAGGTCTGAGCAGAGGAGGAGGTTTAACTGATGGGGGAGGGAAGGGCCAGGGCTAGGAGGAATCCCAGTGTTGCCCTGACATCCCCCAAACCCTGCAGGTGAGGCCAGCTCTCAGGACATGACTGCACAGGTGACCAGCCCATCGGGCAAGGTGGAAGCCGCAGAGATCGTCGAGGGCGAGGACAGCGCCTACAGCGTGCGCTTTGTGCCCCAGGAAATGGGGCCCCATACGGTCGCTGTCAAGTACCGTGGCCAGCACGTGCCCGGCAGCCCCTTTCAGTTCACTGTGGGGCCGCTGGGTGAAGGTGGTGCCCACAAGGTGCGGGCCGGAGGCACAGGGCTGGAGCGAGGTGTGGCCGGCGTGCCAGGTAAGGGGCAGGTGGCCAGGAGTGGGGATGAAGTCAGGGCAGCCAGTGTGAGGGGCGATGATGCTGAAGTCCACTACCTTGCCTGTCCCCAGCCGAGTTCAGCATCTGGACCCGGGAGGCTGGCGCTGGGGGCCTGTCCATTGCTGTGGAGGGTCCTAGCAAAGCGGAGATTGCATTTGAGGATCGCAAAGATGGCTCCTGCGGCGTCTCCTATGTCGTCCAGGAACCAGGTGGGCGTCCACACTGGCAGTGGGGCTGGGCCTGCCTGACCTTCCAGACTGGGTTTCTGCCCACTGGCCAGGCAGGAGATGCTTGGGGCCACAGAACTCCCCTCCCCGGAGCCCCCTGCTCTTCCTCTGCCCCGTCTCCCTCTACCCCACACCCTCAGAAACATGTGTCTGCCTCCAGATCTGAGCGCTGACCACAGAGCCTTTCCTGGGATAAGGCCAGGGTGGGGAGGCTCCCGCCCTGCCAACCTCCATCCCGGAACCTGTGCTGACTGGTCTCTCTCCCCAGGTGACTATGAGGTCTCCATCAAGTTCAATGATGAGCACATCCCAGACAGCCCCTTTGTGGTGCCTGTGGCCTCCCTCTCGGATGACGCTCGCCGTCTCACTGTCACCAGCCTCCAGGTTTGTGCCCAGGGTGGGGGTGGAGGGTTTCTGCTATCTGAGAGATGGGCAGGAGTTGAGGACAGCAGGTCCATGGGGCCAGGGATTTAGCAGTGACCTTGGAAGGGCCAGTTAGGAGTCCCTTCTCATAAGGCACGAGGCAGGGCCCTTGGGGACGGTGGGCTCCCACCCTGGGGGCTTGCCCGTGCACTCAGGCATGCCACGCCTCGTTCTGCCTTTCTCAGGGTGTGTCTGCCTGTCCTACTGCCACCTGCCATTTCTTGTTACAGTTTGTTCCACCTTCTGTTGTAAGAATGCTAGATGACAACATTTATAAGAATGAGAGCATAAAATCTATACAAACTAAGAGTAAACCAGTTTGCACAGAGGGTGTGAGAGGCTCCTCTAAAGGGAATGCCTATGGGCTGCAGAGCCTGGGCTGCATCCTCTTCAGGCCGCTGGGGGCCTGGCTTGCTTTCTCTTGCTGCTGACTTCTAGAGATGTGGTGTGTTCCTTTCATTCTGTCACAGCGGACATGTGCAAGGAAGGCTTTCAGCAAGTCACACTGAAACATGCAAACCAGGGGGCCAGGTGTCCAGGGGACACATTGTAAAGGAGCTTCTGCATAAGGCGCACAGAATGGGCTTCACCCCACCTCCTTCTCCCACGCGCCTCCTGGCTGCCCCTCAGGGTGGTCACATTGGCCCATCCAGAGTCCTTGTGCATCTCCTCCTCCCACTCCTGAACTGGGCTCCCCGATGCAGGCTCCAATCCCTCCCCCAGAGCCCTTCTGTGCTTCTTCTGGTCCTCCCTGTTGGTCCACCTTCTCCAGGAAGCTCTCCCAGGCCAGGCCAGTGAAACTCAGCTTCCTACCTCAGAGCTCTCTGGCACCCCCAGCCCACACAGCCCATCAGGCACTTGCCCTCCGCCCTCAGCCTGCTTCACACAGAGTGGGGCCCTTCCTTCCTCAGCCAGGACAGGGCACATCGTCTGTCATCTCCCACACACCAAGCACAGCTAGGATAGCAGGTGCACACATAGGGTTGCATACCGGACCCTGGCTCCTCCTGCTCCCAGGCTGGGCTGGCAGGCAGGGGCCAGGCTGGGCATGGGGTGGCAGCAGCCTTTGGGCTGGGCTTACAGTGAGCACCGTGTGGGGCTTCAGAGAAGACTGCTCCAGCCCCGGCCTCCCAGGAGTCTGAGCATCCTCCGTGGCCTTTGCAGGAGACGGGGCTCAAGGTGAACCAGCCAGCGTCCTTTGCCGTGCAGCTGAACGGTGCCCGGGGCGTGATTGATGCCCGGGTGCACACACCCTCGGGGGCTGTGGAGGAGTGCTACGTCTCTGAGCTGGACAGTGGTGAGCTGGCCCTGCCCCTGCCAACTCCCTTCCGGGCTGGGGCCTTCTGGGGAGGGGAAGGATGGAGGCTAAGCCACCAACCCTTTATCCACAGACAAGCACACCATCCGCTTCATCCCCCACGAGAATGGCGTCCACTCCATCGATGTCAAGTTCAACGGTGCCCACATCCCTGGAAGTCCCTTCAAGATCCGCGTTGGGGAGCAGAGCCAGGCTGGGGACCCAGGCTTGGTGTCAGCCTACGGTCCTGGGCTCGAGGGAGGCACTACCGGTGAGTGCCTGGAGCTGGGGAACAGGGTGACTTCTGGGGGTGCTTGGCCACTAGTCTGGTGCTGCTTTGCTCCAGAGGTAGGGGCCCTGCTTCCTAAGCCAGGAGTCCCCACAGAGGCTGTCCAGGGAGCTGGGGCCCAGTCCCTCTTGGGCCACAAGCCCTTCCTGCCCTCAGCCTTGCTACCTCTGGCCCCCAGGTGTGTCATCAGAGTTCATCGTGAACACCCTGAATGCCGGCTCGGGGGCCTTGTCTGTCACCATTGATGGCCCCTCCAAGGTGCAGCTGGACTGTCGGGAGTGTCCTGAGGGCCATGTGGTCACTTATACTCCCATGGCCCCTGGCAACTACCTCATTGCCATCAAGTACGGTGGCCCCCAGCACATCGTGGGCAGCCCCTTCAAGGCCAAGGTCACTGGTGAGTGCCAGTTTGGGGGAGGTCCACCCAGCCTGCAGCCCAGCCCAGCCTGGAGGGCTCCGGTGGCCACGCACATCTAGGCCATAGTCTGCCCCCAGACATCATGGTCAGTTTACCAGGGCTAGAGGTGGGCCTGGCTCTACACAGTACACGTTCTGTGGAGTCGGGCATGATCACGTAAAAATGCCATTCTTCCTCTCCATCGTGGCCCCTCACTCCTTCAGCTCTGGCCTGCGCTGGCTCCTCAGGCTCTAGCACCACTTTCTTCCCTCCTGGCTTCCCATATTCCTCCGCTCCAAGAAGACACAGTCGGTATTGAGCAAGCTTCCCCTCTTGAGGCTGTCTGTAGGATGAGTTGGGTGGGTGTTCCTTTGTAAAGTGGCTCTTACCCTGTGAGTTAGCCTGAGTTCCCAGACAAAGCCTGCAAGGATGAGGGACGCAGCATCTGAGGCCCCAGCCCTAGGGTGGAGCACCAGTTGGAGCTGGCAGCTCAGGGCCCTGGCTGGGAATGAGGCTGTGCTCCTAGAGTGGCCCTTGGAGGAATTTGAGGGGGAGCCTCAAATGCAGGCAGTGAGTCCCACAGGGTGGCAGTGCTGGCCGAGGGTCCCCTGCCTGGGGAAGAACAGGAAGCCCTTCTGACTAGGTTTGTGCCCCCTCCACCCACCCCTCAGGTCCGAGGCTGTCCGGAGGCCACAGCCTTCACGAAACATCCACGGTTCTGGTGGAGACTGTGACCAAGTCCTCCTCAAGCCGGGGCTCCAGCTACAGCTCCATCCCCAAGTTCTCCTCAGATGCCAGCAAGGTGGTGACTCGGGGCCCTGGGCTGTCCCAGGCCTTCGTGGGCCAGAAGAACTCCTTCACCGTGGACTGCAGCAAAGCAGGCAGGTGGCGGGGGGAGGGCGTCTCCCGGGGTGTGAGCAAGAAGCCGTCAGGGAGCAGGGTGTGGGTCACAGTAGGGGACTCCCTGGTGTGAGCCTGTCCCTCTGCCTCCCTCTCCAGGCACCAACATGATGATGGTGGGCGTGCACGGCCCCAAGACCCCCTGTGAGGAGGTGTACGTGAAGCACATGGGGAACCGGGTGTACAATGTCACCTACACTGTCAAGGAGAAAGGGGACTACATCCTCATTGTCAAGTGGGGTGACGAAAGTGTCCCTGGAAGCCCCTTCAAAGTCAAGGTCCCTTGAATCCCAAAAGTGCCTCCCCAGCCTCAGCCCCCACCTCCAGCCACACACACATTACACACACACACACACACACACAAATGTGCCACACCCAGACACGCACAGAATCAGACACTACAAACACCTGCCTTGGGGGTGAAGTGAAGGCCCAGCCTCCCCACCCCACCGCGCCCCAGGGGTTGGAGGACCTTGTCTGTGTCAGGACAGTGTCCCTCCCTGGGAATGTGACATGAGGGCCGACTGGGGCCAGGCTCAGGGGCAGAGGCTGGGACACAAGGGGCTGGCGAGGGCTGCGAGGCCAGGGAAGCCCTGAGTTTCTGGCGGGGCTGAGCAGTGGGGGAGCATTGTGTTGTGGGTGTCTGTGTGTGAGGTCACCCTCAAACTGCACCGCCGGCCAGATACCCTCCTGACCCCGAGGACTTGGTCTGGTCTCTCTGGTGGCTACAACCCCAGAGTTTTAAGGACTTGGAAAGGAAAGCACAATCAGAGAAGAAAACAGCCCCCGAACCAGCAGGAGTGGCCTGGCACATGGACCGGCCTGAGCGATGTGCACTCCACCCAAGCCAGGCTCCCAGGGGGCCTGATTTCTCTCTCACTGTCTCTTTTTTTAAAATGGTTGCACGGCTCTGCCCCATGGGGGGCCTTTTTTACACACTGCGAGGCCCAGCTTTCTAGGGGACTTTTGCACATGTCATGCAGCTCAGCTGGGAGCTGCTTAGGTGGAAAACTCCAAATAAAGTGCGGCTGTCGCAGAGGGTTGGCTGTTCCTTGGGGGTGTGCTCTGTGTGGCTGGCTGCCCTCTGGCCTGCCACACGAAAAACCGGGCCCTGGGGAGGCAGAGGCGGCCTGGCTGTTCCCTGGAAGATTGACCCAGTCGAGGGAAAGGTCCTGGGGCAGAAGTGAGGTCTGGGATGTTGGCAGAGTGCTTGAAAGAACCGGGGGTGGGGGCTCGGGGATGTGGGAAGGGGTCCCAGCGGGAGGGTTCGTGGACAGTACAGGGTGTGGATACTGTGTTCTACAGTACTGTCCCAGGACCCCTGGGAGGCCAGTTTCAGTTCAGCTTGACCTCAAGGATGTTTTTCAAATTAAGACTTTAAAACAGTGAGCACTGACTCAAACAGGAATATTCCTCAACCAGCAGGCAGGCAGAACCACCTGCAGACTCAGCACCTTCCCCCTAGTCAGTTCCTGAATCAACTTGGCCTGTTTCATGCCCCTTTCCAGCACTAAGCTTGCACAGGGCCTCCCTCCTGAACTCCTGCAACAGCCCTGCCCTGGCCAGCTCCCTCCAACCTCCCCTCCATGCTGCAGCTTGGCGGGGGGGTCACTTTAAAGATAGTATATGCCCCTCTCTGGTTTAGGGCCATCTGTGACTCCCTCCTGCTCCAGAGTAAAGTCTCCTCTTCCTGACAAGGTCTCCAGGGCCACCCAGGTTCAGACAGCAGCCTCCCCAGCCATATGAGTTGGGCAGCAGGCCCACTCTCCATTGTGCCCTCCACCTCCAACCCCCCTTCATTACCTCTGGGCACCCATGCTGTAATTTGGGCCCTTGCCCGGAAACACCTTTGCCTCCCCACCCTCTTCATCTTCCTGGCCAACAGGAAGTTTTCCTGGACCCCTCCCTACCCCTCCTGGATCAGTGCCCCCAGCTCCCAAACTGCCCTGGGACACATCTCTAGTTGCAGTTACGACCCTGAGCTGTGGCCATGTATCCACGGCTCCCCACCAGATGGAGCTCCCTGGCCCTGGGTGTGAATGAGTGAGTGAATGGGTATGAATGAATAAATGAGCAGCTGAGTAGCTGCAGCAGGGAAAAGAAGTCTTTCATTCAACTGATCCCACAATCTAGACCCACCTGGGCATTTCAGCACATGGTGGTGGGCTTGGCAGAAAAACCCACGAGTCCCCAACTCCTAATCCCTGACCTCCCCACCTCTCTCACCAGGCTCTGTGCTTCCTCCCTCTTCCCTCACACCCTCCCACACACCCATCCTCACTCTCTGCCCCCCTCACCCTCACCCTCACCCCTAGATGTGCTAATTTCCCCCTCAGCTTCGGCTGCCTCCACCTGTGTGTGGCTGATAAGCTCACAGACCTCCAGCCTGCCTGCTTCCAGCCAGCCACAGTGTGGCCCTGGGTGCTGAGCCTTACAGGCCCTTCCTCATTAATCCTCATAACAGCCCTATGAGGTGGGGCTACTACCATCTGAAGAAACCAAGGCCCTGGGAATTTCAGTGATGAGTCTGAAACCGTACCTTTAAGTAGTGGGGCACAGATTGAAACCCAGGTGTGCCCGAATCCCAAGCTTATCACACATACAATCGCTAGACCAGACCACGGGCACGTCTCAAGCACTCCAAACTCACAAACCCCATGCCAGACACCGGGAGTGCTGATTTGTTAAAAGGGAGGAGGAAAGAGTGGCTCCTTCCCCTTCAGCCTGCTCATCTTACAGAGGTCACTTTCTTGGCAATGTTACTCCCATCCATGTGCTGCACAGGCCAGAAACCTGGAAATCACCCAGGTCTCTCTCTCTACCTCACTCCCCAAACACATCCACTCTGAAACCAGTTTTGTCCTAAATATCTAAATATCTCTCGGCTCTACCTACTTCTCTGCGTTTCCCATTATCACCACCTGAGTCCTGGCCACCATTATCTCTCACAGTGGCCTCCCAATTTGGTTTCTCCTCCCTCAGTTTCGCCTCTGCACACAGCACAGTCAACAGTGAGTGACAGCTCTAAAACGTAAGTTTGGCGATAGCACTCTCTTACTTGAAATCCCTCAGCAGCTTCAGGATAACTGTCCTCAGGATAACTTCCAGATCTTTTTTTTTTTTTTTTTTTTTTTTTAGACAGAGTCTCACTCTGTCACCTAGGCTGGAGTGCAGTGGCGCCATCTCAGCTCACTGCAACCTCCCTTGCCCGGGTTCAAGCAATTGTCCTGCCTCAGCCTCCCGAGTAGCTGGGACTACAGGCACACACCACCTCACTGGGCTAATTTTTTTTGTATTTTTAGTGGAGATGGGATTTCACCATGTTGGCCAGACTGGTCTCAAACTCCTGACTTCAGGTGATCTACCCGCCTCAGCCTCCCAAAGTGCTGGGATTACAGGCGTGAGCCACCGCGCCCAGCCTGCAGATCCTTTTTTTTTTTTTTTAGACAGGGTCTCGCTCTGCTGCTCAGGTTTAAGTGCAGTGCCGTGATCATAGCTCACTGTAACCTTGAACTCCTGAGTAAGCCCTGCTGCCTCAGCTTCTCGAGTACCTGGAACTATAAGTGTGCACCACCACGCCTGGCTAATTTTTTTTTTTTTTTTTTTTTTTTTTTTTTGAGACAGAGTCTCGCTCTGTCACCCAGGCTGGAGTGCAATGGCACAATCTCGGCTCACTGCAACCTCCGCTTCCCGGGTTGAAGCAATTCTCCTGCCTCAGCCTCTCGAGTAGCTGGGACTACAGGCGCCCACAACCACGCCCGGCTAATTTTTTGTGTTTTTAGTAGAGACGGGTTTTCGCCATGTTGGCCAGGCTGGTCTCAAACTCCTGACCTCAGGTGATCCACCTGCCTCAGCCTCCCAAAGTGCTGGGATTACAGGTGTGGCGTGAGCCACCATGCCTGGCCTTACCAATTATTTAACTTTCCTTGAAGGCCCTACGCTCTCTAGTCAGTACGCCTTTGCACATGCTGTTCCTCTGCCTAGAACACCGTCTTGTCCTCACTTCTATCCCCTTCATCCTGCAGGTCCTTCAGGTCTCAGCTTAGATCTGAAGCAAGCTTCTTGGGGAAGGGTTCTTTGGACGCCCCCTCTCTCCATGGGTTAGTTACCATGGATGTGTGCTTCCATATACTTTTCACATTCTAACCATTAACACACAGCTTTGTAGTCGCCTGTTCCCTTGACTTTCCACCTCACTAGGCAGTATCATCATTAACTTTTGCATTCCTTTAACTGAACAAACGTGTGTTACTTGTTAACTATGTGTCATAGTTACACACATACATACACGATAAAGACCCAGACCCTGCCCTTGAGATGAGTAACTGCGTCTCTTCTCTGGGGTCTCGGCGTCTAACAGCGTCAGGTCCAAAGCGCTTGTTGAACGAATGAACCAAGGAACGAGTGAATGAACGAATGAATGCCCGCGAAGGACGTGGTGCCGCGCGGTCTTCTGGGAATCGTAGTCCCCTGGTTCGGGCCTGTCTTTACGGCGCAGGCGTATTCACATGGAGGCCGTGTTGCTGTTAATGCGCATGTCCCGGAATGCGGCTGGGAGGACTGCGCATGCTCGAAGGGTGGGGGTTGAGGCCGACGGGGCGCCGTACGGCGGAGGCGGGGTTTCAGTGGCTTCTGGTGCTCTAGGGTGAGCTCTGCCCGGCTGCAGGGATGGCGGGGAGGGGTAAGCTCATCGCAGTGATCGGAGACGAGGACACGGTGACTGGTTTCCTGCTGGGCGGCATAGGGGAGCTTAACAAGAACCGCCATCCCAATTTCCTGGTGGTGGAGAAGGATACAACCATCAATGAGATCGAAGACACTTTCCGGTACGGTACCGCGCGAGGCCTGAACGGGCCCTTCTGCTGCTCGGTGGAGTGCGGGGCGAGGCTGGAGGCTGCCCGGACGGGGGTGAGGGGACGATCCTGAAAGTCCTTCCGCCCTTCCGGAGCGGAGGCCTCCGCGCCCCAAGTCCCCGTTTGGGGCTCGGTGGGACAGAAGCTGTATCAGGTCCACGAGCCCCCCCACCTCACATGATCGTGTGTCATGAAAGAAGGGGAACAGAGCTCGTGACAGCCTAGACAGTGGGCTTGGACTTTGTTCTGCTTTCTCCTCCTTTAGAGGCTCACCATCGTCCCGTAAGGCAGGGATGATTTTTGTCCTACTCACAGGTGAGAAAACTAAAGCTCGGAGAGGGTAAGGCACACACTAAAGTTACGAGTCGGCAGAGGCAGAGCTAGAATTTGAACCCAATCTCAACCCTTTCTGCCTCCGGTAAGCCAGGTACACACTCTTGGCAGGTCTCCTCAGGCGGCCTCGGAATTTCCTTGTAGTCTTGAGCACAGTAGGCAGAAATGTCGGGACTGTGAGAGCCTTCTGCTAAGACCTTGCACTCAAGCCCTCACTGCCTGCCTTAGGTCAGAGTGTGGGTGCAGGCATGCTTTTAATCCACCAGGGGTCCTGGTGACTGGAATTAAGGATACCAGCCTCCTATTTTATTCCTCACCCCTTCTCCAGGGCCCCTGTACCAAGTCTCAGGAATAAACCACTCACCTGTTTCCCCCAAACAGTCCAGCCCAGGGCTGCTGGCTGAGACTGGTTCCTGCTGCCTGGTGTATTAGGTAGTCCCTGACCTGGGAGGCTGTTATCTGCCATTCTCTAAGCTGTCTGGTAAAGTGACCCAAGTTATCATGGGAGAAGGACAAATTTTACTTCAAGAATTTTTTATGTTTCCAACCAAAAGGGACCTCAGAGATCAAATCTAACCCAGTGACTGGCAGGGGGTGGGTGCTCAGTAAGTAATTTTTAATCAGTAAATAAACGAATGAGTCTGGGTGCAGTGGCTCACGCCTGTAATCCCAACAGTTTTGGAGGCCGAGGCGGGTGGATCACCTGAGCTCGGGAGTTTGAGACTAGCCTGACCAATATGGTGAAACCCCATTTCTACTAAAAATACAAAAATTAGCCAGGCGTGGTGGCGGGTGCCTGTAATCCCAAGAAATCAGGAGGCTGAGGAAGGAGAATTGTTTGAACCTGGGAGGTGGAGACTGCAGTGAGCCGAGATCCACCACTGCACTCCAGCCTGGGTGACAGAGGGAGACCCTGTCTCAAAAAAATAAAAATAAAATAAACAAATGAATGGGTGGGTGACCACAGGAGAGAAGGAGCACAAGGCCAGGTTCTTTTTGTGCAGAAAGTGTGATTCCTTCATCAAGGTGTCCTCTTCCTAGCTTGTGATCTTAGTTCATGCCAAACTTTCCCTCTGACCCCTCCACCACCCTCATCAGGATAGACCTTGAGGCCTTCAGTGGTCTCATCAGCCCTATTTTTAAATAATTTGTTTTCTTTTTAAAAGTTAATGTGTCTTTTTTTTTTTTTTTTTCTGAGACAGGGTCTCACTCCTGTCACCCAGGCTGGATTGCAGTGGCGTGATCGCAGCTCACTGCGGCCTCGACTTCCCAGGCTCAAGTGATTCTCCCACCTCAGCTTCCTAAATAGCTAGGACTACAGCTTCCCAAGTAGCTGGCACATGCCGCCACATCCAGCCATTTTTTTTTTGTGTGTATATATATAGATAGATAGATAGATCCGCCACATCCAGCCATTTTTTTGTGTGTGTATATATAGATAGAGAGAGAGAGAGAGAGAGAGGGAGATGGGGGTCTCACTATGTGGCCCATTCTGGTCTCAAACTCCTGGGTTCAAGCAATCCACCTGCCTCGGCCTCCCAAAGTGCTGGGATTACAGGCGTGAGCCATCACAGCTGGCCTTCAGTATCTGCACATAAAAAGGGATCTGCATACATATAATCTTATCCTTCCCCTTTCTGACACATCACTGCATATTGAATACACCAGTGTGCACCCTAATCAATCTTCATTACCAGTTCACTTGGAAGCCTTCCGGGCAGTGTTGTAGAAGCCAACCCTAATCAGCGTGACCCTCCGCTTTGGGATGAAATTGATTCTAGGTAGGGTTGACAGAGGGTTGAGCGTGGCAGCCTTTCCCCTTGTCCTCTGTGCCCTCTGGGTCATGCTCATTCCCCTCCACAGCCCAGCCCAACAACTCGGAGAGGGCTGCCTGGGTAGGAGAGACGGCAGCCCCCAGAGCTGTCCTGGACTCCCTTCTCATCTCTCCCCACAGGCAATTTCTAAACCGGGATGACATTGGCATCATCCTCATCAACCAGTACATCGCAGAGATGGTGCGGCATGCCCTGGACGCCCACCAGCAGTCCATCCCCGCTGTCCTGGAGATCCCCTCCAAGGAGCACCCATATGACGCCGCCAAGGACTCCATCCTGCGCAGGGCCAGGGGCATGTTCACTGCCGAAGACCTGCGCTAGGGGACTCCTCATAGCCCTCAGCCCTTCCCTCGTTTCCAGGCCTCTCCCCAGGCTTGCCATCAGCCTTCTTTACTTTTTGAGCCTCTGATTTCCAATTCCCTGCTCCTTCCCACTCCATTAAGAGGCTAGGTGAGGCGCTTCTAGGTTGCTGGGGCTCTGCTGGTTAAGGAACAGGAAGCCTGACCATCTCCCTCCACTACCTCTTCCCTGTGCTGTTACACAGTGTCATTGTTGATGTTAAATTAAAGTCATATTCTTGCTTCTCTCCAGATGGGTTGGGTGCTGGAAAGGACATGTGTGGGGTGAGGCCATGGGGCAGATTCGGTTGGCAAGGATGGAAAAGGTGCTGCCAAAGACAGGCATAGAAGAGGTGGCCCAGGAGGATTGTGCCGGGAGGCAGAACTCAAGGACTGGTCCTTGGATCAGAGAAGACCAGCTCTGGTCTGGGGAGGAATGGGAGGAGGCTTGAGCCCAGCTCCTGCTTCCCCCACCTTGCTCGGCATTGGGCTGGGAAGGGGGCCAGATCCAAAGGACAGAAGCAGAAAGCACACGAAACCTGGGAGTCTGTGATGCCAGATCCCGCGAGGGCCCTGCGGGAGTTTTGGGGGGAGCAGGGCTCTTAACCAGTGGGCCCTGGCCTCAGGCTGCCTCAGGAAGCCAGGCTCATGGGGTCTGCTGGGGGCATGGCAAGTAGAACCCTGGCCCTGTGTGAGGTGAGGCATGGTTGCCAGGTGACTGTGCCTGGGCAGCCACTCGCCGTCAGAAGCACTCTGCTTGCTGTGCTCACCCCTCAGCTGTGGCCACCCTGGTGCCACTCCTTCCCTGGCCACCATGTCACGGCAGCTCAACATAGACGCGTTACGGCAGAACTTCTGGAAGGAGGAATATCTGAGGGAAAAGATGTTGCGCTGTGAATGGTACCGCAAGTATGGGTCGATGGTGAAGGCCAAGCAGAAGGCTAAGGCTGCAGCCCGCCTGCCCCTCAAACTGCCCACCCTGCACCCCAAAGCCCCACTCTCACCCCCACCCGCCCCCAAGTCAGCCCCTTCCAAGGTGCCCAGCCCTGTCCCAGAGGCGCCTTTTCAGTCGGAAATGTACCCGGTACCACCTATCACCCGAGCCCTGCTGTATGAAGGCATCTCCCACGACTTCCAGGGGCGGTACCGCTACCTCAACACTCGAAAACTGGACATGCCAGAGACGCGATACCTCTTCCCCATCACCACCAGCTTCACGTATGGCTGGCAGCTGGGTGAGCCCAACCTCTTGGAAATCACCTCAAAAACAGAGCACTAGCCATGTGCTAGGGAGTGGGCATCCTGGTGAAGGGTCCAGACTATAAACAGAGCAAGGAGATGGCCAAGAAGTGTCGACACGTTCCACAGAACTAGGGAGTGGCGGTGGGCAGGGAGGCAGCGGCCACGTGCTGCTATTTATTGGATTGTCAGGAAAGGCCTTTCTGAGGACCCGAGGCTGAGAGCCAGATGATAAGGATGGGTTTGGATTTTATTTGTTGTGCAGGGAAGCTGATGGAGGGTTCTAAGCAGATTTCAAGAGTGACACTGGTGAACCTTTTAAAAAGTCACCCTGACCTGTATGTAGGCAGTGGCTTTTTCAGGGGAAATGGTAGAATCTGGCACATGAGTTGGGCATCTGTTTGGTTATCCTGTGGTAGTGGCCTGAGGGATCAGCAATAGAGCTGAAATCAATTCAGGATGTTTTGGGGGAAGACTCGGTGGAACTCACCCATGGATAGAATGTGAGAATAAGGGGAAGAGAGATCAATCACCCAGGTGTTTGTTTAGCTAAAGCTGCAGTGACAGGGAAGACTGGGAGAGGTCAGGGCTGGAGCGTGCATGAACAGGTCCTATTTAGCCATGTGTGTTTGGCTATGTTATGCTTGAAGTGTCTGTAGGGTGGCTGTGTCTATAAGTCTGGATTGAAGTCAGAGCTGAAGATGCAAATTCGGAGGTCATTGGAATATAGGTGCTTTTTTTTTTTCTTTTTCTTTTTGAAACAGTCTGACTCTGTCACCCAGGCTGGAATGCAGTGGCACGATCTTGGCTCACTGCAACCTCTGCCTCCCAGGTTCAAGAGATTCTTCTGCCTCAGCCTCCCGAGTAGCTGGGACTGCAGGCGTGTGTCACCACGCCCAGCTAATTTTTGTTTTTTTAGTAGAGACAGGGTTTCACCATATTGGCCAGGCTGGTCTCGAACTGCTGACCTCGTAATCTGCCTGTCTCGGCCTCCCAAAGTTCTGGGATTACAGGCATGAGCCACCGGCTGGCCTATAGGTGCTATTTAAATCCATGAGATCTCCTAGGGAGCTCAAGTTGCTGGAATCTGATGGGAGTGGGGGCAGGAGGGCTGAGCCAGAGCGGGTAGGGGATGTCATTGGCAGGAAGCCTGTCCATCTCGGCTGAGTCTTTTTTCTGTGAGGTTGAGTCAAGGCCATCAGCGGGGAGGGAGCTGAGCTGAGGCAGTGGAGTAACTAGAGATGAAGAGGAAAGGTGTGGAACAGGCATGTGCCAGGCAGGGCTGCTGGGCGATGTTGCTGCACGTCCCATTGCTGTCTGTGCTCATGAATGTCAAGTGAGACTCCTCAGCCCTGTACCCTTCTCCAGCTGCTTGAGTGTCTTGCAGAAAAGGTGGATGGTTGGGGATTGACTCAGTTGAGATTTTGCCCCCAAACATCCCTTTCCCCCAGGCCCCTAAAGGGGAAGTCAGGGAAATAACTTTCTAACAAAAGCAGGAGGCGAGCCCTAGAAGCGGGGAGCAGGAGGCCGAAGGAAATCTCATCTCTCCACAGTCTGTCCCTGTGACAAGCAGGCTAGGGTGGCCCCCCTCCCTGCAGGTAGAGGATCCTGAAGCTAGGGTAATGATGGCAGATGGCTGCTGTATCCTGGCATCCAGCCAGCTCCCAGTATTTGCCCATAGCTCCCATTCCTCCAAAGCACTTTCTATTTCTTCCCACAAAGTGGCTACTCCACTGACGGATTCCTAGGGCTGTGCAGACAGACAGGGCTCCCATGCTCTGCGTGTCCCTCCCTCAGGAACCCATGCTTGGCCTCTGACATCTTTTCCCAGGCCCCCCAGTGAAGCAAGAACTGGTCTCCTGCAAGATGTGCCGCATTGAGTCATTCTTCCGCAAGAACGGGGCCTTCGCACTGCTTGATCCCCGAGACCTGGCCCTCTGACCGTGGGCCAGGTGTGGGCTTAGGGGAGGGAAGAAGAAATAACAGGCCTCCTGGTGGGGCAAAGCTGCTGTGTGTGTCTGTGCCCCTCTGCTCTCCCTGTCCCTGAGGTTGCATTCAGGCCTTTCTGAAACTATCAGACCTGCAAGTTGCCCTCTTGCTTTTTCCGTAACCCTCATCACTTTAATCATCCCTTTGAGGACTCAGCAATGACCAGAGGGTGCTGGGAAGGGCGAGCACTACTTCGCAGGCACGGGATCCTCAGCACCAGGGGAACACAGTAGTTCCAGGAAGTTCTGGGTGTTCCTGGGGAGAGAGCGGCTTGTCATTTCGGAGGCCAGGGAAAGGGGCCTCCTGCCACCGCCACACCCCTCCTTGCCCGCCCCTCACCTGGCCCCGAGGGCCCGCAGCCGCTCCGTCCTCTCCCGATGCATTTGCTCCAGCTGCTCCCGCAGGGCGCGCCGCCGCCCAGCCGCGTCCTCCTGGCGGTGCGGAGCGCTGAGCGTCCGCGGCTCAGTGGGGCGGGCGGGGCAGCACCTGGCACACCTGCCCCTCGCGCCCCGCCGAGTCACTGCCAGAGTGCAGTGCGCTCACTTCAAAGGGACCCGGGCGCGCTAAGCTCGGCCCCTGCCCCGCGCAGGCTCCTTGTGGCCCCACCGCCTTCTAGGGGTCTTGCCTGTGGCGGGAGTTGAGCCGGACTGGGCGGGAGCCCCACGGGGTGAACCCGGCAGTGGCGGTTCCTGGCGATGTGGAGGCGTTCCAGGACCTGCAGAGGCGGCAGTCAGCGTCCGGCCGCCCCTCGGTGCCCCGCCCGCTCCAGGCAGGCCCCGATCCCGGCGTGGGGACACACCCGGAGCCGCTGCTGCTCACGGTCCCGCCGGCGGCGCTGCCGCCTGGCCGCGCTGTGCAGCTCCAGCAGCCGCTGCAGAGCCGTCACCTGCTGCGCCGCGCTTAAGCCCGCAGGCGCCTTGGCGGTGCTGAGGGGCGCCGGCCACGCGGCCTTCAAGGCCTTGGGACGCTCAGGGCCGCCCCACCCGACCCCGGAGGGCACCCGGAAGCCAAGCCTGGCCCACCTCCTGCTCCCCCGGTGCGGGGCCCACTCCAGGGCCCTGCAGCCCGTGCGGATCGCGCTCCAGGCCTGGGGGCCCCGGAGAGCCCCGAGGAGCCCCTGCTGCCCGGATACCTCGGCGCGCAGGGTCGCTGGCATCTCGGCTCCGGCTCCGCGACCTGGGAGCCGCCGCCGGGCCGGGGGCTTCGGGCGGGTAAGCGCAGCCCACGCCCCCTCCCGGGCGGCCCCCAGCTTTGCCACCGCCGGTGCCGACCTTTGTGGCTCGCCTTTGATCATGCTCTGCGTCAGCGTGGTAGTCCTTCTCCGGAGGTTTGGGCTCTCCCTGCCCACAGGCTTTGGAGTCTGTGCTTTCAGGGACCCGCAGGAGTCCCTCGGATGGCTATGGGGGTCGCCTTCCTCTGGGGGCTGCACAGTGGCCTCTCCGGGAGCCACCTCCCAGGCTTGTGAGATATTGCCTTCCCAAGACCGCAGCATCTTCTTCCCTGGACTCTGGGGACTCGCCTTTCCCTGGCACTTAGGACTAAATTCTCTTCGACTCCTCCCTCTGACCCTGAGGAGCCCTTGGGCTCTGGCCCCCGTGTGTCTTCACCTTCTGACTCTGAGGAGCATCTTTGATCTCGCCCCAGGAGGCCTCGGCTCTCTTACGCTGAGGGGTCTCCGCTTTCTGATCCTGAGGGTCCTCCTCTCAGACTCAGGGGTGTCCATCCTTGGTGGTCTTTGAAGTTCTGCTCTCTCCTGGCCCAGGTGCGGGTCCGAGCCCAGCCCTTCAAGGGCATCTTGGGAAGGCAGGTTTTGGGAGGGCAGGTCCCCCGGCCCAGGGGTCCCGGGAGTGAGCTTTCTTTTCTGGGTCTCAGGCTCTGCCTCACTCCTCTCTTCCCTCTGGGCCAGGTCCTGGAAAGGAAAAGCACTTTGGGCCCAGGTTTGAGAGGGAACCTGCAGACCCCAGGGGCCAGCCTTTGCCTGATTCCTGAATTTGTTAAAGCCATTTTATGTAGTGTGGAAGGTGCTTCACTGAAGAGCCTCCTCCTCACCCCAGCAGCCTCCTCCCAGGCAGACCCACCCCTGCCATCCCCAACCTGAGACCCTTGACCTTTTCACCTTGCACTCTGAGCTACCTGGCACCCCAAAACTCCTCCTGGTAGTGGGGTTGAGCTCTTGTAAGGAGCCTGAGGAAGAAAGACCAGTATTGGGAGCTCATGTCCCAGCCCCTCATGCACAGTTCACCTAGACTAGAGCCAGGAAGTTTAGGGAGTCCCAGTGCATGGCTAGGGGTGCCCTGAGGGCGCTGTCTGAACCTCAGGCTGTCACAGTTCATCAATCAGCCAGCCATGCACCTGTCAGGTGTGCCTGCCAACAGCCTGCCCCATCTTTCTCATCCTCCCAGCCAAGGCAGACCACTCCAGAGGGACCTGCACAGCCCCTTCCTCAAGACCACCACAGGAGGCCTGGGAGTGAGAAGGGTCACGGTGCTGGGTGCCTGGGTTCCTCAGCACCGGCCACTCCCACTTTGCCCTGGTGTGCCCATCAGGCCCAGAGAAGAAACCCGCTCTGGGCGTCTTACTTTTTACTCTTATTCAGAAAAACCTTCCTTAGCCTTTTCTTTGTTTCTGACAGCAAAATCAAAGGAAATTCAAGATGAAATTTTAGGCCAGAGCCTGGCCTAAAAACTGCAAGTGTTCATAATTAACAAAAGAAATCTAAAAAAAGAGATGATGTGTTGCCGCTCCCCTGCAGCTGTGGAGGAAGGAGAGCTGTTCTGCATCCATAAAAACCAGTTAAAAGGGATTTCATAAGGTCTGAAATTGAGAACTTTCCCAAGAATACTGCATCTTGTTCTCTTGTGCAATATACAGACGTGTGAATATTCCTAACAGTAACCAAATGGGTGCACTCTCTGTGAAAACGCATCTTTCAAAGAGTTTTTTAAACAAAGGAGACTCCTGGGCCTTTAGAAATAATTGCCACAAACTGCAAAAACAATCTCCAACCTCCCACTTCTGTAATTCTCATCTGTTGTCTTACTAGAAAATTTATTTCTCTGGTAATAATGTTATAATTGATATCCCTGTCTTCTCAAGATGTAAAATACTTGTAAAAACTTCTCTGTCCATCAGAAAATAATTATTGGCACTTTTCTTCTCTCTCATGTGCATGATGGAACAATAAAAAGCTTATGGCTTT
Organism: Homo sapiens; assembly: GCF_000001405.40. NCBI lineage: Eukaryota > Metazoa > Chordata > Mammalia > Primates > Hominidae > Homo > Homo sapiens. The sequence goes on from NC_000007.14 coordinate 128,872,023, forward strand.
GCTAGATCTATTATTTAACAAACAATTTGAGAGTCTGTTTCATTTAAATTAATAGGCTCAAGGCTCACAGTATCCATTCCGCTGCCTGTTTATTGTCATGCTATTTCTAGCCTGTGATCTAAAGACAAGCACCTAGTCTCCTTGTTCTCTGTATATCTCCATTGCCCAGCTGAAGGGTGGCAAACAGGTGGCCTGTGCCTGGCTGAAGGGTGGCAAATAGGTGGCCTGGAGTTGGTATTCTGTTCCCTCATCCCCGGGCAGCCAGTGATGCTCATTCCTGAACTTTCTCCCCTGAACCCCAGTTTAGCATCAGAATCCTACTGGACACAGTGCCTAAGACAGCTGGTACCAACCAGGTGGAATTGGCACATCAAATAAAACCTACTTGCCATCGCTGGGTGTCCCGGCATTCCCATCAGGAAGTGTGAGATGACGAATGAGTGAAGAATGAAGTCCTGCGACTTGGGGAGAGGACTTTCCTGCCTCATCCCAATCCAGTCTGGCTGCCCCAGCCCCAGGGGCCCCCTGCCCTCCTGGCTGTCTGATGACGTACCGCGTGTGGGCTCTGCAGGTCCTCCAGGGCTCTCCCACCCTTGGTCTGCACCACTCCCGGTTTCACCCAGATCTGGGGCTGATGAGAGGTCTCCGGCCTGCCCCCTACAGGAGTTCAAGGGCTACCTCTGATGCACCTCTCTGGGCCCATCGGCTCTGGAATGGGAGGGAGTCTGCCTGCCAGTCTCCCGAGACCCCCACCCCAGCATCCAAACACTTGAGTCCCGGGTGGCCGCCCCCAGTACCCTCCCTCCTCCCCCATCACCAGATCCTGGGAGCTGGAGTTTGGAGGTTAACCTTTCCAAGGGCTGTGGGGCAACCATGGGTGCAACTAAGAGCCCAGGAGGCGTAATGAGGGGCACCGGGCAGGACTGCAGAAGGTGACAGGGAAAGAGCCCAGTTCACAGAGGGAAAGGCAGGATTCCCCGGGGAGACTCACCCCTCCAGGAGCTGATGGTTCTGGCTCAGGGAGTCCCTGTCCTGGGGTAGAGGATGCAGCCTAGAATTTTGGAAGGTTTGGGGGCACCCTAGTCCACAGGGCTCCATCCCCCAGTGTGGCAGCCAGCCTCTAAAATGGCCCCTAAATGATCCCTGCCTCCTGGAATTCATGCCCTCTGTGACCCCTGCTTCCCCTCCATGCAAAGGAGCTTGGAAACAGATCCCTCCTGCCCGGTTGAGCCTCAGATGAGACCACAGTTCTTTCCAGCGACGTCGGCTGAACCCTTCCTAAGTTGCACCACGAACACCCCTCCTGCTACAGTGGAGAGTGCCTTGGCCCAGAGAGGGCTACCAACCTGCCCAAAGTAACTCAGACAGCTGGTGGCTGAGCCAGGACTGGGACCCACATTCCTAATTCCCAGCTCTGTTCTGGGCCCAGTCACCACAGCACCCCCCTCCTGGAGGCTCAGCCCAGCTGCAGCCCTGGAGGGAGGGGCCAGCGGCTGGGGCTCTCAGCCCCTGTGTCTCAGGCGCACACTGGGCATCAGTGCCTTTGCTCTCTGGGGCCCTGCCAGGCTACTTTCCTCCCACGCTGCGGTAACATGGAAAGGCTTCCAGATATCACCACACAGGTGATTTGACCAAGACAGTTGTTAACTGTGGAATGAGAATAACGGCCTGCCTGGAAAGAGCAGGCCCTGTGTGCCAGGCATAGCCCATGAGTCCACTCTTCCTCCCGACAGCCCTTAGAGAAAGATCTCTTCTTGTGGGCGTTTTCTTTTTTTTTCTTTTTTTTTTTTTTGGCCGGGGGGCTTGGGGGAAACGGAGTTTGGTTCTTGTTGCCCACATTGGAGTACAATGGTGCGATCTCGGCTCACTGCAACCTTCACCTCCCAGGTTCAACTGATTCTGCTGCCTCAGCCTCCTGAGTAGCTGGGATTACAGGTACAGGCATATGCTGTCACACCTGGATAATTTTTGTATTTTTAGTAGAGACGGGGTTTCTCCATGTTGGTCAGGCTGGTCTCGAACTCCCGACCTCAGGTGATCCGCCCACCTCGGCCTCCCAAAGTGCTGGGATTACAGGCGTGAGCCACCACGCCTGGCCTCGTGGGCATTTTCTAGCTGAGGAAAGGTAAACTCAGAGCCCACGGGGGTGGTCAGTGTGGAGATTCAAACCCAGCCCTGTCTCTAAAACCCTGCCCCTTCCGCTTGCCCTCACCACAGCAGGGCCCCAGTGTTCCCAGAACCTCTGTCCCCGCCGTGCCCCCTCACCCACTCACCGGCTGCTCAGGGTCCCCACCTGTGCTACCACCTGGCTGACAGCACTGGCTCCATGCTTGCTGGGCCTGGCCCCTCGGACCGAAAAACTGGGCCTGGGGTGGCCAGAAGAGGCCCAGCTCCACACCAGTCAGCAGTTCCAAGTCCCACAGGAGCTGCAGGAAGATGGGGTGCCAGGGCGTGAGGGGGCACCCACCCTGGCCTCAGCCACACCCCCAGCCAGCCCTTACCTGCTCCTGGGCCCGCCGGCTCCACTCCATCTGCAGCAGTACAGGGGGCAGCTCCAGCCCTGGGGGATACCCGCGGCCCTCTTGCACCTGGAGGGGCAAGATGGTGTCAGGTCCCCGCCTGTCTCCTTCCTTCTGAGGCAGTGCCCCTCCCTCACCTGCCAAAGTGCAGCCCTGAGCTGGCCTGGGCTTGCGGGGCACCAGAAGAGATACTGGTACAAAGCCAAGGCCTGTCTGGGGCTGCAGGGGAGCCCTGAGGCCCCCGGGGTGGCTGCCTGCACCATGCGGAGCCTGGAGGGAAGCGGAGGACAGGAAACCAAGAGCCAGGAGCAAGGAAGGACAAAGGCTCTGATCTCAATCATGCAGGGCCTGACACCTGAGCCCTGGCTGGACGGCGGCCAAGCCTCATAGACTCTGACCTGTCTCTGAGATGGCTTTTATGGCCCTACAAGTGGCAGCGTGGAGTGAGCAGTGTGACCCCGAAAGAGGGAGGTATACGCATATGCTTGTTTACAGCCCCCAGTGAGCATTTGTTTGACATATACTGTACAAGCATACATATGCACATCAACCACACAGCTGCATTATTTGGGCACACAATATGCCCAATATGGGTAGCAACAGCAGCCGCTACCAACAGTTTAGCTTGTGCGGGAATGAAGATGCTTCGTACATATAATCCTTCCTTGCAGCAACTCTATGAAGCAGGCTCTATTATTATCCCCACTTTATAGGCAAGAAGACTGACTCAGAAAGCAACTTCTCCTAGGCCAAGTGTGGTGCTTCACATCTGCAGTTCCACCACTTTGGGATGATGAGGTGGGAGGATGGCTTGAGCCCAGGAATTTGAGACCAGCCTGGGTGACATAGCAAGACCCCACCTCTTAAAAAAAAAAAAAAAGTTAGCCAGAAGTGGTAGCACGCGCCTGTAGTCACAGCTACTTGGGAGGCTGAGATGGGAGGATTGATTGAGGCTGGGAGGTCAAAGCTGCAGTAAGCTGTGATCGTGCCACTGTATTCCAGCCTGAGTGACAGAGCAAGATCCTGTCTCTTAAAAAAAAAAAAAAAAAAAAAAAAAAGGAATAGCTTGTCTTAACATGTGGCAGCATTTTTTTCTTCTGGAGATGGATGGATGTGATACCCTCTGGGAAGACATGGTCCCGGGAGCCCAGGCCGTCCATCAGCAAGAGGCGAGTGGTAAGAGGCCCTGCCCCAGCGAGCACTACCCACATGCTTATCCATGCTGTCCACCTAGTAAGTGCTGTCCATGCATCACTGTTCATTCCCCAACACATACCAGACGCTTGTTACTATCATCCTCATCTCGCAGATGAATAGACAGGTCATTTAAGTTATCTAATCAGGAGAGGGGCTGAGTGCAGGAGCTCTGCCATCTTTACATCCTGCCCTGTCGTGAGCAGATTTGCCTGCTGGCTACTTTGTCCCCATTCCGTGAGAGAACAGAGCAGACCCTCCTCTTGGCCAGAAGAGAAAACAGCGTCAATGAAAGAGCAATCAGGCTGAGTGGCCTCCAATTCAACCTGGCGCTCTTTTGCGTCCTTGCCTGAGCACAAAGCCCTTCACTCCCTGTTGGAATAGCAGGGAGCAATGAGGATGGAGTCCCCTGACCTCATGACCAAGGTCCCTAAAACACCAAGGTCACAGAGCTGGTAGGCAGCAAAGAAAACTTGAATTCTGGACTTTTTCTATCTCAAAACCCATGTTCCCTCCCTACAGTGACGTCTTTACATGCTGCCAGTGTCTACTGCCCATATGTCTGCCCAGGGTGGGTGTGGCTGTGAAGGCAGGCAGGTATGCATTGCACGTGCTTATCTGGGTTTCTGAGGGATGTGTGTTTCTGTGTGCACACGCAGGTACATGTCCACACTGCATTGTGGTCTATTGCTTCTGTTTCTCACCCCAGGCATAGGGTCCCTGTGTCACTAGCTCTCAGAGTGGCCCAGAAGGTGCCTGCACACTCAGTATCCCCAAGCCACAAGGAAGGGGGAGGCCATTCTCTGATGCAGCCCCTTCTCCGTGGTTCCTCAGCCCCTGCAGGATCCCACATGGATCCACAGAAGGTACCACATGGGGCCACACGTCATGCCTGCTACACAGAATGAGCACAGGGCTAAGACCAGGGCACCAGGGTCCTCCTTCTACCCACTGCAGGGTTTCCCAGACAGCACCAGGGAGTGGCTGGGTGGGGCAGCCCAGGCATGCAGGTGCAAGGAGTAAGCATGGTGCCGTGATTCTGCGGCCACTGATCACTGGACCCCATGTTCCTGGCAGCCCAGCCTCTGTCCCAGCACCAGGAGGAAATACACACACACACAAGGAAGCCTTCGGGCAGGCCTAGAGTTTACTGCTGGTGACTCAACATGGCGGGGGTCTTTGCAGGGCAGGGGCCCAGGCTCCAGTGTCCAGGCAGGGCATTCTCTCCATAGCCCTAACCAGGGTGGGAACTGCTCGCCAAGGGGAGACTCCTGGCCTGATGAACCCTTATCAGGCACTGTCCTGGCTCAGGGTGTCTCCTGGGGCTCCCGGCTGGGGCTGGGCCGAGCACCAAGTGGCTGGTCTCCAGTGAGCAGGACTTGGGGGCAGGCCTCGGGTGGGATGCAGTGGGCCTCATGCTCCACCAGGCCTGCAGGGCACTGGCAGCCGGGCACGCAGGGCCTCACGCAGTGGGCTGCCAGCTCCCCCAGGGGGATATGCTGATTGAAGCAGGTGCGGGGACAGGGTGGGCCGCACTCATCAAACACGAAGCCACGCTCCAGGGGGCAGCCTACCACTGCAGGGGGAGTGGGAGGCGGGGTTACCAAGGCACCTGAAACTGCCCCAGTTGCTGTGCGTACCCCTGCGAGACTCGCCATACCCGGCCTGGTCCTGCCCTGAGCCCTCCGGGCTGCCCTTCTTCTCTGTGCTGAGCCTCCCCCAACCTGCAGCGGGCATCACCCCCTCACCACACAGCGTGGGGCCTCGCCAGGTAGGTGTCACTCCTGCCTGGCGACAGTGACTGGCGTAGGCTTCCAGGGCATCACAGAGGCAGGCATCAGCGGAGGAGCCAGGGCCACAGGCACACAGGTCATACACACAGGCGGCAAAGAAGGGCTCCGGTGGCACCACAGCATGGCAGCGACTGAATGGGGAGGACTTCAGCACCCCACACCGGGCATTGGCCTCACGCCTGGCACGGTAACCTGCTGCCCGGCACGGATCCACCTCTCGGCCTGCAGAACAGGGCCGGCCAGGCCACAGCCCCTCTGAGACCTGGGTGGGGAGAGCAGCCCTGACGTGACAGCACCACTGGCAGCTGGCCTCTGCATGCCGTGCTCTTCAAAGCACTTCCCACCCAGTCATTTGCTTTAGTCCCCAAAACCTCCCTAAAAGAACAGCAAATGAAGTACTGTCTACCTTCTTTTTGTCCCCATTTTACAGAAGGACAGACCAAGGCCAGAGTAGGTCAGCACTTGTCCAAGGTCACACAGCCAGTGAGTGGCAAAGCAAGGCTTGAGGGTTCAGGTAACAAGCCTTCTTTTTTTTTTTTTTTTTTGAGACAGAATTTTGCTCTTGTTGCTCAGGCTGGAGTGCAGTGGCACGATCTCAGCTCACCACAACTTCCACTTCCTGGGTTCAAGTGATTCTCCTGCCTCAGCCACCCGAGTAGCTGGGATTACAGGCATATGCACCACCAGGCTGGGCTAATTTTGTATTTTTAGTAGAGATGGGGTTTCTCCATGTTGGTCAGGCTGGTTTCAAACTCCCAACCTCAGGTGATCCACCCACCTCGGCATCCCAAAGTGCTGGGATTATAGGCATGAGCCACCCTGCCCGGCCAATGAGGCCTCTTTTGACAAGCCACCCTACCTCTCCAGCACCAAGACAGGCAAGAAGCCCCCACACCTCCCTGAAAGCCCAAAAGCCTATCTTGTGTGACTTCGCCCCCCTTCCCTGCTTTCCATGCCAGAGGGTTGCTCTGAGACTCATGCTCAGCTGCGTCTCCCCTAATCCCCATCCCCGGTTCCTGTACCACTCACCTGCCAGCTATTCCCAAACGCAGCCTCCGAGGGCAGGAGCAGCCCCTCAGGGCCCTGCAGATCGTCCTGGGCAAAGCCATTGAAGTTCCCACAGAGCCCACAAGTCCGGCCCTGGTAGGAGCCAGGTACGCTCACCTCCACCTGGGACTGCCCATCCCACAGCACCTGTGTGGAGAGGCCTGAGACTGGGGAGCAGGGAAGGACAGGGGCCTTAAGAAGCCCAGGGTCCATCATGGCCCCAGGCACTGTGTTCAGTGCGGCCAGTGCTGTAGGGGAGGAGAATGGACAGGTGGAGGCTCCCCTTGGAAGAAACACCACCCTGGCCAAGGCCAAGTGGATACATTCTGTGCCAGCCCTGGGCAAAGACAGATGACAGGAGGAGCTGCCCACAGCTCCTGCATGAGGGCACCTTCTCCTGCTGCCATCCCTGCACTGGGCCCCAGGTGAAATGCAACCCCCTTCCGGGGATTCACTTTCTCATGGGCATTCGGGCCTTGCAGAGGACAAAGCACAATTAGGGTCCGGATTAGAAGTGTACACCCTTATTCTACGAATTTACGAGTTGTGTTTCCTGCTGGGGGCAGGGGGCAAATTACTCTTCCACATGAGAGTTGGAAGGAACCTGAGACACCCCCCCAGGAGACTTCAGCTGACATCCTCCCCACTGCCACTGACCCTTCCCATTCCCCACTTTACAGACGAGAAATCTGTGGCCCAGAGGAGGCTGGTGGTGGCTTAAGAGGCTGAGCCGAGATTAGAAATCGGGCTCAGAACTCAGAACTCCTCTGACTGCCTGGGGAGATCTCTGACCCTGATCCACCTCCCCTCACACCCCTGTACCCCACTCCTTGCCTTTTTTGGCTAGGAGGTAGCTGGCATCCCCACCCCCTCTACAGATACAGAGGCCTAAACAGGACTGAAGCTCCCAGCAGGCAGCCCACCCAGACTCGCCCTGGAGCCGCACCTGGAGCCCGGGCTGGGCGTGCAGGATCACAGTGTGTCCTCGCAGCTCCACATACAGCAGCGGCTCCTGCAGGAAGGGCAAGGCCACCGGGTGCCCATCCACCTGGAGGATAAAGGAGGTGGGAGGAGGGGTGATGTCGAGGCACATGGGTGGACAGCACAGGATCCACCTTCCTCCACTCCTCGGCTTTGCTCACCGTGACTGCCCCGTCCTGCAGCAGCCGCACGGCCATGTCTCCCAGCAGCACCGCCACCTCCTGGGTCCAGGCCACACCGCTCCGGCCCCGGTCATCATTGGTCACGTGCACACTGTGGGCAGGAAAGTCCCAGGTGCCAATGGTCAGCAGGGCTGGGTGTAGGGGTTGGGGAGAAGAGAGACAGGGGATGCACACCTGAAGTCCCCGCTGTGGCAGTCCTTGGCCAGCACATAGCTGCAACTGCCCTGGAAGTGCAGCAGGCGGCCGTCGAAGGTGCGGTAATGGGGGTCTCCGAAGGCCATGCAGGAAGCGGGCCGAGGCAGGCAGCGGGGGCAGCAGCTGCCAGGACTCAGGGCAGGGGCCTTGTCCTGCACTCAGCCCCAGACACTGTCAGACACACCGCCCTCCCCGCCATGCCTCTCGCAGACCCTCCCAGAAAACCAAGCATCTCCCAGGAGTCTCCAGGGATCTCCAGGACTCTGGCTCCCAGGCTCCCTGTGAGTGAGGTCAGGGCACCACATCGTGGTCGCACTGGGAACAGCACTGTCCCCAGCTCCCAGCTGGCGGCAGGAGCCCAGCCTCCCTCTCTGATGCCTGGTCACACCAGGATGGCGGTACCATGTGCCCCCACCCTGACCCTCCCCACCATTTTAGATTGCGGCACTCACGGGGCCACACGAGAGCGGTGAGCAGCGCTGGCTCTGGCAACGCACGGTGCCCGCCATGCAGGAGCAGCTGGTGCAGGTGTCCACAGTCCAGCGCTCTCCAGAGGCCACCTCACGGCCCTGGTGCACGCAGGACTGGGTGGGAGCTGAAGGGATAGGAGCTGGGAGGGTCAGCTGCTCCTCCCACATGCCCAGAAGGTCTGGCTTACCCCTCCCCCATCACCCTGGCTGCGCACCTTGGCATCGCTCACAGCAGCTGTCAGCCTGGGGCACCTTCGCCCAGCCATGGGGGCAGGAGAGGGCCTGGCACTCCTCGAGGTGGCACTCCACATGGCCCCGCTGAGGACAGACATCATTGTTCTGGGGTTTTCTGCAGGGCCGGAGTCCCCAGCCTCATGCTTCTGGGGGCCTCTGGGCATGGACTTCTGCCTGCCCCTCCCACAATACATTCTTCACAGTTCAAGAGGGGAATGAAATCCAGCCTTCGGCTCCATGCCCCGGTGCAGGGATGCCCCTGACCCTTAAAGACCCCATATCTGCTGGTGGAGTGTTGGACACTCCTCCCTTTATCCATCTGCGAGATCCTCCACCCTCCCAGGCCCACCCCAGCTCACATGGCAGGTGCAGGCGATGCACGCATTGCTGGGGTCCCGCCAGCTCTCTCCATCTGCCACTCTCCGGCCCTCGGCCTCCACCACACATTCTGAGGGGGGAGACATGGGATGGGCAGGCACTGTCCCTCCTGCTGTATCCTCCCTCCTTGGAGCTTACCCAGCATTTCACGGCAGGAAAGCACCCACTCCGTGTCCCTACCACCCTGATGGTGTTGATTTCTTCAGCCAATATCCACAGGGCCTATTAGACATCAGGCCTCACATCAGAGCTCAGGATGTCTCTAGGGTCCTAGGAGCCCAAAGGGCCAGAGGCTGGAACCCCACTCTGGGCCAGCTGCCCGCTCAGCAGTGCAATGCCCTCTTCATGGGCCTGGGGATCCTGAGCCCCCTGACAGGCATCAGGCCAGACCTTGAGAATCTAGGCTTCATCCCAGCTTCCCCCTGCCTCATGGGTCTCTTCTCCACCTCAAGAACAGCCCCCCTCCATTTCTAGAAAAGAATGAACCCTGCATTCTGTTCTAGAAACCGAGTACAAACCCTGGGCTGCCCGCTTGGCCCATGAATGCCTCCCCTTCCTGTGTTCCCCCTGGGCTCCTCTCTGAGGGTGGAGGCCAAGGCTGGGCACTTACCCCGGCATACGGGGCAGCAGCTCCCAGGGGGAGTGTGGCGCTCTGAGAGGGGACAGCTGAGCTCAGGACAAGCCTGGTGGATGCAGAGCCATGTCAGGTCCTGCCCATGTGAACACAAGAGGTAGAGAATGGCAGATCTCAGGGAGCTGGTGGAGGAGTAAGGCATAGGCAGGATGTGACAGTCAGGACAAGTGGGCAAATGTCAGGGCGAATGGAGAGCCCTGGAGCTGCTGCGGGAGAGGAGTGGCAGCCACAGCCCACAGAGAAGGAAGAAGAGGGGCTCTGTGAGTCCCCAAGGCAGGAGGGCTCACCTGGCACTGGCACGTGTAGCAGGGGTCTGGTGGGGCTAGCTCAGATCCCAGCAGGCCCTCTGAACAGTTACTCAAGGCCTCTGTGAAGACAAGAATCCAGAGTGCGGGACAGAAAGAGGGGCACAGGGCTGGAAATCCCAGCTGTCCCCATGCACTGTGTCCCCAGGTTTCTAACTCGAACTCCTGAGCATACCCATATCCCAGCACCTTGACTCCAGGGAGGATAAGTCCTCTTTCTCTTCAATTCAGTCAAGTTTACACGTTTTAAAAGAAACTTTGCTAGGCTATTATTTGGGGCCGGGTGGGGGTGCAAGGTGACTGGAAACAGACCAACCATGGCTTCCTTAGCCTGAGGTCACTAAAAATGGCCAGTCTGCGGCCTGCTCTCCCTCCCGCTATCTGTAATACAGTGTGGCTACAACTGCGCAGGGAAGCACACAGCCAGGCATCCCGGGTTCGAATCCTGATGCCAGCACTCAGTGCCTGTGCTTATTAGGTTGGATTAATCCACCTCTCTGAGCCTCAGTTTCTTAATCTGTAAAAAGAGATTAATAATACTTCCCTCACTGGGTAACTATGAAAATGAAGCGAGAGACTTTATTAAGAGCACCAAGTACAGTCTGTGGCATGGAACAGGTGCTTAATCAATGTTAGTCTTCTTCCCTTCCCCTGAAGCACCCCCTAGCAAGTGTTGATCAGAGCAGCCCTCCCTGATGGATGCCAGGGATGACTGCACAGCATTATGAACGTATTTAATACCACAAACTGTACACTTAAAAATGGTTAGGATTGTACATTTTAGTGTCTTACCACCATAAAAAACAAACAAACAAACAAACAAACAAAAAACAGAAAAGTCGGCGAGGTGGCTCACACCTGTAATCCAGCTCTTTCGGAGGCTGAGGCGGGTGGATCACCTGAGGTCAGGAGTTCGAGACCAGCCTGGCCAACATGTTAAAACCCCATCTCTACTAAAAATACAAAAATTAGCCAGGCTTGATGGCGCATGCCTATAATCCCAGCTACTCGGGAGGCTGAGGCAGGTGAATCCCTCGAATCCAGAGGTTGCAGTGAGCCGAGATTGTGCCACCGCACTCCAGCCTGTGCGACAAAGCGAGACTCCGTCTCAAAAAAACCAAAACCCAAATAAAAAAACCAAATTGGAGAAAATAGGATTATCATTAAAAAAAAAAGTATGTTTTTTCTTTCTTTTTTTTTTTTTGAGACAGAATCTCGCTCTGTTGCCAGGTTGCAGTGTAGTGGCACCATCTCAGCTCACTGCAACCTCTGCCTCCCGGGTTCAAGCTATCCTCCTGCCTCAGCCTCCCGAGTAGCTGGGACTACAGGCATGCCCCATCATGCCCAGCTAATTTTTGTATTTTTAGTAGAGACGGGGTTTCACCATGTTGGCCAGGATGGTCTCGATCTCTTGACCTTGTGATCCTCCCACCTTGGCCTCCCAAAGTGCTGGGATTACAGGCGTGAGCTACCAACCTCGGCCTGTTTTTTCTATGTAAGGATAACGTTCACCTGTATTGCAAAGGTAGGTTATCATTTCAGTGTTGGTATAGGACCAGAAACAGAAAAAAATTCCCTCCACAACAAATGTAAAATGGCTGTGTTAGGTAAACAACTATTAAATCCAGGAGACAGAAATTGGCCATCTTTCAATATTTGTAATAAAAATAAAACTGTTTCTTTACTTTTCCCCCCAATCTTAATAAATTTTTACTCTAACAACGACAACAAAAAAAGCTCGCCCACCCCTGTGGCTGGGCTACCCCCTGCCTGCCTGGGCCTCACGTCTCAGCACAACTGTCGCCCTGCAGCGCCACCTGCTGGCCAAGATGCTCCACAAACTGCACCCAGCTGCGGAGAGGCAAAGGGTTCCTGTCAGCTTCCCCAGTTCCCTTAGGGATGGTGCAGCCCTCGCCGGCCAGGCATAGGGTTCCAGAACAGTCCACTGGAGTCAGGAAGAATCTGGGGCTGGGACTGGTGAGGAAGGGCGGCAGGGGGTGGCAGCCCTAACCTCATATCTCATCTACCCCCACATCCCTGGACTCACCGGCACAGGTGGGACAGCAGTGCTGGGGCCCAGGGGGCAGGAGCTGGCTGGGGGGGCAGCCCACCAGGCTGGGACACTGCCGCCGGTGACAGCGAAGGCTGGGAGGCCCCTCAGGCTGTGGCTACAAGAATGAGTGAGCAGCGGTGGGTCCTGGGCCACAAAAACCCAGAGCTGCCCTTGGCCGGGACTTCCGGCCCCTCCCTCTGCCTGCTGCAGCCTCTTCCGGGACATGTCTTGGGCCCTGAACTCAAGGCTGAAGAGAGACTCAGTGTCTTCTAGACGTGCTCCTCACCCCATGCCCTAGTCTCTGAGATGATGTCTCCTTCTCCTTTAAGTCACTTGGGCCTGAGCCCTCATGTGACCTTTGATCCTCCGGCAGGCTCATGCCATCCTCCTCCCCAGGCCCATGGCTTAGTACCCTGACCTGTGATGTCATTTGCCTGCTCCAAGCCCTTCCATGGCCTTGCAAATAGAATCTCCACAATATGACCCCTAGCCACGTCCCAGGTGGCTCTCCGGCCATACACACCCGCCCTGCACTGCAGCCAGGGGGGCCACCTACGGCCTCCTGCACACTTGGAACCTGCGCTCCTTGTCTAAACCCAGACCTCCTGGCCCTGTTGGCCCCAACCCTGCCTTGTCTCCTGGCCACAGGGATACACTCCTTTGGCCCCCAGAGTGCCTGCTCCATGCAGTGACCAGCTTGGCTGGGCCTCATCCCATGCTGCCCACTCCCCCCCGACGAGGTGCCCCAGCCCCACCACTGTGCCCTCACCTACCTCGCAGATGCACACTTCACAGGGGTCTGCCCCAGGCTGGAAGCTCTCCCCAGGCTCGTACTTCCGGCCCTCATGCTCACAGTCTTTGGGGTGGAGTGAGAGCAGAACGGGACCAGGGGTCCTTCAGGCTGGCAGCGAGGCAGGGGTGGAGTCCTCTATCTCCAGCCTCCCCCTGATCCCAGGGAGTGGAGTGTGCACAAGGACGGAGGCCACTTCTCCAACTGCCTGTCTCTGCCACCCGGCCCAGCAGCGGCAGGGAGGTGTGGGCCCAGGGCTCCCTCCTCGCCTTTCCCCTCCCGCCCCAGGCTTCCAGTACCAGAGCATTGAGGACAGCAGTCATGGGGCCCTTGGCGGGGCTGGGCGCAAGAGCTGATGCACTGGATGCGTGCACAGGTGACGACGCCCTCGTGACACACACAGGAGGAGCAGGCACTGTCGGGGGGCACCCATCTACTGCCTTCGGGGTGCTCTTCCCCATGAGCCAGGCAGCCTGTGGTGCAAAGTGGGCAGGGACGAGCTCGGAGGTTGAGATCTGGACATCTGCTCCTGGCCCCCACCCTCAGTGGTCAGCTAGGCACGTGGCGCCAGGAGTGAGTTTGCAGGGATATGGCGGGAAGGTGCGATGGGGCAGAACTCCTGTCTGTTGTGGAGGGGAAAGGCACTGGGAGGGGTTCAGAACACCTGGGTTCTAATCCTGTTCTGTTCCTACCTGCTCTCAAGACCAAGCTCCAGGCAGCAGGCACTGCCCAGTGCAGCCCGCACCGGCCACAGACCTGGCATGCAGCAGCTGTGTCATAAATGCATGTGGACCAGGTGAATGGCTCCATCGCTAACCATGTGCCCAAGGTAACTCAGTCTCTCCGGGCCTCAGTCTCCTCATCTGTTAAATGGGGATTTCCTCTGTCCTGCCTCCCTCCCAGAGCAAGTGAAATGCTATGACAGTTCTGTGGTTCTGTAGAAACACCACCACACTGCGCAGGGTGTGGGACGAGGGGGCAGTGGGCAGGCTAAGAAAGGCTCAAGTTCAGAGCCAGATGGTCCAAGTGTCCATCTTGACTCTGCCACCTTCTCTACCTCTCTGTACCTCCACTTTCTCGTCTGTAAAATAGGAGGACTAAGAGTGCTTATCTGGTAAGTTGTTGTGCTGATTAAATGAGATAATACACGTAAAGTGCTCAGGGCCTGGCACATGCTACCTGCTCACTGAATGTCAGGTATCTTGATGATGATGATGATGGTGGTGATGATGATGATGATGATGAATGGGGTGTGGTTAGGAAGAGGGGCAGCTTTTTGTTTTATTTTTTAGACAGAGTCTTCTTTGTTGCCCAGGCTGGAGCACAGTGGTGCAAATGCAGCTCACTGCAGCCTCAAACTCCTGGGTTCAAGTGATCCTCCCACCTTGGCCTCCCAAAGTGCTGGGATTGCAAATGTGAGCCGCTGCACCCAGCCCAAGACAGGCAGCTTTGAGGGAACTCTAACCAGCACCTGGAAGAGGGATGGTCTGGGCAGTCCCGGACAGGGAGAGGTAGGAGAAGCTGAAGGTGGCAAGGGTGTATGCAAGGGCCAGTTGTTGGGGCAGGGAGGTGGGAGAAGAGCTGGCTGAGGGGAGGGAGGTGGGGTGGACAGAGGGACACAGGGCCAAGGGGCTGAAGCAAGGGGTAGGGCTACAGGCGGCCATACCTCTGCAGCGAGGGCAGCAGCTCCCCCGCTCGGTGACCTGGAGCTTGCAGGGAAGGGGTGGGCACTGCAGCCGCACACAGCTGACCTGGCCAGCCTGTAGGAGATGCAGGGACACTGGCTCGCTGCCTAGGCTGGGGCCCAGAGGTGCTATGGTCCAGCTGTCACTCCACACCCCCCACCTCCTGCTATACCTGACAGCGACACCACTCACAGCTGCCTGCTGGTCCCTCAAACTCCTCCCCATCCTGGTGCTCCCGGCCCTGAGAGAGACAGCCTGTGGGGGACACACCTCCTGGGTGGGGGGCCTGTGCCACCCTGCCCTGCTCGGCCCAGCCTTAGGCCTGGCAGGAAGGGAAGGGGGAGGGAGAGGCGGGGAAGGGCATGGGGGCCGCGCATGAGGAAGGCAGCTCACTGTGGCAAACAGGGCAGAAGCAGGGGCCTGGAGAGGGGTGGGGGCAGAGAGCTGGGGGACATGGCTTCTTCTGGCAGCGCATGGAACCTTCCTGGGGGAGAGAGGCCCATCACACCCTCAACTGGACTGCACATTTCCCCAGGGCTGGAGCCCCTACTGAGCCTGCAGGGGCCCAAACACCCTCCCTTGGCCCGGGACACCTGAGCCCAGTCCTGTCCCATGAGATGTGAAGGGCAGAGTGTAGCCCTTGCCACCTGAGTGGAGGAGACAGCCTCTTCCTGGCCAGAGAGGAGTATCAAGGGAGGAAAGGTTACCAAGGTCCTAAAGGGGCTGCCTCACCTGGCAGGTGCAGAGGGAGCAGGTAGGGTCAAGTGGGTCAGGAAGGGTCTCTCCGGAGGCAGTAGTGACGCCATGGTAGCGGCATCCTGGCAGAGCGGGGAGTCCAACAGAAGAGCTGCCATCAACAGAACCTCCACTGTCACACACACACACAGCCCCTCCCCCTCCACACATACACAGCCACAGCCACAGACACACACATAGCCACACACACACATACCCATATACACAGCCACACCCACAACCACATACACACACACAGCCACACACATACATACACGCATATACACACAGCAGGTGGGAGTGCAACAGAAAACCTGCCATCAACAGAACTGCCACTGTCACATACACACACAGCCCCTCCCCCTCCACACATACACACACAGCCACACCTACACCCCCCCACACACAGCCACACACACATACATACACAACCACACCCACATATACATACAGCCACACACACACATACACACATATACCCATATACACACACAGCCATAGACACACACAGCCACACCCACACTCTCATACACACACACATAAACACACAGCCACACACACACATACACGCACCCACATACACACATACCCATATACACAGCCACATACACACACACACACACACATACACACATACCCACCTACACACAGCCACACAAACATACACATAGCCACGCACACACATACACATACACACCCACACACACAGCCATACAAACACATAGCCACACACACATCCCCACATACACAGATGCACACACACCCACACACAGAGACCCCCCCACATACACACCCACACACAGCCACACACACACATACACACACACACACACACATCCCACATACACAGACACAAATACAGACACACACACACATACCCACATACACACAGCTACAGCCATACACACACACACACACACACAGGGCCACACACACATACACAGCCACACAAACACACATATACACACAGTCACACATACACACACAGATACACAGCCACACACACAGATACACAGACACACATACGGTCACACACACACGTACACAGACACACATACACTGTCACACACACAGAGCAACACACACACACAGATACACCCACACAGAGCAACACACACACACACACACACATACACAGATACACCCAAACACACAGGCCAACACACACAGCCACACACAGATACACACATACACACATACAGCAACACATACACACACATATACACACGGCCACACACACACAGAGCAACACACACACACAGATACACAGATACACCCACACAGGCCAACACACACAGCCACACACAGATACACACATACACACATACAGCAACACATACATACACACACATATACACACGGCCACACACACACAGAGCCACACACACACAGCCAGACACACACACACACATACAGACACACACACATACACAGCCACACACACACAGAGCCACACATACACACACACATACATACAAACACACAGCCGTGCCCGGGACCTCTATCAAAGGTGAGGGAGTCGGAGAGTGAGAGAAAAGTATGGTGGAGCGGCAGGCAGTGGGAGGGCTGGGAGGAAAGTGGAATCGGTGAGAAAGGCACCCCGGGAGCCCCAGCAGGGGGAATGGAAGGGCAGGTGTGGCTCTACCCTGGCAGGTCGGGCAGCAGTGCCCAGAGGGGATGAGTGGGTGGCTGCAGCCCGGAGGCTCACAGGGCCGGCGGCCGCAGGTCACGAAGCCTCCAAGACAGGTACACAGGTTGCAGGGTTCTCGGGGGTCTGGGAACTCCTGGTTACTCAGGTAGGACTCCCCCAGGTACTCACAGCCTTTCAGAGAAGAGACAGAGAGGCCGAGGGGAGGGACAGAAAGGGATGAGAGGGCAGTGGTCATAGGCTCTGAGCTTGGGCCTGTTATGCATCCAAGATCTCAAAGATCTAGCGTGGGGGCTGGGGGGTCACAGGCCAAGCCCAGGGGGCAAAGCAGTCGTGAGGGGGGCGGGGTTTGGATTGGCCAAAAGGCAAACTTTCTCCCCTTTATCCTGCAAAAAACCTTCCTGTTTAATTTGTAGAAAAACACCCACAAGGAATCTGCTGCCCCTGGGGTTAAATACTCAGCAGGCCATTGCCAGAGGCACCAGTTTCCCAACCCGGAGAGCTGGGAGTAGCCCCAGCTGACTCAGGTGGTGTGGACCCAAGGTAGCGCCTTTCCCACGCTCTTCCGAGCCCACTGATGAATCCAGGAAGGGGTGGGGTCCCAGGGTGGTGACAGCCCGCTCTTGGCACCTCTGCCATTTGCTCACCTCCCTTTTTAAAAAAGAAGGGTGAATTTCAGGCTCAAAGCCTTGGTGGGCAAAAGTATCTGACAAGGATTTAACAACATTATAATTTTAATTATATTCATTTTTATGGTAATGTGGTCCTGGCAAGTCTAATTTTCCACTTACAGTGTGATATAAAACTCCTTTCTAAATCAAATTAAATTAATAAGTGAGTTAATTGGAAGGCAAATAGTAAATAAAATTACAGTTGGTAAGGGCAAGTGGCCAAAATGGCCAAGATCGCACAAGAGTGAGGGAAGACAGGGGGACTGGGGGACTGGGTCTTTTTACAAGAGCCAAATTTAGGCCCAGAGAGGCTATGTAACTTGCCCAAGACCACACGGCAAATAGCAACAGAGGCAGGAGAAGATCCAGGCTTTAGTGTCAGGCTTTTTTTTTTTTTTTTTTTTTTTTTTGAGACAAGGTCTCACTCTGTCACCCAGCCTGGAGTGCAGTGGTGAAAACACGGTTCACTGTAGCCTCAAACTCCTGGGCAATCCTCCCACCTCAGCCTCCGGAGTAGATGGAACTACAAGAGGCACCACGACCAGCTGATTTTAAATTTTTTGTGTAGAGACAAGATCTCTCTATGTTGCCCAGGCTGGTCTTGAACTCCTGGGCTCAAGTGATCCTCCTGCCTCAGCCTCCCAAATTGTCGGGGTCACAGGCTTCAGCTAGGGCTCCCAGCCTCGGGGCTTTTTCTTACTGTAATAAATATTTTAGATCCACCCTAGGGCAGTAAAGATTATTCTGACCCAGCCCTCTGGTCTCCCGCATCCCACCCCGGCAGCTCCCTATCCCATGACCCTCACCATCACAGTCAGGGCAGCAGTCGCCCCTGGCAGGGAAGGGGCACAGTGCAGGGGCACATGCCTTGGGCTCGCAGCTCACGCTGCCCTCCCAGCAAAGGCAGAGGTGGCAGGCAGCAGTGGGCGATGGGAAGCGCTCCCCGCTGGCAAACTCCTTCCCCTGGTACAGGCAGCCTGGGGAGAAGGGCAGGGGCTGGGGGGCCGTGGGGACTAGAGGGCTGTGGGGACTTGGTGGTCGTGGGGTTGAGGGGCGTGGAGGACGGGTGTCGTGGGGGCCGTGGGGGCTGGAGGTCGTGGGGGCTGGGGGTCCGTGAGGGCGGGGAGGCCGTGGGCTCCGTGGAGGCTGAGGTCCGTGGAGGATGGGTGTCGTGGGGGGCTGGGGGCCGTGGGGGATGGAGGGCCGTGCCGGCTGGCTCCCAGGCCATGCTGACCGGACACTACATTCCTAACAAGATCCCCGACGTGGGCGGAGCGGGCCTGGAGGAAGGGGACTGGGCAGGGCGCTCCGGGGCGGGGCGGGGCGGCAGGACGCGGGTGGCCGGGAGGGGCACCGCCAGGGCGTTACCGTCGCAGGAGGGGCAGCAAGGCCCCTGGCGCGGGTGCGCGCAGGGCGCGGGCGGGCAGGGCAGCCGCTGGCAGGACACGGAGCCGTCGAGGCAGAGGCAGCGGCGGCAGGGATCGCCGGGCGGGGAGAAGTACTCCTGGTGGCGGGCGTGGGCCGCGCCGGGCCGTGGGCAGCCGGCGGGGGCTGGGGCGGCTGCGGCGAGACAGCGCATCAAAGGGGCCCAGGAACAGGCCTCCGAGGGGACCCCCAGGGAGGAGCAGCCGAGGGGTGCGGCCCCTACCTGGGCACTGCGGGCAGCACTCTCCCGGCAGCAGGACAGGCTCTGGACAGGGCAGCGGCACGCAGCGGCGGGCCAGGCACTGCACGTTGCCGCTCTACGGACCGACAGACGCACCACGGGTCAGTGGGTTAGTTGGGGGAGGCCGAGGAGACCCCTCCCACCCAGTGCCACCAGGTCCCACCCCTCCCACCTGGGCGGGCCTCTCCTGGCCTCTGCAAGTCCCGCCTCCACTCCCCTGGGCGCCTCCCACCCAGGTGCAGACTCACCAGACAGCGACACAGACGGCAGGGGTCAGAGGGGTGGGGGAAGTCCGCTCCGCTGGGGTACTCTTTCCCGCCAAAGGCACAGCCTGGGGGAGGGAGGGGCTATAGCCTGGGAGAGGGCGACTGCCCCAGGGCGTGCTGCCTTCCGGGGGCCATGCCATCCCATCCCAGAAGGCCGCCCTGACCCGCCCACCTCACCGCTGCAGTCGTTCGGGCAGCAGGTCCCAGGCAGCGGGTGGGCACAGGGGGCCCTGGGGCAGGGGCGAGGCTGGCAGTGGGCATGGCCTTCCTGGCATCGGCACTCCTGGCAGGGGTCTCGGGGGTGGGAGAAGCTCTCGCCGTCCACAAACACCTCTTCCTCCAGGATGCAGTCTGGGCAGTGGATGGTGGGGGCAGGTATGAGGGCAAAGCCTGACAGTCCCTCCAGCCCTGGAGTCCAGAGCCGCCACACAAGTGCCCACTTGGAAGCTGACTCGAGGGGAAAGAGGAGGAAGTGGCCATGTGCACATGTGTGCAGGCATGTGTATCGTTGTGAGCACACACGAGTGTGCGTGCGCATTGGGGGTCATTCACCTGCAGGCAGATGTGTGTCTCTGAGGGGAAGAAGGGGAGTGCTTACACATGTGTGTACCTGTGTTTGACACACGCCCTCACACAGACTCTCTATGCGGGCAGGGACGTGTCCCATGCATCCCAGCACCCGGCCTCCTACGTGGCAGGCTCAAGTGCCTGCTCATGAACCTGTGTTATCCAGGTAGATACATGGGTTTACCTGGGGGGTAGGGGGGTGGGGGCCCTAGCGTGGTGGGGCGGGGGGCAGTAGTTACTAGAAGAGGAAATGGAGCATGGGAGGAGAGGGTGGTGTAGGTACAGGCAGGAATAAACAAATCTCTCTACTCTCCCTCCCACCCACACCCCGTGAGTTCCAGAGAGTTCTAAGCTCTGAAACAAGACTGAAACAATTCAGAAGGCCATTGCTTTCTAAGGTACCTGTTGGGCCCATGGGGCTGTGGGACAGCAGCCTCTGGGGCCCTGATCCCCTCAGGCCCAGTGAGTGCCCACATACCTGGGCACCTGGGGCAACACTGGCCTGGTCCACTCTGGGGCCTGGCACAGGTCGTGGGAGGGCAGTCAACCAAGGAGCATGTCACAGTTCCATCCTGCGAGAGAGCAGGGGAGAGAGCAATCGGGGCATGCCCAGGAGGGGCTCAGCAGGGCAGCAGCAAGGCTGGGCAGTTACCTGACAGTGGCAGGCATGGCAAGGGCTGTCTGCATCCGTGAAGTTCTGCCCATTGGCATACACTTGGCTGTGGTAGGTGCAGCTGTCACAGCTGGGGCAGCAGGCACCTGGGTGGGGCAGGCTGGTCAGGGTGAGCTGGGTAATGCAGGGGAAGAAAGCCAGGATCAGCCCAGGCACTCACCAGGGGGCTGGGTGGGGTGCTGGCAGGGGGCTGGGGGGCAGAGCACAGCCCCGCACTTGGGTACCCCATCTTGACAGACGCAGGCGGTGCAGGGCCGACCATCAGGCTCCCACTGGACTCCCTCAGCAAACTCCTCTCCATCCAGCTCACAGGCTGTAGTAAGGGGGCTGTCACATGGCAGCCTACACACCTCCCACCCATCCCTGTCCTTCCCAGGACACAGGGACCCCACCTTCGCCATCCCCGCTGACACTGTAGAATGGCTAGTGGACTTAGCAACCCGTACCCCGTCCTGGGAAGGAGCACCCTCCTTCTGCAGCCCTCAGAGGCAGCGCCCATAGCAGCTGCTCCTCCCCCTCTCACACACACCTGGGCAGAGCTGGCGGCCAGAGGCAGGCAGGGCACAGGGGGTGACTGGGCACTCCTGCTCCTCACAGGAGACCTCGCCAGCCTAGGAGGGAAGCAGGTGAGACACCCTGAAGGAATGAGGCAGATCTGGGTGTGAGCGGAGGGACCGCCTACCTGGCAGGAGCAGCGGACACAGAGGCCCCGCTCTTGGAGTCTGAAGGTCTCCTGGCTCTGATACTGGTGTCCCTGGTACTCACAGCCTGGATGGGATGACAGGGGCGTGGGGGTATAGGGCTGGAGGCAGAGGGGAAGCTTCACGTCACCCTGAGGTGTCCAACCCCCACCCTGACAAAGAAGACCCAGCCGAGTTCTCCAGGGCGCCCTGCCAGCAGCCCCCTGCCCCCCACAGCTATGCCACAGAAGCGCAGGCCCCAGCATGGTGCCAGTTTGCCATGAGAAGGTGTGGTGAGGACTCACTTTGGGAACAGGGTAACAGGGGCTTAGGTCCAAGAGAAGCAAATCCCCCACACCTACAGCCTCTCTGCAGCCAAGGCCTGCCCCTCCCGCAGAGACCCCGGCCCCCACTCACCATCGCAGACAGGGCAGCACTGCCCAGGGATCTTGCCTGGGTGTCTGCAGGGCACTGGCGGGCAGGGCAGAGGCTCACACTGGACACTCCCATTCTGCCAACAGGGCCTGGTCAGCACGCCAGAGGCAGGCCCCGGAGCCAGGCCCTCCCTGCCAGGCAGCCACACTCACAGCACAGCGGCAGTGCGAGCAGGGGTCCCCTGAGCCCACAGGCTCCCCGCTGCGGTGCTCCCGCCCGTTTAGGAAACAGCCTGTTGGGAAGGGGGGCCTTAGATGTTCCTCAGGGGCCCCTCCCCACCCTCTCCTGGCCTTCATGGGCCCCCGAGCAGGGCCACCCATCAATTTTCTCCAGGTTGCCCACCATGGTCAGGCCTCTGCCCTACCCACTGACTCACCATCACACACAGGGCAGCAGGTGCCTGGGAGGGGCCGGGCTGGGTATGGACACAGGCTGGCACATTCTCGCTGGCGGCACTGGATGTGACCCTCCTGGTGGGGAGAATGAACAGGGGAAGGGGCCGACAGGGCTCAACTGAGAGGTGGAAATGGCATTAGAATCCCAGCTATCCACTTATTAGATGTGTTTATGGGTTGAATTGTGTGTCCCCGCCCCCAAATCCATATGTTGAACTCCTCACCCCCAGCACCTCAGCCTGTTACACTATTTGGAAACAGGGTCATTGCAGATGTAATTAGTTAAGATGAGGTCATACTGGAGCAGGATGGGTCCCTAATTCAATATAACTAGTATCTTTTTTTTTTGAGATGATAAAAAAGACTTGCTGATAAAACAAGTTGCAGGTTTGCAGGTTGCAGGTTGAGATGGAGTTTTGCTCTTGTTGCCCAGGCTGGAATGCAATGGTGTGATCTCAGCTCACTGTAACCTCCACCTCCTGGGTTCAAGCGATTCTCCTGCCTCAGCCTCCCAAGTAGCTGGGATTACAGGCACGCACCACCATGCCCAGCTAATTTTTTATATTTTTAGTAGAGATGGGGTTTCACCATGTTGGCCAGGCTGGTCTCAAACTCCTGGCCTCAGGTGATCCACCTGTCTTGGTCTCCCAAAGTGCTGGGTTTACAGGTGTGAGCCACTGTTCCAGGCAATATCCTTCTAAAAAGGGGAAATTCACACACAGACACACACAGGGAGAATGGTATGGAAAAGAGAAGGCAGAGGTTCAGGTGCTGCAGAAGCCAAGGAATGCCAGAGTTCACTAGCAAATCACCAGAAGCGAGGGCAGAGGCTGGAGCAGATTCCTCCTCACAGTCCCAGAAGGAACCCTCCCACACCTTGATCTCACACTTCTGGCCTCCAGAACTGTGAGAGAATATATTTACATTGTTCAAGACACCCAGTATGCACTTATGCACTTTGTTACAGCAGCCCAGGAAACTCATACAGATACATAAACTAGCATGTCACTTAAGCTCTCTGTGACTCAGTTTACTCGTCTGAAAAAAAATGGACCTGAAAAAATAGTCCTGTTCTCATAGGCTTGTTGTGGGATGAAAGGAAACAAGGGGGCTGGTGTGGCATCTACCTCTAGAAGCTGGTACTTAGCATGGTGGCTACTGCCACTACCCCATGGCCTGACCCCAAAAGACCCCATGCCTTGAATTCACACCCACATCACTGGGCTCACTGCCTCCAGCCCCATCAGGGTCTGAGCAGCCAATGACTTCTCATGGGTGGGGAGAGGGAGGACGTGGTTGTGTCAGAGGCGTTTGAACCAAAGCAACTCCATCTTGAATAGGGGCTAGGTAAAATGAGGCTGAGACCTACTGGGCTGTATTCCCAGATGGTTAGGCATTCTAAGTCACAGGATGACAAAAGAGGTCGGCACAAAATACAGATCATAAAGACCTTGCTGATAGAACAGGTTGCAGCCAAAACCCACCAAAACCAAGATGGCAATGAGAGTGACCTCTGGTCGTCCTCACTGCTACACTCCCATCAGTGCCAAGACAGTTTACAAATGCCATGGCAATGTCAGGAAGTTACCCTATGTGGTCTAGAAGGGGGCATCATGAATAATCCACCCCTTGTTTAGCATATCATCAATAAATAACCATAAAAATGGGCAACCAGCAGCCCTCAGGGCTGCTCTGTCTATGGAGTAGCCATTCTTTTACTCCTTTACTTTCCTAATAAACTTGCTTTCACTTTATAGACTCACCCTGAATTTTTTCTTGTGCAAGATCCAAGAACCCTTTCTTGGGGTCTGGATCAGGACTCCTTTCCTGTAACATCTTTCTGGCGACCACTGAAGGGATGATAGTGCGGAAACCCCCGACCCAAAGGCTAATTTTTGGTAAGTGGTGGGGTCTGGTAATATCTTTCTGGTGAGCCATGGAAGGGACAATACTGAAGAAACCCCCCGACCAGAAGGAAATAGGCTGCAGCACTGACTGGCGGACTGTGGGTAAGTGGGGTGCATATACCCGGGTAAATAATGGGATTGGGTTAGAGGCCCAGCTTAGGGGAATTAGAGGCCTCTCTTAATAAAAGGCAAGGATGCTTGATGGACCTTGGGATAGAGGCCCAACTGGGGAGGGTTACAGTCCCTTCTAATATTTAGAGGGTTAGAGGCCCCTCTGGGTAAAATCCCTCCCGGTTAAGAATGGGTTTGGCACTACGGGATGTTAACTGCTATTCTCTTGGGATTAATCTGCCTTGTACTCTTTGCTGACGGCTATGGGTGACAGGATTAGGCAAGTACAGGATCGTGGGACATGCGGAGCTTTTTCCTCCCTAAAAGGGAAAACTTAAGAGCTAATAGGACTGCCAAAAAAGATCCCTCCATGGCCGGTCGCGGTGGCTCACACACCTGTAATCCCAGCACTTTGGGAGGCCGAGGAGGGCGGATCACGAGGTCAAGAGATTGAGACCATCCTGGCCAACACGGTGAAACTCCGTCTCTACTAAAAATACAAAAATTAGCTGGGCGTGGTGGCACACGCCTGTAGTCCCAGCTACTTGGGAGGCTGAGGCAGGAGAATCACTTGAAACCGGGAGGCAGAAGTTGCAGTGAGCTGAGATGGCGCCATTTCACTCCAGCCTGGCGACAGAGCAAGACTCCATCTCAAAAAAAAAAAAAAAAAAAAAAAAAATTCCCTTCTCTACCGATACACAGCCATCCAAACTTTTGAGCAATAGGTGGGTCTTTCTCTGGCCTCCCTGAGCACTTTGCCTTTCCCACTCTGCCTCAGGCAATGTGTCCCCCTGTGCCCTCCACTGCAAGCTGGGTGAATGAATAGTAATAATCACTGTTTATTTCCTCTGCAAAGTTTTGATTAATGGAAAAGAAGAATGTGTGAGCTAGTCTTAAGCTATAGTGAATCTGGTATGCTTTGTGTGTCTTTCTGTATTGTTCTGTCATAAAGAAAGGTACCTTAGAATAGAACACAGGCTTAGGACACCTGTAAGCCTGCTTTGCAAGACAGCCCAGCAAACTTGTCAGTTACAAACTTTGCTGCAAGTCCCTGAAAAATAACTGGATAAGGTTTCCCTTGTCTTGTATGTCCTTGGGAACTTGACCTTGTAACCACATGGCAGTACTTTCTCTTGGTCTCTGCCATCACAATGGTGACTTGGGTTCAGGGTTCAGCTCACAACTTAGAGGATGAGTCCTTTATCTTCTTTCGTCTGTGTATTTATATGTGTTGTGTGTGTGATGTTTATATAGAAAAGAGCTTTAACTAATTGGTTTAATAAGAGCTTATTTTGTCAGAAAAGTAAAAAGTCTAATGCCTTTTAGTTCATGTGACTTAAGTAATCTTTGGGAAATAAGGACAGTTTTAAAGATTATTGATAAAATAAAAATATCTTCAAAAATGTAGACATTTGGTCTAAATTATGCAGGTCAGATATTAGGTTTGCTAAATGCTTTAAGGTCATAACCTGCTTCTTTGACTTTTGAAAATTATCCAATTTATTTTGGAGCTTTAGATTCTAGATAAGGCCTGGGGACATGTGGAATTAGCCATGTCTCCTAGCTATGCAAAGAAGGTTATAAAGCAAAGAGATTTTATATAAGAAAGGATCTTGTGTGGTAAACTCTTGTCCTAAAGTAAAATGACTGGTTGTTTAAAAAGAGGAATGTTTAGGACAAGTCAGAAAGTCCCAAGCATATTGTAGATTGTCTGTGTGAGTCATGAAAGAATTCATGAAAGGGAATTTATGCAAGAAATGTTGTACAATTTAAAGGTTGTTAGGCCTCCTAAATGTGTCATAAAATGCCACTGTGACTATTTTTTTCTTTTTTTTTTTGAGACAGTCTCACTCTTTTCACCCAGGCTGGAGTGCAATGGTGCGATCTTGGCTCACTGCAACCTCTGCCTCCTGGGTTCAAGCCAGTCTCCTGCCTCAGCTTCCTGAGTAGGTGGAAGTATAGGCATGCACCAGCATGCCCAGCTAATTTTTGTATTTTTAGTAGAGATGGGGTTTCACCATGTTGCCCAGGCTGGTCTCAAACCACTGACCTCAAGTGATCTGCCCACCTTGGCCTCCCAAAGTGCAGGGATTACAGGTGTGAACCACAGCACCCAGCCCCACTATGACTCTTAACTATACAACTTGCCTGCTTTACAGTTAGGTAAGGCCTGGGACATGTGGAGTTTGCCACACCCCTAGCTGTGCTGGAAAATGTCAGACCTTATTCTGCACTTCTGCCTGGTGTGTCCTAGGCTAGGCTCCACACCTAGTACATAGTTAAAATCCTGAACTTACCAAGGTTTTCACCAAAAGTAAAAGTTGCTAAGGATTAACACTGTAACATGTAATTGAGACTACTGAAAAAGCAGTTCTACATGCAAGGCATGTAAGAAAAGTAGAATGTGCTTTTGGTAAAAGATTATAAAAAGTCATGGGAATGTGGGTTTCTAGCCTAAGTTTAGAGAGTTAAAGGATTGTTTTAAGTTAGATAGAATAAAGCTGAAGGTTTGAGCAAGTTGTGGAAGGTTTGTGAAAAATTAATCTTGTAAAAGAAATTGTGTGTGAACATATTGGTTAAAGTTAAAGGGGTATTATTCAGTTTTTCTGTAAATTGAGCATTGGAATAAAAGTACAACAGGTTTTTCTTAAAGCAAAACCTGCTTGTAATCTGCTCTTTAACAAAAATTTGTAAAGGGTTATAAAACATTTATAAAAATCTTACCTTATAGTCAAACTGATTAAGAAATATATTTGTCTATAAGGTTTTATTAAGAATTGGGTTTGACATCAATAATGCACCCGTGCAACAGTGACATTTGGCTTATTTGGTATAAAAGTCATATGGGAAGTATTGTCAAATATGAAATGGTATTTGGTTTTCTTTGGGCTGTATTTGTATAAATGTGTTACTGGTATGTGTTCCAAAATTATAAGAAACTCCTATAATGCTGATATGACTTAGTGTATGTTATTAATAATTATAATTGTTATGTGAAATTATTATATGCCACAAGAGTAACCAAATTTCCTTATCAATTGTGGCTTTAATAGCGGCTGTCCTAAAACTTTTTGCCATCCATAAACAATTGTTGTCTTGTTTTAACCCTCTTTAAAAGGTGGTTTTATAACCAACTATAGGACTTCAACAGGTGCTCTTAAATGCAGGTTTTCTGATAACTTTGGAGATTGTGACATCAGAATAGAAGAAAAAACTTTCAGAACTCAGAGAGCTGAGCTGAAATGTTCATGAGTATCAAACAGAAGTTAACTGCATGGACTCTGACATTATCTATTTGACTTTTTGCTCAAAACATTGCTGATCCTTTGTTTTGTTTTTCATAGTCAAGGACACTTTTTCTGAGCTATTTACAGCTTTTGGCAATTGAGTAAAGTATACTCCTGTGAACAAAATTGGAGCATATTTATTTCTCTCTACCTAATTTATCCAGAATTTGGAAACTATTTGTGAGTATTCTTAATTTATGGCAATATAGCTATTTGCATGAGTGCAATAAGAATCTGTTTTCTTTTGTAACAGGTCACAATTGGAGAAACTGGCTATTTTACCAAGGCTTCGACTGGAATGGCATACCTTAAGGAATCATGTAAGGAATCATGATTCCTTAAGGAATCAAATTTGACTTGTAGAGCCAATAAATGCCCCTTGGAGAAACCGGCCTCATACCTTGCCTACACAGTCTCTGTACAGGGTTTCTGACCTGTGGTAAGTAAAGAATGTCACTTTCTAACAGGCCCAGGAGCCCCAAGTTATCTTGGAACCTCAAAAGGAGAGGAATTTACTCAACTCATAGGTATTTTAGGGCACAAACCCATGGCAAGGCTTGGCTCAAAAAAAAATCTTATCTGAGATTCTTTATGAAACAGAGTTCCATCAAAGCCAATTTCAAAGAGCTTATATAAAAAATAATCATTCTTGCGGCACTTTATACAAATAATCAGGCCAAATATAATAAAGCAAGTCAGTGTTACCATGATTAGTCTTTAGTAAAAATGGGAAACTAGAGACAGAAATATTATATTTCAAGAACTATGGTATACTTGTTATTAAATTCTAGTCTCAGCAGTTGTTTTTAAGTTTTTGCAATTTAGACTGATTGCTTGCTCCTGTGACCCAACCAGAGCTCTCTGGCTGCTGCTCAAAAGAAACAAAAAGGACAGGTTATGTAAAAATCTGGAGTCAATATTCTAATTCTGGGCATGTACTGGAATCATCTAGCAACCCCATATCAGCTTGGTTCCAACAGTTGCCCAGTTCATGGAAAGCCTTCTGATTTAATTTACTTGAGATAATTTTACTGATTTTGCTTTACTCTTGTGGAATATATTTCTGTTGTACTCTTTGGGTAGGAATAAGGATAAGCTTACTCAACGTTTTCTTAAATTAAACTTTTATTAATCTTCCAGATATCAACTTTTGTTGGAACTCAGAGTTATGAATGGCCCTCGCCATGCCGATGCTTTCTGATTAAGCACCTCTGTACCCTGAACACAAGAGAGAGAGACCCTAATAGTTAGGCAGGAATATCATTGCCCCTATTCAGCCTGAAGAAATTACAAAAGATGGATTTTTGTCCCTCTGCACCCCTTAGGATCAAGGGTTCTCTTATAAAAGGGAGAGGGAAAATGTCAGAGGCATTTGAACCAGAGCAACTCCATCTTAAATAGGAGCTGGATAAAAATGAGGCTGAGACCTACTGGGCTGCATTCCCAGATGGTTAGGCATTCTAAGTCACAGGATGAGATAGGAGGTCAGCACAAGATATAGGTCATAAAGACCTTGCTGATAACACAGGTTGCAGTAAAGAAGCCAGCTAAATGCCACCAAAACCAAGATGGCGACGAGAGTGACCTCTGGTTGTCCTCACTGCTATACTCCCACCAGGGCCATGATAGTTTACAAATGCCATGGCAATGTCAGGAAGTTACCCTATATGGTCTAAAAAGGGGAGGCATGAATAATCCACTCCTTTTTTAGCATATCATCAAGAAATAACCATAAAAATGGGCAACCAGCAGCCCTCAGGGCTGCTCTGTCTATGGAGTAGCCATTCTTTTATTCCTCTACTTTCTTAATAAACTGCTTTTGGCCGGGCGTGGTGGCTCACGCCTGTAATCCCAGCACTGTGGGAGGCAGAGGGGGGCGGATCACGAGGTCAGGAGATCGAGACCATCCTGGCTAACACAGTGAAACCCTGTCTCTACTAAAAATACAAAAAATTAGCCAGGCGTGTTGGCGGGCGCCTGTAGTCCCAGCTACTCGGGATACGGAGGCAGGAGAATGGCGTGAACCTGGAAGGCGGAGCTTGCCGTGAGCCAAGATCACGCCACTGCACTCCAGCCTGGATGACAGAGCAAGACTCCGCCTCAAAAAAAAAAAACACATAAACTTGCTTTCACCTTTCTCTATGGACTTGCCCTGAATTCTTTCTTGCGCGAGATCCAAGAACCCTCTTTTGGGGTCTGGATTGGGACCCCTTTCCTGTAACAATTGCAGTGGGGTTGGGTGCCCTGTAGCTTTCGCACAGAGTCCTTAGTCCTCAGCAAGCTGTCAGGAAGCTCCCATGAAACACAGCCCTCCTCAGGTGCCCCCACCTGGCCTTCACGGCTTACATGTCCCTACCTCCCCCAGGCTATTCCTTATATCTGGGGTACGTTCCCCTCTTTTTCCCTGCTCAAATCCTACTTACCCTTTGAGGCCTAAGTAAACACCACCCCACCCATGAAGATGTTCTAGATCTGTGCTGCCCGGTAGAAATACAATGTTAACCACTTATGTCATTTTAAGTGCTCCAGCAAATGTTAATGTTTTTTAATTTTTTGAGACAAAGTCTTGCTACATTGCCCAGGCTGGTCTCAAACTCTTGGGCTCAAGTGATCCTCCTGCCTCAGCCTCCCAAGGTGCTGGGATCACAGTCATGAGCCACCATGCTCAGCCTCACAAATATTTAAAAGTAAAACAAAACAGATGAAATTAATTTTAACAACATATTTCATTTGGTCCAATGTATCCAAACTGTTATTTCAACATGTAATCAACATATAATGGATTACTATTTTACATTCCCCTATTTCATAGGAAGTCTTTGAAATCTGGCATGTATTTTACACTTATGGCACATCTCATTTTGAACCTGGCCACATGTCAAGTGCTCAGTAGCCACAGGTAGTAGTGGCTGTGAATTGGACAGCACAGTTTTAGATGCCTCAGGTCAAACCGTGATTCCCCTACTCTGGAGCTTTTGCCGCTCGCCATATCCTGCCCGGTCTCCTTCTCTAGCCTGTGAGCTCCTTGAGTTCATTCACTAACCCGGGCTGAGCACCTCTTGGGCTCAGAGCTGGGCACGCAGATGAGCTCTGCCCAGCCCCCGCCTGCACAGCCCCCAGCAGACAGCGCCTAGGTCTTCTCCACTGGGTCCCCTCTCAACACCTCTGCGAAGTACTCCATAGAATGAGCAAATGAATACAGTGGGCCTGAGGGCAGGGAGGGGGACAGACCAGGAGCAGCCTCAGGACTCACCAGGCACCGGCAGATTCGGCAGGGGTCCCCAGGTGTTGTCCACTCTTGGCCATGTTCCCAGTGAGAGCCACCTTCTGTGCAGCCTAGGGTTGAGGGGTTGAGAAGAGGGAGGCCTGGTGGGAGCTGGCCTGGACCCCAGCCTCAGCCTGCCCGCCTTCCTTGTCCACATGCCCTCTGAGGGCTCTCTCCCGAGCCAAGACTAGATGGGGTCAGATCTCTGCCTAGATTCCCCAGTGGCTCCCAGTGCCCCAGGCAGGGTGAGGCCTCAGTTCCTTAGCCCGCCCTTTCTGGTCTTCCGTGGACAGAGCATAGCCACACCCATGTGCCCCACCTATCTCTGGCCCCTCGTCACCTCTCACACCTTCCCAGCCAACATTGCACACTCACCCTCCGTGTCAGGGCCACGCCTGTGCTTGATTTCTCCCCTCTTCCTAGAAGGCTCACTGCCTTCCTCAGCCCTTCACCAAGCTAACTTTTCTTTATCCTTAAGGGCCACCTGGGGACCAGCTGCCTCCAGGACGCTTTCCCTCCTGTGCCCAGGCTGGATTCGGTCTCCTTCCTCTGAATTCGCACACTAGCTGGTGCCTGCTTCTATTCCTGCCCTTGGCTGTTACAAGATTTTGCATTAGTGTATGACTCAGTGTCACACTCTAGGGGTCATCCCTGAGGGCTGACCCCATGTCTCATGATTGGGGAGCACAAAGTAGAAAGCAAACATTTATTAAGCTGCACTATGAGGCATGGAATATCATTATCTGCACCTTACACATGGGGAAATTGAGGAAGAGAGTCACACAAGCACTAGGTGGCAATGGCAGAATTTGAGCTCAGGCATTCCAGCTCCGCCACGGACCAAACCCACTGGAGGCCGGCAAGGTGGGCTCTGGAATTCAAGAAATGGCACGACAACCTACCTGTGGCTCTACCAGGGAGGGGCCAGGGGCTCTCACCTTGGCAGGTTGGGCAGCAGTGCCCAGGCCTCAGCACTGGCTCTGGGCAGGGGCTAGGCGGGCACTTCAGGGCCATGCAGCGAACTCGGCTCCTCTGTAATGCACCAGTGGCTGTGAGGCTTCAGGTCTGGCTCCCGCAGAGGGCTGGGTGGGCGGGTGTTGGGCACCCTCGGAGGAGGGGGGCACAGGGCAGGGATGGAGGGAGAACCTAGCTGGCTCCACCTCTCGGGAGGCATGTGAGGGGGCTGGAGGAGTGGCAGGCAGGGCCCAGGGCAGGGCAGGTGTCCAGGGAGGTGCAGGGCCTGGGCAGAGGGGACAGGTGGACTCACCAGGCAGGTGCACTGTAGACAAGGGTTGGAGCTGGACAGGAAGGTGACCCCCTCCTCATAAAGCTGCCCCTCATAATCACAGCCTGGGAAGGTTGGCAGGATGACAAGTGGGTCACCAGGCAGCAGGGTGGGTGGACATCACTTGAGGTAAGGCATGACCCCAAGTAGGTACTGGACCCTTGGGGTTGAAGGGATGGCGGGGCAGGGCAGGACAGGGCAGGAGGTCACCGGGCCGGCAGATGGGGCAGCACTCCCCAGGTGGGGTGCAGCTCTCCAAGCAGTTGAGCTCTGAACACGAGGGCCCCTGGCACTGCACGGCTCCTGTCTGCAGGGCAGACACTGAGCCAGCCCTCCCTTCCCCCACCATCCTCCCTCTTTCTCTCTCTCCTGCTCTCCCTCCTCGTCCCTTCCTGTTCCATCCCTCTCCTTTGCCAGAGCTGGCTTACTCTGCAGGCCTAGCAGGCTTCAGCCCTGATGCCTGGGCAGTGGCAGTAGCAGCCCTGCCTAGCCCCCACATTTGGGCTTGGCATGGTCAGGCCGGCAGTCTGCCCAGCAGCAGGGATGTGGGTGGTGGCTGATTCCTTTACCTGGCAGGTGCAGATGACACAGGGCCCTGGATGCCATGTTTCCCCAACCCCGTGGCCCTGGGGCAGCCTGGAAAACCAGGCCCAGACCCCCAAGTAAGAGACCCAAAGGACTGGGTGCCACATTAAAGGGGCACCATTCACGTGACAGACATCAGAGACTTTGATATTTACTACCCCTTTCCAGCAGATGGCAGTAAAGTGTCCGATAGGCACATCATCAGCATGGTTCCATTATTTTACAACAGATGGAAGTAGTGTCTTGAGGAAAGGGTGCCTTTTAAAATTTCACCAAAGACATCATATAGGCTAGCAGTGGCCCTGAGGCACCACGTGCCCTGAAGAGTGTGTGTGTGTGTGTTGGGGGAGCGGGGGTCAGGGGTCTTTTCTTTGTGTGTCTTTTCTTTGAGATCCATCAACCCCCAAGATTTTAGTCCTCATCTCCAGCCAGCACTCCAGGCTGCATTTCCAGACCCAACTGGTCTGAGTCCTTGTCCCACCTTTCTTACTACCAACTGAGACTCCTCTCTCGGAGGGGCTTCCAGATGAAATATAGGATGCCCAGTAAAATTTGAACTTCAGAAGAATAAGACGTCAATTTTAGTATAAGAATGTCCTAAATATTGCATAGGATATACCTATACTAAAAACTTACATGCCGTTTATTGAAATTAAGATTTAACAAAGCATTCTAGACTTTCATTTGCTAAATCTGGCAACACTATCACCTTATGAGCCAGTAACACCCCCCTGCATAGCCATGACCTCCTCTTCCTCCCAGCTCTCTTCATGTCCCCAGCACCACTGCTATCCTAGTGTCCCAAGCTCGGCCTCCACTATTCCAGGGGACCCAGCCAGTCACCGGCTCCTGCCCGTCCTTTAGAAACATCCCCCTTTCTCCAGCCCACTGCCATCCCTGGCTCCATGCCTAGACAACTGCTGTCACAGCCCCGACGCCTCTGTCTGCATCTAGCCCTCACCAGGTGAATATTCCTCAAGCGCCCCCTTGACCATGCCACACGCTGCTTCAGCCTTCAATACCCCCCACTGCCCATAGAAAAAAGTCCTAATTGCAAGGCTTACAGCAGCCTGTTCCCACTGGCCTTCCCACATGGACTTCCTGCAACCCACCTCTCTCCACCCTGTCCTTGTGCCCAGAGGAACCTCACGTACTCCCTCTCCTTCAGGTGGAACCCCACTTTCCCATGAAGACCCAGCTCAAAGGACCCATTGTCTGTAAAGGCCCCCTGACTGCCCAGCCTCGACGGGCTTCCCCTGCCTCCTGTGCCCTCCTCTGGCAAAATACACACTGCACTGCCTTCTACACCTCCTCTTAATCTGCTCATTGGGTCTTCAATCTTGTGGTAGCTTGGCTATGAGCTTATCTTCTCAACTAGATTGGAGGCTCCCTGAGGGCAGGAAAAAGATTTTGTGCCTGTTTCCCTATGGTCTCTGGCTCAGTCCCAGGCCAGAGCCAGTATTTGCTGATTTGTGCATGGGTTCTGCACTCCCCTGGCCACTGTCAGAGTGAGTGGGTAGGCACCCCTGGGCATGTCCCAGACTCACTGAGGTGGCAGGCTGTGTCTGTGGGCCAGAGAAGGCAAGCAGGAGGTGGGGCTGAGACTGGCAGGAGGCTGACCTGGCTTACAGTGCGGGCAGCATGCTCCTGGCTCAGGGCAGGGTCCTCTTGGGCATGGCTTCTGGTTGCAAGTGATGGTACCTTCCTGTGGGAGCAGACTGAGGTGGCTGCACAGACATCAGATTCCTGGAGGGCAGGGCCTCTGGAAGTAAAACCTCAGCCCAGGCTGGGACATGTCATAGGGGCAAGAGGATGAGTTGGCTCTGTGGATGTGGGCTACCCTCTGTGTAAAGGCAGAAAAGAGACATCCCGCCCCCACTCCCATCGTCTCCTGATGCTCTTAACCCTAGGAAACCATCTCTTCCAGGTGCCAGCACATTCCCCAGAGAGGGGAGATCCTAGGAAGAAGACCGAAGACTTTCTCAGGGAGGAAGGAGGAAGGAAAGACTGGGGGAAGGTGGATGTGGCAACTGGTGAGGGAGAATAGGCAGGCCAGGGGGTTCCGAAGTAGAAGATGGGCAGTGGAAGAGTGGGAGGTGATATAGGAGGACAAGCAACTATTAAGTTGGTGCAAAAGTAATTGCGGTTTTTGCCATTAAAAGTCATGTCAAAAACCGCAATTACTTTTGCACCAACCTAATACATTCTCTGCCCTCCATGCCACTGTTGGCCAGGTCTGAATTGAGTGGCTTGGGGACCCCCCAGTGTCCGTGGGCATTGAGCTCCTTTTCCTACTCGGAATCAACTGAAAGCCACCGTGGCAAGGTGTGGGAGTGGCAGGCAGAGCCCATTATGCGACATCTTGAGTGCCACGCTGCAGTGACAGGTAGCTGGAGAGAGGCAGACAGGTGAGGGATATCCAGGTAGGTCCTGGGAGCTTACCAGACAGCGGCAGGTGGTGCAGGCATCTGGGGAGAAGGTCTCCCCGTTGCCGTAGGTCTGGCCATTTTGGCTGCAGCCTAAGGAGACAGCAGTGTCACTCAAGCACCCCATGCCATCTGCAGGTCTTTAGGTGGCCCCAGTGGGCGGATAGGGTGGCACTTACCCCTGCAATGGGGCAGGTGTGCTTGGGGGCCACAGTGAGCGGCCCCATCCTGGCAGACGCAGGCTGTGCAGGCGTCAGGCTCCCAGCGTGCCCCCTCGGGCCAGGCACGCCCCAGCCCCCAGCACTGGGGAGATGCAGGGTGGCACTCACAGGACTCCAGCTGCCTCACCCTCGTCTGCAGGTCCTTATTCTGGAGGAAGGAGATGGAATAGCAGGCACTGGCTCAGCTTCCCCCACCATCTCCAGTAGAGATGAGGGGTGTGAAAATGAGGCAGGATGAGAAAGAAGTTCGCCAATTCCAGAGCAGAGATGGGTCCCCCTCGGTCAGCATCCAGCTCAAACGATCACCATTCTCAGGGGGGCACGGGCCCCAATCTCTCCTTTGGACAAAATGGGGACCCAACCCTTGCCCCAAGAATTAAAGACATCTTTACCCATCCAAAATATTTTTGATGATGCCTTATATAGAATGCATTCCATAACATTCCCCAAATACATGGAACAGTACGAAACACGAACTGACAAAACAAATAGCCTGGAGGTTCTTCATTTGCATGAAAGAATCAATGTTAAGAATTGTTCTGGCCAGGCCTGGTGGCTCACACCTGTAATCCCAGCACTTGGAGAGGCTGAGGCGGGCAGATCACCTAAGGTCAGGAGTTCGAGACCAGCCTGGCCAACGTGGTGAAATCCTATCTCTACTAAAAATACAAAAATTAGCCGGGTATGGTGGTGCACACTTGTAGTCCCAACTACTCAGGAGGCTGAAGCGTAAGAATCACTTGAACCCAGGAGGCAGAGGTTGCAGGGAGCTGAGATTGTGCCACTGCACTCCAGCCTGGGTGACACATGGTGACTCCATCTCAAAAAAAAAAAAAAGAAAGAGAGAGAGAGAAAGAGAGAAGAAGGATGGAAGGAAGGAAGGAAGGAAAAGAAAGAAAAAAAAAGAAAGGAAGGAGGGAAGGAAAGAAGAAAGGAAGAAAGAAAGAAGAAAGAAAGAAAGAAAGAAAGAAAGAAAGAAAGAAAGAAAGAAAGAAAGAAAGGGAATTGTTCAGATAAGAGCTCTATTTTAGGCTCCCCCCTCCAAGCCTAACTCCTTCTCTCCCTCCCACTATGAGAAGCCCTCCTTACCCAATGCAAACCAGCACTGTCTCCATGGTACCTGTTCTCTGAGCTCCATCACTGCAGCCTCCAGTCGCCCCAGCCACTCTCGCAGGGGGTGCCACTGCTCCTGGGAGTTCCCAGCAAGGACTGAGGAATGGGCAGTTGTCTGCTGCCCAGGGGGCTCCCTGGGGACAGCCCCACCTGAAGGGCACAAGAATCCCATGTGGGCCTGAGGGTGAGGGGCTGGCCTGGCCACATTTTCTGGGTTCTGTCTTCTGACCCACAGGGGAAGGGGGTCATCCTGTGCACCCTGCCCTCTCCAATTGCCCACCCACCATCCAGGGCCGGGAAGCCAGCACAGGCTGAAACGCAGGGGAAGGCCACAGACATGCGCCAGGTGGAGCTGCTTTCAGGGGTCTGGGGTCTGGCTGAGAGTCTTTTCAGGGAGAACATGAGCAGCCCCCATCCCCTGACTCTCTGCACCTGTCAGAAAGGCCACAACTTTTGGAGAATGTGCTCAGGGAAGGACAACTGCTCCCGCCCCCAACCCTGAGCACGGTTTTCCAGGCTTGTGACAGGGGTTCCTGGGGGCTCCCACATTGGGTGGGGTGGGCTTCAAAAGTGGGACTTGGCTGCATTTTCTGAAGGGTGTGAGAAATGTGCTGGCAAGGCCCCTGCTAACTTTGAACACACCAGATCCAGTGAAGACAGCCTGTCCCTGCTTCTAGAAGACACTATGTCCAGGAAAGAGGGACGGGGCACCTCTGAGCTCTGGCCTGGGGTTAGGGGCGGCCACTTTCACCTTTTCACTTTGATCCTTCTCCTGCAGCCCAGAAAGTAAAGGCAGGAGGGGAAGAGGCAGACATAGGTCCCTCCTCCAGGCAGGGATGGGCAGGGAAGTTGAGGGTCTGGAGCGGAGGCAATAGGAACAGAGAGAGGAGGAGGGAGAGGGATGGGTCTTTCCCACCATGGCAGCTCATTAGTGAGGCCAGGCCTGGAGTGGCTTAAAAGGGTTTCTCACAGACACTAGGCCTGTGAGACAGGGGAACAATGTCACCCACTGTCACCATCAAAGGCAGAGGGGATTCTAGGCTAAAATTGAACTTGCTTTGTCCCAAGTTCCCTGGCTTGGTTAATGCCATCACACATACCCAGTTACTTAAGCCAGAAAGCTGGGGCTCAGCTCCCCTATTTTGTTGCCTGAGTTGTCCCCTAATACATCCCCCCCTTCTCCTCTCTCCACCATCTCCATTCAGAAGGCTGAAGACAAAGCGTCCCTGCCTCCATCTGTGCCCCTTCTCTCCACTCGACCTTTCTGAATCACACAGCCGAAGTCTCCCAGGAGCAAGTCCCGCTGGGATGGATCACAAGCACCGCCCACCTTTCCAGCCCCGCTACTTCTGGCTTATATCAGGGATTCTAACTCAGTTCCCGCACCCTGGGCGAATACTGGCCCTCAAACCCCAGGTGCCCTTTCCCATCTCCGTCCCTCTACTGGGGATCCTGTCACCCGGAATGGCACCCGGTCTCAGTCCTTCCCAAGCACACAGAGGGCGGCCACGATGGGCGTCTCAGCATCTGAAACCTTCTACCCAATCTAGACTCCCGTGGGGCCTCATCCTGCTGCCCAGGGCCCCTCCTCCCAGGCCACTCCTCCAGTTCTGCTTAAGTAGGCAGGCAGGATATGGGAGCCCGGGAGAAGCTGAATCCTCTGGGACCCCTAGGTGAAGCTAGGGCCAGCCTCGCCTGGAGAGACCTGCAGAAAGAGCTCCGAGTGGCACAAACTTGGCTGGTCCCCAAGGAATTGTCCCGGGTTCCCCTCTTAGCCTCCCCTGGCCCCGTGCCGGCACCGAGCCCTCCATTCCCGCCTGTCCTGCTCCGGGGAGGGCCAGACACAGATGCAAAGTCAGCTTCCACAGCGGGCCCCTTTTCTCCCCCTCCTTCGTCAAGACAAATAATTAACTTCAGACTCCCAGATGCCAGGGCAGCCGCACTCTCTCCCGCCGCCGGCTGCAGGAACCGCCCCCCTCTCCTGAACCCCCTGCTTTGGCCGTGGTCTTCCCCACCCTGCTCGCTCCCCCGACGGGGAGGACGGAGCTGGCCAGGGAGGCGCGCGAACCTCAGGCAGGGCTAAGAGCAGAGCCCCCAGCCCCTCTCGGCCCCCTCAGGCCGGGCTGATAGGAGGGAGGGGGCGCACCTGGCCGGACCCCAAGCCTCCCGCACCTGGACTCACCTTCCGCGCCCGCGGCCAGCGCCAGGGCCCCGAGGTGCAGGAGAAGGGACAGCGCAGCGGCCCCGACCCCGGCCATGCTAGCTCCGCCTCGCTCGGCTCGCCGTCTGTCGTCGCGGCTCAGCAGGCGCTGGGGAAGGC
The DNA here is from genome assembly GCF_000001405.40 of Homo sapiens. Classification (NCBI taxonomy): domain Eukaryota; kingdom Metazoa; phylum Chordata; class Mammalia; order Primates; family Hominidae; genus Homo; species Homo sapiens. The sequence goes on from NC_000007.14 coordinate 128,910,739, forward strand.
GGGGTGGGGACACACAGGCCGCTCCCACCCAGGCTTTGTTCAGGGAGGGCTCAAACCCCCCACCGCGCGCGCCTTTCCCATGCACACCTCCACCCGCCCCGGGCCCGGCCGGTCCTGACCCCAGAGAGCAGCTCCAGCTCGCAGGAAGCCCAACGGGGGTGTAGGCCTTGTCTCCGCTTAAGATCCAGGAGGAGACCCTGAAAAGAAAATAAACCCAAGTCCACCCCTCTCGGGATCCTAGAGAGTCTCCCTGCCCTTTTAGGTTACTCCATCGCCCTAGGGTTTCCAGATCGATTTTTCCTCTCTCTCACAAGTTTACAGAAGAAGCAGACTGAGCTGGGTTTAGATCCCTGCTCAGCCAATTCCATGTGGCCTTAGACCACTAACTTCTCTGTGCCTCAATTTCCCTATCTGTAAACTGGGGATCACCACATCTACTTTATAGACTTGCAGTGAGCATTAAGTGAGATTATATAAGTAAAGAATTTAGAGTCGGTAGAGAGATGGTAAATGCTCAGTAAATAACAAATAATAATAATAAGAACTCCTGATCTCTGAAATCATGGACACGACCAGTGTTTTCCTCTCTCCCCTATAAGTTTCTTTCCTGAACTCCACTCAACACCCCTACCCACCCCAGCAGTCCCAGGCTTGGCCCCAAATGCCAAGGCCGCCCTTCACTGGCTGGTCTCAGCCCCATTTCCCACTCCTGAGCTCAGGCCTGGCTGTGGGGTGAGCCTGGGTAGGGGGCAGGGCTGGGCCCTGGGCTCAGCAGGCAGAGGGGGCCAAAGGGAGGAAGTGAGGACAGCCGTCCCTGTGGGCCCACAGGCTGGGAAACTCCTCCTTGAAGCTGGGAAGCAGAGGGTTGGGTCTCACAGGCGAAGCTCACAGGCAAAAAGGAACATTGAGGGCGGAGCTGTGAACCCTTCCAAAGCTCTCCCTCCCTGTCATAAAGACCAGAAGTCGGAAGCCACCCCTCCCCCTAGACCAGGCAGGGACTGAGGTCTCCCCAGCCCACTCTCCACCAAGCTTAAAGCTTCAGTAAGGAGACGGCAGCTTCTCTGCCCCAGAGTCTGGGCCCATAGTGGACCTGAGCCTTTGCCACAGGGGGCAGGGAGGCTGCAATGCCACGCTAAGACCTGGCCTCAGTGCCTGGAGCTGAGGTCACAGAGGAAAGCCAGGGCCAGCCAGCCAGAAGAGGAACAAGGAAGCGGCAGCACTATTCCTGGCAGGTTTAAGGAAGGTGGCTTTCATTGACCGGGTGCCTCTGGAAAGCAAGTCCTCTGAGGGGCTGGGTAGTGGGACGGTTCAGAGCACAGATTCTGGCAGGGTTGCCAGGGCGCATCCTGGAGCTCTTGCTTTCTGCTCTGGGGCCTCTGGCTGGTCACTTCACTTTTGGTGGCTGATTTTTCTGAACTGTGACTGGAGCTCTAACAGCACCCACCTCATGGAGTGTTTGTAAGGATTAGTAATGCATGGTGCTTGGCACAGAGGTATGAGCAATTTTTACTTCCCTTATGAAGAATGGGGGCACCTCCATCCCCATTTTACAGAAAGAATCAGAGAGAATCAGGGTGAGCAGCTCTAAACCACACTGGGAGGATGCACAGGGCTTCCCTCGCCCCACAGTCCCCTTCCAGTCCCTTGTGTCTTAGCCTCTGCCACTGAGCCTGGCCCCAGTCGGCCCTCATATCACATTCCCAGGGAGGGACACTGTCCTGACACAGAAAAGGTCCTCCAACCCCTGGGGTGCGGTGGGGTGGGGAGGCTGGGCCTTCACTTCACCCCCAAGGCAGGTGTTTGTAGTGTCTGATTCTGTGTGTGTGTGTCTGGGTGTGGCACATTTGTGTGTGTGTGTGTGTGTATGTAATGTGTGTTTGGCTGGAGGTGGGGGCTGAGGCTGGGGAGGCACTTTTGGGACTCAAGGGACCTTGACTTTGAAGGGGCTTCCAGGGACACTTTCGTCACCCCACTTGACGATAAGGATGTAGTCCCTTTCTCCTTGACAGTGTAGGTGACATTGTACACCCGGTTCCCCATGTGCTTCACGTACACCTCCTCACAGGGGGTCTTGGGGCCGTGCACGCCCACCATCATCATGTTGGTGCCTGGAGAGGGAGGCAGAGGGACAGGCTCACACCAGGGAGTCCCCTACTGTGACCCACACCCTGCTCCCTGACGGCTTCTTGCTCACACCCCGGGAGACGCCCTCCCCCCGCCACCTGCCTGCTTTGCTGCAGTCCACGGTGAAGGAGTTCTTCTGGCCCACGAAGGCCTGGGACAGCCCAGGGCCCCGAGTCACCACCTTGCTGGCATCTGAGGAGAACTTGGGGATGGAGTTGTAGCTGGAGCCCCGGCTTGAGGAGGACTTGGTCACAGTCTCCACCAGAACCGTGGATGTTTCGTGAAGGCTGTGGCCTCCGGACAGCCTCGGACCTGAGGGGTGGGTGGAGGGGGCACAAACCTAGTCAGAAGGGCTTCCCGTTCTTCCCCAGGCAGGGGACCCTCGGCCAGCACTGCCACCCTGTGGGACTCACTGCCTGCATTTGAGGTTCCCCCCCAAATTCCTCCAAGGGCCACTCTAGGAGCACAGCCCCATTCCCAGCCAGGGCCCTGAGCTGCCAGCTCCAATTGGTGCTCCACCCTAGGGCTGGGGCCTCAGATGCTGCGTCCCTCATCCTTGCAGGCTTTGTCTGGGAACTCAGGCTAACTCACAGGGTAAGAGCCACTTTACAAAGGAACACCCACCCAACTCATCCTACAGACAGCCTCAAGAGGGGAAGCTTGCTCAATACCGACTGTGTCTTCTTGGAGCGGAGGAATATGGGAAGCCAGGAGGGAAGAAAGTGGTGCTAGAGCCTGAGGAGCCAGCGCAGGCCAGAGCTGAAGGAGTGAGGGGCCACGATGGAGAGGAAGAATGGCATTTTTACATGATCATGCCCGACTCCACAGAACGTGTACTGTGTAGAGCCAGGCCCACCTCTAGCCCTGGTAAACTGACCATGATGTCTGGGGGCAGACTATGGCCTAGATGTGCGTGGCCACCGGAGCCCTCCAGGCTGGGCTGGGCTGCAGGCTGGGTGGACCTCCCCCAAACCGGCACTCACCAGTGACCTTGGCCTTGAAGGGGCTGCCCACGATGTGCTGGGGGCCACCGTACTTGATGGCAATGAGGTAGTTGCCAGGGGCCATGGGAGTGTCAGTGACCACGTGGCCCTCAGGACACTCCCAACAGTCCAGCTGCACCTTGGTGGGGCCATCAATGGTGACAGACAAGGTCCCCGAGCAGGCGTTCAGGGCGTTCACATGATCTCTGATGACACACCTGGGGGCCAGAGGTAGCAAGGCTGAGGGCAGGAAGGGCTTGTGGCCCAAGATGGGCTGTGCCTCAGCTCCCTGGGCAGCCTCTGTGAGGGGCTGCCACTGCCCCATGCCCAGCCTGGCCCCTGCCTGCCAGCCCAGCCTGGGGGCAGGAGGAACCAGGGTCCAGTGTGCAGTCCACGGCACGTACCTGCTCTGAGGGGCACTGGCCTAGCTGTGCTGGGTACCAGGCAAATGAGAGGTGATATGCCCTGTCCTGGCTGAGGAAGGCAGAGCCCCACACTGTGTGAAGCAGTCTGAGGGCAGAAGGCAAGTGCCTGATGGGCTGTGTCAGCTCTGGACGCATGAGCACTAAAATGTGGGAAGCTGAGTGTGGCTGGACTAACCTGGGAGAGCTTTGGGGAGGAGGCGGATCAATGGGGAGGACTGGAAAGGCTCTAGGGGAAAAGGAAATAAACTTGTTGGGGGAGCCCCAGACCTGGAATATGAGGAGGGGATGCACAAGGGCTCCCGACGGGCTGGTAAAATCTCACAGCCAACCCCAGGGCCCCAGTGGAGTCCCAGGCGACAGTCCCCTCACTCCAGGAGCTGCAAGGCTTTGGTACCAGGGGGCTGCTAGGGGAGGAAGTGCCACAGCAGTCCTAGTAAGAGTGGCCAGACGGCAGGCGCCCTGCTGCCTCCAGGGTTGTTCTGGGTCGCATGTCTCCTTGCAAACCCACACCCAGCTCAGGGAGAGGACAAAGGTTTTGCTGCATTGGGCCTGATCCTAAATCCCACCCCTCCAGGTGAGCTGTCCACACCCCAGGCCCTGCTGCTTGCCTGGTCCAAACAGGCTGAGGCTCTGGGGCAGCAGGTGCCCAGAAAGAAGCTTCTTTCGGCTTCCTCCGAGAGGCAAGGTGGGGGAAGACCAGGGTACAGGGGGAAAACCCCCAAGTAGGGCCTTCAGATGAAAGGGGGTGATTTCCCAGTGACTCCCTAGACTCTTGGATCCCCTCAGCCCCAGCCCCAGGCCCGACAGCTACGGGGTAGGGGGAGGATGGAGGTAGGGGGAGGGGAGGTCTTGACAGTTTTCTCTGTGGACACAGCCGGTGCACTTTCAGGCCCTGGGGACTGGGTCCACGGGGGCCCAGGCCCACTCCAGTCCTCTGCCCCCGCTCCCCGCTTCCCCTCCGCCCCCCTCCCCCCTCCCCTCCGCCCCCACCCCTCCCGCTGGCTCCGCGGGGGCACACCCCCTGGGCCAGCCCGTGGAGCCACCCTCACCCCCAGGGACGCTCCTCGGCTGCTAGAGCAGCACCCCGGTCCTCGCCCTGCTGTGTCCAGCGGGGCCGCGAGGCTGGGGAAAGTCCCCCACTCCCGCCTCTGCTCCCGGGCACCTGCTCCCGCCCTCCCGGGTCCGGAGACAACCGCTCAAGGCCAGCGCTGGTCCTCGCCATCTTCCTCCAAATCCCAGCCATGCTAGTCTCACTTTTCCTCCACGTTCAGCCTCTTCATTGTTGCCTTCTTAAGTTCTGGGACAAGACCTACAGAAACCAGCCCAGGAACTATTGCGCCCCATCCTTCTCCGCTGCTCTGGGGGCCGGCGTCTACCATTCCCGGCCGCGAGCCCAGGGACGGACGGAGCCTCTACCTGACACTATCTTCCCCCAAACTCTTGCACAATTCCTGCCATTGGCCTGAAGATCCCGGGGGATGAACGCTTTAAACCTCCACCTTTTTTTCCGAAAGGGTTAGGGTGACCCGGGAAGAGCGAGGGCGAGTGCATCGAAAGTAAGGATCGGGCCTCGCTCCTCTGTGGACCAAGCCAGCCTCCAGCAGGGCGCCTGGGAGCCCCCATTCTGGGCGATGGCGGGGTGGGGGTGGGGGGGTGGGAGCAGCAGAGCCTGCGCCCCCAGCTGCGGTGCCGACCTCGCCGCCTGGGCCTTGGGGTTCCCTGGGCGCCAGCACCTCAAACGGATCGGGGCGTGAGGGGCGCCTGGGAGGTCCCAGGCCGGCGGGGCGCGCCCTGCTGTAGGCACCCACCGAAGCTCGGTCTCCAGGCGCAGCTGGACGCGGACCCCGCCCTACTCCAGTCTTCATCCGGTCGCCCGCAGGTGCCTGAGGGGCGCGGGCCCTGGTTGAGGCCTAGACTTGTGGGTGGGCAACAGCCGGTACCGCTCCCACCACCTTCCGGACGCGGGGACGCGGGGACGCGGGGACGCGGAGAGGAGAGAGCGGCGGCCGGGACCCACCTGTCTGCGATGCTCCTGCGTGGCTGCGCCCTTGAGCACTGGTGGGGCGGCGGGGCCGAGCTGACTCTGCCCGGGCTGCGCTGGGTTCTTCTGCACCGCGCCGGCCCCGACCGGAGGGACCACTCGAGGAGGCTGGCACTTACCGGTGACTACTGACCTGGAGGGAGCATTGGGCCAGGCCCAGGGCCTGTAAGGAGACGCCAGACAGATAGCGCGGTGGCCTAGACGACCACTGGGCTTCTTCGGCAGTCTGGAACAGGGAAATAGTAATTCCATAACCTCAAATTCCGCTCCGCGCCCCGCCCCCCGACTCCCCCCAGCTCTGAAGGGTCCGCAGGTCTTCCCCAGTCCATGCTATCGTTGAGCTCTGGCACCTGAAAGAGATGGTTTCCCGGGTCAAGAGCATTAGGATGCCAGGTGGTGGCTTGCGCCTGTAATCTCAGCACTTTGGGAAGGCCAGGCAGGAGGATTGCTTGAGTCCAGAAGCTGACCAGCATGGGCAACATAAGGAGACCCAGTCCCTACAAAAATAATAAAAAGAAATTAGCCAGGCGTCATGGTGAGCGCCTGCAGTCCCAAGCTACTCTGGAGGCTGAGGCGGGAGGATCACTTGAGATGGGGAGGTCGAGACTGCAGTGAGCCATGATGGAGCCACTGTATTCTAGCCTGGGCAATACATTGAGAACCTGTCTCAAACAAAACAAAACAAAAAACATCAAGAGACGACTCGGGTTGGGGCAGGATGTCTCTTTTCTGCCTTTACACAGAGGGTAGCCCACATCCACAGAGCCAACTCATCCTCTTGCCCCTATGACATGTCCCCGCCTGGGCTGAGGTTTTGCTTCCAGAGGCCCTGCCCTCCAGGGCTCTGATGCCTGTGCAGCCACCTCAGTCTGCTCCCACAGGAAGGGACCATCACTTGCAACCAGAAGCCATGCCCAAGAGGACCCTGCCCTGAGCCAGGAGCATGCTGCCTGCACTGTGAGCCAGGTCAGCCTCCTGCCAGCCTCAGCCCCATCTCCTGCATGTCCACAGCCACGGCCTGCCACCTGAGAGTCAGCGAGCCTGGGACATGCCCAGGGGTGCCTACCCACTCACTCCTGACAGTGGCCAGGGGAGTGCAGAACCCATACACAAGTCAGCAGATACTGGCTCTGGCCTGGGACTGAGCCAGAGACCATGGGGAAACAGGCACAAAATCTTTTTCCTGCCCTCAGGGAGCCTCCAATCTAGTTGAGAAGATAAGCTCATAGCCAAGCTACCACAAGATTGAAGACCCAATGAGCAGATTAAGAGGAGGTGTAGAAGGCAGTGCAGTGTGTATTTTGCCAGAGGAGGGCACAGGAGGCAGGGGAAGCCCGTCGAGGCTGGGCAGTCAGGGGGCCTTTACAGACAATGGGTCCTTTGAGCTGGGTCTTCATGGGAAAGTGGGGTTCCACCTGAAGGAGAAGGAGTACGTGAGGGTCCTCTGGGCACAAGGACAGGGTGGAGAGAGGTGGGTTGCAGGAAGTCCATGTGGGAAGGCCAGTGGGAACAGGCTGCTGTAAGCCTTGCAATTAGGACTTTTTTCTATGGGCAGTGGGGGGTATTGAAGGCTGAAGCAGCCTGTGGCATGGTCAAGGGGGCGCTTGAGGAATATTCACCTGGTGGGGGCTAGATGCAGACAGAGGCGTCGGGGCTGTGACAGCAGTTGTCTAGGCATGGAGCCAGGGATGGCAGTGGGCTGGAGAAAGGGGGATGTTTCTAAAGGACGGGCAGGAGCCGGTGACTGGCTGGATCCCCTGGAATAGTGGAGGCCGAGCTTGGGACACTAGGATAGCAGTGGTGCCAGGGACATGAAGAGAGCTGGGAGGAAGAGGAGGTCATGGCTATGCAGGGAGGTGTTACTGGCTCATGGCGGGATAGGGTTGCCAGATTTAGCAAATAAAAATGCAGAATGTCCTGTTAAATTTGAATTTCAAATAAACAGCACAATTTTTTAGCATAAGCTCAGAGTCACAGTGGGAATAAGCTGTAGAGAATGGAATCAATTTGAGGTCCTTAGGATCCTGGGGCCTGGCCAGGCCTGTCCACACTGACCTCCAGCCAAGTAGCCTGGCCCTATCCTTGGCACGACCTACTAGGTGTTCTCCCTAGAAATGTTATCGTCATGAGAAGTCCTAGCCTCCTCGCCATCCCTGGTCACTGTGACTCTCAGCTGCTTCTTGCCCAGCTCACCCCCTGCTCTGCCCAGTCCCACACCCCAGCACCCCCACCTGCCCTCTTCATGCCTCTGTCAGAGCCCCTGAATATTGCTGGACAGCATCTCACCACTCCATTGCTTCCATGGCAGACTCGTGGCCACAAATATCAATGAGCACTGGACATTGCCAGAAATCCTCCTACAATCTCTTGGCAAATCGTTCTCCCCCTCCCTGAGAGGAGCATTTTTTTTTTAACCTTCCAATGGTTCTGCCCCTTACTTGCCATATGATCTTGGCAAGTTATTGAACCTAAGTCTCAGGTCCTCCCCTACGAAACAGGGGTAATAAGAGCACTTCTGTCTTTGCTCTCGTTAAGGATTGTCAGACTGGGTGTGATGGCTCATGCCTGTAATCCCAGCACTTTGGGAAGCTGTGGTGGGTGGATCACCTGAAGTCAGGAGTTCGAGACCAACCTGGCCAACATGGCGAAACTCTGTCTCTATTAAAAATACAAAAAGTAGCCGGGTGTGGTGGCGGGCACCTGTAATCCCAGCTACTTGGGAGGCTGAGGCAGGAGAATCACTTGAACCCAGAAGATGGAGGTTGCAGTGAGCCGAGATTAGTGCCACTACACTCCAGCCTGGGTGACAGAGTGAGACTGTCTCAAAAACAAAACAAAACAAAAACAACAACAAACAAACAAATAAAAAACGATTGTCTTAGCCTGGGTTCCTGGAAATCAGAGCCTGAGACAAAGGCTTGCATGCAGGCTGATTTTGGAATATGATCCCCAGGAGCAGGAGGGAGGATTGGAAGTGTGAAACTGGGAAGGATGGAGAGCCAATACAAGGGTGCATTATGCAATGGAGCCGACCACTGCGGTGGGCATCAGCATCCGGTCCTGCAGGACCTGGGGAGCCATGTGAAAGGCAGGCAGGCAGTAGAAGCCATCGGCACTGGGAGGCCCCCAGGGCATTAGCTTGCTCCCAGTTATGCATGAGCCAGTGCCCACATGGGTTCCCGAGGGTATCCAATGCTGTGCATCAGAGAAATTCCAAAATGAGAGAGGTAGATTTGCAGCCAGGACCTCAGGAGAGACGCTGTCAGGGTGCACTGTGTGGAGCTGCTTGCAAACTGTGTACAACTGGAATGAGGTACAGCTGAGAGGATTTGCATAAGAGATGGCCAGCACAGGTGTTAAGTAGGATAATACACACAGAAAACTTTTTACAGTGCCCAGCACATTTTAAGCACCACAATCTGTTATTATTTTCATTGTCATAATCATCATCTCCCTCTGAGGTCCAAACCGAAAAGTCAATGTTAACATTTTTTAAAAATCTGCAACAGAAGGTAAAGAAGCTTCTGGAAAACTCACCCTATAAAGTGAAAGCCCAGGGCCCTGAGGAAAGGGTGTTATTTGCAAGGCACTTGAGTTCCACAGTTGAGTATGATCACTGTGTGCCTCTTTTTTGGGTGCCAGGCACTGTGCTCGATGCAGGGGTACAGTGGTGAATGAGACAGGGTCCTGCCCAGAACCTTCTGGGAAATGAGACTCCTGGTAAAGGGAACCACATGAGCACTGGGCTCAGGTCCACACAAATGTCAGGCTTGGAATAAGCATCTGGCCTGTTTTTCTCTGCTGGGCTGGGGGGACCGTGGTGCAGCCTTTCTGACCAGAAACAGCTCTTTCTTTACAAGAAGAGGATTTGGCTAGAGAAAGAAAGAAGGAATGGCTTGGGCCCAGGTTTGAGTCCTCGCTTGGCCTGGAAGCCCCTCTGTGGGGACACTGCTGGTTCCCTTACCGTGATGCGTGGGCCCCTGGGAGGCATATGGCCGCAGTAGCAGCATATGATGCTGAGGCGGGCGCAGTTCAGAGTCAGTGAGTTCAGAATTCAATTCCTGTGCTCCCACTTACTAACTGCCCTGAGTGTCCTCTAATTCTCCCTCCTCTCCTCCTCTGCCATTTATTCCCTGTCCCTCTTGGTCTCCTACAGACGGCATCACTCTGTGCTTTCATGCCTTCTGGTTTCCTATTGGTTCCACCAATGAGAGGCCCCAGCAGGGGATGAGGGGGCAGGAGGGAGAATGGTTGGGGTATTTCTTTCCCGACCTCCTTCTGCTCTGCCTGGGCTCCCGATGTTACACTATTCCTTCCTCTTGTCCCCTCGAACCGGGAGGTGGCAGTGGTTTCCTGCTACTGTTAGTCCCTGGGGGGCCTCAACATTCCTTGCTGGTCATTATAACCATGTCTGCAGATCTGTGAACAGCTCCTTCTTTACATTCTCTTTAGCTAAATCGTTTTTGGGGGAATTCTGTTTCCTCCTGGGTCCTTAATTGATAGGCTAACCTTATCCACTCGCTCCACCGAGTTACTCAACCACCCCTAAGCCCAAACCCTTCATCTGTAAAATGAAGTAATACCCCCTACCTTAAGCTGGGATAATTCGACCGGGCAAACTTAATACATTGGTTCACACCTGTGTGTGTTGTACCTGGCACACAGGAGACCCCAGCATAAGGGACTCCCCATTCTTACCACCTTTGGGTTGCACTCTTCACAGTAGCAGGTTGGTTTTTTCTCTGAGTTTGGTGGCTAGAAGCAAAAGGTCACTGTGGGGAGGGAGGCAGAGAAGGGATTAGTAAATGATTAGATTTTTCTGCTTCATTTGATATCTTTTAAATCACGACAGTTGTGATAAATGAAATAAGCTGACGGGCCAGCTGAGCAGCCCCAGTGGGCGGGGGGATGTGCTTTTTATCAGAGATCTGAGATTCTAATCCCACAACTCTTATCTCACAGCCTGGCGACATCTTTCGTAAATTCAGACTATGTAGCCCACCAGTCCCCTCCCGGGAGGAATTTCCTTTGCCCGTCCTTAAAATGCCCCAACAGGTCCACCTCACTGCATTCCAGGCACAGTGCCAAGCGGCAGTGTTGCCCACTCAAGTACGAAATGTCAATCCACACCCCTGGCCGGCCGGGTCACACTCAGGGTTGGGACCCAATACTTCCTTGTTGGATGGAACCTGCTGGGATTTGAGGAGTGTGTGTGAGTTTTTTTTGTTTCCAGTATAGAAAGACCAATGCACTCAGATTGCAATATATATATATAGAACTATATATAATAAACATATAAAAAAAGATGTATATCTTTTTATATGTAATATATACAATAAATTTTACTAAAATATATATTTTTTAAATTTATTTTTTGGGGGGGTCTTGATCTGTCACCCAGGCTGGAGTGCAGTGGTGCAATCACAGCTCACCTCAGCCTCGACCGCCTGGGCTCAAGCAATCCTCCCACCTCAGCCTCCCAAGTAGCTGGGACTACAGGTGTGTGCCATCATGCCTGGCTAGTTTTCTTTATTTTTTAATTTTGTAGAGACGGGGTCTCCCCCTATGTTGTCCAGGACGGTCTCGAACTCCTGGACTCAGGCTATCCTCCCACCTCAGCCTCCCAAAGCTCTGGGATTACAGGTGTGAGCCACTGCACCCAGCCACATGGCATATCTGAACCCCATGCCACAGCCTGCCCCTGGGGACTGGGCAGGAGGTTTACAGGCACTCACACAGTGACCCCCCGCCAAGCCTGGAGGTTCTGCAGCCTGGAGGAAAACTTGCCAGTAGAGCCTCATGCCTCTTCGCACCTGGGGCTTCTTTAATCCCTTTTGACTTCTCAAAGGCTGACACCTGGGGATCCTATTAGGGTACGGAGAAGCTAAGAGGTTTGGGGAAGTGTGCTCCCCGCCTGGCATTTTCTCTTCCCACCACGGCTCTTCCTGTCCTTCCTGGCCTTGCTCTCAAACTTCCACAGTGCCCCCCCTCACAGTCCAGTAGGACTGTCTGCGATGATGGACATGTTCTAGATCTGTGCTGTCCAATATAGTGGCCACATAAAGCTATTGGCACCTGTCATACGGCTAGAGCAACTGAGTGTCTGAATTTTTCATTTTAATTAATTTCATCACTTTAATGTAACTAGCCATATGTAGCTAGTGACTACCGTACTGGGCAGCACATATTTAGACATTGAAGGCCCCAGTTCTTGAGACAATTTACTTCCACGGGCTGAGAAAGTTTTATAACAGATCCGCAATGGCTATGATGTGAATAAGGCCCCCTAGAGTTGTGAGGCACCAAGCTCCCCCTGTAGCAGCCCCGGTTTCAGGAGCCCCCCTCTGCACCCGATAGGGCAGTGATAATGACTCCTGGGCCGAGTCCTCTATGGGCACCAGGCCCATGCCAGGTGGGTTACACGGACAATGGTGATTTGTGCTCACAGCTAGGAGGTAGGTGCTATGATGGTCCCCAGGAAACTGGGACTTGGATAATTTAAGAGGCTCAGGCAGAGGAGAGGAGCTGGTTCTCCAACCCAGCTCTGGCGGGCCCCAGACTCTCCGCCACAATAGAGACCTCTGCTGGCACCCCCCAGCCCCTGTACCTGCCCCATACCTTCCAAGTGGCTTCTCGGCACACTGAGAAATTCAGCTTCTCCATGGTTTCCACAGCACTGGGTCTTCCCTCTGCTACGGCATCCAGGCTTATCTCCTCGGGCGCCAGCCCAGGGGTGCCCTGGGAGCTGGGCTTTGCCATCTCTGCACTCCCCTGCTTTTTTGGTGGGGAGAATGGCCCTGGGGGTTATTTGGATGGGCACACACAGGGGGTCTCTCCTCTAACTGCCTCAAACCATATGCAGTGCCCAGGAATTGGGTTGGGGGGCGGTCCTGAGACTCAGAAGCCCCTTTGGCCCCTGCTCCTGTGATCTTGATTTGTGGCTGCAGAATTCAGACCCCCAACAGACAAACCTGTTGGCGTTGAGCAGCCTGGGGGCTGGGTGAGGAGGGCGTATAGCCTACACCTGCCAAGGGCCCTATGCTTTGGAGCAGCTCAGCACCTGTCAGCTATTCTCTTGACTCCGTTAGTAGTCAGGCCCTGAATTGCCAATATTTGCCTTCCCCGGCTGGCTGGCCAGAGGAGACATTATCTCTCAGGAGCTTGGGTCAAGACTAGCCAAGGGTCCTCTGGACAACAGCCTGTCCTCACAGCACCATAAGTCCCACCCCACTGTTTAGAGGGAAACAGGACCTTAGACAGCAGCCGAGGCCATGGAATGGCAGCTGCTGCTGCTAAGTAATATGAAGTAGGAGCGTCCAATGCAAGGGGGTAGTTAGAGGCCAGTGGATCAAAACCGCAGCTGGGGCCCTCCCAGGGCACCAGATGTCCTGGCACCCAGTGGTGATCTCAGGGCGCTCCCCTTTTTTGTAACAGCTTTATTGAGATATAAGTCACATACCATACAATTTACCCATCTAAAGTATACAATTTAATAGTTTAGGCTGGGCATAGTGGCTCATGCCTGTAATCCCAGCACTTTGGGAGGCTGAGGCGGGAGGATTACTTAAATTCAGGAGTTTGAGATCAGCCTGGGCAACATAACAAGACCCTGTCTCTACAAAAAAAGATAAATAAAACATTAGCCAGGCATAGTGGCACATGCCTGTAGTCCCAGCTACTTGGGAGGTTGAGGTAGGAGGATTGCTTGAGCCTGGGAGGTTGAGGCTGCAGTGAGCCATGATTGTACCACTGCACTCCAGCCTGGGTGACAAAGCGAGACCCTGACTCAAAAAAAAAAAGAAAAAATTCAATATATTCACAGAGTTGTGCAACCATCACCACAATCAATTTTAGAAAATTTCATCACCCCGAAAAGAAATCCTGTACCCTATCCTCTCCCAAAGCAAACCACAAATTTACATTTTTTTTTCTCTGTGGATTTGCCTATTCTGAACATTGTATTTAAACAGGATCATACAATATGTGGTCTTTCGTGTCCGACTTCTTTCATGTAGCATGTTTTCAAGGCTCGCCTAAGTTGTAGCATGTAGCAGTACTTCATTCCTTTTTATTGACAAATAATATTCCATTGCATTTATATACCATATTTTATCCATTCATCAGTTGATAGACATTTGGGTTGTTTCTCCTTTTTGGCTGTTATGAAGAATACTGCTTAAACATTCATATACAAAGTTTGTGTGGACATGTGCTTTCATCTGTAACAGGGAATAGAATTGTGGCATTATATGGTAACTCTATGTTTAAGCTTTTTTTGTCTTTTTTTTTTAAACGGAGTGTTGCTCCATCACCCAGGCTGGAGTGCAGTGGCACGATCTCAGCTCACTGCAAACTCCACCTCCCAGATTCAAACAATTCTCCTGCCTCAGCCTCCCGAGTAGCTGGGATTACAGGAGTGTGCCACCACACCCGGCTAATTTTTGTATTTTGAGTAAAGACGGGCTTTCACCATGTTGGCCAGGCTGGTCTCAAACTACTGACCTTAAGTGATCTGACTACTTCGGCCTTCCAAAGTGCTGGGATTACAGGCATGAGCCACCACGCCCGACCTCTATGTTTAAGCTTTTGAGGAACTGCCAGACTGTTTTCCAAAGTGGCTGCACTATTGCACATTTCACACACAACAGCAGTAAGTGAGGGTTCCAATTTCTCCACATTCTTGACAATACTTCTTATTATCTGTCTTTTTTGTTATAGCCATCCTGTAAGTGTGAGTGGTATTTTACTGTGGTTTCGATTTACATTTTCCTAATGAGTAATGATGTTGAGCATCTTTTCATGTACTCATTAGACACATATATTTTAATTGGAGAAGCATCTATTCAGATCCTTTGCCTACTTTTAAACTGAGCTATTTGTCTTTTTGTCTTTTTATTATTCAATTGTAACAGTTATTTATATATTCTAGATACAAGTTGCTTATCAGGCATATGGTTAGCAAATATTTTCTCCCATTCTGTCGGTTGTCTTTTCACTTTTTTTGATGGTGTCCTTTGCAGCACAAAAGTTTTTAATTTTGATGAAATCCAATTTATGTTTTATTCTTTGTTGCTTGTGCTTTTGGTGTCATTTTAAAGGAATCATTATCTGATCTAAGGTTAGGAAGATTTATCCTTATATTTACTTATAGGAGTTTTATAGTATTAGCTCTTCTATATAGGTCTTTGATCCATTTTAGTTAATTTTTATATATTGTGTGAAGTATGGCTCTGATGTTAGTTGCATGTATGTTTATAATTATCACATCTTCCTGATGGATTACACTTTTATCATTGTAAAATGTCCCTCTTTATCTTCAGTAATTAAAAAAATTTTAAATCTACTCTGTCTGACAGTAATACAGCCCCACCAGTTTTCTTATGGTTGCTGTTTGCTATATATATATGTAGGAAATAATATATATATATGAAATACATTGGAAATCAAACAAACCAGAGTAATTAACATTTTTAATTAAAGTGGATAACGATAAATCAACATTCTGTATTTTAAAAAGTAAATCATTCAAAAACTTTGGTGGTTTATTGCTGTAAGAAATTCGTTGCAAGACATTTCAGAACTGATCAGGACAAACCTCTGGGCATCAGCATAGTCACTGTGAACTACTAGTTTAGGGTAGAGTTTCTGTCTCTGCTCTACTCATCTGCCTGGAAGTTTGACTAATAAACTTCTGAGCCCCTTCATCATCATATATATATATATATATATAATTTTTAATAATTTTAATTTTTTATTTCTCTTACATTTCCCCTTGTTTATTCACAAGAATTATATATAATTAACATGTTTGTCTAAATAAATTCAAAAGGCCATTTAAATAGAAAAGTTAAAACACAGATAAAAATATTGTATTGGTTTATTTGGCAGTTTTTTTTCTTAGTGGTACATAATATTTGCATAATTACAATTGGTGACATGATGAAACATGATACAATAAATTTAAATTAATATGAAATAGTATGATACAACATTAGGACAACAGATGCCATATGACTCTGATAATACCTCCATTTACTTTCCTAAAGTTTTGCAAAAATTTTACGCTTGGTTATCACTTCAAAAGAATGGGCAAAATCTTAATGCATGGCTTCCTACCACAGCACGTCCTCCTGACTCTTGGTATCTAACTCCTTGGAGACCAGTTTTGGGGCTTCACTCTTCACCCTCCAGGGATCTATTACTTCCTTGTTAGTGCTCCTGATCAGTGTGCTGGCTCTCTCGCTCCAAAATCTATTGATCAATTGCAGGTCATTCAAGGGCTGTTCAAAGTGGAGGGGAAATATTACTTTTCAGCTTGAGTTTTGGATGCATATTTGGTTTTAGCTTTTTTTTTTTTTTTTTTTTTTTTTTGAGACAGTCTCACTCTGCCACCCAGGCTGGAGTGCAGTGGCGTGATCTCAGCCTCCTGGGTTCAAGCAATTCTTGTGCCTCAGCCTCCTGAGTAGCTGGGATTACAGGTGTGTGCCACCACGATGGTAGATATCCATTTTTTTCTACCCTCTTATTAAATCTATTTACATCTTTAAATCTAAAGTGTGCCTCCTGTAAACAGCATATTGTTGGATCTTGTTTTTATTTTGTGTGTTTTTAAATTAATTTATTTTTATTTTATTGTTATTTTTTGGAGATAAGATGTCTTTCTTTGTTGTCCAGGCTGGAGTGCTGTGGTTCATCACGTTAGCCGTAACCTTGAACTCCTGGGCTCAAGCGATCCTCCCACTACCGCCTCCTGAGTAGCTAGGACTTACAGGTGTGTGCCACCATGCCAGGCTAATTTTTATTTCATTTTATTTTTTGTAGTGTCGGGGTCTCTTTTTGTTACCCAGGCTGAAACTCCTGGCCTCAAGCAATCCTCCTGCCTTGGACTCCCAAAGTATTGGGATTATAGGCATAAGCCACCGCAACTGGACAGATCTTATTTTTAAATTGGGTCTGACTATCTCTGCCTTTTGGTTGGATTGTTTAATCCAGTGGTGCCCAACCTTTTTGGCACCAGGGACTGGTTTCATGGAAGACAATTTTTCCACAGTGGAGGGTGGTGGTGGTGGGTGGTGGGGGGGTATGGTTTCGGGATGAAACTGTTCCACCTCAGATAATCAGGCATTAGATTCTCATAGCAGTGTGCAACCTAGATCCCTCTCATGTGCAGTTCACAATAGGGTTCCAGCTCCTATGAGAAAATGAGAATCTTTTTTTTTTTTTTTTGAGACAGAGTCTCACTTTGTCACCCAGGCTGGTGTGCAGAGGCAAGATCTTGGCTCATTGCAAACTCTGCCTCCTGGGTTCAAGCAATTCTCCTGCCTCAGCCTCCCGAGTAGCTGGGACTACAGGCACCCACCATCAGGCCCAGCTAATTTTTATATTTTTAGTAGAGATGGCGTTGTGCCATGTTGGCTAGGCTGGTCCCAACTCCTGACCTCAGGCGATCTGTCCGCCTTGGCCTCCCAAAGTGCTGGGATTACAGGTGTGAACCACTGCACCTGGCCTCCTATGAGAATCTAATGCCACCACAATCTGACAGGAGGTGGTTGCCTGCTGCTCACCTCCTGTTGTGAGGCCTGGTTCCTAAGAGGCCAGAGACGACTACCAGTCCATGGTGCAGGGGTTGGGGACCCCTGGTTTAATCCATTCACATTATCGATATACATAGTTGAATTTCCATCTGCCATTTTCTAAACATGTGATGTCTTTTTTGTTCCTCTATTTCTCCTTCAGTGCTTTTTTTTACATTAAGTGAATATTTCTAGTGGGACATTTTAATTCCTTTAATGATTTTTTTAACTACATTTTTTAGTGATTTTCATCATATTTGGTCTAGGGCTTACCTGTGGGCAGTGTACTACACTATCTTCCTGTCCCATCCAGGTAAGCTGTCCACAGCAAAGGTCCTGGGCGGAGGCCACAGCGGGAAAGTTGCCTGAAGAGCGATGCATGGCCTTGGACAAGGAAGCCCCAAGGAGGAGAACTGGGGCCTTGAGATGGCCATAGGTGGCCCCAGTGAGCAATACAGCGGCTGTAGCTTTGATGGGCATGTTTTTGGGCTGCACGGCCCTGGGAATCACCTCAGATTTATGAGTCAGAATAGATGTCCCGGCCCTAGGACAGGGGTCTGGGGTGAGGATTAAAGGGTGTGTCCTAGGGTCTGGGCACCACTGCTGTCTGGCTGCCCTGGCAACTGCCTCTGCCACCTCTGTCCCATGCCTTGAATGCCTCCCATCGTGAGCCCCTGAACTGTCCACACTCCTCTCTGCACCAGGGGCCAATAAGACTGTGGGGCAGGGCTCAGTGAGAATGGCAGCTGCCCCACCCTTCCCTTGCACATCCTAAAATGTGTCAAGGCCTGAGCTGGGACTGGCTAGCAGGCAGACAGGGGATGAAGGGCAGAGCAGGGGCATCTGATGTGGGGAGGCATCGGGAGTGGAGGCTGGTGAAATGCTCTGCCTTCTCTGGTCAGCTGAAGCCCTGCTGAGAAAGTACTGGGTCCCTATTGGAACCCACTCTCTGCACATCTGGAAATCTTTGGAAATAGACCAGAGACCAGGGTGCAGGTGTGCCATGGGACAAGGTGAAGACACAGGATCACCTACACACCAGAGTCCACCCAGTAGGACAGGGTGCCCTGCCACTCACTTAGACTTCCACAGGGGCCTGACTGAGGGCTTGAGGGGCCAGGGTTCAGCCCTTGGTTGGGGGTGGGGTGCATATTGGGAGGGAAGCTCTGCCCTTTCATCTTCACCCCAGGCCCCTGCCCCTCATCCCAGTGATGCTCAGCTTCCTGGCATCCACCACACAGTAGTGCAGGGTGCTGCCTGCCAAGCGCTGGTCCAAGGTAGAGGTGGGGGTACAGTGTCTGAGGATCCATGTGGGAGACCGCAGAGGAGAGGACCTGCCCTAGGCCTCTGACCTCCCACCCTGGCCCTCACCCCCAATCCCAGTGCTGGCTCCTGGATCCCAAAGGCTCAGAGCCCCTTGCAAGGTCTTCCCCCATGAGATCTGGGCCTCACTCCTTCTCCGCCTCTGCACCCTTGGACAGTCGAGGCTGGTGGGCCCACGTGGCCTCCACCAAACCCCTGAGTCTCCTGGGAGATATACCTGGAGCAAGAGGGGTGATTAACATACAGACCAGGACTTGCACTGGGGTATGCAGGTCAGAGAATGCACACGCACAGGTGTGCAGGTGCCCAGCTCAGCGTCAGGCCCTTCCCAGCCCTGCCAGGGGCCAGGGGGAAAGCACTCCCTCCCCCCATTAGCTGCCACCAGCCTGCCTCCCGGGGCACTCAGAACACGCACGGTCCCCGGGCCAGCTCTGCCCCTCCCACCAGGAGGTATGGGCAAGAGACAGGAGGGCGACAGAATGGAAGAAAAGGGATTTCTTCCCTCTGCCTGCAACGTTCCCAGGGCCACAGGTCCCAAAGGACGGCCCCTCTGAGGGTGGAGGTGGTTCCCAGCTGATGCTAGGCCTTGGATGCCTGGAAACTCCACAGTGGCTTTCAGAACCCTGTCTACACCTTTGCAAGTGTCCACTTCACTCAACTCTCCTCTGTCCAATATCACCTGTGTCCTGCCAGGATCCTCACCTGGAGCCACCTAGTTGGAGCGTGGGCTCTCGGCCTGGGTCCCTGGGGTAGCCAGGGAGCCTCCTGGACATCACCAAACCCCTGGAGACAGTGCTCAGTCTCCCAAGAGCTGTGGGGGAAGCAGAAGAGGGACTGGCAGGACAATTGGAGGATGGCCCAGAAGAGCCAGGCTGGAGGGAGGGAGGGAGAGTGGAGAGAAGACGGCACTACCTTGCCTCTTGGTGAAGGATGCTTCTTGGATCTGTTCTTTTTCTTTCTTTTCTATTTAAAAAAACATTACTTAGGGCCGGGTACAGTGGCTCATGCCTGTAATCCCAGCACTTTGGGAGGCCGAAGCAGGAGGATCATGAGGTCAGGAGATCAAGGCCATCCTGGCCAACATGGTGAAACCCCGTCTCTACTATAAATACAAACTTTAGCCAGGCATGGTGGTGGGTGCCTGTAGTCCCAGCTACTCGGGAGGCTGAGGCAGGAGAATTGCTTGAACCTGGGAAGCGGAGGCTGCAGTGAGCTGAGATTGTGCCACTGCACTCCAGCCTGGGTGACACGAGCAAGACTCTGTCTCAAAAAAAAAAAAAAGAAAAAAGAAAAAAAGAAAAAGGAAAAGAAAAGAAAAAAAGAAAATTACTTAAAATCTTTATTTTAGACACACTTGAAAGACTTCTTTAAAACAGTTAACATATATAAGTCTTTTGCTTAGGTACAAAGGAAAATACAAACCATATAAATTAGTTAAGCTTTTCCTAAAAAACTCCCTTTTTTTTTTTTTATACAGGTTTAAGTGATTCTCCTGCCTCAGCCTTCCAAGTAGGGTGGACTACAGGCACGCAACACCATGCCCGAGTAATTTTTTGTGTTTTTAGTAGAGACGGGTTTCACCATGTTGACCAGGCTCGTCTTAAACTCCTGACCTCGGGTGATCCACCTGCCTCAGCCTCCCAAAGTGCTGGGATTACCTGCATGAGCCACTGTGCCCAGCCAAAACTTCTTGACGTTGAGAGTTTGAATCTTCTGAATCATGAAACATTTTTAAATTTTTACATTTACATACAGTAAAATTCACTCTTTTTAGTGTACGGTTCTAGGAGTTTCGGCAAAGGTGGAGAGTTGTGTAAACACTGGCACAGTCAAGAGACAGAACCGTTCCCATCACTTCATGCCGTCCCTTAGTGGTCAGCCCTTCCCCACATCCGATCCCCTAATTTGTTCCCTGTTTCTTGATTTCTCTTGGGCCTGTTCCTGTAGTAAGGCAGCCGGGGTAGGGGGTGGCAGGCAGGCTCTTTGGGGGTCCATGATCATTCTTCTGGCACATGGGCCTCCTTCTCTACATAGACAACATGCCAGGGCCGGGGTGAGGAAGGAGGCCGCCAGCAGCCAGCTGCTTTCCATCCTTCCCCAGGCCCAGGGGAGGGAGCGGGAAAAAAGGAGGGCGTGTCCGGGGCAGCTGGGGGTGGGTCTATGGATCTCTGGGCTGGGGGAGAGTGGGAACCCACATGGCTCCCTGGCTCTGCCTGCCCCAGGGAATCAGGCAGGACGGCTGGTCATGGTGAGGCAGCCGCCCAGAACCGCCAGAGCACTGGGCATGTTCTACGGAGCAGCTACTGCTATGTTGAGTATAATCACTTCCACAGTGTGTGTCAGGCACTGGGCCGGGCCTGATCCCCGCAACAGAACAGTTGCCCCGCAACAGTTCTTTGTTGCCGACGGTGTATCGTTAGTTCCATTTTACAACGAGGACACCCAGACTTGGAGAGGTTGAACAACTTGCCGAGCTCATCCAGCTAGGACCTGAACCCAGGTCTGTCTGGTTCCCAAAGGATAAAATGTCGCTGATGGTTTAGTCTGGTTCAAGTGCCAGTGCCTCATGTCACTAGCTGCTGTGTGCCTTTGGGTAAACTGCCCCAACCTCCTGAGCTTGGCTGACTGTCCCCTGGTGCAGTCCTCTTGGGCTGTCCTATGGTCTGCTACTGCAAAGCAGAGCCTCCTTCGAGCCAGTGAAGAGGCACCATAAGCTCTTTCTTGCCTGAGCAGGCTGCCCTTTCTTCTTCCTAACTTCTCCTGCACCCCTACTCCCTAGCAACGGCCCTGGACAGGTTATCAGGGTATGTCAGTATCCCCATGGCTTTGGAGGTGCTGCTCCAGGAGAGAAAGGAGGAGGACAGGCCGGGAGACACAGAGGAGACCCGACCCTCGAGACAGGCATGGGTCGGTGGAGATGTTCCTGAATCCACAGGTCCACCGGCACACTCAGGGGCCCAGTCTGTCCGGCACAGGGGTCTGGATGGGCGTCAGAGTTCAGTTGGCTCCTGGCTTGGAGAATTGCAAAGCACCAAGGCTCCGGGACACTGGCCTAGTAAGAACCTGCCCCCAGAACCCTCTCTAATGAGGCCTGACACCCTCTTCTTCCCTGAGAGGGCTCAAGACAGGAGAGGGAGCCCTGGCCCATGGTCCCCGCCAGGGTTCTTCAGCCCCTAGGCTCTCCGCTTCCTTGAATTTCTGCTCCCAGAATCAGAGGCTACGGGAACAGGACAGACTCCTGGAGGGTGCCCCACCAAGAGCCCCCAAGGCCTGACCCATAGGGTCATAGTGTTGGCCCAGGGGTGAGCAGCTGGCAAGAGCCAAACACCAGGCCCTGCAACTCTGTGCAGCTGCCAGCCCCCAAGTGCTCCCTCTCCTTCCTGCCTCACACCTGAAATTCTCAACTTGCAACGCACCCCCACACCCTACCCGTCAGGGGCCAGAGAGGGACAGCCGGGATATGCCTCCTCATGGTTGAGTGTCGAGAGGCCACACGAGAGGAACGTCATACCCCACACCCCTCCCATGACCTAATACATCAGCGACTGCAGGCCAGAGAGTATTGGGGTCAGCCCTGGAGGGGTCCCCCACAGAGGGTAGCTCTGTCACCTCCCCACCACTCTGAGGAGAGCACCCCATGCCCTTGGGCTGGCCCTGCCATCCTGGAGAGAATCTAGTCTCTCCCCGTTTCCCATCTGAGCCCACCTGGGAGGGACCACCATCCTGCCCAGGAGCAGCCCTAGCCTTGGTTCTAAGCTGCAGAGGCTTGAGATGGATCTGGTTCAGAAATGCTTCAGAGTCTGAGGCTGGTGGCCCCCTTTACCCCACATCAAAGACGGGTGGACCTCGTGGGCCTGGCTGGGACATCTGCAGATGCTGAGCTTCAACAAGGCTCATTCTGGGACAAAAGTGCATACCGGAGGTCTTTGGCTGGTGCCTGTGGGGCTGGATTGGCATCTGTCCCCACAAAGCAGTGGCCCTAGAAGGCTGGGGTCTCCAGCTAGACTTTGTCCTTTTCCCTTTCCTCCTTGTCCAGGTGCCTCATGCTCCACAGCGAGCCCTCGAGACATGCAGGAAGGATGGATGTCCCACCCCTTCCGTAACAGAGCCCAGGAGCAGGGAAGGAAGTGGTTTGAGCACAGTGCTGAGCTAAGCAAGTTTTAGAAGCACTGAATCAGACCACGTGCAGCCAGTAGGGGAGGAGAGAAACTCTGGGCCGGTGTCCTGGAGGCCCGCGGGGGACAGGGGCACAGAGGCGCAGACTCAGGATGCTGAGCTGGGAGAGGAATCCCGGAGGAAAGTGAGAGGGCTTCAGCACGTTTATTTAAAGGGGATGGTGAGAAATCTAGGAAAGAGTGAAATCCCAAGATCTGAGGGTTTAAGTGAGAGAGGTAGGTAGAGACTGGAGTTTTGGGGGAGTTCCCGTGGGTTTCAGGGCTTGCTTGAGCTGTGGATCCAAGGCCTGGAGGACAGGGTGGGGCCAGAACAGATTCCACCGACAAGGGCAGGAGCCAGGTTGCAGGCATCAGAGAGGACAGGTGACCTGTCGGGGCCTGGAGCAAGGGCCCGGGCAGCTTCCTCCACAGGCCATGTGAAGACAGAGCCATGGATTGGGAAAGGTGGAGACTCCGAGTGTAGAGGTGTCCATGTAACAGTGCTGGCTGAATGGGGGACTTCCAGGTCACACCCCAAAAAGCTCTGAGCCGGTGTTAGTAAGAAATGGGGAGGAAGGCCCAGCTGTGGCGCCCTGGGCATTAATCCTAAAAAAAAAGATACTACTTCTATGTGCCAGAAACTTCAAAGCAAGTGAACACTTCAAGTACGAGAACCAGAGGTGTTTTTTTGTTTTTTCTTTTTTCTTTTGAGACGGAGTATCGCTCTGTCACCCAGGCTGGAGTGCAATGGTGCAATCTCGGCTCACTACAACCTCCGCCTTCTGGGTTCAAGCAATTTTCCTGCCTCAGCTTCCCGAGTAGCTGGGATTACAAGTATGAACCACCACGCCTGGCTAACTTTTGTATTTTTTTTTTTTTAGTAGAGACGGGGTTTCCCCATGTTGGCCAGGCTGGTCTCGATCTCCTGACCTCAGGTCATCCACCTGCCTCAGCCTCCCAAAGTGCTGGGATTACAGGCGTGAGCCACCCCACCCGGCCAAGAGGTGTTAAAATCTAAATCAGACTATGTCATGCCTCAGATCTGAACCTTTCAGTGACTGTCCCTAGCAAAGCCATAGCCTGTGAGGTGCCCCTCAAGGCCTCACCCGATTTCATTACTTGAGGATTTATCGTCTATCTTACTCTGCAGAATGGAAGCTCCAGGAGGGCAGGGGTTTTTAGACAAAGTAGAAATTGTCCACCACTTTATCCTGGCAGGTACAACATGCCCGATAAGCATTGTTGAATGTAGACTCACAGCCAATTCGTGACACTGGTGTCACCATTCTCCTTTACAGATGGGAAATGGGGCTTCTGGGGGAGTGAATGGCTTGCTTAGGTCACGCAATTCTAGATTGCAGAGTGAGGATTTGACTCAGACCTGTTGACCTCAGAGCCTGATGTCCAGCCAACAAGTTCTCAGAAACTCGGGGTTTCTGAGAAATAGGACAGTCAGCCTGGGGACCCCTGAGAGCCCAGGCCGAGGGGGTGGGTTTCCTGGGGTAGAGGTTTTGAGAGGCAAAGGCAGTTGTCATCAACCCAGGCTGCACTGAAGGGGGCTGTTCCAGAGCCAGGGTGCATTGTTCAGCTGCCCAGTGGGCCTCTGGGTTTCTTTCAGTTCCCTTTGGTGACACGGCTTCCCTCCTCCCCCCTGCTCCCCACCCCAGCCACCCCACTCTACACTCGCTCACACAGCGTAGCTTCTACTCGAGTCAGGGGAGGGTGCCTCCTACCACACCCTCAGTCTGTGATATTCCAGCCAGGGGAAATGGGGGAAGGGGCCATCTCACTGTGGGGAGTGGGGGGCCCGGACAGACCTCCCTGTCCCCACCGCCTCCTGGCCCATCAAGGGGAAATGGGAGTGCTCACACAAGGGCCGGGTGTGGCTTCACTTCCCCTCTACTTGCCCTTCCACCCCCAGGATGGCACTGGGAGGCCAAGGGATCCCAGATCCTGGAAACACTGGAGTGCTGCTCTCTGTCCTTCCTTTCTCCTGGGCCATGTCTCTGGCCCCAGATGATTCTTGGCTCAGGTTCTTTCAGTTGAGGGAAGTCAGGATCTGAGCCAAGCTGAGCCCCTGCATAGCCTCTATCCCGGGAGCCCCATATCAATGCTGCCGGCTTGGTAACATCATCCCCCTTTTAGAGACGAGGAAATGAGATTTGAGGTCCTACTTAAGGCCACTTGGCTGGAATACAGCAAAGCCAGGTGCAAGCCCCTTCTCTGCACGCAGCCCGTGCTGCTTCTTGAGGTTCAGAGGCTCTAAGGAAGGGGCCTCACCTGAGCAAGATGGACAGTGGGAAGGGGGCAGAGGGCAGAATTCTAGGGTCTCACGGTCCCTCAGAATGGGTGAGGAGTATTTGATAACAAAAGAAGGCTCTTCTTAGCTATTGCTCCAGATACGACCAGCATAGAATATTTTTCTATTAAGCATAACTGACCTCCAGTGAAAAAGGTTCCCATTTTGTGGGGAGCCACTTTTGAAATAGCAATTTCATTTTATTATTATTATTTTGAGATAAGATCTCACTTCTACGCCCAGGCTGGAGTGCGGTGGTGTGCCTCCTGGGTTCAAGCAATTCTCCCACCTCAGCCTCCCAAGTAGGTGGAACTATAGGTGTGTGTCACCACGCCAGGCTAATTTTTGTATTTTTTGTAGAGACAAGGTTTTGCCATATTGCCCAGGCTGGTCTCGAACTCTTGGACTCAAGTGATCTGCCTGCCTTAGCCTCTCAAAGTGTTGGGATTACAAATGTGAGCCACCGTGCCTGGCCTAGCAATTTCATTTTTAAAGAAAGAAATATAAAACGATCTACCCATTCACATTTTCCCCATCCATACTTTAAATTTTAAAAATATGAAATAATGAAATACTCAGCAGATACAAATAATAAAATACTTATATATAATGATATTTCGACTTCATATTAGGGCTTCAAAGGTCAGGAAAGAGGGAGAGATACAGAAGAGAAAAAAAAAAAACGTTAACACATGAGTGTCTTTTTTTAACTTGTTAAAGGTAAAGTTCAACCCAGGAGAAGGGAGGGGAGGGAAGGTCAAAGTTCTGATTCATCAACAAATACTACTTTATTTGTTAAAAATACAAGGCTCTGCTTGGCGCAGTGGCTCCCGCCTGTAATCCCAGCACTTTGGGAGGCCAAGGCGGGTGGATCGCCTGAGGTCAGGAGCTCGAGACCAGCCTGGCCAACATGGTGAAACCCCGTCTCTACTTGGGAGGCTGAGGCAGGAGAATCGCTTGAACTGGGGAGGCAGAGGTTGCAGTGAGCTGAGATCGCACTGCTGCACTCCAGCCCGGGTGACAGAGCAAGACTCCATATCAAAAAATAAAATAAAATAAAATGAACAATGAAAAGACAGGAGGGAGGTTCCTGAGTAAGCTGATTCGAGTGGAAATCAGACATCAAAATTGAAACCCGCTGAATTTTCCAAAAAGCCAGATGCTCATAGAACTGAAGCTTGAGACACTTACATCAGTACACCTGCTGCCTGTTGACCAATTCCTCTTCCTTGTCCCTCCTGTTTTCCTTCCCTGCTATATAAGCCCCTAACTTTAGTCAAGGGGAGGGATGGATTGGAGGTTTGTCTCCCCTCTCAACAGCTCACTGGCTGATGTCACCGGAATAAAGTCTTCCCTGGCAATACTCGCTGTCTCAGTGATAGGCTTTCTGTGCGGTGAGCAGCCAGACCTGGACCAAACCCCTGGCAATCCATAACAAAATCATAAGCAAAATCAACCAGGAAGCTATTTGCACCCTGGAACCCCACCTGGGAGGGGAAGTCAAGGCAGACTTTCCAGAGAAGGCGATGCTGAAAATTTCAGAAACAGAAATTTTGAAGAGCAAGAGTTACCAAGCGAAGAACATTCCATGAGAAGGAACAGGAGGTGTGTGAAGGTGGAGGTTCTGGGGTGAGGTTCTTTATGGAATCGAAAACGGTTCAGAACCACAGGTCGACGGTCAAGGTAGTAGTGAGAGGAGGTGGGACAGGCGACCACGCCGCTGCCCCTGGGATGACTGGAAGGCGACTTAGGGGAGCTGGGGCGAGACAGGTGCAGGGTTTGAGGATGAGAAAGGCACAGAGTGACTAGAGGATTCCCGCCTGCAAGCACATCTGGAAGGGGTGTCTGGATCCTGGGGGCAGCGACTGTGTTCTAGGGCGAGAGCCACCCTCGCCAGGGGTGTAGGCAGGCGAGAGGAGGGCCTGGAGCTGTGGGTCGGCCACACTGCGCCCTCATTTGTGTGCAGCCCCGGAGGACCAGAGTGGGGAAGCACCCCACCCTCTCCCAGGGCCCAACTGAGCACTGCAGCGGGAGGTACGGGGTTGTCAAATGACAGTTTTGCCATTCCAGATTGCCAAAAGAGCCAGTGGCCAGTCTAGGGCACCGCGCCGTCTGGCATCTCCCTGGAGGCCCTGGGCCTGGCCCGAGGCTCAGCCCGGATCTGCAGTTGCCAGGTCAGTGCGGGGCCCGGAGTGGATTCGCGGGGCGGGGCGGGGCACTGCCCGCGCCCGGAGCTCAGCAGCAGCTGCCCAGGGGCGGGGGCGGCAAGACGCGGAAGTGCCCGGCAGGTTGGCGGACCGGCGGGAGGCGCAGCCTGGGCAGAGCTCAGCTTGGTCCCGCCGCCCGGCCGGTGCTCCCTGGCGCAGCCACGCAGGCGCACCGCAGACAGGTGGGTCCCGGCCGCCGCGCTCTCCTCTCTGCGTCCGCGCCCGGCGCGCCCCGAGGGTGGCGGGAGCGGTGCCGGCTACTGCCCCCAAGTCTAGGCCTAGACTGGGCCCCGCGCCCCCCAGGCACCTGCGGGCGGCGGGATGAAGACTGGAGTAGGGCGGGGTCCGCGTCCAGCTGCGCCTGGAAAGCGAGCTCGGGTGGGTGCCTACAGCAGGGTGCGCCCGGCCGGCCTGGGACTTCCAAAGCGCCTCCCACGCCCCGATCGGTTTGGGGTGCTGGCGCCCGGGGAGCCCAGTGACCCAGGCGGCGGAGTGGGCAGCGCTGCGGGGGGCGCCGGCTCTGCTGCTCTCCCTCCCCCTCGCCATCGCCCAGAATGGGGGTTCCCGGGAGCCCCGCTGGAGGCTGGCTTGGACCACAGAGGAGCGAGGCCCGATCCTTACTTTCGATGCACTCGCCCTTGCTCTTACCGGGCCACCCTCACCCTTTCGGAAAAGAGGTTGAGGTTAAAGCGTTCATCCCCCGGGATCTTCAGGCCAATGGCAGGAACTGTGCAAGAGTTTGGGGGAAGATGGTGTCAGGTAGAGGCTGCGTCCCTGGGCTCGCGGCCGGGAATGGCAGACTCTCGTCCCCCGAGCAGCGGAAAAGGATGGGGCGCAATAGTTCCTGGGCTGGTTTCCTCAGGTCCTGTCCCAGAACTTAAGAAGGCAACAATGAAGAGGCTAAACGTGGAGGAAAAGTGAGGCTAGCATGGCCGGGATGCGTGGGGAGATGGTTGTCTCCGGACCCCGGGAGGGGCGGGAGCGGGTACCTGGGAGCAGAGGCTGGAGTGGGGGACTTTCCCAGCCTCGCGGCCACGCTGAACACAGCAGGGCGAGGACCGGGGTGCTGCTCCTCCAGCAGCAGGAGGAGAGGTCCAGAGGCCGACTCTGGAGGTGGGGGTGGCTCCGCGGGCTGGCCCAGGGGGTGTGCCCCAGCGGAGCACGCGGGAGGGGTGGGGGCGGAGGGGAGGGGGGAGCAGGGGCGGAGGACTGGGCTGGGCCTGGGCTCCTCGAGGGCCCAGAATGGGGATAAGTGACCAGAACCAGAGAGGGCTCGGCTGTATCGATGTAGGAAACTGTAGCCCCTCAGGAGGCCCTCTGGCAAGACCTCCCCTTCCTGCCCCCACCCCCAGTAGTTATGGGGCCTGGGGTGCTGGGGCTGAGGGGTTCCAAGAGTCAAGGGAAGCACTGGGAAATCACCCCTTTTTATCTAAAGGCCCTACTTTGGGGTTTTTCCCCTGTACCCTGGTCTTCCCCTACCCTGACCCTGGGAGGAAGCTGAAAGAAGCTTCTTTCTGGGCACCTTTTGCCCCAGAGCCTCAGCCTGTCTGGACCAGGTGGGCAGCAGGGCCCAGGGTGTGGGCAGCTGACCCGGAGGGGTGGGATTTGGGGGTCAGGGCCTGTACAGGGAACCCCTTGTCCTCTCCCTGAGCTGGGTGTGGGTTTGCAAGGAGACATGTGACCCAGACCAACCCTGGGAGCAGCAGGGCGCCTGCTGTCTGGCCACTCTTACTAGGACTGCTGTGGCACTTCCTCCCCTAGTGGGTCCCTGGTGCCCATGAATTGCAGCTCCTGGGTGGTGGTGGGGGCACTGTCTCCTGGGACTCCAGCATGGCCCTGGGGTGAGCTGTGGGCTTACCCCACCTCAGCAGGTCCTCTAGGGCTGCCCACTGGATGCTTCGCTGCCTCACACAATTGTAGGGACTTCCTCAGGCTGTTGGATTTCCCCACCTTCCGGGGCTCAGGTCCATTGACTTAGGTCTAGGGCTCCATACATTTCACCCAGAGACTCCGGAGCCTGGCAGGCAGACCTGTTCTGACACCGAACTTCCAAAGTCATGGGCCTTGATTGGGGTGGTCTGAATTAGACCTAGCCCTTTTCTGGGCAGAAGGGAGCTTCTAGGAGGATGGATGCTGTTCGGGTTAGAGCTCGTGTGGACCTAGCTGCAGGCAAAAGCCTTGAGGCTGAGTCCCTTCTGTGGCATGGTGGACAGACTCTCGCTCATCACAGCCGGGCTTGTCACGGGAGCTCCTCCTCCACACCCCTCCCTAAGCTGCCTGTATGGACGCGGCCCTCTGACACTGAGGTCGGAGTTATCATTTCAAAACCTTGCTCTGTATTAAACAGCCGTGTTGGGCAGGGCCAGACTGCTGGACTGACAGTAGGGGGCAGGCAGCCGGACCCTCTGAGCTCCCCAACGGCACCAGCGCCTGCACGGCCTCAGCCCAGGGGGTCATTAGGGAAGCTCTCCCCGATTCTGTGCAGACAGAGCTTCCTCTGTCCACCCTTGCTCGGCCAGAATTGTGTGCCGCTGGTGACTGGCACCCCTCTATTCTAGGGCCAAGGCCTCTCAGGGGTCTACAGATACAACTATGGGTGGGTGCACACCCATGTTATAAACCACACTAAATGCACAAAAACTGTCTGCAAGTTTGGGGTGCGGGGAACAGCTCTGGGTGGGAGGTTGGAAATTTGGTCTGGGGGACCCACTCGGCTCCCTCCCTCAGCCCACAGTGAGTCTGGTTTCTGAGTTGTCCCGGTCTAGCCACTTTCGTTTCCCCTGGGGCCGGGTGGAGGCTGGGGCAGAAAGCGGAACTGAGCCCGCGTGTTCTGAGGCCAGGGCAGGGCTGGAGCGTTCTGAACACCTCCCCGTCCCAGCCCCTGGGCCAGGCAAGGGCCGGCCTTACCTCTCCTGGGTTGGTGGCAGCAGAGCTGGGCTCTGAGGGAGGCCTGCAATGTGAGACAGTAGCAGCTCAGAGGCGGCACTAGGCAGGTGCAACCCCAAAAGGTACTGGGCAGGGAATTTCAGGGGAAACTGAGGCTCCATGCTGCAAGGCCAAAGCAGGCCCAGACACAGGGAGTTCAGCTCGAACGTTTGCTCCTTACTTGCTGACCGACACATTCACTTCTGATGGGCTGTGCTGTGTAATGACCCAGTCCTTTCTGTCTTCCACCCAGGGGTCTCAAGTGAAGGGCCAAGGGCATGGGTAAGGGGAGGAGAGGGACAGAAGGGGACTCAGGACTGTGGAGAGTTTCCGGTTCTGGGCTGGAGAGGGAGTTGGGCAGGTGAAGGGGAGGAGGCAGGGTCCCTCTGGCCTGACTCCAGGGAGGCAGTGAAGCTGTGGCCTGGGAGGCGGGGCTCGTGCCCCTGGGTAGGTAGCAGTTAGAGCTGTGGCTTCTGTTTCCTGTAGCCTTCCTAACAGGCTCCGGCAGGCGTTAGGGCCTTCCTAAGTGCTACCCGAATGCGTGTCCAGTGGGAGGAGAAGGGGGAGGACCAAGAACCTAGATGAATGGCCCTAGAGAGGTAACATCTGTTTGGTGCCTGCTGTCATTGGAGGTGGGTTGAGTTGGTTGATGGGATTTCTCTAAAGATATTGAGAAACTGCTTTCCTCTGAGGGCAGGTGTCCTTGGGAGCTCCAGATGAGATTCTTGTTGAGGGCATCTCCGGAGGGAACTCTCAGGGGATGGAGGGTGAGAAAACTTGGGCAGGGAAGAATCGAACTAGGGGTGTAGACTGAGCAGGAGGCTGTCTTCGGGCTGATCCCACAGAGCGCTCGCTGTCCCAGGTAGCCAGCTTGAGACAAGACAGCCGGGCTTTTGGTGTCAGGCAGTCACTGGCTGTGGGCTGCCCCCCAAGAGCAAGGGGTGGGCCTAACCTGTGGTGTGAGTAGTGGAAGGCGGTTCTCTGGCCAACGGGCTGCTTGCTGCTGTTAGCAGTTGGAGAATGGATGCCTCTGCCCGGTAAAGGGCACCTGGGGCCGCGCCCGCAGCATTCACTAACTCGTAACTCTCCTTCCCTTCCTCCAAACACAAAATTCCATGACACTAGACAAGAAAGCTGATGCTTGGAAAAGAGAATTGGCCTTAAATACCTAGATGGACTGGAGAGACCATCCTTTGTGGTCCATAGCTTGACCTCTGAGTACCCTGTCCCCATCCACCTGCAGACCTGCTGAGGCTCCCCTCTGGCTTTCTCCTGCAGACCCCTCTGCCATGAACCAGTCCATCCCAGTGGCTCCCACCCCACCCCGCCGCGTGCGGCTGAAGCCCTGGCTGGTGGCCCAGGTGAACAGCTGCCAGTACCCAGGGCTTCAATGGGTCAACGGGGAAAAGAAATTATTCTGCATCCCCTGGAGGCATGCCACAAGGCATGGTCCCAGCCAGGACGGAGATAACACCATCTTCAAGGTAAGCCCCGGGGAGGAGGTTGGCTGGACCTCCAGGGCACCCTGTCCCCAGAAGAGGAGCGCACATAACGCACACAGGCAGCTCCTCGAGGCTGGCCACCCGCCCAGCTACCATGCTGCTGCTGATGCCGGGCCCGGACTAAGGGGATGCAGACGTAGACACAGGGTACACCTTTTTCCTTTTTTTTTTTTTTTAAGACAGAGTCTCGCTCTGTAGCCCAGGCTGGAGTGCAGTGGCACGATCTCAGCTCACTGCAACCTCTGCCTCCTGGGTTCAAGCAATTCTCCTGCCTCAGCCTCCTGAGTAGCTGGGATTACAGGCATGAGCCACCACGCCTGGCCTAGGGCACATCTTTTCTAACCTGCACCCTAGAGCATCGTGGGGACTGAGGGTCCCCAGAAGGCCTTCCCATAACTCGTCCTACTCACCCTTTGCTCGTCTCACTCCTATTACTCATGAGGACTTGTTCAGTGCACGCATATGCTAAAGGAAGCCAACGATCATCATCTTTCTAAAAATTTTATTTTTAAATTAGTATATATTTATGGGGTACACAGTGGTGATTTGATAAGCACAGTGATCAGATCAGGTACTTAGCATATCCATAATCTCAAACATTTGTCATTTCTTTGTGTTGGGAACAAACTATTTTTAATATAAGATTCAGATACATCATCAATCTTTCAATTGTTTAAATTTTCTAATTTTTTTTAGAGACAGGGCCTCACACTGTTGACCAGATTCCAATTTTTTTTTTTTTTTTTTTTTTTTTTTTGAGACAGGGTCTCACTCTGTCACCCAGGCTGGAGTGCAGTGGCTTGATCTCAGCTCACTGCAGCCTCGACCTCCCAGGCTCAGGTGAGTCTCCCATCTCAACCTCCTTGAGTAGCTGGGATTACAGGTGCCTGCCACCACAACTGGCTAATTTTTTGTACTTTTAGTAGAGACTTTGCCATGTTGCCCAGGCTGGTCTTGAACTCCTGGACTCAAGCAATCCACCCACCTCAGCCTCCCAGAGTGCTGGGATTACAGGTGTGAGCCACCATGCCCGGCCCAATCTTTTTTTTTAATTGATGTACTACAACTGTACATATATACTCTTTTTTTTTTTTTTTGAGATGAGTTGTTGCTCTGTTGCCTAGTGTTGCACCATTGGTGAGCAGTGGTGCAGTCATAGCACAACCTCCAACTCAGCTCAAGTGATCCTCCAGTCTCAGCTTCCTGAGTAGCCGTGACTACAGGTGCATGCCACCATGCCCAGCTAATTTTTTTTTTTTTTTTTGAGATGGAGTCTTGCTTTTTCACCCTAGCTGGAGTGCAATGGCACAATCTCAGCTCACTGCAACCTCTGCCACCTGGGTTCAAGCAATTCTCCTGCCTCAGCCTCCCGAGTAGCTAGGATTACAGGCACCTGCCACCATGCCCGGCTAATTTTTTTTTTTTTTTTTTTTTTTTTTTTTTTTTTTGTATTTTTGGTAAAGACAGGGTTTCACCCTGTTGGCCAGGCTGGTCTTGAACTCCTGACCTCATGATCCACCTGCCTTGGCCTCCCAAAGTGCTGGGATTACAGGCGTGAGCCACCGTGCCCAGCCTAATTTTTTGATTTTGATATTTGTAAAGATGAGGTCTCACTTTGTTGCCCAGGCTGGTCTCAAGCTCATGGGCTCAAGTGATCCTCCCACCTCAGCCTCCTGAGTAGCTGGTATCACAGGCGCAAGCCACTGTGCTCTCTCCAATAATCTTAATGCTAGGATGTACCTCGCATAATAGTTTTTGCTTACATTTTAGTTTTTTTGCACATGTGTGTATATGGAATGCAAAATTGGAATCAAGTGAATATCTTGATTTATAGCCTGGATTTTTTTCACCCAATATCAGGATCAGCTTTCCTTTCCAACATACGTCCACATCACTTTTCGTGACTGTAGAATTTCCACTGGAATGGTTTAGCACAATTTGGTCACTGAGTCTTGGTTTTTAGATACTTGAGATTGCTTTTAAAACCTGAACTTAAAAACCACATTGTCATGTAGGCTGTCTTAATGCTTCCCTTTTTTTCATCCTCAATTATTTTGGGGGTTGATTTCCTAGAGTTGAAAATTGCTGGGTCAAAGGCAATGCTTATTTTTTAAAACTTTGGGTACATATTTTCTTAGTTTTTGGGCTTGATCCTTACCTTTCCAAAATTCTTTTGCTAATCCATTTATTTTGTATAGGTAATACAGTCACAAAATTCAACATTAAAAGGCATAGAATGGTTTAGAGCAAAAAGTCTCCCTCCTTCCCTGGTTCATCACCACCCACTCCCCTCCCTAGCCTTTCCCTAGAGGCAGCCGTGTTGTCATTTTCTTGTTTAGCCTTCCTGAGAGATTTTTATGCACATGTAAGCAAATATGGAACTATCCTTTCCTCTACTTTTCATAAGAAATGCTAGATATCTGCATATTTGTCTAGACTTAATACTTCTTGACGATTGCTACATGTCAGCTTATAAACAGTTTCCTGCTTTTTCTTTTTTTGTGCTGCCCAGTATTTTTCATTCAATGGGTTGGCCGTAATTTCACCAGCCCCTCATTGATGGATGTTGCATTGGGTATTTTGGGTCATCTTTTACACACAGCACTGCTGCGAATAACTTTGTGTGTGCAATATTTTGTGTGAATGCTTCTATGATATTTAGGATGAATTCCTAGAAATCAAATAGCTGGGTTAAAAGGTAGAAAGAAATGTTGGTAACCCTCACCTCACCTAATTGCCATTCAAAATAATACCAACAGCTCCAGTGTCTCGAGCCTGTCCTATGTGCAGGTTTAGCTCTGAGTGCTTTACGGACATCAACTCCCCTCATCTTTTTTGAGATAGGGTATCACTCTGTCGTCCAGGCTGGAGTGCAGAGCATAATCATGGCTCACTGCAGCCTTGAACTCCCCAGCTCAAGCAATCCTCTCACCTCAGCCTCCTGAGTAGCTGGGACCACAGGCACCCACCACTATGC
This sequence comes from Homo sapiens, assembly GCF_000001405.40. Lineage (NCBI taxonomy): Eukaryota > Metazoa > Chordata > Mammalia > Primates > Hominidae > Homo > Homo sapiens. The sequence goes on from NC_000007.14 coordinate 128,945,272, forward strand.
CCAGCTAATTTTTTGTAAAGACAGGAGTCTCGTTATGTTGCCTAGGCTGGACTCCAACTCCTGGGCTCAAGCAGTCCTCCCACCTTGGCCTCCCAAAATGTTGGGATTACAGGTGCGAGCCACTGTGCCCAGCCAACATCAACCCCTTGAGTCTTCGCTGCCACTCCATGAGGTGGGCAACTGTGAGGAGATCAAGACAAAGGGAGGCAGTGACATGGCCTGGCACACAGCTGGCGGGGGGCACTTCCAGATTCAAACCCAGCCTGGCTCCAGGGTGCTCACCCTTATCCCGCACGCTGTCCTCCTTAGAGATCACACTGTTTCACCCTCCCAGGAGCAGGGACTATGGATGCATCTCATAGCCCCTAGATTTCATGTAGCTTGCTGGCAGCCTGAGGGCTGGGGCAGGACTGTGGCAGACTCCCACGCTGCAAACCAGGTCTGGGGCTCAGCGAGGCTCAGCCTGTAGCCGAAGTTCTCCCCACACAGTAGAGTCTCCTATGGGACAGGAGGCAGACTGGGGCTGTGGCAGGGATGAGGTTCTCTGTGGTCGGCTATTTCTTCCTGCCCCAGGCCTGGGCCAAGGAGACAGGGAAATACACCGAAGGCGTGGATGAAGCCGATCCGGCCAAGTGGAAGGCCAACCTGCGCTGTGCCCTTAACAAGAGCCGGGACTTCCGCCTCATCTACGACGGGCCCCGGGACATGCCACCTCAGCCCTACAAGATCTACGAGGTCTGCTCCAATGGCCCTGCTCCCACAGGTATCAGGCCTAGCCCTCTGTGGGCCACCTGGGAGGCTGTGCAATGTCCTGGCCCCCAGCCATGAGCTCTTGGGTGCAGGCAGGCCAAGGGCCCCTCTAGCAGGCAGTGGTCCAGGAAACGATGCGGGGGCTCCCGCTAGGTCATGACACCCAGGGCTTCCAGGAGTGGCTGGGATGGGTCACTGGCATATCAGGAATGGCTTGGCGTGCAGTCAGGGACCTGGGTGCTTCTTCCTTACCATTGCCCTCGTTTTGGCTTCTGGCTCCAGCCTAGGTCTCATGGCCCATGGAGTCGGGGAGGTCTTTCCCAATCCTGGTGGCTGTGCCCTCCACCTCGCCCTGTGTTGGGGGCAGCTTTGGGGAAGGCAGAAGCTGCATAGGAGCTACAGGCAGCCTCTCAGGGGATCTTGCTTCTCCTCCGACATTGACTCCTTTACTGCCCTGCTTTTCTCTCCCTGCTGTGCAGACTCCCAGCCCCCTGAGGATTACTCTTTTGGTGCAGGAGAGGAGGAGGAAGAAGAGGAAGAGGTGAGTGTGGGTTGAGGAGGCAGGTGGAGCCCTGGACGAGCTCTCTGCTGTCCCCATCGGCCTTAGGTTTCCGCAGCCCCACTCCCATGGAGCCCCGTGGCCCTCTCAATAGTTCTCCTTGTTTCTTCTCCTGGGATTCTGAACGATAGGAGCACAGTCCCCACCTGCTCCTTCCCAGGGCATTGTCATTACCCTGTGTGTGTGACCCACGCAGCAGTTGGGGCTTGGTAGGTCTGACTCCCTGCAGAAGGCAAATGAGGAAAGTGAGGCAAAGGGCTTTTCTGACCTGCCTGGGATGGACGAGCTGGGACCGGAGGCAGGGTCTTGCCTGAGCTAAACTGAGGCTAGGGGAGTTGCCTCATAGTTCTCGCCTGTTATTTCCCCAGCCCCAGGTCAGTGGAATAACCTGTCCTCCTTTCTCTCCCATCTCTTCCCTCCCTTGCTGGTGGTGTCCCTTCAGCTGCAGAGGATGTTGCCAAGCCTGAGCCTCACAGGTGGGGCCGGGAGGTGGTGGTTGGGGGTCTAGTATACAGAGAAGCTATAGGTACCATAGGTACCTGGAAGGGGGCTGATGGGAGGCTAGGGTGGCCCAGGGCTGGGAGGAGGTGTGCCTGGGAGGCAGTTCGTGGAGGTGGCACTGACAGCCGTCCACACGCACTCTCTGTAGATGCAGTGCAGTCTGGCCCCCACATGACACCCTATTCTTTACTCAAAGAGGATGTCAAGTGGCCGCCCACTCTGCAGCCGCCCACTCTGCGGCCGCCTACTCTGCAGCCGCCCACTCTGCAGCCGCCCGTGGTGCTGGGTCCCCCTGCTCCAGACCCCAGCCCCCTGGCTCCTCCCCCTGGCAACCCTGCTGGCTTCAGGGAGCTTCTCTCTGAGGTCCTGGAGCCTGGGCCCCTGCCTGCCAGCCTGCCCCCTGCAGGCGAACAGCTCCTGCCAGACCTGCTGATCAGCCCCCACATGCTGCCTCGTAAGGACCCATGGCTGGGCACGGGGAAGCAGTGCTGGGGGATTGGGGTAGGATTGGCAAGGAGGGTGGAGGGTGCTGGACTCCCTTGGGTGGGAAAAGTGGGAGGGCGGATGGGGCTGGGCCTGGCCACTGGGCTGCAGAATGGGGAGGCGTGGGGCTCAAGGACGGGATGGGCCTGCCTTCTGCCCCACAGTGACCGACCTGGAGATCAAGTTTCAGTACCGGGGGCGGCCACCCCGGGCCCTCACCATCAGCAACCCCCATGGCTGCCGGCTCTTCTACAGCCAGCTGGAGGCCACCCAGGAGCAGGTGGAACTCTTCGGCCCCATAAGCCTGGAGCAAGTGCGCTTCCCCAGCCCTGAGGACATCCCCAGTGACAAGCAGCGCTTCTACACGAACCAGCTGCTGGATGTCCTGGACCGCGGGCTCATCCTCCAGCTACAGGGCCAGGACCTTTATGCCATCCGCCTGTGTCAGTGCAAGGTGTTCTGGAGCGGGCCTTGTGCCTCAGCCCATGACTCATGCCCCAACCCCATCCAGCGGGAGGTCAAGACCAAGCTTTTCAGCCTGGAGCATTTTCTCAATGGTGAGGGCCCAAAGCTGTGATCCTCCTGGCTGCCTCTTGCCCAGGGCATGGTTCCAGCCTCTGACTAGGGACCTTGATTTTGATGCAGAGCTCATCCTGTTCCAAAAGGGCCAGACCAACACCCCACCACCCTTCGAGATCTTCTTCTGCTTTGGGGAAGAATGGCCTGACCGCAAACCCCGAGAGAAGAAGCTCATTACTGTACAGGTACATCTCCCCTATCCCAAAGTCGGCCTTGGCTTGAAAACTGGGGAATCCTGGGGCTAGGCCCTTGCCCCAGGCTGGAGGCTCAGGGCTCCCTGAGCAGTGTGAACTTGGCGGCCAGAGACCATCAAGGCTCAGAGCCGGAGAATGCGGTCTATTACTCACCCCTGATGGCTGTCCTCATGCACAGCTGGATCTGGCAGCCCTGCCACAGGTCTCCCTGTCTCATCTCCTCTTTGCCTCCCAGGTGGTGCCTGTAGCAGCTCGACTGCTGCTGGAGATGTTCTCAGGGGAGCTATCTTGGTCAGCTGATAGTATCCGGCTACAGATCTCAAACCCAGACCTCAAAGACCGCATGGTGGAGCAATTCAAGGAGCTCCATCACATCTGGCAGTCCCAGCAGCGGTTGCAGCCTGTGGCCCAGGCCCCTCCTGGAGCAGGCCTTGGTGTTGGCCAGGGGCCCTGGCCTATGCACCCAGCTGGCATGCAATAACAAGGCTGCAGACGGTGACTGGCCCTGGCTTCCTGGGTGGCGGTGCGGACTGATGTGGAGATGTGACAGCCCCGATGAGCACCTGGCTGGCTGCAGGGTCCTACCTCTGGGTTTCCTGGAAGTGGATTTGGGCCAAGAAGGAGAGGGAGAAAGGCCCGAGCCCCTGCCTTCCCGGGCCTTTCTCTCCTGGGCTGTCTCTGGTCTGGTCAGCCTGGCTCTCGGGAAATTCAGCCATGAGCAGGGAAAGAACTCTCCCAACCCTGGGGCCTAGCTGTATAGGAGGAATTGCCTAAGGGTGGCCCACTCTTGTGATTGCCCCATTTCCTCTGGCAACAAAAGCCAGAGTGTTGTGGGCCAAGTCCCCCCACAGGGCCTCTGCAGGGCATGGCCCTGATTTCCCTGGTTTGAGACTCACTTCCTCATCTCCCTGTCCTCTGAGATAATATGAGTGAGCACTTAGGTATCATATCAGATGCTCAAGGCTGGCAGCTACCCCCTTCTTGAGAGTCCAAGAACCTGGAGCAGAAATAATTTTTATGTATTTTTGGATTAATGAATGTTAAAAACAGACTCAGCTGTTTCTTTCCTTTTACTACTACCAGTTGCTCCCATGCTGCTCCACCAGGCCCTGTTTCGGATGCCAACTGGCCCACTCCCCAAGCACTTGCCCCCAGCTTGCGACCATTGGCACTGGGAGGGCCTGGCTTCTGGGCTGATGGGTCAGTTGGGCCTTCATAAACACTCACCTGGCTGGCTTTGCCTTCCAGGAGGAAGCTGGCTGAAGCAAGGGTGTGGAATTTTAAATGTGTGCACAGTCTGGAAAACTGTCAGAATCAGTTTTCCCATAAAAGGGTGGGCTAGCATTGCAGCTGCATTTGGGACCATTCAAATCTGTCACTCTCTTGTGTATATTCCTGTGCTATTAAATATATCAGGGCAGTGCATGTAAATCATCCTGATATATTTAATATATTTATTATATTGTCCCCCGAGGTGGGGACAGTGAGTGAGTTCTCTTAGTCCCCCCAGAGCTGGTTGTTAAAGAGCCTGGCACCTACCCGCTCTCACTTCATCTGTGTCATCTCTGCACACTCCAGCCCACTTTCTGCCTTCAGCCATTGAGTGGAAGCTGCCCCAGGCCCTTACCAGGTGCAGATGCCCAATCTTGATGCCCAGCCATCAGAACTGTGAGCCAAATAAACCTTTTTCTGTATAAATTACCCAGCCTCGGGTCTTCGTTTACAGCAACGCAAAATAGATTAAACCCCCATAAATGTTCAAGGATACCTTGCCCCACAGCCTCGTCCACAGAATATATTGTCACTGTTTGGATTTTTGCCAACCTGACAGGTGAGATAGTATCTCAGTGCCACTTCTCATTATCAGCAAGGCTGAGTAGCTTTTCACATGGTTAAGTGGCCTGTACAGATTTTTTTAAATAATTTTAGAATGGTTTTAGATTTATGGAAAAGTTCCTAATAGAGTTCCTATGGACCCACACTTTCTCCAATTGTTAACATCTTACATTACTATGGCACACTTGTGACAATAATGAAACCATGTGGACAATTACTATGAACTCAACTTCTTTATTTGGATTTCATGAGTTTTTCGGATATCCTTTTTCTGTTCCAGGATACTATCCAAGATATCACATTACATTCACTTGTCACATCTCCTTAGACTCCTCTGGTCTATGACAGTTTCTTAGACTTTTCTTGTTGTTGGTCTTGATGGTTTTGAGGAATACTGGCCATTTTTTAAAGCATGTCCCCCAGTTTGGGCTTATCTGATGTATTTCTCATTTGTTTTTAGAGATAGGGTCTTTGTGTTGCCCAGGCTGGAGTGCCATGGTGCAACCTTGAACTCCTGGGCTCAGATGATCCTCCCACGTAGCTGGGACTACGGGTGCACACCACCACACCTGGCTTTTTTTTTTTGAGACCTGGTCTCAATATATTGCCCAGGCTGGTCTCAAACTCCTGGCCTCAAGTGATCTTCCCACCGTGGCCTCCCAAACAGCTGAGATTACAGGTGTGAACCACTGTGCCCCGCCTGTTTCTCATGGTTTTTGTATGGAAGACCACAGAGGTGAAGCATCATTCCCACTACATCATATCAAGGGTGCATACTATTAACCTGATTTATCACTGTTTCTGACTGAGGTAGTGATAGGTTCCTCTATCATAGTTACTCTTCATCCTCCCTGATCTATATGTACACAGGTACCGTGGTTTTAGTATTATTCACCTGCATCCTCTTAAACTTCACCAACTAGAGTACAGTGATTACGTAGTGCTCCTTTTGTCTTAGTTTTCAATCATTTACAAAGGTGTGCACCTTTTTCTTCACAGGCCTGTGCAGTTCTACTCCCTCTTGCAATTGTCAATGTTTTGAGATTAGGAGAAGGGAGATGTCACATATCTGGTTTCCAGCTTCTTCCAAAAAACTGGCAAATATGAAAACACTGTCATACATTCCTCAAAGGCAAAAATCAGCTGGAACTCTGGATGGGGAATGTTCTCCCAGTTCAATACGGTCCTCTCCTGGCCTGCTTCCTTTCACTGCTCTCCGTGTCCCTAAGGGCATTTGAGTTTGCAACCCTTGATGAATGGTGGAGCAGGGAGACTGAGTGTAGATGAATTGGGGAAGCTTGGAAGGGCCAGGTGCCCCTCGCGACCACGAGTGGGCTGACTTCCCCAGTACTGCTAGCAGTTGAGTAACTGCCAAAAATCTTCCCTGAATTTGTATTAATTGGTTTCCTAAAACTAAAATGAAAACAGCAATGAAAACCTGGCTGTCACTTACAGATCTCTGTGTTGTAGTAGCCAGCTGTGGATGAACAGTATCCAGAAGTGACAGATGTAACAAACTCCAGAGGTAAAGGCAGGCCAGTGTGAGGTACAATTCACTGCTCCCAAGCCAGGCTAGGGCTCCCCTTGGTAATAGCTTTTGGCTGCTCTGGTGGCCTGTGCTGGAGCTTAAGTTGGAACCCACAGGACCTTGATGCCCACATCCTGGGGATGAATGCATCCCTTTAGCCCCAGCAGTTTCTCTCCCTTCTTTCAAGCTCCTTGTCCCCACCAAGTTCATCCTTATAACCAACTAAATATACCCTTTTTAAGACTCTCAGCTCTTTGACATAAAGAACCTACCCTGGCCGGGTGCAGTGGCTCACGCCTGTAGTCCCAGCACTTTGGGAGGCCGAGGTGGGCAGATCACGAGGTCAGGAGTTCGAGACCAGCCTGGCCAACATGGTGAAACCCCATCTCTACTAAAAATACAAATATTAGCTGGTCATGGTGGTGGGTGCCTGTAATCCTAGCTGCTCAGGAGGCTGAGGCAGGAGAATCGCTGGACCCCATCAGACAGAGGTTGCAGTGAGCTGAAATCCCACCATTGCACTCCAGCCTGGGCAACAGAGCAAGGCTCCCTCTCAAAAAAAAAAAAACAAAAAAACAAAACAAAACAAAACAAAACAAAAGGAAAAAAAGAAAAAACGTACCCTTTTCAGTCTCTGTAGAGTAGAAGATATCAATGGCTTTTCCCATTTTTGCTGAAAGAGCATTCTTGGAAGGCAATGTTCTCATTTGCTGGTAATCTATCCCAAAGAATCAGGCACATCTTGTTGCAAAATCTTGAACCTTTAAGGTCTCTTGGTTTTGGCTTTCATCTTATGATTCACTTAAATCAGGGCCACACAAGGTAGACATTTAAATAAACTCATGAATGTTGATGCCATTCAAAAGCACAGTTTCCTTTATGTCTTAGGTGTGCATTCTCAGTTACTGTTCTTTATAACAATTCCCTTCAGATACATAAGGATTACAAGTTACTGTGTTTTAGTACAGTCTTGCTGGAAATAGCCCCAATGCTGATGATCTGTGTTCCACATAATCATGGCCAACATTTCATGGCTAATCCTATCACGGAACAGACAATTCTGTGGGGAGATGACTTAGGCAAGTTCAGGTGCAGTTAGCTGACCTGCCCACATGGACGGGAGATACTCATCCTATTTCTACTAGACAATGCCATGCAGAAACACAGCATCTCCATTAGGTGAGCTGATCCTGAACAGTTCCTTTTTAAATTAAAATCTAGATGGGCATCCTTGCTCTGCCGAAAGTTTCAGAGCAGCCCTTTCAAATAATCTGTAAGGCTTAAGTAAGCAGTGAGGTTCTGACACCATTAACAACACAGGGCTGTTTGCAAAGCTATAGCTTTAGATATGCATTCCACATGCTGTTTTTCAGTGGCTAAGGAGGGCTGCATTAAGTCTTCCACACATTTTTTTCAGTTCCCCACACAATTGCCTGTGAAAACAGCCAAATTCCTTAAACAGAGCAAAATCAACTGGTTATTTCAAGGACCTATGGTTGGACAAAACTTAAAGGTTTTATTATTTAGCCAGAACATGAGAGGGATGGCTGGGGTAATGTGCTGATCCCTGGAATCTGATATCACTCTATAAACACTCAAGTTTTTTTCTCTCCTTCTAATATTGCCTCTTTAGAGATTAAAACCCTGTGTACCACTGATGTTATGCTGGAAGATTTGTTTCACCAATTCCTATTGTTCTGTAGCTTGAGGATTTATGCCCAGGAGTGAAAAAGTTAAAGTGACAGGCAAAGAAAAGGCAGAGAAGTGTCAGTATATCAACAACACTGCCAGATCTATCACATTAGAATACAGCTCTGCAGGTATTAGCTCAAAGCCCAATTGCCATAACAGACTGTTATGATTCCATTTATTAAAAACTCAGGAAAATGCAAACTAATCTACAGTGATAGAAAACAAACCAGTGGTTATGTGGAAATGGGGATGGATGGGAAGAGGGAGGAAACAGGTATTACCTAGGGGTTCAAGGAAACTTTTGGAAATAAAGAGTATGTTCACTACCCTGATTGTGATAACGGTTTCATGGATGTATCTTATGTCAAAGCTTATCAAAGTGTATACCTTAAACACATGCAAATTATGTTAATGATACTTCAATAAAGTTTTTTTTTTTAAAGACCAATAAATCTGCAGGTCAGGAAACTGTCTACTTGGGTGGCCATAGTAGAAAAACCATACCACACTGTTTAACTGAAAGAGTAACCCAACTCCCTTTCCCACTGAGGCTACACAAAAGGGTAAAATGTAAGCGTGATGAGCTTTGGTGTGAATTAGGAGAATAAAAAGTGCAGAATGAACCACTTCCCTGAAGTCTGAAGGGTCTGTGGCATCAGGGCAGGGGCCTGCCCTTTCAACTCCATCCCCAGATGTCTATCAGGTACCAAAGGCTGCTTCCATAGCTAGTCTAGCTGAACCATTTCCGAGCTACAAGGCAGTGAATGAAAGTAAAAACAAAGAAACACTGGTTAAATTTTAAAAATTTATTCTTTCTCTTTTGTTGCTGTTGATTTGTTCTTGAGATGGCTACAACACCAGACAGAACAGTGCCCTCATATCTGATGGCTGTGAAGGGCTGCACTCCTTTGAAACATTAAGATCTGCTTTGGGCTTCCCTCTTCGGCCTCACCCTCCCCTTAAAATCAAGTCATTTCCACACTTTTTAGTAACATACTAAATGACACATCATCCCTTGTTAGCCCTGTAAACATTTTTTCTCCACACACCCTCCCTCTTTTTTTCTCTCATGTCTGTGGGTGAATAATTCACTAAGAAAAAAACCTTAAAAAACAAAAACTTACACATTTATATCCTGCACTCCCCACCCACCCGCCCACCCCAGTTTTGGCTCTTCTCTCCAAGGCAGACAACAAACTGATGTGGATTGGAAGTGGACTGAGAGAATGAACGGGGTCAGGGTTCAGATATCCATAAATTCTGACCCTGGCAGGTCCCGAGCATCACCAATGTGACCACGATAGAAAGCAGAACAAGTTCCTTGCTTACTCCTCCTTGTCTAAACAACTCTAAAGGTGGGAAGAAACAGCTGGGGAAGGTAGAAGAAATTTCTACTCATTTGCATTTAAAAGGAGGGGAGAGAGAAAGAGAAGGAAGGGTAGGAGAGGAAAGAGAGGACAAAACAATAGAAAACCTGAACAAATGACCCTGACCCTCTTCTTCCAATTGCAGCTATTTAATTCATGTGAATCCCCACATTATCCCTAAGTAAATATTTTGTTTCACAGAAAGCTTGTCCTTTTGTTTTTCTGTGTACACGTGCGCACTGGCGCTTGTGCGTGTATGTGTGTGTGCGTGCATGTGTCATTTGCTACCAGGTGAATGTTTCAGTTCTGGTTTCTGTTTAGTCTTCCTTTTTTTTCTTTTTTCTTTACTTAAAATTATTTTTCCTTTTAGAAAGTTCACCAGGAAACCAGCTCCCCTCCCACCACGCCGGGCAGGCCACAGCCATCTTTTTAAAATCCGCGCTGATTTTCCCTCACACCCCCAAACAGGAACTCCTCAGGATGGCCTCAGAAGGCTGGAGTCTCTCCCTGTCTGGCGGGACACCCTGGTGGCGGTGAAGGCCCCTCTGCCACAACGGAGGTTTCTGATTGTGGGACACAGTCTGGTTTTTGTTTTCTTCCTGTCTTCTAATTAAAAAAGACATTCCTGACAAAAGAGATAAGACAGTCAATAACTGCACCAGAAAATAGAGCATTTAGTAAAATCAACCTTAAGGCAGAGGTTTCTATATTTCCTCAGGTACCTCATTCTGAAGTCTGCCAATAAGAACTCAGAAAAAATAAACAAATAAATAAAAGTCTGGCGTTTTAACTTGTGGGTTCAAGGGAGCTACTGCTTTAATGAGACACCGTCTGCAGTGTGCTTCCAATGCTGAGTGTGCTGTGGAAACAAGGGATGATGTGTCAGGAGGGCAAAGAGCCAGCAGGTCCAGGCCTCCCATTCCAAAGCAACCAGGGAAGCTTTGCCTCAGTCTGCTAAATCCCACAGGCTTCATGTCGATTTTATTTTGAAAGAAGGCTTTGCCTACTAATAACAGTTGAAAACAAAACAAAACAAAACACCAATTTAGATGCTATCGAAAGGATACTGTATTAAGCGGAGTGGTTCAAAGTGAGGACTCTGGTACCAGAATATCTACATGTGAATTCTGGCTCCACGAATAACTGTCAGGCAAATTGTTAAACATTGTTGAACCTCAATTTCCTCATTTGTAAAATGGGAAAAATAGTAACAAATCCAGAAAAGCAGATGAGGATTATCTTAGTTAATACATCTAAAACACTTAAAACAGTGCCCTGACACACAGTAAGGGCACAATAAAAGTTAACCATGAACACCTACAGCTGTCCATGAGCAACCTTATGAGGTGTATCAATGTCAGCTAACCCAGACACCATGCAAAACCAGGACATCCCAAATGATATTATTACTCATTAAAACAATCAAAGTTGAGAAATGATTTTGGGTGTGGCAAGGCACTGCTGAACATCACTTTTACCTATGAATGCATTTAACACAGAAACTACCAGTGAGTGCTACAGATTCATCAAGAATTGCCTCCTGGGAGAAGAAACTCACCTTGAGACATCAAAGGGTGGGCTTAGAGGAGAGCTACCTTTCTTCTCTCCATCAAGAAACTGGCACCCAAATTCTACTACCCACTCCTTTCAGCTAAGCTTCTTGCTTTGCTTCAGAACCAGGAGACGGAAAGCACGTGGAGAAAAGTGCTCATCGGGAGCCAAAGATGCTCCTCCTCTCCTGTAAGGGCCAAGCATCCCTAACAGCTGAAACTTTTTGAACGCTGATATGACCCTCAAGCGAATGAGCATTGGAGCATTTTGGATTTTGGATTTTTGGATTAGGAATGCTCAACTGGTGTGCATTCTGCAAATATTCCAAAATCCCAAAAAATCCAAAATTGAAAAACACTTCTGAAAGTGTTTTTTCCTCCGAAATCCCAAGCATTTCGGATAAGGGATATTCAATTCATACCTCCTGCCCTGGTCAAAACCTGGCACTTCAGCATTCAGGTCATAAAAGTGATAAGAATAAGCTCTTTGCTCATTACATCTGGAGGGTCAGTTTTAGGAGACTGGCACCACATATAACAGTCAACTTGAGGTTGTTTTCGCCAAAGTGGCCAGGTTAAAAATACTTATTTGTTTGTTGCCATGTACACTTACCATCTTAGAAGTGTCTGTAAGGGGAAGGGGGAAGAAAATGTTTCAATGCACTGTGTAACAGTTACTTTCTTATGGAGGTGAAAATGGTACCCCAAAGACACTGACAATTACTGGCTGCCCAGGCCCAAGAAAATCCGGGCCCTGTATATTCCAGCTGTTCACCACAGTTAAACTGCTGAGTCCTTCCCTGACTCTAGCTATAAGACTGGTCCCATGATAGGCATTAAAACCTATCCCCATTCCCAGGCATCCCCAACAGTCCGACAGTCCGGACAAAAGCTGGGAACTATGTATCCTCACCTGGGTGACAGGCACAGTGCAGGAGTGTGAGCTATCGAAACAACCTGGTGAAGTCTCGCAAGGCCCAGCAAACTTGTTTACATTCCTCAGCACTAGAAAAGAAAAGGTAGGTTGGTCCTTGACTGAGGAGAAAGACAGAATATGCTGAAAAACAACTGCAACATTGGGGCACACTGAGAACCGTCCCAACTCTGCTAGGAGCTCTCTCCATCGTCTCCTGAGCGATCCTGGCTTCAGATCTTTCTGTAATTCAGGGCAAAAATTATTATATATGAGAAAAGTTATAAGCTTGGTGGTCTTCAAAGGGTGTACTCTGGACACAAACTGCCCGAGTTTGAATCTTGGCTCCACTGTGCCCTTGAACAAGTTACCAATCTTTGTCTCAGTTTCCTCATCTATTAATATTATCTACTTCATAACACTGTTTAGAGGATTAAAATCGTCCACATACAGAGTGCTTATGAAAATAGAGCAGTGAACAAAATAGTATTCAATAAATGTAGGCTGCTACAACAACACTTGGTTGCTACGGCTCTCATAAGTTTCCTCATTCTCTTCCAAAGATAGATTTTGTTTACAAAGGCCGGTCTAGCAACTAAGTCTCCACCAGTCATTGATTTTCTAGTTGAACAGGCTGCTCAGGATTTCCTCCTGTGGGAGGAGGAGGGAGAGAGGAAAGGGTTAAAGCATGTAGAAAGAGAGACAAAGCAGGAGATGCCTATGTGATATGAATAGCCCAATATTCAACTGACCCTGTTTTTTCAAAAGCCCCCCGACCTCCCTTTGTCCAAAACTGTCACCAAGAAACCAGCTGATGCCAGCTTCATTCTACTGTATCTGTCTTCATAACAGTTTTTGCTAAATGAACATAAGGCTAAGCTAAAAGCTAAAGCAGTGGAGAAGGAAGCACTTCCTTTTTTTTTTTTTTTTTTTTTTTGATATGGAGTCTTGCTCATGTCATCCAGGCTGGAGTGCAATGGCACGATCTCAGCTCACTGCAACTTCCGCCTCCCAGGTTCAAGCGATTCTCCTGCCTCAGCCTCCCCAGTAGCTGGGATCACAGGTGCCCACCACCACGCCCGACTATTTTTTTGTATTTTTAGTAGAGATGTGGTTTCACCATGTTGGCCAGGCTGGTCTCGAACTCCTGACCTTGTGATCCGCCCGCCTCGGCCTCACAAAGTGCTGGGATTACAGGCATGAGCCACCGCGCCCAGCCAGGAAGCAATTCTTAATATGCTTGCCTTCCTGTAGCCCTCTCCCTGGCTCAACTAACTCAGATACCAGTGCCTACAGCCAAGGATTCAATGCAGATGAAAACACACTTTCCATCTCATAATGGTTAAACACCAGGGGAGGAAACTGCTCTAAGCGATCCAACAGAAAAGGTGAAAATAGAGCTATCCATTTAGGTTCCTACATCCAGATTTCCCCATCCATTGTAAGTTCTGAAACATCATTAAGAACCTTGACTTAGACTCCATGACTTGATTCAACAGAACATTCTAGAAACTTTCTTCTAGTCTCTCCATCCTAAAAATGTAATGAAAATAAGGCAGGTGGCCAGGCACAGTGGCTCATGCTTGTAATCCCAACACAGGGAGACCCCGTCTCTACAAATAATTTAAAACTTAGCTGGGTGTGGTGGTGCACACCTGTGGTCCCAGCTACTCACGAGGCTAAGGCAGGAGGATAACCTGAGCTGGGGAGGTTGAGGTTGCAGTGAGCCATGATTGTGCCACTGCACTCCAGGCTGGGCAACAGAGTGAGACCCTGTCTCAAAAAAAAGAAAAAAGAAAGAAAATGAGAAAGGTCTTTTGGCTTTATTGGAATTGCCATTACCTCTGTGGATTTAATAAGCTTCAATTTAAGTGTTACATTTCTCATTTTACTTCCAAATTAATACTGACTGTTAAGGAGGCAGCCAGGGTATGTGAGCCCATATCACTCATGCTCCCAATGTCAGGAAGGAGGAAGATCTGTAACCCAAGAGAAGTTGCTATGTGGTGTGTTATCACAAGGGACTAGGATAACAGAAAACCCTGAAAGTTAGGACAGTGCTGGAGACCGAGATTTTTTTGCTATCCTAATGTCTTACATGTTTTAAATTTTACCCTTCCTCAAGAGACTTCTGTTTTGTTTTGTTTTCAGAACAGATAGAAACAGGGTCTCATTGTGTTGCCCAGGCTGCTCGAACCTCTGGGCTCAAGCTATCGTCCTGCCTCAGCCTCCAAAGTGCTGTGATTACAGGCGTGAGTCACTGTGCCCAGCAGAGACTTTGGAAATGATAACTTCACAGCCTCCTTTGTGGCACATGAGAAAAAGTATTGAAACTGAAATGCAAGTGTGGGAGAACTTTAGTGCGATAGGGTGAAATGAGGGACAGGTGACACTGTCAACTTGGCTTCTGCCCCAATCCTATCTGCAAGTGCTTTGGTGTCAAACACTTCAGCCAAATGTTTAACTGAAGTGTCCTTGGTGGGGAGCCCATAGAAATGGATCAAAAAGCTCCTTGAGGCCGGGCGCGGTGGCTCACACCTGTAATCGCAGCACTTTGGGAGGCCAAGGCGGGTAGATCACCTGAGGTCAGGAGTTTGAGACCAGCCTGGCCAACATGGTGAAATCCATCTCCACTAAAAAGACAAAAATTAGCCGTGTGTGGTGGTGGGCACCTGTGATCCCAGCTACTCGGGAGGCTGAGGCTGGAGGATCGCTTGAACCCAGGGGGTGGAGGTTGCAGTGAGCTGAGATCACACCACCGCACTTCAGCCTGGGCGACAGAGCAAGACTCCGTCTCAAAAAAACGAAAAAGCTCCATGAATGTTAGAACTATAGTTATGTGCTACAATGATGTTTTGGTCAATGATGGACTGCATGTATGACAGTGATCCTATGAGTATAATAGAGATGAACAACTGCATGTTGCGTTACTCACATGCTTGTGGTGATGCTGGTATAAACAAACCTACTGCACTGCCAGTCATATAAAAGGACAACACAAACAATTATCTACAGTATACAATAATTGATCATAAGCAACTATATTACTGGGTTATGTATTTACTATACTACACTTTTTATCATTAATTTAGAGTATATTCCTTCTACTTACAAAAAAAAAAAATTTACTGTAAAACAGCCTCAGGCAGGTCCTTCGGGAGGGATTCCAGAAGAAGACATTGTTATCCTAGGAGATGGCAACTCCATGTGTGTTACTGCCCTTGAAGACCTTCTAAGTGGGACAAGATGTAAAAAGGTGGAAGACAGTGATATTGATGATCTTGACCCTGTGTAGGTCTAGGCTAATATGTGTTTGTGTCTTAGCTTTTAACAAAAAAGTTTAAAAGCTAAAAAAAAAAAATAAAGTAATTTTAAGAATAGAAAAAAGCTTATAAAGATATAAAGAAAAAATTTTTTAATGAGCTGTACAATTTGTGTTTTAAGCTAGGTGTTATTACAAAGGAGTCCAAGAGTTAAAAAAAATTTAGTTTATAAAGTAAAAAAGTTACAGTAAGCAAGAGTTAATTTATTATTATTATTATTATTATTATTTTGAGACAGAGTCTCACTCTGTCGCCCAGGCTGGAGTGCGGTGGCACAATCTCGGCCCACTGCAACCTCTGTCTCCCAGGTTCAAGCGATTCTCCAGCCTCAGCCTCCTGAGTAGCTGGGATTACAAGTGCCCACCACCACGCCTGGCTAATTTTTTAAATTTTTAGTAGAGATGGGGTTTCACCATGTTGGCCAGGCTGGTCTCAAACTCCTGACCTCAAGTGATCTGCCTGCCTCGGCCTCCCAAAGTGCTGGGATTACAGGCATGAGCCACCGCGCCTGGCCAAGGGTTAATTTATTATTGATGAAAAAAATTTTTTTATAAATTTAGTGTAGCCTAAGTATACAGTATCTATAAAAAGTCTACAGTAGTATACGGTAATGTCCTAGGCCGCCTATTCACTCACCACTCACTCACTGACTCACCTAGAACAACTTCCAGTTCTGCAAGTTCCATTCATGGTAAGTGCCCTCATACAGGTATACCTTTTTTTTTCTCTTTTATACTGTATTTTTACTGTACCTTTTCTATGTTTAGATATGTTTGGATATACAAATTCTTACCATTGTGTTACAATTGCCTACAGTATTCAGTACAGTAACCTGCTATACAGGTTTGTAGCCTAGGAGCAATAGGCTACACTATATAGACCAGGTGTCCGGTAGGCTATACCATCTAGGTTTGTAGAAGTATACTCCATGACGTTTGCACAACAACTAAACCACCTAATGACACATTTCTTGGAACATATCCCCATCATTAAGTAACACATGACTGTATTTTCTGTCTCGGTCCTTCTGACGTTTGATATTTCTTAGCTTTCTATTTATTTACTTTTTTAACTGCCAGTATTTTTTAGATTCTGTTTTCTGGCTTCTAGTCCCCAAATTCCTATCCTTCCACCATATTTCTGAAAGCTTTTATGGTCACTATTTCTCGAGCCCCATAAGATTACTAGAGGAGTGCTGAGAAATGAGATCCTTTTGATCCGATGACCTGGTAGGTAACAGAAAATAATGAAACTCTGATGACTTGACTAGGGATTCAACCCCTTACTGGCCTCTAATTCCAGTATCAATGCTTCCCATGTTCAACACCTTTTGGCTTTGAAGAGCCCCAGGCAAGTGACAAGTAGTCATAGAATAAACACCAAGATGGAGAAATGGAAATGATGGCAGGGTTTCTTCTAGTCCCAATTGGTCTTAGTTAATGATAGGTTCATCTGGCATTTGGAAAGCAAGAATGTTATTTTAGACTGAAACGTCCCAGCTTTCTTCAAGTTGACCAACTAAAAAAGCTAGGGAATTGGCCAGGCGCGGTGGCTCACACCTGTAATCCCAGCACTTTGGGAGGCCGAGGCGGATGGATCATGAGGTCAGGAGATCGAGACCATCCTGGCTAACAAGGTGAAACCCCGTCTCTACTAAAAATACAAAAAATTAGCCGGGCGCGGTGGCGGGTGCCTGTAGTCCCAGCTACTCGGGAGGCTGAGGCAGGAGAATGGCGTGAACCCGGGAAGTGGAGCTTGCAGTGAGCCGAGATTGCGCCACTGCAGTCCGCAGTCCGGCCTGGGCGACAGAGCGAGACTCCGTCTCAAAAAAAAAAAAAAAAAAAAGCTAGGGAATTAATTACCAGTACCATGTGAAAAGCAGGCTTGGACTTGCTGAAATGAAACTAAACCAGTTCACCCTCTCTGCCAGAATGGCAAACAAAGTAGCATGTTGAGGCAGGTGTTACGGACCTTAAAATCAAAAGGGAGACTGAGTCATGCATGGGACAGAAAGTTCAAGGGCTTTCTGTCTTGTCTACTACAGGCATTCTAGAGGAAGAGAATTACTAAGAGGGGATGAGCAATCTCAAGTCCTTTCTCTAGCACCTCTACATTAGCTCTTACTTCTGTTCATTTCCCACCACTATGTTACATATGTTACAGCCTGCTATAGGAAGAGCTGCAAAACTTGTTTAGCAATGGAAGATCAAGTAGGTCAGGTTGGTGGTGCACCTTATTTTCCCATATCACAGGACAAAGATAACAGGTTTTTTTTTTCCCCCACAGCACTGCTTTACTTAGGTCTCTTTTCCTTGCCCCAAGATTTATCCTAAATTAGGAAAGGATATCTATGACCTTGATTTCAGACTTACCATATTATTTTATCTGTCATATATTAGTCCCACTGAGGGAAAGAGGGCTTGACAAAGACTTATTCTACAATGTGTGGGATTCCAGAATGTGTGGGTGGCTGCCTTAGAGTCAACAGGAGACATGCCCCAGCTAGTTTTGCAAGTACATAATGACATTCTAGAAGTTTCTCCTCCAAGGAGAAAGGAGTTAACATTCACTGATCACATACTATGTGCAAGATCTTCTTTAGATTTCCATTTGGTATCTCATAATAACCTTATGAGACTGGTAGTACTAACCCTATTTCACTTGATAAATAAACTGAAGTTCAAAGTAATAGGGTATGTGGCAAGATTCAAACCAACATACTTGACTCCAAACCCCATCTTTGGAGGGTTTCCCCTAGGTTCCCATTTGCTTTAGGAAAATTAGAGCCAATACGATCCTGCCCTTATACTGTAACCAGCACTGAATGGAATAATGCAAAACAGAAGCAGAGAGAAGCAACTACTACACTTCTTTCCCCTGAAACAGCTTGTAGACAGAATACTACTTCTACTGAGAAGATTCATAGTAAAAGCAATCAAAGAATTTTTAAGGTCACCCCAGTCAATATATGCCTACCCAGTGGAGGGGAAATCCCCACTTCTGGCAAAATGTGTCATGAAGGGTCACATGCTATTTTTCAGTCATGCATGTCACTTGATCTATGGCTAAAAGTGAGTTATTTCTGGGGCATACTGGGCTTACTACTTAAGCCACTTAGTGAACTATAAAATAATAGCATTCCATGGTTTGGGATTTTAACATTAACAAAATTGCTGGAGACATTCCAGAAGATGAGAAAGTAAACTATTTTGGAAAGTGACATTAAGAAATCAATTCTGAGAAAAGACAACTAGCTCTTGTACCACTGCTTAAAGTTCATTTTCTTTCCCTTCTATATCTGATTTTACCCATAAAAGTGTAATTTATGCTCATAAAAAAGTGCACATAGTGCAGAAAGTTATGAAACGAAAAGAAAAGCCTCCCTTCCCCTCCTAGTCTCACTTATATATCTTTCTGAAAACTTACTGTGCAGAAAGTAGCCTCTGTGTATGTGTATAATTTATAATAAAACAGCTCTTTAAAGTACAAGTTGGTTCGTTTACAATAGCATAAAAAAAACTTATGAAAAAATTTAACCAAGGAGGTGAAAAACTTATACACTGAAAACTACAAAATGTAGCTGAAAGAAATTAAAGACACCAATAAATGGAACAATATACTGTATTTGTCGATTTGGAGATTTAATATTGTTAAGATTTCAATACTACTCAAAGCAATCTATAGATTCAATACAATCCCCATCAAAATCCCAACAACCTCTTGTACAGAAAAATCTACCCTAAAATTCATATGGAATTTCAAGGGTCCCCAAGTGGCCAAAACAATCTTTTTTTTTTTTTTTTTTTTGAGACGGAGCCTCGCTCTGTCGCCCAGGCTGGAGTGCAGTGGTGCAATCTCGGCTCACTGCAAGCTCCACCTCCCGGGTTCACGCCATTCTCCTGCCTCAGCCTCCAGAGTAGCTGGGACTACAGGTGCCCACCACCACGCCCGGCTAATTTTTTGTGTCTTTAGTAGAGATGGGGTTTCACTGTTTTAGCCAGGATGGTCTCAATCTCCTGACCTCGTGATCTGCCTGCCTCGGCCTCCCAAAGTGCTGGGATTACAGGCGTGAGCCACCGCGCCTGGCCACCAAAACAATCTTTAAAGTGAACATTGCAGGCCTCATATTCCTGATTCTAAAATTTATTACAAAGCCACAGTAATCAAAACAGCATGGTATTGACATAAAGAAATACATCATAGACCAATGGAATAGAACAGGGAGCCCATTAATAAATTCTCCTGTATATGGTCAAATGATTTTCAACAAGGATGTCAAGACCATTCAGTGCAGAAAGGACAGTCTTTTCAACAAATGGTGCTGGGAAAACTGGATATCCACAAGCAAAAGAAAGAGGCTGGACCCTTACCTAATACCACATACAAAAATTAACTCAAAAAGGATCAAAGACCTGATATAAGACCTAAAACTGTAAAACTCTTACAAGAAAACCTAGGCGGAAAACTTCATGACATGAAATCTGGCAATGATTTCCTAGATATGACACCAAACAGACAACAAAAGCAAAACAGATAAACTAGGCGACAACAAAATTAAAAACTTCTGTGCATCAAGGGACACAATCAACAGAATGAAAAGGCAACCTAAAGAATGGAGGAAAATGTTTGCAAATCATGTACCTGATAAGGAATTAATATCCCAAATATAAAAGGAACTCCTGCAACTATACAACAAAAGAAACCCAATTTTTAAATAGGCAAAGCACTTGAATAGACATTTCTCCAAGAAGACAAAACAAATGGCCAATAAGCATATGAAAAGATGCTCAACATCACTAATCATTAGGGAAATGCAAATGAAAACGGCAATGAGATATCACTTCACACTTGGTGTGAAATGCTAAGATGGCTACTCTCAAAAACCCAGAAAATAACAAGTGTTGGTGAGGATGTGGAGAAATTGGAACTTTGTGCACTGCTAGTGGGAATGTAAAATGGTGCAGCTGCTATGGAAAACAGTATGATGGTTCTTAAAAAAATTAAAGAAGATTAAATAGAATCACCATATGATCCAGCAATTCTACCTCTGGGTATCCAAAAGAATTGAAAGCAGGGGCTGAAAGAGATATTTGTACACCTGTGTTTATAGCAGCCTTACTCACAACAGCAGCCCAAATGGCCATCAACAGATGAAAGGATAAATAAAATGTGGTATATGCATACAATGGACTATTATTTAGCCTTTAAATGGAAGAAAATTCTGGCACACGCTACAACATAGATGAATCCTAAGGACATTATACTAAGTGAGGTAAGCTAATCACAAAAAGACAAATCTGTATGATCTCACTTATATGAGGTATCTAGAGTAGTCAGACTCAAACATTAAGTACGAAGTTAATTGCCAGGAGATGGGGAGAGGGGAGAATGGAGAATTGTTGCTTAATGGGTATAGTTTTAGTTTTACAAGATGAAAAAGTTCTTGAGATTGGTTGTGCAACAACATGAATATATACTTAACCCTACTGAACTATGCATTTATAAAAATGGTTAATACTGTAAATTTCATGTTATGTGTATTTTTATAACAGTTAAAAAATTTTCAAATTATTTTAAAAGCTCAAGTTAGGTTATGTAATACTGTTATTTTAACCTTTACAATTTATCTTGTATATTTTTCCGTATTATCACATATTTCTTCTTCCTTGTTCATCTTTGGGACTATTTACTAGTATAAGCTTCTGTTAATTATTTAACTTTTCTCTATTGATGGGCAATTAGAATATTTCCAGTTTTTTCACTACTACTAACCTTGCTATAACATTCCTTCTTTGACCCATATATCTTTCCACACTGTATGATTATAAGTCATTGTCTAAAATTTAGACAAAACTCTAAAGACTCTAGATACAAAAAGACTATCAGGGCAAAGGAACACTTAGCTATAAAATCCAACTTAAGTTGCTGTCATTACCATTAAGACCATAAGTCTCATAACCTTTGATTCGGTGATTACATTTTAAAGGAAAATATTCAGTAGAAGGAAAAGGCTCTATTTTTGACATTATCTGTAATACTAAAAAACTGAAAAATGATCTAAATGTCTACTAATAGAGGCATTATAAGGAAATCAAGTAACACCTTTATGGCTATAAAACAATAATTAGGAAGACTATGTAACTGTATTAAAAATATTTATATGTTCACAGTAAAAAAAACACACACACTTTACATTTTAGGCTGTAATCCAGAGATTGTAAGTTCCTCATGGGCCTAATGTATCCCAGGCAGATGTTCTGTTTGGACTACACAACTTCTTTGAAATTAGAATTTGACTATCTTTAGGCATGGTGAACATTCTCCAATTCACTGTCATCTACATCACTTTCTGATGTTTTATAACCAATGCTTTGCCTTACTCAGGTACCTACATTCCTGACCCCCGAATGTGGATGAAAACTCAGAAGGACTTAGAAAAATATAGACAGATCTCCTGACGGGGAGTGAGCTGCTCAGTGCATTTTCCTTTGGGAGAAACAGTGCCTCCACTTACCGTTAAAAAATCTTATACCAGTTATCACATATGTTAAATATATGTACATACATACACAGCATGGTGAATGTTTTCCCACCAGATTGGCTTCCAATGCCAATTTGTGCAATTCAAGGTTAAACAAACTATAAATTGTCCATTTCCCAAGGGCACATAAGAAATAAAGATATGTTTCTTCCCACATCCCACACCTCCTTAAGAACCCCCAGTATCACTCACCTAGTGACTTGCTTGTGGAAGTCTGTAAGTTGTTTGTGTGTCACTGTGACGGCTCCCACGGTTGTTTCCTTTGGCAAACCTTTTAAGGAATTTTCTAACCATCGACAAAAAGTCTGTATAGGAAAGAGGGGTAAGAGTTTTAAAAGGAAGCATAGCTTACTCACCTGAGACCCTACAGATACTAACAAAACCCCACAAATTTTCCTTAGTAGCATTTACTTCCCTACACTTGGGAGCAAGTAAAGGAATCAACAAAAGTGCTCTCATTAGCCCTTCAAACCCTCTGGGTTGATGCAGTCTGCATATGCATGCCTAGACTTCCCTTCAAAGGGGCAGCGGGCATCATTTCAGAAAACGACTTTCTACACCTTAGAAGTGAAGTTTCTTCGGGATGAGGCTATTGTTTTGTTCCTGTCATAACGTATATGACATATATACATATGCACACATGCGAACATGAACACACACACACACACACACACACACTCGCTCTCTCTTTTTTGAGATAGGGTCTCACTCTGTTGCCCAGGCTGGCGTGCAGTGCACTGCAGCTTTGACCTTCCAGCCTCAAGTGATCCTCCCACCTCAGCTTCCCAGGTAGCTCAGACTACAGAAGTCCATCAACATGCCTGGCTAATTAAAAACAATTTTTTTTTTTAAGAGATGAGGAGTCTTTCTATGTTGCCCAGACTGGTCTCAAACTCCTGGGCTCAAGAGATCCTCCCAAAGTGCTGGAACTACAGGTGTAAGCACTTGACCAGTATATTTTTAAAATTAAACAGATTTCCAAAAACTCTTGAGCTTAAAGATCAAAAGTGATCCAGAGTAAAGGTTCAGATACCTGAAAGAGCAGGGGCAAAAAGTATACTAAGCCACCATGTCAGAAAGTATACATATGAGACATATGAGTCCAGAATCTTAAGGATTTTAAGGCCATCTCTCTCAGAATAAGTCCTATCCATTCAGTTCCTTTGTGATATCTGCCTGTTCTTTGTGTTAAAAAACCTTGCTCTTGTTGCTGTTTAATTTACTTATATATTTTTTATATAAGTATATCTAAGAATTCTCTTTATGCCTTTTCTATGCACAAAAATTGTCTACTCCCTTTACTTCCTTCCTTTCTAAAATAAAAATTCTACAGACTTCCTCTGGGTTCTTATTTTCAGTTTAATTGTTGTCCTTTGGGTCAGCACTAATATTTCTTCATCCCTTTCTTAAGTGGAATGTATACTTCAGTCATAGTTTTGGGCTGTAAAATTACTCTTTTATACCTAATTTTTTTTACATTATATATTTTCCCATCATATTCATTTATGGCCATAATAGGCCAGAGCAAAAGTATTATAAATGCTCATGAAGTACTAAGCATTTCTTAATTATGGATACATAACAGCTCCTTAATTCTTAAAAATACATAATAGTTGTTATATAGCAAACTTTTTCTTTTTTGAGACAGGGTCTTGCTATGCAGCTCAGACTGGAGTGCAGTGGCATGATCATAGCTCACTGCAGGCTGGAACTCCTGGGCTTAAGCAATCCTCCTACCTCACCCTCCTGAGTAGCTGGGACTATAGATGTATGCCACCACACCCAGCTAATTAAAAAGAAAAAAAATTTTTTTTTTTTTTGTAGGGATGGGGTCTATGTTGCCCAGGCTGGTAGTCTCAAGCTCCTGGCGTCAAGTGATCCTCCTGCCTTGGTCTCCCAAAGTATTGGGAAGACAGGCATGAGCCATTGTGTCTGGCTGATATACAGTACACTCCTTAGAGTACATGGCTACCTGGTTTCTATTCCTGTCCAAACTTCTTGTTCTCATTTTTTGTTGTTGTTGTTCGCACTTAACAATATGCTTACAATCAAGAATGTTTTCATAAAGTTAGATTTACATAAGTTTTCTGTTACTTGGGAACCAAATGTATTTGTAAAAAAGTTTAAGCAGAGTATGAAGACTTTTTCCCTCAGGTCAAGGACTTTTGAATTAAATTTGCTGATTCCTGGAGGCTCAAAAAGTACTTTTCTTTAGAAAAACAAATATGCTACTCTATCAGGTTGAAATGGAACATGTGTATTGAACCAGAGAGGAATAGGTACTATCTGTTATATATTATTATTATCAATTTTATATTCTGTGGTTCTGTAAGACAGCTCACTTTAACTAGGTCCCAATGAGTACTTTCCTGAACTGCTTTTACAGTAATATTAAAAATTATAAATTCCATTTTAAAAATGATTTCAGGTTATATTATACTTTACCATTCTACTCAACTTTCACACAGTACACATAACCTGAGTTATGGTCATGTGGCCCAGTACTGAAATTACTTGGGCATTATTAGATAGCTTTAAAAAAACAACTCCATCCTTAGGTGGGTGATAAAGGATCTGGTTCAAAGAAATCCAAAGGGGAAATATATCCAACTGTACATTGTGGGTTACTTTGACAATTATGTGCTTCCAAATGTTCTGGCTAGATGTATCACCAAGAAATAATACAGTGCTATAGAATAAGTCTGAAAGGATTAAATACTTCTTGAGTAATACGTAACTAATATAACTGACATTTGGGCATCTCTCACAAGTGAACAAATTTCACATTGGACAGCCACACAACTGAATTCAATGCTTGATACTTACTTCTGGTAATATACCCCCTATGACAGTGACATAGAAACATGCTTTAAAGAACTCAATAATAAATTACTGATCTTTACGGGCCTCTTCATCTACCAATCTAATTTGGCAATATGCCTAAATTTGGTTCCATGGACAGAAAACAGGGCTAGTTTCAAAATTAGGGTTGGCCTTAAGGAACCAAAGCCTATTACATTTAGGGACTATGAGATAAATTCCTCATGAAAACAATCTTACCGGTCTGTCAACCTGCATGATCTCCCAGAGCACTTCAGCCACATCTGGTAGGGTATAGGGGGGGAGGCAAAAGCAGCAGGTGTGCAGCAGCTGGCTGACAAGCTGCTGTCCAAGCTGGTTCATCACCTGTCCAATCAGTTCTTTCCGTAATTCAAAGTCTTCTTCATGCTGTATGTAGGAAAGCAGGAACATCAGATAAATTCTAGTCTCAACTTCCCAAAGACCAAGCACTCTTTCCCCTTTAGTAATTTCTCTTTAATAGGAAAGTGTGTGTGTGTGTGCACGCGTGGCTGTGTGTGTGTGTATGCAGGTGTGTGTAAAATGACAGCTGGATTCACAAAGTCCAGAAGTTTTTTGTCTTTAGAAAGAAAATGAAGGAGTTTATTAGTATCCAAGGAATGAACATGGGTTTCAACAGAGATTAATGCTTAGATTTTTCATGATTTGAAGGCAGAAAACATGGTTAAGAATTAAAGTTAGCAATTTTTAAAATTTTTTTCTCTTCATCTTCTATGTGATGGTATTAATTTTTTTTTAATGTGAAAAATAACTTGTGTTCCTATTTCCTTTTTTAAAAACTAAGTCAGCCTGGCATGGCAGCACACACCATAGTCCCAGCCACTCCAAAGGCGCAGGTAGGGGAACAGCTTGAACCCAGTGTTCTGGGCTAGAGCATGCTATACCAATTGGGTGCCTGTACTAAGTTCAGCATCAATGTGGTGACCTCCCAGGAGTGAGGAACCACTCCTGGGTTGCCTAAGGAGGGAGGGGTGAACAGCCCAAGTCAGAAACAGAGTGGGTCAAAATTCCATTCTGATCTGTAGTGGGATCTCGCCTGTGAATGGCCACTACAGTCTGTCTGGGTAACACAGCCGGAACCCCAAGTCACAACAAAACAAAACAAAACAAAACCAACTGAAATTAGAATTGAAGACGTCTATCAGAGATCTAATTTTTTCTATCGAAAAAAAAAAAACCCTTTTTTTCTTCTTGCGGTCTTTAATTTTTTTTTTTCTGAGACAGCGTCTTGCTCTGTCACCCAGGCTGGAGTGCAGTGGCCTGATCTTAGCTAACTGAAACCTCCATCCCCTGGGTTCAAGCAATTCTCCTGCCTCAGCCTCCCTAGAAACTGGGATTACAGGCATACACTACCACACTTGGCTAATTTTTGTATTTTTAGTAGAGACAGGGTTTCACCATGTTGGCCAGGCTGGTCTTGAACTCCTGACCTCAAGTGATCTGCACGCCTTGGCCTCCCAAAGTGCTGGGATTACAGGCGTGAGCCACTGCGCCTGGCCCTTCTTGTGGTCTTTAAATACACATGTATTTCTAATACCTTGAGAAAAATATTTTTTAAATTGCCTTTCCCTTCTAGTTATTTTCTTCTCTCTTTTACTGCCAAACTTCTTAAATGAATAGCCTAAATAGAATGCAGAATACTTACTTCTTCACTGCTCTCCCCTGTCTACAATTCTACTCCACATCTAATCAAACCTACCTTCGAAATTCCTGTGAAGCACTTTACTACTCCCACTGCTTAGTTGTCTACTAACAAACTTAGTACTATTCTGACTTGCTCTGATCTTGGCTTAGAGGCAGTATGACTATCTGCCTCTCTAATCCATCAAAATTCTACCTCTAATTCATGGCTTCATTTAAATCCCTCCCCTTCCATAAAGTTATTCCAACTCTTTTTGGTCTAGAGCTTTCCCTCGTCTGATCTCATACCAATCATGACTTTTATCACTCATCTGACAATCAAATACTGGAGGCCAAGGTGGGAGGATCACTTGAGGCCAGGAGTTCAAGACCAACCTGGGCAACATGGTGAAATGCCATCTCTACAAAAAATATAAAAACTAGCCAGGCATGGTGTTGAATGTCTGTAGTCCTGGCTACTCAGTAGCTGAGGATCCCTTGAGATTCACATCACTGTACTCCAGCCTAGGCGACAGAGCAAGACCCTGTTTCAAAAACAAATGAAAAACACCAAACACTGGCATCTTGTTGTTACTTAACTCTTTAAACTTGTTTCTCTCTTCAACTAGACACCAAATGATTTGGGAGCATGAACAGTTTTAGACTGCTTTATATAGCCTAAAGCACCCAGCACAAGTGTCTTAGTTGATATTTTGGCTAGTGAATGATCCACTATGATATATGTCTACCAATATAGATCAAGTAAGGAAATACTGGGATGCTGGTTTTCTCCTAAGGAATGACAAAGAGATAGGAGATAAAAGCTGTTAAGTAGAAATGGTATCATTTTTATACTTACATCATTGGCTACCCCTGTATGAATGAGGTCTCGTAGAAACCTCATGACACTACAATTGGCATCCCGGTGGTCCAGGGTAGTAGAGGCAATGGCCCACTGTAAGATAGGGATGACCACTTGGCTCCGCAGCAAGGTGACAGGGCTACGCTGAATAAACCTGGTGTGGAAAGTGAGACTAGGTATAAATGACAAGATTAGGCTATAAAAGCAGCCAGGGTAAAAGGGCAAAACTATGAAGACAGTAAAAAAGATCAGTGGTTGGTGGGGGGTTTCAGGGAAGAAGGGATGAATAGACAGAACATAGAGGATTTTTTTTGGCAGTGAAAGTATTCTGTATGATACTATAACAGTGGATACATGTCATTACACATTTGTCAAAACCCACAGAATGTACACCAAGAGTGAAGCCTAATGTAAACTATGGACTTTGGGTGATAATGATGTGTTCATATAGGGTCACTGTTTGTATTACTCTGGTGGGGGATGCTAATAGAGGGGAAGGCTGTGTGTGTTAGGAGGGAGGGGTATATGGGAGCAACTTTTCACTCAAATTTGCAGTGAACCTAAAGTTGCTCTTTAAAAAAAAAGGACCATATCTTAAGATTAGTATATTAAAAGACGTGTCACCACATCCTATTTCCAACTAAGATTTTATAAATCAAGAAAGACCAGTCAAAAGGACCTACAAGTAGAAACTCTCCTAGGTTAAAAAGTCCTAAAGATGCTAGAACAGCATTTCCCAAACTAAAGTTCACAGAATTCCAGTTCCCAGGATGTCAACAGGAATCCCTCAAAGAAAAGGTTGTGTGTTCAGGTAAGCTTGGGAAATGCTGCTGGATTTTGAAAGTAGTTTTGCTTGTTTATTTTTTCCTTTAAACTACTATCAGGTTTCTAAGTTCCTTTAATATACAGGGAGAATCTCTTCAGAAAAAGGTACAGTATACTCCAAACTTGTTTCATCATTTGTATAAAGAACATTTTTAGGGACTAGTTTTCCAAGGAATACATACCCTAAGAAAACAGAGGGTGTGCCGGGCGTGGTGGCTCAGGCCTGTAATCCCAGCACTTTGGGAGGCCGAGGAGGGTGGATCACGAGGTCAGGAGATCGAGACCATCCTGGCTAACACAGTGAAACCCCGTCTCTACTAAAAATACAAAAAATTAGCTGGGTGTGGTGGCGGGTGCCTGTAGTCCCAGCTACTCGGGAGGCTGAGGCAGGAGAATGGCGTGAACCCAGGAGGCAGAGCTTGCAGTGAGCCAAGATCACGCCACTGCACTCCAGCCTGGGCGACAGAGCGAGACTCCGTCTCAAAAAAAAAAAAAAAAAAAAAAAAAAAGAAAACAGAGGGTGACAGCCCATCCAACAATTCTATCAACTGAAAAAAAAAAAAAAAGAAAAGGAAAAAAAAAGGGTTTTTCTAACCTATCCAAAAACTAACAAAAAAAAAGGGTTCAATATTCAATCCTGCCAGGTACGGTGGCTCACGCCTGTAATCCCAGGACTTTGGGAGGCCAAGGTGGGCGGATCACCTGAGGCCAGGAGTTTGAGACCAGCCTGATCAACATGGCAAAACCCCGTCTCTACTAAAAATACAAAAATTAGCTGGGCATGGTGGTGGGCACCTGTAATCCCAACTACTCGGGAGGCTGAGGTAGGAGAATCACTTGAACCCAGGAGGCAGAGGTTGCAGTGAGCCGAGATCATGCCATTGCACTCCAGCCTGGGCAACAGAGTGAGAGTCCATCTCAAAAAAGAAAAAAGAAAAAAAATCAATCCTAAGATGAAACAATCAAGTCAACATTACTTTGCATTTGTAAATGATATAACAGTTGGGCTTTTGTTGTTTCGAAAATAATGATTTTTCTTTTTTTTTTTTTTTTAATGCTGATATGGTAACAGTTTTGGTTCAAATTCCTTAGTTAGGGACTAAGGAATTCAAGCAGAAGTTTGGCAATCATATTATCAGTGCTACTGATAAAGTAGGCTGTGAGTAGAGCTGAGAAATACAGTATGAGATAACTGCTAAGGCATCTTAAAATCCCAAACATTCTTTATTCCGAAACTGATTATATCTAAAGGATGCTAAGCTTCTCAAAGAGAAGGTTGAGGTGAAACATGAAATCGCAACAGCACGAACAGTTAAAACCTACAGAGGACTGTAGAGATGATCTAGTCAAGTGTTTTGCCAGGCACACTGCATTGTCTTGTGTGTGAGCCCTCCTTCCTGGCAGGAACTCAGCTCCTTTATCCCTTGCTTCCCGCAATACTCTGCGTCACTGCTGGGGATATATCAGCTTGCAATTTACCTTTGGGTTATGAATCATTAATCTACTTACTCCAGTGACTTCATTTTACAAGAATAAAACAACCAAGGGTCAGATGGCAAGACTAAGCAGTGATAGGATGAGCAATTAAGAAATGGGCTCTTCAGAAGGATTTACCTGGTGGCTAGCCGGAACAGGTCATCTACAGTGTCAGGGTGATTCTGGAGACCATTCTGCTGTTCTAGGAGCTGAAAGGTGGGGATGCACAGTGCCTAAAACAAAACAGTGATTTTAAAAGAAATGCTTTTTCAGAAATGCCACAGCATTCAGACTTGCCAAATATTTATTACAATAAGTACAAAAGGAACAAAGAAGAAAAGCACAGCTGGGAAAAGAAAAAGATTGTAATGAGAATCTGATCAGGAAAAGAAACACATAAATCCTTCCCAGTTGACATAAACAGTTTTCACCTATGAAGTCCACATTTAAGAAAGGGTTGAGAAAACAGATTTTAGCTGATAAAACTCAACAGATGTCATCTCAAAGTTTTAGAAATTTCTGAAAGCAAAGATTCTATTTAGGTATAGTCCACTAAGGGAGTGGAAGTTTTTATAATAATTATGAAATATCAATTTTAAATGAAAAGACATCTTGGGAAAAGAAACAACATTCTTCAACTCAATATTCCCCTCTGTGGCTGGAAGGGAGGGAAAAGCAGTATCTGAGGAGCTGTTTCCAATGCTATTATTAATTCTAAAACCCTCCCTGCTGCTAAGTAAACTAGTCAGTTGGCTGTTCCAGGCAAGAAGTTAAAAATACAATAATGCTTGAGCTTAGAGATTCATTTTTCTCACCTCCTCCCCCCTCCAAACACCCTATCTCTGGAAGAGCATAAACCAGGCAGTAACATGTAATAATCATTACACTCATGTGGTCAGTCTCTCATTCTCTCAAACAGGCCTGTTCAGAGAACAACTGGGAAGCTTCCACCTCCCTGTTATTAGGAAATCAACATGCCTGGGGGAAAACATAAAGAAGCAACAGAATTAAAGACATGGTAAAGAATACGCTGCTAGGCCTTCAGACCCTCTAGGCCTGATGCGTCTACACTCCTCATGGAAAAGATACCTGGAGCATGTCTAGCAGTCCCTGCCGACAGCCTTCTTCCATGCCATATTCATCCACAAGGATACTGCCAAGGTACAGGAAGCAGGAATGCTGATGTACGTGGTACACATTCACCATCTGTTGAGGGAAAAAACAATTAGTTCAATGCTTCGTCCTTCAAAAAGTACCAACTTACGAAGCTGTCTCCAGGAAGAAATTCAGAGATAGATTGGCTTCTTCTCTTTAAGGCAACATAGTATAAAGCTTCTTAGCACTATTTTGTGAAACACAGGGCTCAATATCTCAATGATTTTCAGGTTCTCTATTCTTCCAACCCTTTGACCTTTCATCTTCCCAAGACAATGCTGTATAAGAGTTAAAGCTAGAAGCTATCAGGGAACTCATGGATTATTTGCAAAACCCCAGCACAGAATATTTCATCCAGTACGTAAAAGTTGCTCTCATTTGCACTGTAGATAAGTCATACTTTTAAATAGGATATATAGCCACAGTTGGGAAAACAGTATCAAACACCTTCATCTTGGAGAAGACAGTGAAAGCATTGTTTAAATTTTGAGTTGCTCCTAAACCTATTTTATCTTTTAAGTAAAAAATAGTGTTTTCTACGAAGATATTTGGATTTCAACACAGCAAAAATTTTAACACAATATGCACATTATTATTTTTTTTTTAAGAGACTGGGTTTCGCTCTGTTGCCCAGGCTGGAGTGCAGTGGTGAGATCTTGGCTCACTGTGGCCTCAACCTACCAGGCTCAAGGGATCCTCCCACCTCAGCCTCCCGAGCAGCTGGGACTATAGGTGTGCACCACCATGCCCGGCCACGATATGCGCTTAAATGATTTGTTTAGAATTTTTACTCCACTATCCTCCCAGAATTAAGAAACAATTGTACACTCACCTATTTAAAATGCCACCACAGTACATATGTATTGATCTTATTACATAAATTCAACTCTATGAACTTGGGACTGAAAGGATACAGTAACTTAATTCTTCTGTTGGCATATGCCATGGAATGAGCATGAGATGGGAGCTATGAATCCATTCCATGTTGTAAACTCAAAATTATATGCTCTACTAAGGAATGATTAAGTCAAGGGTTGCCAAACATTTTCTTAAAGGGCTACTTTGTAAAAAGTATAGATCTTATCCACCATTCAGTCTTCTGCCCACTCAAGTTTGCCAGTGTAGCACAAAAATGACCAATAG
This sequence comes from Homo sapiens, assembly GCF_000001405.40. Classification (NCBI taxonomy): domain Eukaryota; kingdom Metazoa; phylum Chordata; class Mammalia; order Primates; family Hominidae; genus Homo; species Homo sapiens. The sequence goes on from NC_000007.14 coordinate 128,977,028, forward strand.
ATAATACGTAAATGAATTATGGCTATAGCTCAGTAAAACATTAAAAAAAACACAAAAACAAAAATAGGTGGCAAGGCCACTGACTATCAATTGCTGGCTCCTGAGTTAAGGGATTTTTTAAGGATAATTTTCATTTTTGTCACATGTACTGACTCTAGAACACACTTCCTATATAATAGTGCTACCTACTCTATTGGGTTAGTCATATACTTAACTGGCAGGAATTAAAAAACAGTATCAAAGTCATGAGGGTATCCTCCAACAGCAAAGGGGCAGTCTATCAAGTTGTAGTAGACCCAGAATGTATTGCACTGAAGGGGACACTTGACCAGAGGTGGCAATCGCCTAAATGCGAACATACATTATTGTGCTCAGCATATAGTGAAAGTAGAGAAATCACTAAAAATTAAAATTCTGTTGAAATATTTACCTGTACAATCTTTAATCAAATCTATAATTTAGAGAGGCAAGGTTATCCAAGTACCAACACCGCACCAGCATGCCTGTGCCTGTGGTTGAGGGCACCTATGATGCAGAATTTAAGGGGGAACTCATTCTTTTTTTCTTTTTTCTTTTTTTTTTTTTTTGAGATGGAGTTTCACTCTGTCACCCAGGCTGGAGTGCAGTGGCACGATCTCAGCTCACTGCAACCTCCACCCTCCGGGTTCAAATGATTCTCCTTCCTCAGCCTCATGAATAGCTGGGACTACAGGCGCCTGCCACTGCGCCTGGCTAATTTTTTGTATTTTTAGTAGAGATGGGGTTTCACCATCTTGGCCAGGCTGGTCTTGAACTCCTGACCTCGTGATCCACCCACCTCGGCCTCCCAAAGTGCTGGGATTACAGGCGTGAGGCACTGCACCTGGCCAGGGGGAACTCATTCTTAAGGCCAGGACCTCCTTAAAATCTGCACCCTAGGTGCTCTCCTCTCCCTAGGTGGAGCATGGTCACTTCAGGTTGGGTGGGGTATGACTCTAGCCTGGAGCTCTGTGACTGTTTTCCTCACAGCATGGGTACAAAATTTCAGAAAGCACCTCAGAGTCCTGCAAATGCAGGATTGGCACTTTGCCTTGTGTCCCTAAATCTTGTGCCCTAGGCACTGGCATCCTGGCCCTGCTCTAAGGTTAACATCAACACAATTACTTAGTGACTTAAGCATAGGCATCTCATACAGTTCTAGATGAGAATATGATTTTAGAGAACATCATTTAGTGAGTCATACCATCATAATTACATATCAATCTTAATGACTAAAAGAGTCAAATTTATTTTTTGACAAGAGACTTCTGTGGACAACTAACTGTGGCCAAGATTGAAGAAAATCCCTTTGGGCAAAGAAACAGCAAAGTCTGACTTGCTACATTTTTTCCCCAAGGATCTCAATATAAAAATGCTTACCATTAGTATATAAGTACTGAGCCCAAGTCATTCGCTTCACAGAATTTCACAATGGACTGTGTTGCTACTTAGAATACTGCTATAGCTACTATACAGAAGCGATTTTAGGCTGTTTCCCTTATAGACAATGTACCTATCACAGGCACTAATCTCTTTCAAGTGTTTTTTTAGTTTGTTAATAAATACAAAAGTGTTTCATTTCATCAGCAAAGTTTTTGTTCTAAAGGCTCCTATTTCAAATTCTTTTTTTGAGATGGAGTCTTGCTCTGTCACCCTGGCTGGAGTGCAGTGCAGCTCCTGGGTTCAAGCGATTCTCCTGCCTCAGCCTCCCGAGTAGCTAGGATTATAGGTGCCCGCCACCATGCCTGGCTAATTTTTGTATTTTTAGTAGAGACAGGGTTTCACCATGTTGGCCAGGCTGGTCTTGAACTCCTGACCTCAGGTGGTCCACCTGCATAGGCCTCCCAAAGTGCTGGGATTACAGACGTGAGCCACCGCACCCTGCCTATTTCAAATTCTGTACATGGAACACGTCCCCCCGCAACAGATAACTTTACCTGTGTGACTAGTGGCTGCAGCAGTGCTGCAGATCCTTTGCCTACACAGCGAACAGCAAAGCGCAGGCACCTGCAACAACGCTCTACAATCCGATTATCAGCTCGGTGCTTATTTAGAGTCTCGGATAAAACTGGCCATATCTGGGTCAAAAGTAAAAGAGCACAAGAAAGAAAATAATCAACAACTAGGACCTGAAAAACTGCTAAGTTGGTAACACCTCATTTAGCTTTTAAATAACTGGGACAAAACTTTCTGTATAGGAACACACATGGCCAGCATGCTCAGGTTCAATAGACTACCCACCACAAAACCCTATCACTTAACAAGAGAAAACAGTGCCTCTTTAGAACTGGAAGAGCATGTCTAACTTTGCTAAATGACAGAGATACACAATTTCCTAAACTTCAGACTTCCCGAAAGGCTATGAAAAGAATTGGTACGAGCTATATAGGAAGAGATGTTTAAAGATAGTTCCTGGAAGGTGGAAGAATTTGAACAAAAGGACTAGAGTTAAGGAAATGGCATCATTTGAGACCATTGGACACTTAAGAGTATTTAGTGTTGATGTAATTTGTCCTCTGAAGTCTCAAAAGCAATTCTTAAAACATGACTTTTGATCCTCACATAACCTTCAGTGAAAAAAGTAGAGGGGAAGTATGTCATCACTGAGGAAAACGAAGTCACTAGCTTTGTCAAAAATATTCTGCTGGTATTGATCAGGCCTCCTAGTAACTCTAGGAGTCACACAGTGAATCTCTTTCTACCACTTCTCTGGTCTTTCAAGGCATTCCCTTGCAGCCTGTTTTGTTATCAAATCTAAAATAAAAGACATTTGGATGGCTCTGTCCCTCATTTCATTGAAACCACATCAACAAACTGAATCTCCCTATGAACTTGGAAGACAGTATCTTCTCAGGTGAGTTACCCAAAGCCCTGTAAGGAAAAAAGAAGCAAGCCTTGATTCCACAAGCATCCATTAGCACTTACTTCCTGTATGACTTTCTGACACGGATGAGTCTGTCCATTTTCCACAATGGGATTGGTATGCCTGGGAAAAGACAACAGCCCAAAATAGTGAACAAAGACCAATTTCACTGAGGACCCAGAGCCCTGATCCCTGCTTGCTTACTTAGTATCATTTTCACCAAATAAAGAAAACCAGATGATAAAGTCATTTACTTACATCACCTTTATAAGCACATCCTTTAAATCATCCTATCATTTTTTGGCCACCTTTAAGTCACTTCCAATAGAACACGCAAATTCAATCCAACTTTGGGTAGATGGGCTGTGAGGCACTATGGCTATCTTTTCCATTTTTCCCTTTATAAACCCAAATATGGGCTGGGTGTGGTGGCTCACGCCTGTAATCCCAGCACTCTGGGAGGCCAAGGCGGGTAGATCACCTGAGTCCAGGAGTTCAAGACCAGCCTGACCAATATGGTGAAAACCCGTCTCTACTAAAAATACAAAAATAAGCCGGGCGTGGTGGCGCATGCCTGTAATCCCAGCTACTTGGGAGGCTGGTGGTGGTGCATGCCTATAATCCCAGCTACTTGGGAGGCTGGTGGTGGCACATGCCTATAATCCCAGCTACTTAGGAGGCTGAGGCAGAAGAATCACTTGAACGTGGGAGGCAGTGGTTGCAGTGAACCGAGATCACACCATTGTACTCCGGCCTGGGCAACAAGCGGATGAAGTAAAACTCCATCTCAAAAACAAACAAACAAAAACAACAACAACAACAACAACAAAACCAAACCTGAATATGTAGTTTCTTCCTAATTAACAAAAAAATATACACAGGTTGTCTAAATCCACTACTAGAAACCAAGTATTGCTTCATTCCTTGCATTAAAAGACTAAAAGCTATAGGAACTGTAGTCCAAAGATGTTGTAGTTCTAGTTTGAATCCAATGTACTTTCCACAATCAGTCAAATACAACTCCTCTGTCTAGTTCGATAGCTCACAATTTGAAGAAAAGCAGGAAAAAAAAACCACACATAATTAACTACAAACTACTTTAAAGGAAAGCTACTCTTTAGTTTTAAAAAGCTCAACAGCAACTTAATAAAAATTTAACTTTAATTCAAGTATTTACATCTATTTCAGATTTTCTTTCATTTACTGTGAAATAAGGGTTACTGTTAATAGGTTCTCAGAATAGCATGTTAATAGGGCTCTCCTAATTATAAAAGGAAAACATTGCACCAACTGAGAGAAAGATATCTGTTGACAATAACTAGTAACACATCACCTTTTTAAATATTTATCCCACATAGGCTTCTACACAATGATTACTATAACATTCCAGTTATACATGGGTCCCAAAAATTATAAATTATGTTACTCAGTAAGAATTACTCTTTGAAAACTGTCACTCAAATGCCTTTTTAATCATTAGGCTCCTCCTCTTCACTTCAAAGATGCATTAATTTCACCTGATCACTGAAGAAACTTCATTATATTTTTGTACCCATACACTATATACAGCGATGGTTCTGAAAGTATGGTCTCTGGATTAGCAAGCAGAATCATCAGCATCACCTGGGAATTATCAGAAATGCAAATTTTCAGGTCCTACCCAAGATCTAATGAATCAGACACTGAGGGGATGGGATCTAGCAATCTGTGTTTTGATAAGCCCAGGTGATTCTGATGCATGTGGAATGATGATATATGTGAAAGTTTGGTCTTTTGGTCTCCACAGAACTGGAGACCAAAAGAATTCCATTTTTAAAGAGTCTTTTTTTTTTTTTTTGAGATGGGGTTCTCACTCTGTCACCCCGGCTAGAGTGCAGTGATGTGATCTTAGCTCACTGCAACCTCTGCTTCCCAGGCTCAAGTGATCCTCCCACCTCAGCCTCCCAAATAGCTGGGACCACAGGCCCATGCCACCATACCCAGCTAATTTTTTATATTTTTGGTAGAGACAGGGTTTTGCCACGTTGCCCAGGCTGGTGTCGAACTCCTGAGCTCAAGCAATCTGTCTGCTTTGGCCTCCCAGGTGCTGGGATTACAGGTGTGAGCCATCGCTCCCGGCCTTCCACTTTTTAAAGAGTATTTTAACACAAAGACCTACCAGGAATGAATTCTTAGAATTTGCCTTTGCCCCAGAACTTCAGGTAACAGCTGGCTTAATTAGTCTCCAAACATAGGGAGATACTTGGAAGTATGAGGAAAAAATACTTGCTTACTTCAATATACAATGGTTTCATTTGAGCCTTTAACCCAAGTAAGGCATCCAGAGTCTCCTTTCTTACCTAAATATCACTGCAAGGCGATCTAAGAACACTGTGGGATCTGAGGATATGCCATTGCTGGGCTCTTGAGACAACAGCTGAAGAGACAAAAGGACATTAACACCCAATTGTCACATGTACAAATCTACAGCCAACACTGCAACATACATCAACCTTTGTCTCAATCTCTGCTTATTTCCTTATATAAAGTCCTAAAAGTATATAAACTCCTAAAAGTTACTCAAATGGCGCAAATTTTAATTTATATTGTCAAATTATTTTCCTCCATCTTATTGCATCCTGGCCAAGACTACATATTGCTACATTTTACTGTCTGATTACTGAGGAGTAGAAAACAGTATCATTTGATTTTTTTCCCATTTACCTTAATTATTATTATTACATATTACATAATATAGATTGTATATATGTTATGTTACACAATATGTAAAAGATTATATATTTAGCTTTATATTATAAGGCTTTAAAATTATTATAGCTTTGTAATATATTTTAAGCAAATTGTCTCTTACTCTTCTTTCCTAAAATTTCTTAGATACTCCCATTAGTAAATCATCAGAGATGAACTACAGAATTATTTTATCAAGTTCTAAAAATCCCATTGGTATGTCTAAAGTTATTGCACTATAAATATAACTGGAGAAGAGTTGACATCTTTATATCCTTTAAGGAAACATGGTAGGTTCAGGCGTTGATTGCTAACTTGAATGAATTCTTTTCCCATTACATTTTCTAACTGATGATTACCAATGTAAACTAAAAATAAAATCCTAAGTCTCCCACCAACTGAATAGGTCCCTCCTGTTGCCATGGGGACCCCAGAGAAACCTTAAAAACGGAGCTCTCAGCCATGATGGGAAGGGAGGTCAGATATGTTTTGTTATACTCCCTATCTTTCGGAGTTTAGGTGCAAGTGGCCAGCATTAATGTTAAATGGAGATCATAAGACCAATCAAAGACTTTTTTTTTCTTTTTTTGAGGTGGAGTCTTGCTCTGCCACCCAGGATGGAGTACAATGGCGCGATTTCGGTTCAATGCAACTTCCGCCTCCCAGGTTCAAGTGATTCTCCCGCCTCAGCCTCCCGAGTAGCTGAGATTACAAGTGTGCGTCACCACACCTGGCTAATTTTTTGTATTTTTAGTAGAGACCAGGGTTTCACCATGTTGGTCAGACTCTAACTCCGGACCTCAAATGATCCACCTGTCTAGGCCTCCAAAATGCTGGGATTACTGGCATGAGCCACGACACCCGGCTGATCAAAGACTCCTTTACCAAATTATAAACAAGATCTGAGGCCACAGAAGGCAAGAGTTAAGTCACATCTATAGCCCATCAATCTTATTAAACTGTCAGAGTTATGGCTGACCCTGACATAGCAACCTTAACTTAAACATTCCTTTCTGCTAGCTCCAAGCTTTTTGTTCCTTTAACCAACTGCAGATTAAAGAATCTCTGAATCCACTTATGACTTGTAAGCCCCCACTTCAAGACAGCCCATCTTTTTAGACTAAACCAATGTATACCTTCCATATTTTGATTTATGTATTTGCCTGTAACTCCTACATCCCTGAAGTGTATAAAACCAAACCATAATCCCACCACCTCAAGCACACTTTCTCAGAACTCCTCGAGACTGGGTTTCCCTGGGCTGTGGTCACTCATACTGGCTCAGGACAAACCTCTTTAAAACATTTTATAAAATTTGGTTTTTCTGTTAACACTGATATAATGAGAATCTATTAATTCTGAAATATTTATTGTATGCAGCTACTTTGATTACATTAATTTTAATAAATTCTTAGTGCATTTTCTTGGATTTTCTAGGTAGACAAAAGATCTGTAAATAAGTAATTTCATCTTTTCATTTTTAACATGTAAACATCTTATATTTGTTTCACACCTTCCTTAATTGGACTTACCTTTTTCAATGCCATAACCTGAACAGAACATAGTTCACTAAGACATTCGGTAATCTTATCCAAAGGTAATCGGGCTAGGACAAGTGCTGTCCCTGAAAAACAAAGGAAGATACAAATGAAAAATAAACGCTGAATTGAGGTAACTTAACTGGACTACATCATGTGAGTGACCAGAAAAAGCGAACTGGTTTGGTTCCATTCTTTTAAAAAGATCAGCATTGTTTTTTAAAATGACAACACTTTGTTATTTACAGTTGTTTTTTCTTTATTCTTTATTGGGCTCAGAAGGCTAAGACTGATTAACACTTACAACTGAAGTTAATATTTGTCAAAGACTTTTAAAATCTCCTTCACAAAGCCAATGGCAAAGCTATTTTAAAATGTATACCATAGTGTAATGTTTCTCAGACTTCCCAGAGATTCTGATTTAGTGGGTCAAAGAGAGTCTTTATTTTTGATAAATACTTCCAGCAATTCTTATCACAAGAGAAATTCTGACATAATGCTTTTAGAAGAATGGGCTGCAATTAGAGATTTCACTCTTACACCATAACACTCTCTGTGAGGTTATAAGAGACATTTTCTTTGGGCTTCAGTTTCTTTATGAAATAAGTGACTTGAACAGCAAAGTAACAGTTAAATTTGCCTTTCTTTCATTTTAAAAAAAAGTTACAAAAGCCTCCTACCCCCTTTCTTTTTCCCTCCTAAACAAATCTTGACTTAGAACTCCAATAAAATAGGTTAAAAAGAAAAACCAAAAGAGGCAGTTAGGTTCAAGTGGAGACAGAAGGTCCAGACCCTTCCTACTCAGCCTCCCTCTTGCTGCAATCCCCATTCTAACCCCACCAACTGCTGAAACACCTTCCCCAAATCCAAAGGATTACGTATTAGCCTAGGTCCCTTCTAGGTCAAAAAACACCTTGAATATAAATGTTTTCACTTCCTGAAGTTTCATTCAACAGAACAGTAATTTATCCCTAAACCTTCAAATTTGAATTAAAAAAACAGAGTGAATCTTCTTGGCCATCTATAAGCCATAGACGAGTTAGACTTTTCTTTAAAACTAGGAGGGAAAAGCCTAATTTCAGCATGATTTTCCTTTTAATTAATTCCTATAGAAAAGTATGTTACTTTAAAAAGTTTTCAGCCAGGTGTGGTGGCTCATGCCTGGTATCTCAGCACTTTGGGAGGCCAAGGCAGGAGGATCACTTGAAGCCATGAGTTCAAGACCAGCCTGGGCTATATAGCAAGACCCTGTCTCTATTAAAAATTTAAAAAATCAGCTAAGCATAGTGGTGTGCACCTGTAGTCCTTGCCACTTGGGAAGCTGAGACACGAGGGTCACTTGAGTCTAGGGCTTCAAGGTTACAGTGAGCTATGATCATGCCACTGCATCCCAGCTTGGCAACAAGCGAGACCCTGTCTCTAAAATAAATAAATAAATAAAAATTGAAAACCATTTTCTACATCTATTAGATACCACTGAAAATTGGGAGGCCACATTGTACTACAGGTTAGACCTCACTTCAATGTCAAGGTTAATAAATTCCACTAGAAAATGACAAGAATATTTGACTCTGATTTATCTGTGCCTATGAAGGGAAACAACAAAAACCCAAGGTACAAAAAGAAAATCTGATATAAAAAAGCACAGTCACACTAGCTGGTAAGGAATCTGGTCATATGAATAACAAAGGACAGAATTCACAAATAAGCCATCCACTCTTGCCAAGGCTAATTGTTTAACAAGTCACAGAGGCTTAGAAGATATCACACAGGTTATTTTACCCAATCCTTTAATATACCTCAATCTCTCTGATTTACCAGTGATAAGAATTTCATTACCTCACAGGGCACCCCAATCTGTGTTCAGAAAGTATGGTTAAGTGTTTTCTTCCTAGAGCCAGTATATGCTTCCCTATAAATGGCTGACAAGTGACTACTCATAAAATAAATATGATCCTTCTTTTATAAGACCATCTTTCAAATATTTAAAAATAGCTACCATGCTTAAAGGCTGTTCTAAGTCTTTTCCCCTAGCCTTAATATCTCTAGTTCTTCTATTAAGTCCGAGCCTCATCACAATGGCTGTTTGCCTCTGGATAGACAATCACTCAGTATAAGCTGATCAGTAATGGTTAAAGGCTGCTAAGAGACCAGGACCCCTGACTTCTACTCATGGCACTGATCCATGTATACTACCTTTCAACTCCCATTTACCTCTTTGGTATGGCAATGCTTCTTTGGTCTCCCTTTTTATTCTTCCAACTTAAAAAGCAGCCGTGTTTAGTTTGAATATGTTGTCTCTACCCAAATCTAGGTCGGTGCTATATATACCGCAAGTAGTATTAATTAATTATATAGGCTTAAGATAATCCAAGAAAAGAATGCATGTACATATAGTCAACACTATCCCCTCTAGTGGAAAAGCCATCTTCCTCATCTTATAAATTCTTAAACACTAAGTACATTGCAACTGAAAAACTGGGATATGACAGATGTAAGATTACCCCAGGTAGTGGCTTTGAGGTGACTATTAGTGGTTAACATCAAGTGAGTACCTTTTAGCAAGCCCACAGCAGCTTCTGGAGACAACAGGAAGGAATCGAGGGAGCGGGCAATCTCCAGGAGTCCATTAAAGTGCTGAGCCATGTGATCTCGGCAGACAGAGCAAATGTTATGAATGGCTTTGGCTGCAGCAGAAGCCAGGGGCTTTTCACACAGGCCTTTCATCAAATAGCCCAACACAGGGTCTAAGAAGAAAAGCCAAGCAGAGATTACATATCTGAAACTAAAGGAAAACTTCTAGTTTATTAAAACAGAGGTATACTTGCTTTTCTTTTTTTAAAGCAAAAGAACCCTTTTAAAAAGTGAAATGTGTTCAGAACCACAATAAATAAAACACATAAAAATAGAGCTGATCTCACTTACATATTGTCAACAGGCCCTGAGACCCATCTATTTCATCTTCCATTTCTTCCCTCAGGGCAGTCAACGTTAACTCCCAGGGATTCACAGAGCAGTTTGTAAACCACTGACTTAAGAGCATATATGGCAATCCAGGTATTAAGAATATGGCAATGTAAGAAAGAATGCAAAGCTCAGGGAGTTACAATTATACCGAGGGATGAATTACTTGGTAAAACAGCCTATATGAATCAGGACAAGGATAGTTGTCTAAAGCTGAAACTTTTATACTTGCTTCTTTCTAGTTACAAAAGGCCTTAAAAATAGGCAGATGAATCTTTAGCACTTCTAGATGAATTAATTCAGTATGTTTTAATTTTACCAAATGTAAGTGCTCCAAGAAAGTTTATCATAAAGTTGAATTTCTATAGAGCTAATTCTACTCATCTTTTTATCTTCTTTTATAAAAATCAGATTTTTTTTCTATAGGAAAAAAACCTTAGAAAAACCATATATTGTTTTTGGGGACGGAGCCTCACTCTGTCCCACAGGCTGGAGTACAGTGGCACGATCTCAGCTCACTGCAACCTCCATCTCGCAGGTTCAAGCAATTATCCTGCCTTAGCCTCCTGAGTAGCTGGGACTACAGGCATGCGTCAAGCCCAGCTAATTTTTGTATTTTTAGTAGAGACGATTGTTTCACCACATTGGCCAGGCTGGTCTCAAACTCCTGGCCTCAAGTGATACGCCTACCTCAGCCTCCCAAAGTGCTGGGGTTACCACTGTAAGCCACCACGCCTGGGCAAAAAACCATGTGTTGTTAAAGGTCATTGTGAGTACTTTATATTGACCTTGTAGCAAACTGTGAAAAAGTGGAAAGAATCAAAATAATAACATCTTTTTTTTTCTTTTTTCTTGAGATGGAGTCTCGCTCAGTCACCCAGGCTGGAGTGTAGTGGCGCAATCTCGGCTCACTGCAAACTCCGCCTCCCGGGTTCAAGTGATTCTCCCTGCCTCAGCCTCCCAACTAGCTGGGATTACAGGCATGCGCCACCAAGCCCAGCTAATTTTCCTGTATTTTTAGTAGAGACGAGGTTTCGCCTGTTGGCCAGGTTGGTCTCGAACTCTTGAACTCAGATGATCCTCTCGCCTCAGCCTCCCAAAGTGCTGGGATTACAGGTGTGAGCCACCATGCCTGGCCAATAATAATGTCTTAAAGCCCATTTAAAACCATTATGTCCATTTCTAGTCTAATGATCAATACAATGCCCAAACTCAGCACAATCTGCCTACCTCCACCAAAAAGAAAAAAACAAAACCAAAACCCCACCCTGTTTAGTCTAGGAATCAAAAGACCTAGAATCTAGAACCTAGCCCAAGCAACTCTAATAATGTAGACTTCTGTGATTCCCAAATTGGGTGTTTGTGGTTTTGACTATTCTGAGTATGAACATAGAGCAATCTGTCTACTGCTGAGGCACAAATCTGAATGAGATACTGCAAGGTGGCACTGAATGATAAATCTTTTGATAAGAGTCTGCAAGTCAACCTAGATTTGCTGCTTTCTGGACATTAACTGAAGGTATTAAAACAAACAAATCTACTATGTTTCTTGGTGGAAAAATGGTTCAGAAAAGAAAGCCAAATGTTGAGCCAGATAAAGTGCAGAAATCTAAGAACTAAAAAACAGCCATATTGAAATCACTTGGAAATAGTATGTTGGGCCAGGCGTGGTGGCTCACGCCTGTAATCCTAGCACTTTGGGAGGCTGAGGCGGGCAGATTACTTGTGGTCAGGAGTTCGAGACCAGCCTGCCCAACATAGCGAAACCCTGTCTCCACTAAAAATACAAAAATAGTGGGCATGGTGGCATGCACTTGTAATCCCAGCTACTTGGGAGGCTGAGGCAGGAGAATCACTTGAACCTAGGAGGTGGAGGTTGCAGTGAGCTGAGATCAGGCCACTGCATTTCAGCCTGGGCAACAGAGCGAGACTCTATCTCAAAACAACAAAAAACAAAAACAAAAACAACAAAAAAAAGAAATAGTACGTTGAACTTAGAAAGCAGCTCAGTGTATAGAAACAAAGAACACATTCACTCTTTTTAGCATGTGTTTCAGTCACTAAAAACAGATGTATAAAATAAAATCAAGTAAAAAGGCGATAATAAAGATATACACAGGAAACACATCAAACTTAATGATATAATACTAATCACAAATTTTGGTATTCCTAAAATTCTCAGAATGTATCCCTCTTAAATGTCAGGGCTTGATATATATTACCCTGGAAAAGTCATTTCGTCTCTTTGGGCCTCAGTTTCCTTGTCTATAAAAAGAGGAGGTTAGAATAAATCATTTCTAACTTTACCTTCAATTCTAAAGTTGTTACGATCTTTAGTTATTTTTTCAAGTCAATAAGGACACCCAGAGGTTATATAAGTCTTCATTTTAATTTGCAGTTATTTAGTTTTGAATAATTCTTGGCTTTTAAATGAAGCATGTATTACAAGTGAAAAATTATCTCCTTTGCTTTGGTCCTTGAGTAGCTTCTAGTATGTTAAAATTGTAAGAGATTCTGATTAGCTCAAGCATATGCCAAAGACTAACAGAGATAGAAATGTTCATGCTTAAACAGAGTACTAGAAGCAAATTGTTCACTGTTTCCCTATCTGTAGATCTAATCTTTCAAAGGTCCTTCTCCCAGATCAGATTATAAATGTTATATCAAATAAGCACTAACTTACAACATATTGTTTACTCTCAGTTTCTATAAACACTCCGTGTTAAAAAAACAGAAAGGAAAACACATGCAAAAGTAAGAGATGAGAAGAAAAATCAGAAAAATGACAAGTTAGAAGTGGCAGAGGAGAGAGATTACACATACCAAGGAACTGAGGATTTCGATCAACGACTTCACTCATCTCTCCAACCAATTCAATGCTGGTGTATCGCACAGCCGTATGTACGGTCTCCGGGAGGCGGACAACTCCTTCTAGGACTTCCACAAGTGTTGGATTGTTTTCCCTGAGTACAGGCGGTAAGTACTCACAGTTACTGATTTCAGAGGTTATATTCTGGCCAAATAACAGGCTGTGACGACACACAGCATTGCTAAAGGGCTTCTTTCTAAACAACCATTAAGATAAAAGTACTTGGTATTTGTTATGAAAGATTTTCAAATCTTCAAAAAAGAGGAAAAGATAGAAATGAAAGATATTGTTTCAGGAAAAGCATACTGCTCCTTAATCTTCTGAATGCCAGTAAAGTGCCTACAGACACATCAAGCTATCAAATGCAGGCTCTTTAAATTGGAGAGGCAGACATTTACTGTGGATGAATGTCTTCTTCTAAAGAATCTATTTTATTTAGTCCTATAGCTGCAGCACCTAGAACAGTGCCTGGCACATAGTGGGCACTCAATAAATATTGCTGAATGGCTAAACAGATGAATGAATAATTCTCATAGACCATTCTCTGTTGTTTTGCTCCAAAAGATTTCTTATAGCTGGATATTGGAAACTTTAAGAACAGGTTAAGTATGGGTAGGCAGCTCACTAATTGAAAGAACAAGAAAATAAGCTGCAGGAATAGATTAAGTTGCCCCGATTTGGAACATGAGGGAAAATTAAAGTTAACCAAACACTTTCCATAGCTCCATGAGTTTATCTGTTCCCTCTCCTCCCTCTGTCCCCCACAAAATATACTGGCTAACGGCCTTTTGAGTAGAGTGGAGGATACCCCTAAAGTGGCAGAACTTAATCCAGAAATGAAAGATGTTTAAAATGTAAATAATATCCTGGATTACAGCAAGACCACCCTCTGCTAATAAACTAGTCTATTAAGTCCTTTTATATGCACTAAAAAATTATAATCATGCAGTTGGCTTGAAATGCATATAAACAAAAAAAATATCAAATCTCTCATTTATGACTTATGTTTCCTAGGGACACTAAGTCAATTAACGAAGACTATCTAGCCATCATTTTTCAAACCAAGACATATTAGTTAGAACATTAATGATTTTAATAATCTTCAGACTTGTCACAGAAGGTTCAAAATGACACCAAAATTGGTTTAAGAGTAAATAGTGTGGTACATAATTAAGGACCAGGACTTCTTAACAGAGAAAAATAAACCTATTCGACCTCCTTGAATATTTACTGGATTAGAAACAATATGCCACTGACGAGGCCCTGAAAGGCAGCTAAGAAAGAAGCATTGTGCTTTTTATAAATATCTGCCTTAACCATCTCTCCAATCAAGACTGAATACAGAGCTTGACTGCAGGTATCAGGTCACAATTCAGCGTGGCAGATATTAACATCGATTTATATACTCATGGCACAAAGTAAATTTTGTCTCTAGGGCTTCGTGTCATAAATAGAATTTCTATGGAATTAGAAGTAAAATTTGAATAATTTGAAATTTTTCAATGGCAATAACAAAAACAGTAATTGCCCTTTAGATCTGGCTCTTTTAGGTGAAAAGGTGCCTATGCCTTGCCTCTCTGAAACAATGTAATTAATTTTGTAAGAATAACTTACCCAAGGTCACAAAAGCAGGAAACCCAAATTAGTGTCTATTCAATTGCTTTTAAGCAAGTACCAACAATTAAACAGTCTAACAAATTCTTTACCATACCAACTTTCACAAGGGAGCCTCAGTTGGAAAAATAAATCAGCATTCTATTCCTAGCATCAAGAATAAAATAATTTCAACTCTAGGAAATGCTGTTAAAACATGGTATCAGCAATTCAGGCTACCCTGGACTAGACTCTAGAAGTCAGAAGACTAGACGGCACAACAGAAGTAAGAAGTTCTGAAAGTCTCCAGGTATATACCATATAAGAAAAAAAAAATAGTGTCATTTTCCTTCCTCTTGATATTTAGAGTTCCCAGCAAAAGACTTATGAGACACTCACGGATCAACACTCTTTGCTATAGCAGCCATGATAAAGAGAACCGCTTCTGTCACCTCCCAGGGTGGGTTGCCTTCTTTCAGAGTAGAATATAACTAGAGAAGAAGAGGTGGATTATGGATCCATTAAAAGGAAAACAGAATGCCAAAACAAACAAAACAAAAAATCCAGTTAAAGTAAATCCTGCTTCTTGTTTCTAAATCTAATTACCTCTCAAGCCAGATGAGAATATTATTTTCTTTTTTTTATATCATCACTAACTAGGAGTAACTATTTTAATATTTGAAATAAACCCATTTAGACCCGCAAGAGTTTATCAAAATTATCATCTGCCCCCAGAAAATGACTACTATGAGAAAAACAAAACACAGTATATGAGTGTCTTTTCCTGGTCCTGATAATAACTGATAAATACATAAACACACTTAAAATAGAGATACAATGTAAATCCTCTATATATGTATTGGCTTTACATTTCTATTGTTTTAACTACTTGTCTGCATCAACACTGGTAGTACTGACTGAATTCCTAAAAAGCAGCTGTTTAGAAGCACCTATCACAATACTGTATCCAAGCAGAATTAATTTTTTTAAAAAAAGGTACACCTAGCAGAATACTCAGAGATGTTCTGGTCCACAATTTCCCAGATTATATCCACCTACAGAATGTGACTAAATAATATTTTTATAGTGAAATAACAGACACTGCTAGGAAAGGCAAAATTAAACAGCTCTCTTATTATACAACTTCACAGAGCCTTTAATATACTATTTATACCATTTCCTAATTTTAATTAATAACTTTTTTTTGGCAAAAAATATCTCATGGGGTTGGTGTTCCACAGACTATATCTTGAACAACATTGATAATTTACATAATTTGTAAATTAAGTCAAAGGATTGAGAAGATCAAAGGATTTCTCAAAGCCATAGAGCTAAAGAGAGATGAGCTGAAATCTGAGCAGAGGTCATCTGTCTAAGATCCAGGGATCTCATTTAAGTGGCTTTCTAAGAATCCTCAACTCTTCATAGATGGGTCAATAAGCATGCTTTGCTTAATATAATGAAAATAGTTATACTTTTATTAATACTTTTTAGATCATATTACACCCAAATATACAAAAAATGACTGAGTTACCAAAAAAAAAAAAATTAGGTTAGTTTAGTATTGCTGTGACAAAGCTTCCAAAGTGGTATTTCAGAGCTCATTAGAATATAATACAGCAATATGAAAACTGCCTGAAATTAAACTAATGTTAAGTGATATGGAATGATGATGATTGTAACCTTATGAGGTAAAATGTTACTCAGTGATTGTCAGGAAAACCCCTGGACTATGAATCTTCTACTCTAGCATAGTCACCTCTGGGACGAAACTGCACAGGAATCTAACCATAAGTGTGGACAAAGATAATGCCAAATAACTACAAGAGTTACCAGGAGTTGGTACGTAATTACTAAAGCAGAAACACTTGCCTATTGTTCCTGGCTAGGTCCAAATTCCCTATAAGTATCCTAGAGGCTTTAATGCTTATCTATGATCTTCTATTCCAGCTGTACAAGTGGAACAGCAATCAGTGCAAGCATACAGAGTAAACCATAACCGAATCATCCATAAACTGCAACTGACTTGTAAAATGTTAAATAAACATAGCTACTATATGCCAGGCAGTGTGCTAGGCACTTGCATATCTATTATCTCATTCAGCCACTAAAATTGAAGAAATAAGATGGAACATTCACAGAAGACACAGAAGTGAATACAATTAAGGTGACTAGTAAAACTGGAAACAATCTCCAAATAGGCTTACCTGAGCAAAACACTCCATAGACCCTATCAAGAAAATCAAGTCCTTTACCAGGTCTGATACCCTCATGCGAAACTCCCCAAAGTCATCAGTCTCCTCAGGAACCCCCTCCTAAAATATCAAATCAGATAACATCTGCTTTAAACTCACTGCGGCTTTCAATGACCTCTATAAAATCAAGAAGAAGAAAAAAACCATTAAGCAGTCAAGTTTCAATGAACAAAAGTTGCCTAAATCACGAGGGTATTTTATTTTAGACAGAGGGTTTCCTAAATTGTGAGGTATGCCAAGTCAAGACAACCTATTCTCTGCCTTTACCAGGAGAAAATCTTTGGTTTGTGTGTGTGTTTTGTATTTTATTTTTATTTTTTTGAGACGGAAGCTCACTCTGTCGCCCAGGCTGGAGTGCAGTGGTGCGATCTCTGCTTACTGCACCCTCCGCCTCCCAGGTTCCAGTGATTCTCCTGCCTCAGCCTCCCAGGTAACTGGGATTACAGACACACGCCACCACACCCGACTAATTTTTGTATTTTTAGTAGAGACAGGGTTTTACCATGTTGGCCAGGCTGGTCTCGATCTCCTGACCTCAAGTCAGCTGCCCACCTCGACCTCCCAAAGTGTTAGCCACCGTGAGCCGGCATGCCCTGCTGTGTTTTGTATTTCTAAGCTACAGCTTGTTTTGTTGTTGGAAAAATGTGGCTTGGGGAGAGTGAGAAGTGACCTGGAAGAAGTAGTAAATTAAGTGATAAGCCTATCTAGAGAAGGTCAGCTCTTTAGTGACAAACAAATTGAAGATTTATGTTTCAAGATCTACCAAAATCAACCACTGTCACAATAACTTCACACAGAAAATATACTTTTATTTTTATTTTTGAGACAAGGTCTCGCTCTGTCACCCAGGCTGGAGTGCAGTGACATGATCTCGGCTCACTGCAGCCTTGACCTCCTGGGCTTAAGCAATCCTCCCACCTCAGCCCCGGAGCAGCTGGGACTATAGGCATGCACCACCACGCTTGGCTAATTTTTATATTTTTTGTAGAGTTAGGGTTTTGCCATGTTGCCCAGGCTGGTCTCAAACTCCTGAGCTCAAGCGATCTGCCCGCCTTGCCCTCCCAAAGTTCCGGGATTATAGGCATGAGCCACGTGCCTGGCCTCAGTTAATTTTTAAAATTTTTTTATAGAGGTAAGGTCTCACTATATTACCCAGGCTGGTCTCAAACTCCTGGGTTCAAGTGATCCTCCTGCCTTGGCCTTCCAAAGTGCTGGGATTACAGATGTGAGCCCAGCCCAGAATTTTAAACTTAAAACATTTCATGTAGGTGGACAGATATAAAAAACAAGCATAGTAAAATATGAATAGTGGAATTTAGGTGGTAGGTATACAGATATTCTCTATGACATTATTTTATGTTTGCTGTGCATTTGAAATTTGTCATTAAAAAATTTAAAGATCATTTATATTCCATGGTTTCCTATTCCAAACACTTCTGTATCTTTCCTATTCTGACACACTTCTGTAAACAGAGTTACCAATTATAAGATGGTTAAAGGCACGTACAAGAATCTTGGGCCCAAATACCTAGGAAAAGCCCTTAGTACTATTGAGAATTGCTAATCTAGTTCAAGCTCCTTGCTTTAAGATGAAGAAATTAAGGTGAAGGAATGAGGAGGAAACGATGGCTATCTCAGATGAGATAATGGCTAACATTATAAAGCACTATACAAATTATAAAGCGCTATACACTTACAAGTGTAAGAAATTACCCGCAAGGGAAATGGTGCCACAGAATTAGCAAAGGCAAAAAAGGGATCAAGCACAGAGCCATTTAAACCAAAGGGGCCCTGCTTTATAAATCAGGCTTCCAAGTAAAATGTGGTTGAAGACAGGAGTCTTCACTTTATTTTATTTTTTTGAGACTGAGTCTTGCTCTACTGCCCAGGCTGGAGTGCAGTGGCGCAATCTTGGCTCACTGCAACCTCCACCTCCTGGGTTCAAGTGATTCTCCTGCCTCAGCCTCCTGAGTAGCTGGGATTACAGGAACCTGCCACCATGCCCAGCTAATTTTTGTATTTTTAGTAGAGACGGGGTTTTGCCACGTTGGCCAGGCCGGTCTCAAATTCCTGACCTCAAGTGATCCACCCGCCTCGGCCTCCCAAAGTGCTGGGATTACAGGCATGAGCCACCACGCCCAGTTGGATTCTTCACTTTAAAAAATAGCGGGGGTGGGTGCAGTTTGAAAACCACCAGACTAAATCATGACTAAGGTTGTGTGGAGATACAAAATACCATGACTCAAACACAATACTAACATTAAAATTAAGAGAACAGCACGTGGGATTTAATTGTAAGCAATAAAACTTACTGCAGGTCCTAGATTAAAGGACGGATTCAACCAACCAACAGGATGAAATCGATGTGGCAAAATTTGAAGAGACTAAGCATGATGTTTGAAGAGTTTTCTAATAAACTAATAATTTTCTAGTATTTTTTTCTAAGCAAATAGATTTCTATATTCTTTTAAACTACAAAATCAGTATAAATAAGATTTAAAAAATGTGTATCTTCATGGGGCAAAATCATACACACAAATATTTCACTTTTGTATTAGTTTTCATCTAACCACTTATTTTCTACTATTTAATAAGGTACAAAATTTTGGCCAGGGGCGGTGGCTCACACCTGTAATCTCAGCACTTTGGGAGGCTGAGGTGGGTGGATCATGAGGTCAGGAGATCGAGACCATCCTGGCTAACACGGTGAAACCCCATCTCTACTAAATATACAAATAATTAGCCTGGCATGGTGGCGGGTGCCTGTAATCCCAGCTACTCGGGAGGCTGAGACAGGAGAATGGCGTGAACCCAGGAGGCAGAGTTTGCAGTGAGCAGAGATCACGCCACTGCACTCCAGCCTGGGTGACAGAGCGAGACTCCGTCTCAAAAAAAAAAAAAAAAAAAAAAAAAAGAGTACATAATTTTACATTCTGATTTTTCTCTTACCATATCATCATTTCACTACCTTTTAATTGCTGCATCAAGTTGCTAAATCATAACTCTTCTTATATAATTCATATAACTCTTGTTATACTGCTGTACATGGGTTTATAATTTTTACTTTTACAGATAACATTTTGTATATAAAATAGCTGTTTTTTTCTTCTGCAGATTTAAGATATACTCCCAGGAAAAGAATTACTGGTTTAGCTGGAGTGTTTTGCTTTTTTTTTTCCCTAAATAGACCTAACAGATTATACTGGTACTGACTTCTTCAGTATAAGCTGTAGAGTCTGCCAATCCTCCCAACTCAGCTTCCTGAGTAGCTAGGACTACAGGCGTGTGCCACCAGGCCCAGCTAATTTTCTTTTATTTCTTTTTGTAGAGACAGGGGATTCCCTATGTTGCCCAGGCTGGTCTTGAATTCCTGGGCTCTAACGATTCATCTGCCTTGGCCTCCCAAAGTGCTGGACTACAGGCATGAGCCAGGGTGCCCAGCCAGGTTTATTATCTATCTTCTCAGTTCCTTTTCAAGTTGGCACTGACAAGAGGAAGAAATTAAGATTTGAAGAGGTAGAGAAGGGAACTTACATGGTCTGGTTCCAGCTGGCAGTGTCGAGCCAAGGCGTGAAGCAGCCTCTGAATGTAAGCTTTGAAGATGCCATGAATAACTTCATCGTTAGTTTTGTACAAATGTTCCCCCAGTCGGTACCAAAAGTTAAATGAAATTTCTACTACCTGTTAGGTTAAAAGAGATGATTTATTTGAATGGGAAAGGAATAGAATAAGAAGACATTTTATTATCACCACGACCATATAGGAAGAAAGATATATTTTTAAATAATATGAGTGGAGCCAGTTAAGAAGTCACCTTTTCTCTAGCAGATTTACTATTATCTCCCCAAATTGTCTTCCCACGTTAGGCCCAAATCTCCATTTAGAATGACTGGCTTTACATTCCATTTAGTCCTGAGGTAATGCCTCCAAAAGTATACTGAATTTTGAATTTAGAGAAAACAATAACAGACATGGAAGTCTTTATTTTTATTTATTTTTTAGAGACGGAGTTTCATTCTGTTGCCCCAGCTAGAGTGCAGTGGAATGAACACAGTTCACTGCTGCCTCAAACTCCTGAGCTCAAGTGATCCTCCTGCCTCAGCCTCCCAAGTAGCTGGGACTACAGGTACACACCACCAAGCTCAGCTAATTTTTTTTTTTTTTTTTTTTTTTAGTAGAAACAGGGCCTTGCCATCTTGCTCAGGATGGTTTTGAACTCCTGCCCTCAAGTAATCCTCCCACCTAGGTCTCCCAAAGTGCTGGGACTACAGGCATGAGCCACCACATAGTTTTATTTTATTTAAAACAAATTTCAGCCAGGCGCGAAACACCATCTCTAAAAAAATACAAAAATTAGCCAGGCATGTAGGTGGCACATGCCTGTATTCCCAGCTACTCAGGAGGCTGAGGTTGGAGGATCACCTGAGCCCAGGAGGCTGAGGCTACAGTGAGCTGTGATTGCACCACAGCATTCCAGCCTAGGCAACAGAGTGAGACCCTGTCTCAAAAGATATATATATTTTCTTTAGAGACAGGGTCGCCTAGGCTGGAGCACAGTGGCACAATCATGGCTCACTGCAGCCTTGAACTTCTGGGCTCAAGCAATCCTTCCACACAGCCTCCTGAGTAGCTAGGAGGACTACAGGCGCTTGCCACCATGTCTGGCTAATTTTTAAAATTTTCTGTAGCGACAGGGTCTTGCTCTGCCATCTAGGCTGGAGTACAGTGGTGTAATCATGGCTCACTGCAGCCTCAAACTCCTGGGCTCAAGTGATCCTCCCATTCAGCCTCCTGAGTAGCTGGGATGAAAGGTGTGCACCACCACACCCAGCTAATTTTTTAAATTTTCTGTAGAGACAAGGTCTTGCTTTGTTGCCCAGGCTGGTCTCGAACTCATGGGCTCAAGCAATCCTCCCACCTCAGCCTCCAAAAGTGTTAAGAGGTATGAACCTCATTAGAGGTATAAACCACTGTGCCCAGCCAGAAGTCTTTTTATTTTTATTTATTTATTTTTTTTGAGATGGAGTCTTGCTCTGTCACCCAGGCTGGAGTACAGTGGTGTGATCTTGGCTCACTGCAACTTCCACCTCCTGGGTTCAAGTGATTCTCCTGCCTCAGCCTCCTGAGTAGCTGCGATTACAGGTGCGCACCATCACCCCAGCTAATTTTTGTATTTTTAGTAAAGATGGGGTTTCATCATGTTGGTCAGGCTGGTCTTGAACTCCTGACCTTATGATCTGCCCACCTCGGCCTCCCAAGGTGCTGACAGGCGTGAGCCACTGCGCCCGGCCAGAAGTCTTTTTTAAAGTACTTTTCTGAAAATTCTGAAATCATTTCATTGAATGTTTGAGATTAGAACATTTCTTACTTGGCAAACCATCTGTAACTCCTGAACATAACTGATTCAGCTTCATGTCACTTTTATTCACCTGTTTCCTTGAGTGTGAGAGAAAGGGAGAAAAAGCCTGGGATTTTACTCGTAGCCTCTTTTCCATATGGTACTGTTTAAAGGAGTGATAACTGCGTGGTGTTACATTCTCCCAGAAATGTTTTGGGTTCCATTCAAATCTAGGTATCCTCGTAACATTATGTAAAACAAATAAACGTTGTCTTGTATGTGATAACAGAAAACAGGCCGAGAGTCACAGGACCACTGTGCCTAAGGCACAGTAAGAGGATCCCTACCATCCTTTTCCCATCAAGGATCCAAAACAGAGCTATTTAAAACAATGCCCAACTTGGGAGCACTTCTTTCTCACTTTTTTTTTTTTTTTTGAGACGGAGTTTCGCTCGTCTCCCAGGCTGGAGTGCAGTGGCCCGATCTCAGCTCACTACAACCTCTGCCTCCCAGGTTCAAGCAATTCTCCTGCCTCAGCCTCCCAAGTAGCTGGGATATTACAGGTGTGAGCCACCACGCCTGACTAATTTTTATATTTTTAGTGGAGACAGGGTTTCACCATGTTGGCCAGGCTGGTCTCAAACTCCTGACCTCAGGTGATCTGCCCACCTCGGCCTCCCAAAATGCTGGGATTACAGGTGTGAGCCACCAACCCCGACCCTTTCTCATTTCTTATACTATAAAGAGGTAAAACTTCTCAAATAAATGAGATTTTAAAAAATCTAGCAAACCTCGGTAAGTAGGATGTCAAGGATTCTGAATGACAGAGACCCTTAAGTCCTTTCAATCCCTTTGTCATTCTCATCCATCATTTGGAGAAAAATTGGGGGTGTTAAGACTTGTGGAGGTATAGTTAGAATTTGGTGTTTTTTAGCTGTAACACTCTAGAGAATAAGTCAAGCTAGACAAGGGGTTCATTGGAAAGGCTTGCTTTCTAACGAGTTCCTTGAGGGGCCTACAACAGCCCAGCCAACCAGGTAAGAAAACAGAAATGGACACAATGCAGAAACCCAAATATAATTTTTTTAAAAAATTCCAAAACAGATGAAATCACATTAATTAAAAACAAGACTGTAATTTCTCAACAATAAAAATTTGGGCACGAGGTAATGAAATATAGATAATATGCAGCACACAACTTGGAGAATAATGGCCTTTGAATAGCATAAACACTACCTCATATTGAGGATGGCCTGCACAGATAAGCAGCAGCTCCAGAGTTCGAAGGTCCCCAAGACCTTGGCCTGGAGTACAAACAATTTTTTCAAGAAAAGTTTCACATAGTTCAGTGAAAATACGGCAGTAATTCAGAACTCTGTAGAAGACAGGGGAATGAGAACAATGAGTCAGAAATCTGGATATTATAAGTATATACAGGCACAGTTAATCAAATAAATAAAAGGTTCCTCAGTCTAAGGGACATCTAGTGATTATTTACTATGCTGTATCACAATCCCCATGACAGACACCTTTACCTAGATCGTACACTCCTACGCAAGTGACTTGTCAGTTCAAATTCTCAATTATTAAAACATTTGAATAAAAACTCCCATCAAATCACACTTGATATTTTAAAATTTGTCTCCAACTTTTAAAGCCTTACCTTTCTATGGTAATTCTACAAACCCTGCACCCAATTTGCCACTCTAGGTTCAGAAGAGCATAGTAGAGCATCTTTAGGAAGCACTATCTGTACTTTACAGAATCACTGAGAATCACAAATGACAGACGAATAATAAAAAGTGACTTAAAAGAATGACCAGACTGTAGGTAAACCCAGGGCTCCAGACTTAAACAATTACTCACTTGTCTAAATCTTCACGTGCCACGGCCATATGATAGGCAGTCTCCAATGTCAGCACTCCCTGAAAAAGTTGCATGGCTAATGGCAAGTTAGTCTCCACATTCTCAATGGCATAGAGAGCTGAGCATACACAGTCCGAAGCAGCTTCATGTAGGTTAGACGAGGTCTTATCCTGTTGCTGGGGAGGTAGCAGGAATAGGGAAGCAAGAAGTATGATCACTAAGGAGTGATCTACAGTTGGCCCTGCACACCCTAGGGTTCAATCAACCATCGATAGAAAATATTCAAAATATAAGTAAATAATAATACAATGAAAAACACAAATTTAAAAATTACCCTATAGCAACTATTTACATAGCATTTACATTGTATTAGGTATTATAAGTAATTTACAGGTGATTTAGAGTATATGGGAAGATGTGGATAGGTTATATGCAAATACTGCACCATTTTATATAAGGGACTTGGGCATCTGCATCTCTTGGAAACTGTGCACAGAGGGGCAGGGGTAGTGGGTGGTCCTGGAACCAATCCTTTGAAGATAGTGATGGATAAATGTAATAGGAAAACAATTAGAGCCTCTTTCTTTCTTTCAATTATAGCCTCTTTCTGAACATGTACTTTAAATGTGTAACAGTCAAGTCATAGCCTTCCATGAGACAACATCCATCAATCTTCCCAATCTTATTTCTATTTCCTTATATGTCAAGCAAATCAGCCTTTCTGTCCCGAAGTCATGGTCGTATCATTTCTAATCTCCATGTTCTTGTTCACACCAGCCCCTCCAAATGGAAAGCCATGTGTTCCCTACCCTATTCTAGTGTGTGAAAAATCTTTTCCATCCTTTTTCTGATACTCAAGTACTACCTAAAATGAAAGGGCTCAACAAGTATCAAAGACACATACCTAAACACATCATTGTGAAATTTCAGAATACCAGAGTTAAACAAAGGTCTGTAAAATTTCAGGGGAAGAGAGGAGGAGGTAATAGTAAGGAGCAGAATTCAGAGTTCTCTGACTTTTCATTAACAATGATGCATGCTAGTAAAGGAGAGCAAGGCCTTTGAAATTTTGAAGGAAAATAATATTCAGCCTACAACTTAATACCTAGCTGAGCCATCAATCAAGATCGAAAGCAAAATAAAAATAGTTCTCAGGCATGCAAAAATTCCAAGTTTACTTTCCATTATATCTTTTCTGAAGAAGTTATTTGAGGGGGTTTGAGAAACAGCTAACCTAATCCAGAAAGCACAGTAAAGACAAGTCCCAAGATGACAGGGAGTAGATCTAAAGAACAACTGATGCAAATCAGAGCAGACCAAAAGGTCCAAGAAGGGAATCCTCCCGGGTTTCTAGTGAAGAGAGTACAGTTGAGAGGTTGAATACACTTAGTAAGGGCGTATTAGTCTTCCTTGAATAATTTTTTTAAAAGGATATTTAAAATCTCCAGTGGGACAAAAAGGTATATAAGCAGGTTTGGGAGAGCACAAAGATGCAAATTATTTATTAGGTATTCTTAGATTGAATAGTAGGTTCAAAGATTCTCATTATATTACCAAGTTATAAAAAGTCAGTGTTCGAGCTGGGCATGGTGGCTCACACCTGTAATCCCAGCACTTTGGGAGGCCAAGGTGGGCAGATCACAAGGTCAGGAGATCGAGACCATCCTGGCTAACACAGTGAAACCCTGTCTCTACTAAAAATACAAAAAATTGGCCGGGCGCGGTGGCTCACGCCTGTAATCCCAGCACTTTGGGAGGCTGAGGCCGGTAGATCACGAGGTCAGGAGATCGAGACCACGGTGAAACCCCATCTCTACTAAAAATACAAAAAATTAGCCGGGCGTGGTGTCAGGTTCCTGTAGTCCCAGCTACTGAGGAGGCTGAGGCAGGAGAATGGCATGAACCCAGGATGCAGAGCTTGCAGTGAGCCAAGATGGCGCCACTGCACTCCAGCCCCGGCGACAGAGCGAGACTCCCTCTCAAAAAAAAAAAAAAAAAAAAAAAAATACAAAAAATTAGCCAGGTGTGGTGGCACACACCTGTAGTCCCAGCTACTCAGGAGGCTGAGGCAGGAGAATCATTTGAACCCAGAGGGCGAAGGTTGCCGTGAGCCGAGATTGTGCCACTGCACTCCAGCCTGGGCGACAGAGGGAGGAGACTCTGTCTCAAAAATAAATAAATAAATAGTAAGTGTTCATACTTATTCTTTTGTATATATGAAGTATTTTAATTTTTAGGGTTTTTTTTTTTTTTTTTTTTTAAGAGCTGTTGGGGGAAAGTTGTACCAGAAAGTCATGGTCCAAACATACAGCAAAATAAAATGTGACATGGCCAGGTGTGGTGGCTCACATCTGTAATCCCAGTGCTTTGGGAGGCTGAGGTGGGAGAACTGCTTGAGGCCGGTTCAAGACTAGCCTGGGCAATAAAGAGAAACCCTGTCTCTAGAAAAAATTAAAAATTAGCCAGGCATGGTGGCACATGCCTATATCCCAGCTACTTGGGAGGCTGAGGCAGGAAGATTGCTTGAAGCCAGGAGTTTGAGACTACAGTGAGCTACAATCATGCCAATGGAGCTACTCCAGTCTGGACGACAGGGAGACACCCTGACTCCCTGTGACACTCCCCCTAAAAAGAAAAAAAGTAGCATGATTTTAAACCACTGAATGAATGTAAAAATAAGAATATATTTTACCCTGACTCTAGATAAACACTCTTACTAGTGACAGAGGAGTCCTGACACTGGATCAGTAGAGGAGATAATATAATCCTGGAACACTAATTAACTTCTTCCTTACTCCAATTCCAATTCCCAGAAATTACCACTGTTAAGTTTGAAGTGTATTCTACACTGTCCTCCATTTATATGTAATCACATGTACATTTTTTAAACAAAAGTGGGACATGACTTTATTTACAGTGATTACTCTTCACACTATTTGTTGACGTGATAATAAATATTATCATTATTGAGGAAAGATACCAACATAAATGGAGACAGACAATGGCAAGCAAAACAATGATTGGCATCCTAATTTTCCTAAGGCTTAGCTTCTGATGCAAAAATGACACAGAAATACACACCAATGACATGCCAAATGTCTCCTTGAAAAATGTCTTTCTTTTCTTTAATTCACAGTGGCATCAATCTAGCATCATGGTACTATCTTCTGAGTAATAGCGCATCGGCATACATTCACAATACATGCAGCTTCCATACTAATATATCTTCATTGAAGGAAACCCTCCAGCAGAAAGAGACAAAGTTTTTCATGTCTCCAAAGACCCCTTCAATAATATTTATGCTTGAGATAATGTTATGTTTCTTGTTCTAAAATGTAATCTTATTCTAATCACTCCCTAACTCCTATCTACCAAGACTATATTACTAGGCACTGCTACTTTCAAAGCTTAAAGAAGAAACGCACAAGTATATAAAAAGACATTAGTACTTATTCTACTAATCTCAAAAACCCAAATCCATTTT
The DNA here is from genome assembly GCF_000001405.40 of Homo sapiens. NCBI lineage: Eukaryota > Metazoa > Chordata > Mammalia > Primates > Hominidae > Homo > Homo sapiens. The sequence goes on from NC_000007.14 coordinate 129,004,543, forward strand.
GCATATACGATGTTTAACTAATCTCAACTACAAAGATAATATCTTAATCTATAATTGTCTCTGGATGCACTAAACATAATTTTTAATTCTTCCTGTTCTGTTTTTTCCTAAACTTGTGATGCACACATAATTATATCATGGAAATGTCTAGGATTCAATGACCATTATTGAAATACATAATTTTATATTTTTAAAACAAGGAAAAAGATACCAATGGTTATTTGGATTTTAATATGTAAATCATGTATCAACATATAAGACTGTTTTCCTCTTAAACATAACTATATCCTATTAGGAGTATTAAAACTGATACTTCTAATTTGGTACCTCGTAGCAAGGAAGGAACATTGCTGCATTCTTAATACACGCCTTCCAGTTACTGTGCAAAAATTTAAAAACGTTTTTATGTCCCAGCAGGTTAGTTACGAAAAGTGATTGGCAGAAATACTTTGATAAATAAGGTCATTACTTACCAAAACCTCAAAAAGGAGTGCTAGTAATTTATTGTTAGCCATGAAGTTACTGTCCAAAACTCCCAAGTTAAACCAACTTCCCAAACAGCGAAAAACCTTCATAAGCATTTTCTCATCTGTTCCTGCTTTTTCTACACAGGTCATCTGAATAGAGAAAAAAACTTAAAATGAATAATGTTAATCTATATATTTAAACCATTATTTCAATCACCTTACAAGTATAATAATGAGAAAGATGGCAATAAAACAGCCAACGGTTAAAAGTGCTTTTTAAGTTTAAGTGTCACTGTTTTTTTTTTTTCCTTTTAAGAGAGAGGGTCTTGCTACATTGCCCAGGCAGGACTACAGGCATGTGCCACTGCATCCAGCTAGGCACCACTGTTCTAAATACAACTTATCTACTTAATCCCCGAAATGGTTTCGTTCTGTGTCCCCACCCAAATTTCATGTCAAATTGTAATCCCCAGTGTTAGAGGAGGGTTCTGGTGGGAGGTGACTGAATCATGGGAATGAACATCCCCCTTGCTGTTCTTGTGATAGAGTTCTCACGAGATCTGGTTGTTTCAAAGTGTGTAGCACCACCCCCCTCCTTCTCTCTCCTGCCGGCCGTGTGAACATGTGTCTGCTTCCCCTTCACCTTCCCCCATGATTGTTAAGTTTCCTGAGGCCTCCCTAGAAGCAGAAGCCTGTACAGCCCACAGAACCATAAGCTGATTAAACCTCTTTTCTTTATAAATTACCCAGTTTCAGGTATTTCTTTTCTTTTCTTTTTTTTTTTTTTTTTGAGATGGAGTATTGCTCTGTTGCCCAGGCTGGAGTGCAGTGCCACAATCTCGGCTCGCTGCAACCTCCACCTCCCTGGTTCAAGCAATTCCCCTGCCTCAGCCTCCCAAGTGGCTGGGATTACAGATGCACATCACCATACCCAGCTAATTTTTTTGTATTTTTAGTAGACACGGGTTTCACCATGTTGGCCAGACTGGTCTCAAACTCCTGACCTCAGGCAATCCGCCCACCTTGGCCTCCCAAGGTGCTGGGATTACAGGCATGAGCCACTGAGCCCAGCCTCAAGTATTTCTTTATAGCAGCATGAGACTGGACTAACACAATCCCCAAATACAACTTTATAGGTAGCTGCTATTATTGTCTCTACTTTCTCAATGGGAAAACTGAAGTAGAGAGAGGTTACAGACTTACCCAAGTTGTTTCAGAAATAACTTACTAATTTCTTAGTTCCCACTTCTGCATTATCCAAAAAATTATTTTACAAGTAATTTACTTACTTATATACCTGGTTGATACAGAATAGATAATAAGCTAGAGTAAGCTAGGCATACCACTGTATATTTCCACAAGAAAAGCTAATGTTTCAGCTTTGGCAATAGAATAATAAACATGTCATCCCACAGAAAGTGATACTACTATAAATACTATAAAAGAGATAAAACAGAATTAGACTAAAACTCAATGTTTCTCCTTGTAGTCTGTTTTTGTGATATATATTTTTTCCAAAGTAAAATGTAATGCATCTTTTTCTAGGCAAAGAATGTTTTAAAAAAAGCTCTTGCAAGCAATGAGTTAGAAATATAATTTCCATGGGGTTCAGGAGGCATGAGAGTGGGGGTGAAATCCCATAATGTATTATTAAATAAGATCTAAATAGTGATATTTGTGGTTACAATGCAGATATAAACTACACAGGAAAATTTCCCAAGTTCAAAGCTTCATCTACTACATAAACCTACATTGAAGATGACTGTCTTTATTATTGTGCTCCAAAGAATGCTAGGTTGCTAAGATGAAGAGAAGTGAGGGGTTAATGAATGACTGTATACCAGCTCATTCCCACAGAAGGCTATTTAAGATATTCGGGTCTGGAAGCTACCTTTAAAACAAAGCAAAACAAAACAAAAAACCACCTTTCCTTCTCAGAAGACAGAAGAAAGGAAGTCCAAGTATATTAATATACTTGACTCTTTCTATTTCTTCTCTCTCTTCCAGGCCATTACATTTCAGGGGGAGGAAGAAAAGTACATGAAAAATAAGCTGACCAGTCATTGCAACATTTACTGAGCCCTTTCTGTGCACCAGGCACTGTTTTAAGAGCTTTATATGTATTAAATCATTTAATCCCCACAATATGAAACAGATACTATTATCCCCATTATACTGATGAGAAAACTGAGGCAGACAGTCAAGTAACTCGCCCAATATGGCACAGGTAGGAAACAGCATAGCCAGGACTTAAACTTAAGAAGTCTGGCTTCAAAGTCTATGATCTTAACCATTACACGATAGCTACCTCCCAAACTTGCTTACATACATAGAACAAAGATATGATTAATATCAAGGACTTCCTATATTTCAAAAGCCTGTAAAGTTAGGCAGACTGCAACAATAATCTATCTTACTAATATTATACATTATTATCAGTGTAACTAGCTATATACTAATTTACCTGGATAATGATTCGTGTATTACCAAAGAAAGCCATGAAATATTAACAGCATGGGGAAACAGAATCATCTATCACACATGAACCAACTATTTTACTAGTTTTAAGCATGTCAGCTTGAAGTATACATCATTTGTAATGAATAACATCAGAACTTGATTGCTAACTAAATGCAGACTCACTTCCGCTCATTTTCATTTATTGTGCATATTGCATTATATATGCTTGTTGGAAAAAGGTGGAGTTGCAGCTAACTTGCAGAGAAATTAACCACGTAACTATGAGTATACACATAAGTTTATGTCTAGGATATAGACTTCTGAGACATCTGTCACTATCTAAAGCCACAAGAGGCACAGAGTAAATATCCAAGTATTTATAGAAGGAAGAATGGCAGGGGCCGGGTGTGGTGGCTCACGGCTGTAATCCCAGCACTTTGAGAGGCTGAGGTGGGTGGATCACAAGGTCAGGAGTTTGAGACCAGCCTAACCAACATGGTGAAACCCCGTCTCTACTAAAAATACAAAAATTAGCCAGGTGTGGTGGCACGCACCTGTAATCCCAGCTACTCAGGAGGCTGGGGCAGGAGAACTGCTTGAATCTGGGATGCAGAGGTTGCAGTGAGCTGAGATTGCGCCATGGTACTCCAGCCTGGGCGACAGAGCAAGACTCTGTCTAAAAAAAAAAGAAGGAAGAATGGCAGGAAAGGAAAGAACTAAGAGCCCTTGCTTTAGAGGGGAAAGTATTTGTAAAAAGTCATCAGAGCCTGCGTGCAGTGGCTCACACCTGTAATCCCAGCACTTTGGGAGGCTGAGGTGGGAGGATCGCTTGAGCCCAGGAGTTCTAGACTAATCTGAGCAACAAAGTTAAGACCCTGTCTCTACAAAAAAATTAAAAAATAAAACAACACTTTAAAAGTCACCAGAAAACACACTAGATGAGATAAGAAAATGTCACAAATATGGTTCTGGCCCCATTAAGTTCTTCTAGATATTTTTTACTCAAGACTTTCTTTGTTCCCCTGAAACTCAGAAAGAAAATATTCAGGGATGCCAGGCACTAAAATGGCCAGAATTTTTAGAAAAGACTATGACACTAATATATGCAATATATTTAAATATGTAATACGTAAACTAATAAATGCACAGGAGCACTTAATTTAATACGGTTCAAGGCTGAAAGTAGCAAAATGAACGGAGTAACTAAGTTCCCTTAACATGAACTGGAGCCACTGAGAGATTTCTCTTTAAGAGCTGATACTCATTCTCTCTCCCCCTCAACCTGTCTCAAACTCTCAATTGAATCTTTGATGCTGTTGATATAAACTCATTACATAATCACTTGGCCTTTAGACTTCCTGAATGATATTTCAATTTTAATAAGACATGATGTGTACAAGTGGAAGGATTTGCTTGTACATTCTAACTATTGACTCAAACTGAAAGACCAAATTCTGAAAAAAACCTGTTTCTAAAACTAATCTCTTTGAAAAGATGAAATTCTGCAAATTAAATCAAACATACATTCTAAAACATCAGAACTAACAGTTATCTTCTGTTCCTCTTTGAGAGCTATGCTATGTTAAAAATCTGCCTCTTAAAGTCCTCAAAAGCTTCAAGATAAATGCCACAGAGTCCAGAAGAGCTCACCAGTAAAAAGATAGCAGGGATAAATAAGAATTGAGATCTTAGATTAACAAAATAGAAAGTGAAGAGACAAAAATGTTAGAAGCACAGGTTCAGTTTAGCTATGAGAGCAAGCAGAAACACGTTTAAAACTTCAAAAAGTTCAACACCATGTTTAGGAATGGGTCCATTAGGACAGACCACAAAAGTATAATACTAACAAGAAATAGGACAGAATGTAATCATTAAAGGAGAGTGTGCAGGAAACTAAATGAGAAAAGGTCTTAAGAGGGGTTTGGAACCTGGCATTACAGCCACATGCCTATTTTTTTCTTGGCCATTTTGGACTAATTTCATCCCCTGGGTTCTATAACATGACAAGCTACATGACAAAATTAGAGACATTTTTAAGCACCACAGGAAATATATTTTTCAGACTGCATCACAGTTCCTCAAAATATCACCTGTGATTGATTGTCATGATGTGCTAAGTCAGGCACGTGCCTTGAATGCCCAAGTGGCTGCTGTAGTTGACTGCTGTGGCAGTAACCATGACACAAAATACATGTGGATGGGATTATTTTAAATTCACAAGTGCTTACAAAAAGAAAATGACAAATTCAAGTCCATTAACTCTCACCTCAGGCCACAGTCTGAGCACCACAGCTTTCACGCCCAGTCTAAAAGCAGCTCTTACTTTTTGTAGCTACAAAGTTAGTACTGCTGAAACTCGTATACCAAACTTAGTTGTGTGACTTGCTGAATTACAAACAACAGGTGAATTTACAGTCCCTCCACACTTCTCATGTGAAAGTTAGGAAACTGACTGGTAAAGAATGGGATTCTGAAACTTGGAAAGGAGACACCTGGTTGGACCTAAATGAACATGAGTCCATCATACTTCAAAAAGACAAAGCCAGAAAAAAAAAAATTCAAGGCAGCTTTAAAATAAATCCTCATTTTGAAAAGAATTAAGATTTATCCTACCTTTCTAGTAGGAGCTCATAAGAATGCCAACTTATATGTACAAGAAATAACAGAAATAGTCAAATATCATTTTGCAACCCATGATGAAATTATTATTATTTTTAGAGACAGTCTTGTTCTGTTGCCCAGACTGGAGTGCACTGGCACAATCGTGGCTCACTGCCACCTTGAACTCCTGGGGTCAAGTGATCCTTCCTGCCTCAGCCTCTTGAGTAGCTGGGACTACAGGTGCATGCCAACATGCTTGGTTAATGTATTATTTTTTTTTTGAGACAGGCTCTTGCTATGTTGCCCAGGCTGGTCTTGAATGCCTGACATCAAGCAACCGTCCCACCTCAGCCTTCCAACGTGCTGGAATTATAAGCATAAACCACATTGCCTGGCCCATAATGAAATTATTGATTAAGGTAGGGATTATCTACTGGAATGTAAAACAATTAGGCTAAAGTCTGATAGGGAATTGAACATTCATAAACTAACAAGCTACCATCACACAAACTACATTATATTACAAAGGAGGAAAGTGAACTTTAAAAATGGAAGGAACAGACTTTCATCTTAATCCAGTGGTCAACCCTAGCATCACTAATAGAAGGTCAACTGAACGCTGTATATATACTAAGACATAGCATCAAGTACCTATGATATATTCTAGCCCAAAATATTTAACTTTAAAAAACTAATCCTCTAAGCCTCTCAGTTTTTCTCAATCAGGATTCTAGGAAAGAATTATATCCTATAGGTTGGGTGTGGTGGTTCACGTTTGTAATCTCATCATTAAGGGAGGCCAAGGAGAGAGGATCACTTGAGACCAGGTTTGAGACCATAGAGAAGCTCTATATCTACAAAAAAAAAAAATTGTATAGAATTAAGCCCTTCAGAAAATTATCTGAGTGCCCATCTTCTTAATTATCCTAAGGGCGGTATATAGCTAGAACCATTATTAATGTAGAGGAAAGAATTCATTACATATAACGAATAGCTTTAGGCTTAATTCTCTTGAGGAACCCCTACTGAGAAGGGCTGTTTTAGATACAACTTCCAATTAGAGGAAATACAGAGAAAAGAAAAACATGCTAAAGGAAACGAAGGAGAGGCAATCAGAAAATCATAAAGGTAAGATAATTCTATAAAATGACTGGTACAATCTCTTCAACAAGTCATGTTATTTTAAACAAGGAACAGAATGTGGGACTGTGACTAAGAACCTGATACAAGGCATAGTTACAGATTGGATATTCTTTGTAAAAAGTATCTTTTTTTGTTTTTTCTTTTTGTTGAGATGGAGTCTCACTCTGTCGCTCAGGCTGGAGTGCAGTGGTGCCATCTCGGCCCACTGCAACCTCTGCCTCCCGGGTTCAAGCAATTCTCCTGCCTTGGCCTCCCGAGTAGCTGGGACTACAGCTGCATGCCACCACGCCCAGCTAATTTTTGTGTTTTTAGTAGAGACGGGGTTTCACCATGTTGGCCAGGATGGTCTCGAGCTCCTGACCTTGTGATCTGCCAGCCTTGGCCTCCCAAAGTGCTGGGATTACAGGCATGAGCCACCACGCCCAGCCTGTAAAGAATATCTTAGGACCAACTGGTGAAATGTGAATATGGTCTGGGTTTATCAGATGATATGAAAACTTACTAACTTGAAAAGGTAAGCAGATGACTGAAAAAGCAAGATGCAGAAGAATAAGTAAAGTATAACTTCATTTGGGCTTAAAAAATCTGTATATATATCCATAAATATGTTCATAGAGGATATGTATTAAAGGGTTAACTGTATGATCTCCAGATGGTTTGAGTGAAATTTGCTGTACATATTTTCTAATTTTCCATAAAACTATTTCTTTAAAATAAATGGCTAAGTGAAAAACATATATTTAACTTAAAAGAATTATTTTTCAATGAATTTCTTTTTTCTTTTTCTTTCTTTTTTTTTTTTTTTTTTTTGAGATGGAGTCTCCCTCTGTTGCCCAGACTGGAGTGCAGTGGTGCAATCTTGGCTCACTGCAACCTCCGCCTCCCAGGTTCAAGAGATTCTCCTGCCTCAGCCTCCCGACTAGCTGGGACTACAGGAGTGCACCACCATACCTGGCTAATTTTTGTATTTTTAGTACAGACAGGGTTTCACTATGTTGGCCAGGCTGGTCTCAAACTCCTGACCTCAAGTAATCCACCCGCCTCAGCCTCCCAAAGTGCTGGGATTACAGGGGTGAGCCACTGCACCCAGCCCTCCAATGAATTTCTAATACAAAACTGAACACAATTTTTAATAGAATTTTAATTTTTTTTCAAACTAAAAGATCTATGAACTTGCTATACTGAAACACATCTCTGAAAAATAATTTACTACAGGTTAAGTATCCCTAATCCAAAACTCCAAAATGCTCCAAAATCCAAAACTTTTTGAGTGCCAACATAACGCTCAAAGGGAATGCTCACTGGAGCATTTCAGATTAGGAATGCTGAACCACAAAGTATAATGCAAATATTCCAAAATTTTAAAAACTCAGAAATCCTAAATACTACTTTTTTTACCCTACCCTAAACCCTTCTGGTCCCAAGCCTTTCAGTAAGGGATATTCAACCTGTATCCACATTATTGAGAAAATTAAGCTGGACTATAAAGACTTAAAAATGAGATATGGGCTAATCAATTTATTAGCATCTACTTTAGGAACCAGTAAACATTTTCTATAAAGAACCAGATAAACCGTCTACACTTTGCAAGCCATATGGTCTCTGAAAAATACTCAATTATGCTGATGTAGACCAAAATAATGGACAAAATATAACCAAATGGGCATAACTGTGTTCCAACAAAGCTTTATTTACAAAAAGAGGCAGCCAACCCATAAACTATAGATTTACACACTCCTGCTCTAGAGTATTAAAAATGTCAACTAACTGAAAGGAGCTTAATCACATCTAATTTTTTAAAAAATGTGTATTAGCTCATCCATAATGCGATACTCCTCAAAGGTCAAGTAAAATCTTCTATCACCTTTCAGTTCATCTTTAAGAGACAATCCTTTCTTTTATCTCTCATAATATACAAAAATCAAATCAAAATGGATTAAAGACTTAAATGTAAGATGTGAACTATAAAACTACTACAAGCAAACATTAGGGAAATGCTGCAGGACATTGATCTGGGCAAAGATCTCTTAAGTAAGACCTCAAAATCAAAGGCAACTAAAGCAAAAAAAGTCGACAAAGGTCAAGCTAAAAGGCTTCTGCACAGCAAAAGAAACAATCAACCAAGTAAAGAGACAACCTACAGAATGGGAGGAAATATTTGCAAACTACCCATCCAACAAGAGATTAGTAACCACAATATATAAGAAACCCAAATAATAGCAAAAAAAAAAAAAAATTAAAAATTAAAAAATGGGCAAAAGATCAATAGCAAATGCTGGCAAGGATGCAGAGAAAAGGGAACGCTCTGGAATGTAAAGCAGTACAGTCATTATGAAAAACAGTACGGAAGTTTCTCAACAGACTGAAAATAGTACTACCATACGATCTAGCAATCCCACTGCTGGGTAAATACCCAGAAAAGAAACCAGTATATCAAGAAGATCTCTACAATCCCATGTTTATTGCAGCACTATTCACAATAGCCAAGATATGGAATCAACCTAAGTACCTATCAACGGCTGAATGGATAAAGAAACAATGGTATAGGTGCACAATGAAATATTCGTTAGCCACAAAAAGAATAAAATCTCCTGTCATTTGCAGCAACATGGACGGCACTGTTAGACATTATGTTAAGTGAAGTAAGCCAGGCACAGAAAGACAAATATCACATGCTTTCACTGCTATGTTGGAGTGAAAAAAAATGGATCTCATAGAGGTAAAGAGTAGAATGACGGTGATCAGAGGCTAGGAAGGGTAACGGGGAGGGGACGACCAAGAAAGGTTGATTAACGGGTACACAAATACAGCTGAATAGAAAGGATACGTTATAGTGTTACACAGCAAAACAGAGTGACTATAGTTAATAATTTATTGAGTACTTCAAAATAGCTGAAAGAGAAGATTTAGAATGTTCCCTACACAAAGAAATGATAAAGGTTTGAGGTGATGGATATCTCAATTTGATCATCACCTGATTTGATCTGATCATCACATATTACATACTTGGACAAAAATAATACATGTCACTGGGCACAGTGGCTCACGCCTGTAATCCCAGCACTTCGGGAGGCCAAGGCAGGTGGATCACTTGAGGTCAGGAGTTCGAGGCCAGCCTAGGCAACATGGAGAGACACCATCTCTACAAAAAATAAAAAATTTAGCTGGGCATGGTGGCGCACACCTGTAGTCCCAGCTACTCAGGAGGCTGAGGTGAGAGGATCACTTGAGCCCAGGAGGAGGAGGGTGCAGTAAGCTGAGATCATGCCACTGCACTACAGCCTAGGAGACAGAGACCCTGCTTCAAAAAATAAAAGTAATACATGTAACCCCATAAATATGTACAACTATCATGTATCAATTAGAAAAAAAAAGAAAGGATCCTTTCTTAGTAAAGTAGATTTATACACACTTCCCTTTGCATGATCCTTTATTAACAGCCAACAGTTTGGAGCATTAAGCAGTAGAAGAGCACAAGATAAATAATGAGATGGCCTTAGTTCCAATTCTGAATTAACAGTTGTGTAACTCTAAAGTCCATTTTTCATTCATAAAAGAGATAACGTCACCTTTAGAGGATTATACAGAAACTTAAAAAGCATAGTTTCTGAAAGTATGTTGTCATGGTAAGGTGTTACATAAATACCAAAGCATCATCATTAAATTTTGCAAAGAAAGCTATTTCACAATAATGCAATTGATTACAAAATAACCGCCATGGCTTTCTGCCTTTATGCAGCAACTTAGTATTTCAAACTTACTCACCAATAGAGATACTACTGTACTAGAGTAGAAGGCCAAATCTTCTATAATTTCTGTGCGCCGATTAGCTCCAATTCGTAAGGAACGACTATGTACTTCTTCAGGTAACACTGTAAGGATCTCCAGCAAAAAAGGCAAAGAAGTCACATCATTGCTGTATCTGCAAAAGAAAAAAGTGGAGATATGTTATTTATAGCCAGAAAATACACAATCACATAAGATAACAGCCATCAGAGTAACTCACAACAACAAAAGCAACATTCCCACCACTGTTAAGGGGGAGAAAAAAGATACAAACATAAATGTCCTCCATAATTAGTTAAGATTAAAAAAAGGACACAGTTATTCAATGAAACATAGCCATTATAATGAACATGATATCTATATGTCCTAACATGAAAAAAAGTCCATAATGTAGTAAGTGAAAAACATGTATGAAACATATTGAATATGGGTGAACAAATATATAGGTATATGTACATTAAAATATATATGCACTTATTTATTTTAAAATGCATAAAGGAAACTCTACATAGCCAATTGTTAATAGTGGTTGCTTATAAAATACAGGGTTAAGGGCCAGTTGTGGTGGCTCATGCTTATGATCCCAGCACTTTGGGAGGCCAAGGCAGGAGGATCACGAGTCCACAAGTTCGAGACCAGCCTGGGCATCACAGGGAGACCGTTTCTACATTCAAAATTTTTTAATCAGCCAGGCATGGTGGTATGCATCTGTAATCCCAGCTACTCGGGAGACTGAGGCAGAAGGATCTCATGAGCCCAAGAGTTGCAGGTTCCAGTGAACCATGATCACACCACTGCACTTCAGCCTGGGTGACAGAGTGAGACCCTGTTTCAAAAATAAAATATAAGGATAGGGAGAGAGGACGGGGTTCATTTTGCACTTTGAAGGTTTCCATACTGTTAGAATTTTTTCAAGGAGCATGTATCAATTTCCCCAATAAAAATTTTATTTAAAAAATAAGCTATCCACTCAGGAGGCTGAGGTGGGAGGATCACTTGAGCCCGGGAAGTCGAGGCTGAGGTTGTAGTGAGCCATGACTGTGCCACTGCACTCCAGCCTGGGTGAAACAGCAAGACTGTGTCTCCAAAAAAATAAAAATAATTTTTAAAAAAGTTATCCAAGCTGGATGAGGTGGCTCACGCCTGTAATCCCAGCACTTTGGGAGGCCGAGGTGGGCAGATCACTTGAGGTCAGGAGTTTGAGACCAGCCTGGCCAAACCCCGCCTCTACTGAAAATATAAAAATTAGCCAGGCGTAGTAGCACATGCCTGTAATCTCAGCCGCCTGGGAGGCTGAGACAGGAGAATCACCTGAACCCAGGAGGTGGAGGTTGCAGTGAGCCAAGATCGCACCGTTGAACTCCAGCCTGGGCAACAAGAGCGAGACTCCATCTCAAAATAAAATAAAATAAATAATAAGTTATCCGTAAAATGCTTTAATGACACACTATATTGGAGGTAAAAAGTAATTCTACTTTGTTCAAAAATAACTTCCCAACCAAATGCAAGCAAATATCAAGGTTATCTTGCCAGGACCCAGAAGGAATACTTGTTTCAAAGTAGCAAGCTCTGTGTGTCTAAAAAGAATATTGCCCCTCTGATAAACGTGAAACAAACTCCAATTAGTAAGAACACATATTCATAACAACCTCCCATTTAATATAATCTTAAATTCTATATTTTTACAAAATGGCTGTCATGCCAGTTAGTGAGAGTGATCCACAAGGCAATAAAAGACTTTGCTGCAATTAATTCAAGAAGTGTGTGTTACATAAATCACTAGTCTTTTACATCCCACACAATATATTTCAGTAGTATTTAAAATTTTAGATAAGTTTCATTTAATCTAACAAAGGTTAATAACATAATTCTATGTTAAGAGTTCAGGGAAATAGTCAAATATCTAGCTATTGCTAACAAATTTCTCTGTGTAGGTTAATGGCAATTCCAAATGCTAATATAGAGTCAATACAAATTACTTACTTTTCCACCAGTGTTTGCACACATCCCTTCCAGGAAGGCATCTGTAGGGCAAGATCTGCTATTGCTAAAGCCAGCTGAATAAGAGAGATTAAATAAATGAAGACAGATGAACAGAAATAGGGTCACAATAAATATTAATTGGGAAGCAAAGAAACATTTCTTCCAAACAATATGACAACTAAGACTAACCCCCTTCCCCCATTTCTCCCAACCTCCAATTCTATACATCTGATGTAAACTTTTTTGGGTTAGCTACAAATTGCTGAAATTTAAGAGTTAACCTTTAAAAACTAAAAAAAAAGAAAAGAAAAGAAGTCAGAAACAACAGACTATAGACATTCCTCAAAATATATCAATATTTACTTTTATTTGGCAATACCACAGAACTTCACAGACATATAAATTATACTATGCCAAAGGTCAAAGCTACTAATAAAGTCAGACCTTTGACTCAGTTCTCAAGTAATGGATTGCCATTTCCCTTCTCTTTGCATTTGTCATCTTGAAGACTTAAGAAAAGCCTCCTCTTTAAGGGCACTTCTATGCCAGGCAGAGAACACATGTGAGTACGTACTCACAGAAGTTTCCAGTTTTCCTATCTAATGTATTTCCCTGTCCAAGGGGGAAAGGACAGATGCTCTAGTTCAACGTTTCATTCATGAGACCTTTACTAAAGCCAATCAGCCCTGAAAGGATTTCTTAAAAGGCAACTACCTAAACCTCTGACCTAGCATGCCTGTGAAAACACATACTCACCTTATCCACTTCTGGTATCAAGTTAGTTTGAAACCAAATGAACTCCAAGATTAATACAAAAGATTAACAATTTCGTTTTCTATCCACTTACAAGAACATAGCAGTACATCTGTAATGAAGTTAACATTACCTCACATGGCCTAGCAATACGAATTAAAACAATCCTGATAAATCCAAATGGCCATACAAATTTCTCTAATGAGAAGCACAGGATTTACCTGCGTTACAATAACAGGTGACAAGTCTTTCAAGTTCTGGATATGGGTTAGCAATGAGTCCCGTAAAGAGGCATGAGAGTCTGTGGGGAGCTCATAAAATGAGGTCTGAATCTTCATTTTCATGGTCTGTGCAGCAAAATAGCATGACTCCACATCCTGCCGGATCTGTAACAACTGGTCTGAGATCTCCCATGCATGAACCTGAAAGCGTATTAGACAAAGATGTCTTAAAGAAGACTACTTTTCTAATTTTAATGACATAACCTCAATACTTATATAAACATATTTAGCCCAAAGTATAAAGAAAGAAAAATCTGACAAGCTAAATTACCCAGTAATTCAGCCAACAGTTCAATATACATTGTTATAGGCCCTGTTCAACAAAATAATTACCTAAAATCTGACTCATTCTAGGAAGGCATGAGAGCTATCAGTTAAATTAGTAGATACAATCTTGTTGATTTGAATGACTGTGTGGGTGTCAAGAGTATGAAGAAAAATGTCCCAAAAGTCTCCACTAAACTAAAATGTCACTGTATAATTTCCAATCCTAATCTATGGCTGCATGTTTCTTCTCTTTTCTTGCTTAAAATAAAGCTTTGTTCACTCTAAGAATTGAATCCAGAAGCTGTTTTAATATATCTATAAATATGAGAATATACTTCATATTGGTCTCAGTAGCCCTACATTTCAATTATTAGTTCCCGACAAAATAGCAGAAAAACTATGTTGGCTCAAGTAAATATTTCACATCCTTCAATTATTTTCTTTCTTTTTTTGGAGACAGAGTCTCACTCTGTCACCCAGGCTGGAGTGCAGTGGCACAATCTAGGCTCACTGCAACCTCTGCCTCCCAGGTTCAAGCAATTCTCCTGCCTCAGTCTTCTGATTAGCTAGGATAACAGGTGTGCACCACCACACCCAGCTAATATTTGTATTTTTAGTAGAGGCGAGGTTTCACCATGTTGGCCAGACTGATCTTGAACTCCTGACCTCAGGTGATCCCCCTGCCTCGGCCTCCCAAAATGCTGGGATTACAGGCATGAGCCACCGTGCCTGGCCCCTTCAATTATTTTCTGATGTATTACTACTTGGCAAAGTGCTACACATGTTACTGAAATCATTTTCAATGGAAAAATAAACTTATCTATAGACATAATAAAAAGAACCAAAGTATAAAATCTGCTCTCTAGTAGCCAGTCACAATTATAAAGGGGAGTCATATTTTGAAGACAACTTTGGAAACAATATCGTGCAGTAGATTGTAGACAACTAATTAATTAGATTAATTCTAATCCAATTCTACACTCAACAGCCTCTGGAAGAAGACTAACATGGACTGGCAATAATGGACTGAAAAAAATTTCAACCTCAATTTAGGAATAGTGTCTATTGTAAAGAGAAGGGGTCAATTTCTTATGAAGACAGAGCTCTTCACAAGTAATACATAATCCTTGTGTATCCTTCAAGATCTTTCCAAAGATTGATACGAAGCAAGTTAAGATATAGAAACAGGTAGAATAAATGGCTTGTACAAGTTCCTAAAGTAAATGGAAAATAAAGACCCTGAATTTCCTAATTACAGATTTACTGACATAAAACTTAGCTTTAGGCTGGGCGTGTGGCTCATACCTATAATCCCAGCACTTTGGGAGGCCAAAGCAGGAGGATTGTTTGAGCCCAGAAGTTTGACACTGGCCTGGGCAACATGGCAAGACCCCCGTGCCTCTACAAAAAAATTTAAAAATTAGCTGGGGCCCAGCACAGTCACTCACACCTGTAATCTCAGCACTTTGGGAGACAGAGGCGGGCAGATCACCTAAGGTCAGGAGTTCAAGACCAGCCTGGCCAACATGGTGAAACCCGGTCTGTACTAAAAATACAAAAAAATTAGGCGGGTGTAGTGGCACTCACCTGCAATCCTAGCTACTTGGGAGGCTGAGACAGGAAAATAGCTTGAACTCAGGAGGCAGAGGTTGCAGTGAGCCGAGATTACACCACCACACTCCAGCCTGGGTGAGAGTGAGACCCTAAAAAAACTTAAAAAATAAAAAATAAAAAATTAGCTGGGCATGGTGGCATGCACCTGTGATCCCAGCTACTTGGGATGCTGAGGCGAGAGGATCACTTGAGCCCAAGCAACAGAGTAAGACCCTGTTTTTAAAAAAACCACCCCTCCCGCCCCCCACCAAAAAACCCCAACCTTAGCTTTCAATGAAATAAGGGGTGCAAAGTAAGCATGAGGTGTTAACTTCTTTACAGATATAGTATATTTTACTAATTTTTGTACTTTTTAGTCCAAACATCGTGTCTTAAATGTATTCAACAAATGTTTAATTAATTAATGTAGTACTAATAGCACCAATTTTCCTTTCTCAAGTAAAAAAATCTTCCAAAGATTTTAGCCATTGATTAACCAGTAACCCAAGCACACCTATGATTTAATAGACCATCAGAATATCTTTACTTTGCTCATGTTAATATCTTTTTATTTTATTTTTTGAGACAGGGTCTCGCTCTGTCACCCAGGCTGGAGTGCAATGGCACGATCTCAGCTCATTGCAGCCTCAACCTCCTGAGCTCAAGAGATCCTCCTGCCTCAGCCCCCTAGTAGTTGGAACTACAGGTGTCTGCTACCACACCCGGCTAATTTTTGTATTTTTTTGTAGAGATGGGGTTTCGCCATGTTGCCCAGGCTGGTCTTGAACTCCTAAACTCAAGTGATCCTCCTGCCTTGGCCTCCCAAAGTGCTGGGATTCCAGGCGTGAGCTACCATGCCTAGCTGATATATTTTTAAATAGCAAAAAGATTCTATGAAGCTTTATACAATCTCCACAAATCCCTCAAAAAAAACAGAGCATTAGATAGCAACAAAACTAGGTGTTGTCTAGTTATCTCCAAGGGTATCTACAAGAACCCCAAAATATAAGTGGAAGGAGACAAACCAGTGACATCTGTAAGACCTGTGTGGTTTTAGTCTCAGTAAATGTGGAAGCAGAGGCAAACAACAGGGTGTCTACTGGACCTAAGAACAGAGAAACACCAAGAACCAACAGAGATTCACTGGAAAGTACAAGGAGCCAATCTGAGGATGGCAGTTGAAAATGGAGGAGGTTTGGCCGGGCGCGGTGGCTCACGCCTGTAATCCCAGCACTTTGGGAGGCTAAGGCAGGCAGATCACCTGAAGTCAGGAGTTCAAGACCAGTCGGGCCAATATGGTGAAACCCCGTCTCTACTAAAATACAAAAATTAGCTGGGCATGTTGGCGGGTGCCTGTAATCCCAGCTACTCGGGAGGCTGAGACGGCAGAATCACTTGAACCCGGGAGACGGTGGTTGCAGTGAGCCGAGATCGCACCACTGCACTCCAGCCTGGGTGGCTGAGTGAGACTCCGTCTCAAAAAAAAAAAAAAAAGAGAAAGAAAAAGGAGGAGGTTTGACCCAATCCAATAGCCAGTAAGTATAAGTGTGAAGGGGATGCCAACAGTTTAGCCTTTATAAAACCTTGAAACCAAACAGTCAGGAAGAGACCCCAATTGAGGAAAAACTGCTATGAAAAAAAACAAAATAATATAGAACAAGTATAATAGAGATGAAGGAAGAAAAGGTTGGAAGTATTATCCTTAATCAAACCTCCTTCTAGAAATTCAGAAAAACTAATTTCACAGAAAATAAGCAACTGAGGTCAAATGTCATATATGGCTGAAAGAGAAAATAAGCAGAGTAATACCTTACGAGGAAAGAAGACCAGAAAAACAGGTTTAAAAACCTAGCCTATTACTTCAAAATGAGCTAAACAACATTAAGAAAATGATACAAGATACGGAAGAATAGAATTGAGAAGGAACATTTCAGAAATTAGGTAAAAATCTCAGGAAAAAAATCAGAAATTAAAAAAATCCCTTCAGAGATAAAGACTAGGAGGAATTTCACATGTGACTAAACACATCAGATAATGTCTTAAGAGAAACACATGAAAAGGAGTGTTTTTTTTTAAACAAAAAAATTTTAAAACATTTAAGAGGAAATGACAAATATTGAACATAGGCAAATATCTAACATATAGACAACAGAGATCTCTGAAGAAGAAAATCAAAACAAGGAAACAGAACAATTATCAAAAACTGTAATTCAAGAAAATGTTCCTGGTTGGGCAAGGCAGTTTACGCCTGTAATCCCAGCATTTTAGGAGGTGGAGGTGGGAGGCTTACTTGAGGCCAGGAGTTTGGGACCAGCCTGAGCAACATAGCAAGATTCTGTCTCTACAAAAAATTTAAAAATTAGCTGGGTGTGGTGGTATGTGCCTGTAGTCCTAGCTACTAGGAGGCTGAGGAGGAAAAATCATTTGAGCCCAGGAGTTTTGAGGTTATAGTGCACTATGATCCTGCCACTAATTTTTTTAATTAAAAAAATTTGGTATCAAAGTTATCAAAAGAGGAAGAGTAAATAAATGAATATAATCCCATCACTGCACTCCAGCCTGGGTGACAGAGCAAGACCCCGTTTCTTAAAAAAAAAAAAGAAAAGGTTTCTGAAATGTTGGGGGGTAGGGGAGAAAGACATGAAACTATACATTGAAAGAGTATATCATATACCTAAAAATACCAACGCAGAACAACCAATACTGAGACATAATCTGGTAAAATTAATATACTTAAAGAAAAAGATAAAATAATTTGGACATCTATATAAAAAGAGCAACTGATTTATAAAGGAAAAAATTAGATTATCATCTACTGTGACTTGAACACTTCATGAAAGAAGAAAGAACAGGGTAAAGATGTGCTAAGAAAGAAAATGTGACAAAGATTTTATGTCAAGTCAAACCGATTTTCAATTATAAAGGCCAGAAACTGTTACTTGCAAAAATGTAGATATTATTCCTATAAGCCCTTCCTAAACAATCTGTTTAAAAAATCAAACTGATTAGAGAGAACAAGGCATCAACATAAGGACTGGGGATGAATATTAAACATAGTTTATTACAACAATTAAGAATAAATGAAAGTCGAAAGAGAAGTGGTATGTAATGATTACAAGCTCTGTACAGATACAGTGTGGAAGAAAGGGGAGAGCACATGCAAAACTATGCTTGTTTTTGGTGTATATACTGATAGTAGTAGTGTTAGTATTGTTAGTCTGAGGCTACTGACTAGGTTAATGTGAGACAGAGCTACTGAGTAATTATAAGATACTCTGTCACCTTCTGTGTCCCTCACAACCTGGATTCTCAGTATGGAAGAAAGGAGGTGTAGACATAAAAAGGCTTAAGTTAAAAACTTTATAGTGCTGTAGTTGAAAAGGCAATATCTCTATAAATTCATGAGGTATTTTACCTTTAAGTATTTATACCCACTATTTATATACATACTTTTCTACACTTGTATACATACACGTGTAGATAATTTATATATATTATATAGATATATAAAAATATACAATTCCCTAGCTCTATCCACTGAAAGCCCTAAACATACTGTCCAACTCAGTAACAACTTGCATCCCTAGTGCCTACATTGTAGTCTTTAAATTCAATTTCCCACTAAAAGATACCAATATTAAATACACAAGATGGGCCCATGATACATCCTGTCATACTAGAAAGGACAGAAGACAATAAGACTACTAGAGTCATTTCAAAAGTACTGAGAGGCAAAGGAGGCAACCAGCTGGCCAGAGACAGGACAATTTAGGATTCAGCAAGGGATACAAGGAAAAAACAAACTGGCCACCACAGGCCATTTTTGGTAACAATTACAAGCAGACATAAACTCATTATCTTACAAGGGTAAAAATCACGTATTTATCTTGGTTTTCCTATATAAACTGTACTCCTAAGTAACCTAACAGAGAAGAGTCACTTTATAGAAGTATTCTAATGGCAACAACCACAATTACTTTGGCACCAACCTAACAGCATGTAAGTAAAGAAATAACAGATTTAGAATATTAACACTTCACAACCCACAATTAATGGATTAAGCACTGAACAATAACAGCTAGTTACATCACACACAAAAAAGAATGAGGTGGATTGAAGATAGCTGCGAATATAATGCTAATCCTACACTGAAAGGTAGAATCTACATGCCTTTGAATCTGCACCGGCCTTGATACCTTGCTTAACTGATAGAATATGGCAGGAAGTGACATTCTGGGACTTTCAAGGTTAAGTCAAAGGAATCTTTGGAGCTTCTGCCTTGGTATCCTGAACACTTAACTCTGAGGAAAGCCACTGCCTGTGAAAACTTAAAACTACTCTGCTGGAGAGAATGTGGAAGAGCCCTGAGACTACATGGAAAGCTAGAGGGGCCGAACTGAATCCAGGCTTCCAGTCATTCCCACCAGACTGTCAGGCACGTAAATGAAGCCATCTTAGAACCTCCAGACCAGCCCAACCACCAAATGGATGAAAACTGAAGGAGCACAATCAGCATCCTGGATGCTGATTTGAGCCCGCTCAAATTCCTGATCAACAAAGTTATGAGATACAATAAAATGGTTTTTATTTCAAATCACTTAAGTTTTGGGGTAATCTGCTTCACAGTGGTAAACAATTAGAACCACCAGAAAACCAAACACTATATGCCTCTTGATGAAAGGAGATACCACAATAACAAGGGAATCAAATCTGTGCCTCATTGAGCCTCTAGATCCAGCAGCTAATTTGCCGGAAAAACAAGGGAGAGTAGAACTGAATCATGACAATAAAATCAGCAAAATCCACTGTGGGAAACTCTATAGGTCAAATGGCCCTGATACTTCAACAGATAAATAACCTACAGAGGCCAGGTGTGGTGGCTCACACCTGTAGCCCCAGCACTCTGGGAGGCCAAAGCAGGAGGATCACTTGAGGCCAGGAGTTTGAGACCAGCCTCTATGAAAAATTTTTGAAAAATCTGCCACGTGTGGTGGCATGCCCCTTAGTCCCAGCTACTCAGGAGGCTGAGGGGAAGGATCCCTTGAGCCCAGGAGTTTAAGGCTGCAGTGAGCCATGACCACACTACGCACTCCAGCCTGGGCTACAGAGTGAGACAGTCTTAAAAATAAAATAAAACAACAGAGAGAACCTGCAGATTAAGACACTCAAAATACATTATATAAAAAAACAGGCCGGGCGCAGTGGCTCACACCTGTAACCCCTGCACTTTCGGAGGCCAAGGCGGGTGGATCACCTGAGGTCAGAAATTCGAGACCAGCCTGGCCAACATGATGAAACCCCATCTCTACTAAAAATACAAAAAATTAGCCGGGCGTGGTGGTGGGTGCCTGTAATCCCAGCTACTCAGGAGGCTGAGGCAGGAGAACTGCTTGAACCCGGGAGGCAGAAGTTGCAGTGAGCCGAGATCGTACCACCACACTCCAGCCTAGGCAACAAGAGTGAAACTCTGTCACAAAAAAAAAAAAAAAAAAAAAAAAAAAAAAAAAAAAAAAAAAAAAAACCAGCTGGACTCAACTATGAAGTGTGAGATTGCCCACTAAGCCACTAAGTATAAAACCATAAAGAAACACAAAGGATTACTATAAAAGGACAGTGGTTACCTTTAGAGGGAGGGAAGCGGTTATGTCAAATGGTACAAGAAAAGCTTCTGGAGCGGAATGGCCAGTAAAGTTCTATTTCTTTTCTTTTTTTATAAAAATGGGACAGGGTCTCACTATGTTATCCAGGCTGGTCTCAAACTTCTGGGTTCAAGCAATCCTCTTGCCTGGGTCTCCCAAAGTGCCAGGATTACAGGTGTGAGCCCTGTGCTCAAAGTTCTATTTCTTGACTTGGGTGGTGGTTAAAAGGCCATCTGCATATAGTAATTCACTAAGCTACACATCTGCATTGTGTTTCTGTGTTTACATTTAGAAAATAAAACAGAACAACAATAAAAATCCCAATGTAGGCTGGGCGGAGTGGCTCACACCTATAATCCCAGCACTTTGGGAGACCAAGACTGGTGGGTCACCTGAGGTCAGGAGTTCTAGACCAGCCTGGCCAACATGGTAAAACCCCATCTCTGCTAAAAATGCAAAAATTAGCTAGGCTTGGTGGTGTGTGCCTGTAGTCCCAGCTACCCAGGAGGCTGAGGCAGGAGAATTGCTTGAACCTGGGAGGGGAAGGTTGCAGTGAGCCGAGATCATGCCATTGCACTCCAGCCTGGGCGGCAGAGTGAGACTCCGTCTCAAAAAAAAAAAAAAAAAAAATTGTGCAGAAACTAAATGACAGAAAACACCAACCATATCATTCTCAATTATCTGTACTTCTGACTTTAAACATTTCTATCTCCTTAAAAGTAGAGACCTCAAAAATGAAGGGCAGAAGCAAAAAAACAAAACAATTACTTGCCCCCAGGCAAACCAGTAATCTTAGAGGTAGAGATGCAAAACTGGTTAACTTGGAGGGTAGGGATGCACAGGAGATTTATTTTTCAAGCTCCTTTGATGACGTTTGAATTTTTTTTTTTTTTTTTTTTTTTTTGAGAGGGAGTTTTGCTCTTGTTGGCCAAGCTGGAGTACAATGGCACAATCTCGGCTCACTGCAACCTCCACGTCCCAGGTTCAAGAGATTCTCCTGCCTCAGCCTCCTAAGTAGCTGGGATTACAGGCATGTGCCACCACACCCAGCTAATTTTTGTATTTTTAGTAGAGACAGCGTTTCACCATGTTGGCCAGGCTGGTCTCAAAACTCCTGACTTCAGGTGATCTGCCCGCCTTGGTCTCCCAAAGTGCTGGGATTACAGGCATGAGCCACTGCACCTGGCTGTTTGAATATTTTTAAAGTGTCTTTTGTAATTACCTGTTTATTAAAAATAACTTGTACTTTATATACAATTTTTTAAAAAAGTGATACAGATCTTGCAAAATGTTTTTTGACAGGGCCTCTCTCTGTCACTCAGGCTGGAGGGCAGTGGGACCATCACAGCTCACTGTGGCCTCAAATTCTTGGGCTCAAGTGATCTGCCTACCTCAGCCTCCTGCATAGCTGGGACTACAGGCATACATCACGGCACCCAGCTAATTTTTTTTTATTTTTTGTAGAGACAGGTCTTGCTATCTCCTGGTCTCAAACTCCTGGGCTTGCCTGCCTCAGCCTCCCAAAGTGCTAGGATTACAGGCACGAACAATCACACCTGGCCTGTAAGATTTTTTTCTGTAAAATTTGTTTAGAAAAGGTAGCAAAGCTTTTTTAACAACACACAGGAGTTAGTTTCATGTCCATATGCTCCCTAAACAATAAAGCTATCTCTCTCATGACATTTATCGGGTGTTTCAACTTTGGTTATAACAGACCATCTGGTATTACATCAATTCATAAACTACCAGAAAAGATTCACTAAGACCAGGCACAGTGGCTCACACCTATAATCCCAGCACTTTGGGAGGCCGAGGCGGGCAGATCACTTGAGATCAGGAGTTTGAGACTAACCTGACTAATATGGTGAAACCCCATATCTACTAAAAATACAAAAATTAGCCAGGCATGGTGGCACACACCTGTAATCTCAGCTACTTGGGAGGCTGAGGCAGGAGAATCGCTTGAACCCGGGAGGTGGATGCTGTAGTGAGCCAAGAACACACTACTGCACTCCAGCCTGGGCAACAGAGCAAGACTGTCTCAAAAAAAAAAAAAAAAAAAAAAAAAAAAAAAAACAACACAAAAAATTCACTAAATACTCCCTACAAAGAACCTTTTTAAAGACACCAAAGCTAAAATATGAGGCCACAGTTCCCAGAAAGAAGGGAATGGAAGAGCAGAGAGTTCAGTTCACTCTTTGGCTCCACTTTTCCCCTCATGGCATTTGCCAATTTGAAAGTGGAAGACAAGAGGCTAAGAAGCTGAAGGGCTCTGGACAGCCTCTCAAGACTGGGGAAATAAAAACTGGAATTCAGAAATATCGAAGAGAAGCCCTGGTAAATACTCCAAACTCTTGAGTTGGGACCCAGTGAAGGAAACAAGAAATATACCACTCCTTAAAAAGACTGATACGTTAGGCCACAAAATAAGTCTTAATAAATTTTCAAAGACTGAAATCATATAAAACATCTTTTCTGATCACAATTAAATAAAACTAGGAGTCAACAGCAAAAGGGAAACTAGAAATTTCCCAAATATGTGGAAATTAAACAACATACTCAAAAAACCAATGGGTCAAGGAAGGGAAATCAGAAAACATCTTCAGACAAATGAAGATGTTTCTTGACTTGGGTGGTGGCTAAAAGGACATCCACATATAGTAATTCACTAAGTTATACACTTGTATTGTGTTTCTGTGTTTATGTTTAGAAAATAAAACAGAACAAAAACCCCAATGTTGCATATTAAACTGAACTAGTATAAAATCTAGTATAAAACTGAACTAAACTGAACTAGTATAAGAACACAACATACCAAAACTTATAGAATGCAGCAAAAACTGTGCTAAGAGGAATAAAATGTATAACTGTATATATGCTTACATTAAAAAAGAAAAAAGGTCTCAAATCAACAACCTAATTTTATGCCTTAAGGAGCCATAAAAAGAACAAACTAAATCCAAAGCTAGCAAAAAGAAGGAAATAATAAAGATTTAGGGCAAAGATTAACAAAATAGATAGGAAAATCAAGGGAATGCTACAAAAAGATCAACAAGGTCAGTCCCGGCAGCCACAGTCACTGGCCGCCCCTCTGCCAACAGCTCCAGCACTACCTTGGGCCAGCATCTCTGGCGGGCAGAAGTAAGGCACTGACAGGCACAGCAGAGAGGTCCTGTAGCTCTGGCTCAGACAGCAGCATCTTCACTCTCTGTGGTACCCAGGTGCTCTGAGAATGTTTCCACTGCTGCTCTGAGGGCACAAGAGGCAGGATTTGGAATTCCTGGAGAACTGTCTTTGTGAGAAGCTGGAAATATTTCTTTCAATTCCATCTCTTAGTTTTCCATTTTGTTGTGTTTCAGAGGAACATCAAGAAACCATGAAGAGTTTAATAATGAAGAGTTTCACTGCCACTTGCTTCCTTGATGAAGGTTTTACTGCCAAGGACATTCTGGACCAAAAAATTAATGAATTTTCTTCTGATGATGATTAGGATGCCTTCTATGTCATGGACCTTAGAGACATTCTAAAGACACATCTAAGATAGTTAAAAGCTCTTCCTCATGTCACCCCCTTTTATGCAGTCAATTATAATGACAGCAGAGCCATCATGAAGACTCTTGCTGCCATCGGGACAGGATTTGACTGTGCTAGCAAGGCTGAAATACAATTGGTGCAGATTCTGGGGATGCCCCCAGAGAGGTTTATGTATGCAAATTCTTGTAAACAAATGTCTCAAATTAAGTACACTGCCAATAATGGAGTCCAGATGATGATTTTCGGTAATGAGGTCAAGTTGATGTCAGTTGCCAGAACACACTCAAAGCAGCCCGTCACATCAGTGTTAAATCTGGTGCCATGCTCAAAGCCAGCAGGCTTCTTTTGGAATGAGCAAAAGAACTAAATATTGATGTCACTGGTGTCAGCTTCCATGTAGGAAGTAGCTGTACCAATCCTGAGACCTTCATGCAGGCAGCCTCCAATGTCCACTGTGTCTTTGACACGGGAGTTGAGTTTGGTTTCAGAATGTAACTGCTTAATACTGGCAGTTGCTTTCCTGGATCTGAGGACGTGAGGCTTAAATCTGAAGTATTACCAGTGTAATCAACCCAGCATCAGACAAGTATTTTCCACCAGACTCTAGAGTGAGAGTCACAGCTGAGCCAGGCAGATATTTCATGTGGCATCAGCTTTCATTGCCAAAAAAATCATATTAAAAGAACAGACAGGGCCGTCGCGGTGGCTCATGCCTGTAATCCCAGCACTTTGGGAGGCTGAGGGAGATAGTTCATGAGGTCAGGAGATCAAGACCATCCTGGCTAACACGGTGAAACCCCATCTCTACTAAAAAAAAAACCCAAAAAATTAGCCAGGCACGGCAGCGGGCGCCTGTAGTCCCAGCTACTCGGGAGGCTGAGGCAGGAGAATGGCGTGAACCCGAGAGGCGGAGCTTGCAGTGAGCCCAGATCACACCACTGCACTCCAGCCTGGGTGACAGAGCGAGACTCTGTCTCAAAAAGAAAGAAAGAAAAAAAAGAACAGACAGGCTCTGAAGAGGAAGATGAGTCAAGCGAACAGACCTTTATGTATTACATGAATGATGAAGTATATGGATCATTTAATCAATCCTTTATGATCATGCACATGTAAAGCCCCTGCTGCAAAAGAGACCTAGATCAGTGAGAAGTATTATTCATCCAGTATATGGGAAGAACATGTGATGGCCTTGATCAGATTGTTGAGCACTGTGATCTGCCCAAAATATATGTAGGTAATTGGATGCTCTTTAAAAACATGGGCGCTGACACTGTTGCTGCTACTTGTACTTTTAATGGATTCCAGAGGCCAACAATCTACATGTGATGTCAGGACCAGCATCGAAACTCATGCAGTGTATCTAGAAGCACGATCTCCCACCCCAAGTAGAGGAACAGGACATTAGCATCCTGTGTCTTCTGCTTGGGAAAATAGAATGAAACATCAATCAGCAACTTGTGCTTCTGCTAGTATTAATATGTAGATATCACTCTTGTAATTGTTAACCATGAGTCCAGCTTGAATTAAGGGATTTCGTAAGAGTTGGGTTCGCATGGACATGGCAATATGGAAGACTAGGATATGGGTCACACATTATTTGTGTTACTATGGAAACTATTTAAATATTTGTTTTATATGGATTTTTATTCACTTTTCTTAAGAGTTGGGTTCATACGGATGTGGCAATATGGAAGACTAGGATATAGGTCACACATTATATATGTTCCTATGGAAACTATTTAAATATTTGTTTTATATGGATTTTTATTCACTTTTCTGATATGCTACTCAAGAGTGCCCCTTGGCTGCTAAGCAAGCATCTGTAGCTTGTACAATGGCGGAATGGGCCAAAAGCTTAGTGTTGTGACCTATTTTAAAAGTAAAGTATTTCAAAATTAACAACAACAACAACAAAATTGACAAAGCTTAAGCTAGATTAAGAAATAAGAGAGAGCCGGGTGCAGTGGCTCATGCCTGTTAATCCCAGCACTTTGGGACGCCAAGGCGGGCAGATCACTTGAAGTCAGGAGTTCAAGACCAGCCTGGCCAACACGTTGAAACCCTGTCTCTACTAAAAATACAAAAAAATAAATAAATAAACTAGCCAGGCCTGATGGCAGCTGCCTGTAGTCCCAGCTACTTGGGAGGCTGAGGCATGAGAATTGCTTGAACCCGGGAGGCAGAGGTTGCAGTGAGCCGAGATCATGCCACAAGCACTCCAGTCTCGGTGACAGAGTGAGGTTCTATGTCAAAAAAGAAAGAAAGAAAGAAAGAAATAAGAGGATTTAAATAACTAATCAGAAATAAAAGTCAGGATATTACTACCAATTTTACAGAAATAAAAAGGGTTATAAAAAGTATTATGAACAAATGCAAGTGAACATATTGAATAACTTACATGAAATAAACAAATTCCTAGAAAAATAACCTAACAAGACTAAATCATGAAGAAACAGAAAATCTGAACAGACCTATAACTTGCCAAGAGATTAAATCAGTAATGAAAAACTTCCCAATGAAGAAAAGCCCAGGACCAAATGGCTTTACTGGTGAATTCTACAAAACATGTAAAGAAATAACATTAATCCTTTTCAAACTCTTTCCAAAAACTGAAGAGGAAAGAACACTTTCTACTCATTCTATGAGACAAGCATTATTCTGATACCAAAGCTAGATGAAGAAACAAGAAAAGAAAATTACAGACTAATAATATCCCTTATGAATAGTAATGCAAAAACCCTCGATAAAATACCAACAAATGGAATTCAATAGCATATTTTTTCTCAATTTTTAAATTTTTATTTTCAAAATTTTAAATTTAGAAATGGGGTGTTGCTATGTTGCCCAGATGGGTTTCGAGCTCCTGGCCTTAAGCAATCCTCCTGCCTCAGCCTCCCAAATAAGTCAGATTACAGGCATGAGCCATCACGCCTGGCTTTTCAACAGCATATTGAAGGGATTATACATCATCATCAAGTGGGATTTATACCTGGAATACAAGGGTGGCTCAACATATGAAAATAAATGTAATCCACATTAACAGAATGAAGAAGGAAAAGACATGGTCATCTCAATTTATGCAAAAAAAGCATCTAACAGACTTTGACACCCTTTCATGATAAAGACACTCAACAAACCAGGAAGGAAACAACTTCAAAGTAATAAATGCCATATATGCAAAAACCAACAGCTAACATCACACAACAGTGAAGACAAAAAGCTTTTCAAAACTGTAAGATCAGGAACAAGACTAGGATATCTACTGTTGCCACTTCTATTCAACATAGTGTTCGAAGTTCTAGCCAGAGCAATTAGGCAAGAAAAACAAAGGACATCTAAATTGAAAGGAAGATGTAAAATAATCTCTGGTCACATATAATGTAAGATCATTCAACATGATCTTACTTGTAGAAAACCCAAAAGATTCCATAAGAAGACTGTTAAGACTTAATAAATGAATTTGGCAAAGTTGCAGGTCACAAAATTAACAGATTAAAATTAGTTGCTTCTACATACTAACAATGAAAAATCTGAAAAGAAACAATTCCATTTACAATAGAATAAAAACGAATAAAATACTCAGGAATAAGCTTAACCAAGGAGACAAAAGACTTGTATACTGAAAATTACAAAACATTGCTGAAAGAAATTAAAGATGACACCAATAAATGAAAGACATCTCATGTTCACAGACTAGAAGACTTAATATTGTTAAGATTTCAGTACTACCCAACATAATCTACAGATTCAATGTAACCTTCACCAAAATCTCAATGACGTTTTCTGCAAAAAATGGAATTGTTTCCTTCACGTGGAATCTCAAGAGACCCCAAATAGCCAAAACAATCTTAAAAAAGAATAATATTGGAGGTCTCATACTTCTAATTTCAACACTTATTACAAAGCCATAGTAATCAAAACAGTATGGGTACTAGCATAAAGATGGACACACAGACCAATATAATGGAATAGACCCAGAAAGAAACCCTCCTGTAAAGGATTCAAATGATCTTTGTCAAGGGTGCCAAGACTACACAATGGTGCTAGGAAAACTGAATATTCACCTGAAAAAGAACAAAGTTAGTCCCTTATATCACATATGAAAGTTAACTCAAAAAGGACTAAAGACCTAAACGTAAGACCTGAAACTATAAAACTCTTAGAAGAAAGCCTAGGGGAAAAGCTTCATAATCATTGCAATTGACAGTGATTTCTTGGATGACATTTCTGGAATAAATATTTATCCAAAGAAGATATACAAATGGTTAACAGGCATATGAAAAGATGCTCAACATCACCAACCATAGGGAAAGGCATATCAAAGCCACAACAAAATATTACCTCACACCCAATAGAATGACCACTATCCAAAAAAACGAAGCAAAAAAACCTCAGAAAATAATATGTGTTATCAAGAATGTGGAGAAACTAGAACCCTTTGCATCACTGGTGGGAATGTAAATGGTGTAGCTACTATGGAAAAGGGGATGGAGGCTCCTCAAAAAATTAAAAATAGAACTACCATATATTCCAAAAATCCCAGTTCTGGCTATATATCTAAAAGAACTGAATATAAAATCTCAAACAGGGCCGGGCACAGTGGCTCACACCTGTAATCCCAGCACTTTAGGAGGCGGGTGATCACTTGAGGCCAGGAGTTCGAGACCAGCCTGGCCAACATGGCAAAACCCCATCTCTACTAAAAATACAAAAATTAGCCGGACATGGTGGCGCATGACTGTAATCCCAGCTACTTGGGAGGCTGAGGCATGAGAATCACTTGAACTCGGGAGGCCAAGGTTGCAGTGAACCAAGATCATGCCACTGCATTCCAGCCTGGGCAACAGAGCTAAACTCAAAAAAAAAAAAAAAAAAAGATCTCAAACAGATAAGATATTTGCACACCCGTGTTCAACTGCAGCCAACTGCAGCATTATTCACAATAACCAAGAGATAGAAGCAACCTAAATGCCCATCTATGGATAAATGGATAAACAAAATGTATATATATGCAGTGGAATGTTACTAAGCCTTCAAAAGGAAGGAAATTCTGACACACATTACAACATGGATGAACCTCAAGGACATTATACTAAGTGAAAATACACTTATCACTAAAAGATAAATACTGAATGATTCTAACTTATATAAGGTACCTAAAGTAGCAAGACTCATAAAAACAGAAAGTAGGCCAGGCACAGGGGCTCACGCCTGTAATCCCAACACTTTGGGAGACTGAGGCAGGAAGACTGCTTGAGCCCTAGGAGTTCAGGACCAGTCTGGGCAACAAGGTGAAATAGCTGGGCATGATGGCATGTCTGTAGTCCCAGCTACTGGGGGGTGTGGGCAGGAACACTGAGGTGGGAGTACTGCTTGAGCCCAGGATGCAGAGGTTGCGGTGAGCCATGATCACGCCACTGCATTCCAGCCTGGAAGACAGAGCAAGACCCTGTCTTGGAAAACAAAACAAAACAAAAAAAGGTTGAAACACAGCTTAGAATCTGCTCAATTACTTTTTGAATTTCAAAGAGATCTGTCCCTGTCATAAAGACCTGCGAGGCCAGGCGCGGTGGCTCACGCCTGTAATCCCAGCACTTTGGGAGGCTGAGGCGGGCGGATCACGAGGTCAGGAGATTGAGACCATCCTAGCTAACATGGTGAAACCCCATCTCTACTAAAAATACAAAAAAAAAAAATTAGCTGGGCATGGTGGTGGGCGCCTGTAGTCCCAGCTACTCGGGAGGCTGAGGCAGGAGAATGGCGTGAACCCGGGAGGCAGAGCTTGCAGTGAGCAGAGATCGCGCCACTGCACTCCAGCCTGGGCAACAGAGCGAGACTCTGTCTCAAAAAAAAAAAAAAAAAAAAGACCTGCCAGAAGCAAAAGAAAATCATCTCAGGAAGGAAACATCATTTATCTCTTCAACTTTTCTTAAACAACATATCGGCCGGGCGCGGTGGCTCACGCCTGTAATCCCAGCACTTTGGGAGGCAGAGGTGGGCGGATCATGAGGTCAGGGGATCGAGACCATCCTGGCTAACATGGTGAAACCCTGTCTCTACTAAAAATACAAAAAATTAGCCGGGCGCGGTGGCGGGTGCCTGTAGTCCCAGCTACTCGGGAGGCTGAGGCAGGAGAATGGCGTGAACCCGGGAGGTGGAGCTTGCAGTGAGCCGAGATAGAGCCACTGCAGTCCGGCCTGGGCGAAAGAGCGAGACTCCGTCTCAAAACAACAACAACATATCAAGCATCTATCAAACAAAAGCAAAGCCAGGCCAGGAACATTGGCTCACACCTATAATCCTAGCACTTTGGGAGGCTGAGGTGGGAGGATCACTTGAAGCTAGGAGCTCAAGACCAACCTGGGCAACAAAGTGAGACCTCGTCTCTACACAAAAAAGAAAGAAAAAAAGAAATTAGCCAGATGTGGTGGTACATGCTTGTAATGCCAGCTACTTTGGAGGCTGTGGTGGGAGGTCCATTTATTTGAGCCAGGAAGTCAAGGCCGCAGTGAGCCTTGATCACACCATTGCACTCCAGCCTAGATGACAGAGCGAGACCACGTCGGGGGGAAAAAAAAAGCAAAACCAAGTGACAACAACTAGAAAGAAACAGACAATACAAAGTAACCATTATCTAGATAATGAATTATCAAAGACTAAAATAACTGATGTCTTAACCAAAGTAATAAAACATCACCAATAGATTTTATGTGACTCCTGATGTGATTGAGTAAAAATGACAAATTATCGTCTATGCAGTATTCTTCCAAAAAATGTTTGACCTGAATGCAATCATGAGAAAAGAACCAGATAAATCTAAATAGTGAGGCATACTAAAAACTAAGACAAAATGGCCCACCCTGGATTTGTGTGGGGTATGTGTGTTTTTTCTTTTCTTTTCTTTTTTTTTTTTTTTTTTTTTGAGATGGAATCTCCTTCTGTCACCCAGGCAGGAATGCAGTGGTGTGATCTCAGCTCACTGTAATCACCGCCTCCCGGATTCAAGTGATTCTCCTGCCTCAGCCTCCCGAGTAGCTGGGACTCCAGGCGCCTGCCACCACACCCGGCTAATTTTTGTATTTTTAATAGAGACGGGGGTTTCACCATATTGGCCAGGCTGGTCTTGAACTCCTGACCTCATGATCCGCCCACCTCGGCCTCCCAAAGTGCTGGGATTATAGGCGTTAGCCACCGCACCCAGCTGTGTGTATATGTTTTAAAGGGACAGGGTCTTGACATGGTTGCCCAGTCTGGCCTCCTGGGCTCAAGCAACCCTCCCACCTCAGCCTCCTGTGTAGCTGGGGCTACAGGTGTGCACCACCGTACCTGTCTTGGATTTGTTTTTTAATATCATCATCATAAAAGAAAAAAAAATACCCAGGTAACTAGAGACATAACAACCAAAAGAAAAGCATTACCCTTGAAGGATCCTAGATTAGAGAAAATAAAATTTTAGAAAGCTTGAAATCTATAACTAGAGCAATTAGGAAAATTTGAATACAGACTGATAATACCATCATATCAATGTCAAATTTCTTGAGAGTGACAACATTTTAGTTTATTTTAGAAAAATGTCCTTGTTCTTACAAGATACAAGTGGAAAAGTTTAAGGAGTAGGGCTTTATAAGGTGTATTTCTAAAAGGTTAAAAGAAATAAAGTTGGAAAAAATGAATAGCTGATTAATATATGCAAAGACTTAGAAGACAAAACTGGAGAATTTCCATTAATAAATGGAATATATAAAAAAGAATTAAAAGGAAATTCTGGAAGTAAAAAAATACGGTAACTGAAATTAAGAACCATTAGAAAAGGCCAAACAGCAAATCAGACAACTGAAGAATTATAGATTGCTATGCTTGATAACAGGTCAATAAAAAACAAAAAGACTGAAGCACAAAGTCAAAAAAAGGATAGAAGGTAAACAATGAGAAGAATGCAAGTGACATGTGGGACACAGTGAAAAAGGCTAAGACACATATAATTGAAATCCTAGCAGGAAAAGAGAAAACAGAAATCAGGAATGAATGAAGAACAATGGAAAAGCAGTGAAGTATATGGGTAAATCCAATTAACACTGATTATATAAAGCAATAATATCTTGTGGTATTTAAAATATATGAAGAATAAAAATGCCTCAGAAGAGTTCCACATCCACCTAAGATATATAATGACAGAAACAATACTGCTTTCCGTAAGTTAACAATACACGAAAGCAAATAAACTACAAAATAACCTTGCTTAAATGCATCAGAAAGTTGAGGTCTTAGGGCAACCAAGTTGACTGAAATCTAAGGACAGACCTCTAACAAGGAAAATGAAGGCAAGCACTGGCTCATCTACGACAGGACAGAGGAAGAAATTCAGGGCACCTGGCAACCAGCTCATAAAAATTCTGCTAACACTTCTAACAAATTGAGAAAGGCTGCATGTGGGCTAGGATGAGCATATAGAACCCCTGGGACTCGCAGACACAAGCAGAACTCACAGTCACCCAGCAGATCACCTTCGCAGACCAGATACTCAAGAGAAAGACTGGGGGTAGGGCAGAAGACCACCTCCTTTGGTGGTGCAGTCCTGGAGGAGGGGAAGAGCCTCTGTTGCGAAAAAGCACAAAAATCTCTGACTGAACCCTTCCCTGAACAAAAGCCTTAGGCTACGGGGAGGGGGCAGCAAAGCATGTCACCCTCAAAGTACAGGTTAAGACTCACTGCAGTTGCACTAAGCGTAAAAGAAAAACCTCTACCCCTAGGGGACAGGCATAAAACAGTCTTGAGCCTATAATAATACTACCAACACCATGAGAGGTCTCCTACCACTGAGAGAAGGGAAAAAAAAACTATTTTGCACAATACCTGCCAGATGCAAGGCAAAGAATGAATGACACAAGAAAAACTAGGATCACTGAGGCCGCCCTACCAGAGAGAATGGCAGACAACAGA
Source organism: Homo sapiens (assembly GCF_000001405.40). Lineage (NCBI taxonomy): Eukaryota > Metazoa > Chordata > Mammalia > Primates > Hominidae > Homo > Homo sapiens. The sequence continues at coordinate 129,037,990 of NC_000007.14, forward strand.
AATGCTAAAGACTAGGGTAGACCAGGGCAACAGAGAATGTTACTCCCCCAAATAAGCAAACAAATTCTAAATATATCATACTCAAACTCCTGAAAACCAGAGATAAAGAGAAATACTGAAGGGAAGCAGAGAAAAAGGACACATTAAATACAGAGGAACAAAAGTAAAAAGCTAGAGCAGACTTCTTGTCAACAATGAGGATGCCAGAAGACATGGAGAGGTAGAGCTAAAAAATGGGAAGAAAAAAAGGAAAGAATTCTAAAGCCAATGAAACCATATTTCTAAAATGAAAGCATTCGACACCAAGAACCCAATTTAAAAATGGACAAAGCAAAAAATAACAGATGCTGGTGAGGTTGCAGAGAAAAAGAAATGCTTACACACTGTTGGTGGGAGTGTAAACTAGTTCAGCCATTGTGGAAAGCAATGTGGCGATTCCTTGAAGAGCTAAAAACAGAACTACCATTCGACCCAGCAATCCCATTACTGGATGTATACCCAAAGGAATATAAATTGTTCTATCATAAAGACACATGCATGCAAATGTTCACTGCAGCACTATTCACAATAGCAAAGACATGGAATCAACTTAAATGCCCAACAACAGTGGACTGGATAAAGAAAATGTGGTAGATATGCACCATGGAATACTATGCAGCCATAAAAAAAGAATGAAATCATGTCCTCTGCAGGAACATGGATGGCGCTGGAGGCCATTATCCTTAGCAAATTAACACAGGATCAGAAAACCAAATACCACATGTTCTTATTTATAAGTGGGAGTTAAATGATGAGAACACATGAACACAAAGAAGACAGACACTGGGACTAACTGGAGGTAAGAGGTTGAGAGGAGGGAGAGGATCGGAAAAAATAATTAATGGGTCCTGGGCTTAACACCTGGGTAACAAAATAATCTGTACAACAAACCCCTATGACACAGCTTTACCTATACAACAAACCTGCATGTGTATCCCTGAACCTAAAAGTTTTTTTAAAAATGGACAAAGAACTTGAATAGACATTTCTCCAAAGATACACGAATGGTCAAAAAGCATACGAAAAGATGCTCAACATGATTAGCCATCAGGAAATGCAAATCAAAACCACAATGAGATATCACTTCATACCCACCAGGATGGCTATAATCAAAAAGACAGACAACAACAAGTACTAGTGAATATGCAGAAAAACAGGAACCCTTATACACTGCTGGTAGGAGTGTAAAATGGTACAGCCATTTTGAAAACAGGATGCCATTCCTTGAAAGGTTAAAAATAGAGCGTTATCACCCAGGCACAGTGGCTCACACCTATAATCCCAGCACTTTGGGAGGCCAAGGCAGGAGGATCGCTTGAGCCCAAGAGTTTGAAACCAGCCTGGGCAACATAGTGAAACCCCATCTCTAGAAAAAATACAAATTAGCTGGGCATGGTAGTGTGCACCTGTAGTCCCAGCTACTCAGGAGGCCAAGGCGGGAGGATTGCTTGAGCTGGAGAGGCAGAGGTTGCAGTGAGCAGAAATCACACCCCCACACTCCATCCTGGGTGACAGAGGAAGATTCTGTCTAAAAAAAAATAAATAAATAAGAGTTATCATATAATCCAAAAATTTCAACAGCACTTGTACATGAATGCATTATAGCACTATTCACAAACGATAGCCAAAAAGTGGAAACAGTCCCAATGTCCACTGACCAATGAATGGATAAGATGTGGTATATATGTTGAATGGAATACTGCTCAGCCATAAAAAGGAGTGAAGTAATAATATATACTATAACATGGATGAACCTTGAAAACATCATACTAACTGAAAGAAGACAGTCACAAAGGATCATGAACTATATGATTCCATTTATATGAAATATCCAGAATAGGCAAAACTCTACAGACAGAAAGTAGATTAGTAGCTGCCTAGCAATGAGGTGGGAGGTGGCAGGCCAAGGGGTACAGGTCTCTTTCTGGTATGATGAAAATGTCCAGCTGGGCATGGTGGCTCACGCCTGTAATCCCAACACTTTGGGAGACCGAGGCAGGTGGATCACTTGAGGTCAGGAGTTCAAGACCAGCCTGGCCAACACGGTGAAACCCCGTCTCTACTAAAAATACAAAAATTAGCCGGGCGTGGTGGTGCACACTTGTAATCCCAGCTACTCAGGAGGCTGAGGCAGGAGAATCACTTGAACCCAGGAGGCAGATGTTGCAGTGAGCCAAGGTCGTGCCACTGCACTCTAGCCTGGGCAACAGGGCGAGACGCCATCTCAAAAAAAAAAAAAAAAGAAAATGTCCAAAACTTGATGGATAAAGAAATCTCTATATTAAAAACCATTAAACGGTATACTTTAAATGAGTGAAATGTAGTTGTGTGAACTATATTTCACTAAAGCTATTTTTTAAAAAACAGGCAAAACAAATCTGTGGTGATGTAAGTCAGAATAGTGGTTATGGGAGGGGAATGATTTACTGGGAAGAGGCATTCAGGTATCTGCTAGAGTAATAGAATGTACTATGCCTTGATGTTATTTGCGATTACTTAAAATATACATATAAGAAAAAAATTGAGTTACACACTTAAGATGGTGCACTTTATGTAAGAAAATTACCTCTCGTTAAAAAAATTATTTTTCTGCAAGTTGGAAATTGCACCTTTTAATGCTCATTATGTTATTATCTAGTTTGGGTTTTTTTTTAACCTAAACTATGGATGGCAGCTATATGAATTTCTCAGGACAATGCTATGGGAAATTAGTCTTAGAAAAATCATTGACTTACTCTTGTGCAAATGTATCAAGTAGAAGCAAAAGGAAGGCACTATCTTCTAAATTCAAGCACCCTTATTTACTTTGATACTGTCTTACCCACTGGTCAAATGCACTTCTCCTTTCAAATACTGTATTAGTTTTTTCAGAATAATAACTAAATATGAGAGTGACCCCTAAAGAATCATTTGGCAAACTTGGGTATCAAGGCTACTGCTAAGTACATCGTCAACGAAAAATCACCCGTGATGACATTGCCCATACTAAATGTTAAGGGTCATAATTATCACTTTATTTTGAATTCCAGGAGAGTTTAAGAATTGTTGACATCCAGCCAGGCATGGTGGCTCACACCTGTAATCCCCGAGCTTTCAGAGGCCTAGGCAGGAGGCTTGCTTAAGGCCAGGTGTTCAAAACCAGCCTGGAGACAACATAGCAAGATCCTGTCTCTAAAAAAAATTTAAAAATCAGCCAGGCATGGTGTACTTGTAGTCCTAGCTACTCAGGAGGCTGAGGCAGGAGGATTGGTTGAGCCCAGTAGCTGGAGGCAGCAGCGAGCTACGATCACACCACTGCCCTCCAGCCTGGGTGACAGAGTGAGATGCTGTCTCAAAAAAGAAAACAAAATGAAATCTTGTTTTGGCTACTGAGTCATAAAGAAAATTCAACCAAATCCTGATACCCTACAAACTACAGTACATTGCTCATTGTTCTTCCCCTCTGCTAAACAGCAGAAAAAAGGAAGGGAAGGAAGAGAATCAAGGAAGGAAAAGGGATTCTTTATAAGGAGAGAATAAAGCACTTACACTTCATAGGACTTTCTAGCCACAGATGCCAGGTGCTACCCACTGAAATCCAGGCTTGGACTAAGCTCCACATTTCTGAAAGGACCATCTCAACTGAAGCCTGGGGCTCAGAGTCAGCAGGAGGAAGCTGCAGCTCCCACTAGCAGCACATTTCAAAGAGGCTGCAACAAGAGAACATTTTCCATTTAAGCATCTAATTCCAATCTTCCATTTCACAAAGCAGTAGCAGAACAGGCCTTTATATCAGTCTTTTCAAAAGATATTTCCATGACTATGTGATGAATATGAGGCAGGCTATGGCCCAGCAATCCTTTCACTAACATGCTCTAAGCCCTTCATTATACTTCACAGCAGATCCTAAAGTACTTGCTCCCTTTTTTGTTTAATGGTGCACTGTTGCTCCAAGACTCACTTCTATACTAACATTTCTAAAACTGCCAAATCAACCAAAATCACTGAGCAGGCCCTCAACAATGCAAGCACACACCCAGACAGGCGCCTAAGGACTCATTAGCTGCCAAGAATTAGAAGCAGATTACAGCTGCTAGTTAATCCTACACAAAAACTCCTCAAATTAAGCAGAATTACCTAAAATACTTCACTGAGTACCAAAGAGCTCTGGCAAATAGAAAATAAAGTTCTGGAAATACAGATAATTCAATAACACTTGAAAAGTAACATAAGTGTCAGGTTGCTGCATTTTTTAAGCATTTCGATGAGTGAACGATATTATTTACTAAATGAAGATTTTCAAAGATTTATAGTATATTGGGGAAAGTTCTGGGAAGGAAGACTACATCAGAACACAGAGTAAAAAGAACTCTTAAAAAGAAAACTACAAATCGGTCAAACAAAACAATATTTTAGATATATGCCCTGCAACCATGTGGTATAGAGCTAGAAAAGTCAGAATTTCCCATATCAAGAAAAAATCATTTTCATGAGACGGGTAAAGAAAGAACAAGTCTAATTTACCTCAAACAGAAAAAGTAATTTTTTAAGTCATCAACTACCTTAACTTCTTTTATCTAATCCTTTATGAGAATTTTACAAAACGAGATAAATTGCTAGATTTGTTACAACAAATTACTTCTTGATAATTTTCTCGGACAGTGGGAAGAAAAATGGTTTGAAAGGATACTAATTAAGAAAAAAATAAACTGAGGGGCACATAAGATAACCATCACTACCTAAAAATATTTTTCAATATAACTTCTTTTGCAAGATGGCCTGAAACACAGAAACCAAGATGAAATCAAACTTAGCTAATATCTTCACCAAAGCAGTGATAAAACAACTCCCATCCTCCAAAAAAAAAAAAAAAAATTGTAAAAGAAAAGTAATCATAAATCTCCTAGCAAGCTCCCAGATTCACAAAATACACTTGGGTATACATAAATACATTTTCTAGAAGCAAAAAAGTTCCCTTATAGAGGTAAGTTCAGTCAACTTACATTTTCACAGCCATCTCCATAAGAGCTAAATATATAATCAAAAGGAAAACAAGTATTTTCCTTAGGAGGAAAGATATTCGTAGCTAAAAACAATTACTTAAAAGGAAGGGTCAGGTGCAATGACACACACCTGTCATCTCAGCACCTTGGGAGGCCAAGGTGGGAGGATCACCTGAGACCAGAAATTCTACACCAACCTGGGCAACATAGCAAGACCCAGTCTTTACAGGAAAAAAAAAAAAATTAGCAGGATGTGATGGTGCGCACCTTTGGTCTCAGCTTCAGGGGGTGGGGGTAGGGGACTGAGGTGGGAAGATCACTGAAGCCCTAGTTACAGTGAGCTGTGATCCTGCCACTGCACTCCAGACTGCGTGACAGAGTGAAACCCTATCTCTAAAATAAACTGAAATTGAATCAAAATAAAAGAAAGGAATCAATAAGGCCAATGACAGCACTGCACAGTGGGGTCTTCCCGGATTCTTTGAAATCCCAGAAGTTCTGAGACAAGCATTTTTAAATAATCCTATATCATAATGACCTCTGACAAATGAATTTTGGCTGAACTACATAGTTGTTGGTCACACATAAGATGGTACTAAGATATCTTGCCCCAATTTTTTCATGACAAGAATCCCTATCCAAAATAATAATCCTCAATTACCTATGAATGTTGGTATTAATCTCAAGAATGGCCCTGAAAAAGACAAATAAATTTAGATCCATAAAGCCAACTTCAGTTGGGAATGACCAAGTCAAGCATTACTCGATAATCTTTTCACTGTGGGCCTTATTTATACTAGGCAGTCTTGCTTTAAAAATAGAAAATGCCAAGCTTGAAACCATTTCATTTGAAACAAATGGTTAGCCCATGCAAAGGCTTCCTGAAAGCCAAAATACAGAAAATTTATCTTCTTTCAACACTGGTCTCTATTTCTGCCTACCTGCTCAGTTTTATAACCCATATAAACCAGATGAGAATTCTATTGTACATACAAAGCATATGTTAACAGTGCTTAAGACTCAAATTTTTCAAACTTACATAAATGTAATATGTCTAACTTAAAGTATTGTAATAACGCATTAAAGTGGTAATTAAATCTCTGAATGCTTATTTATATAAAAGCATGTATATTTTCTTGAACCCCGACCTCAAGTGATCTGCCTGCCTTGGCCTCCCAAAATGCTGGGATTACAGGCATGAGCCACTGCGCCTGGCCTTTTTTAGTTTTTTTGTTTTTGAGATGGAGCCTTGCTCAAAACATCTATGTTTTCATGTCTAGTTCCAAATATATTCTCTTGCTTTGAAGATAACTGTTAAAATATTACACTATGACTGAGACAGAAAATACAACTAGGAAGCAATGAACACAAAATAGAAAAAAGAATTGTGCTGTGGGCTTGAGAAAAAAATAAGTAAAAACCATTATGCAAACTCTGTTAACAGAAAACCCACCAAAAGGAAAAATACTTGTTTTCTAATTTCATTTTGGATACTCTACCAGAAGAAGAAAATTAAATTAGTACTTTTAAGAGTATGTACATAACAAACACTACAAAACTATCCCTTGTAGCAATACTGTTAACTTCCAGTAAAGAGAAATAAGGTTTATCTTAGAGGCTTCACCTATACAGCTGTAAAAATACTCTCTGGTAACATTTCAGCACCATGGTACAAGTGAGGGAAATACAGGACAGGTAGTCTGAGTAATATCAACTTCCTAAGAAATAAATTTGTTTTTAAGTTTAACAGAGCTTAAAAATCTGGGAAACAGTATGGCAGTTCCCCCAAATAAGTAAACAAATAAATATAGAATTACCATATGATACAGCAATTCTAATTCTAGGTATACTGTATATCTAAAGAATTGAAAGCAGGTACTCCCACAAGTATTTATACACCCATGTTCATAGCAGCATTATTCACAAAGGTGCAAGCAAGTGTCCATTGATGGATAAATGGATAAGCCAAACGTGGTATATATACATACAACGGGATATTATTCAGCCTTAAAAAGGAAGGAATTTCTGACAATGCTACGCACATGGATGAACCCTGAAGATATTATGCTAAGTGAGAATAGCCCATCACAAAAAGGCTAAATACTGTATGATTCCACTTACATGAGGTACCAAGAATAGTCACATTCATAGAGACAGAAAGTAGAATGGTGGTTGCCAGGGATTGGGGCGGGGAGCAAATGGGCACCTATTTTGTTTAGTGGGCATAGATTTAGTTTTACAAGATGAAAAAGTTTTGAAGATGGATGATGGTGATGGTTGCACAACAATGTCAATGTATGTAATACCACTGAACTGCACACTTAAAAATGGTTAAAATGACTGGGCACGGTAGCTCATGCCTGTAATCCCAGCTACTTGGGAGGCTGAGGAGGCAAGATAGCTTGAGCCTGGGAGTTTAAGGCTGCAGTGAGCTATGATCGCACCACTGCACTCCAACCTGGGCAACAGAACAAGACCCTGTCTCAGAAAAAAAAAAAACGTTAAAATGCTAAATTTATGTTTTGAATGTTTTGCCACAAAAAAAAAAAAATCTATAAAACCTACTTTCCATTTCCTCCATAAACATCAGTGCAATCAATCACTGTAAAAGAATGCTGAAGAAATATCTGAAAAACTTTGGAAAAACTATTGTAATTAGAAAATATAGTAGTACCCTGATAATTTTACATCCTAAATCAAACTATCAACTTTGGCCCAAGGCCTGGCAAGACAAGAAACTAATCAAAATATGGAGAAATGCCACCACATAACAGACTACCATGGCAACAGAAATACTGTCACAAAATCACAAACATAGACTCCAATACTTCAAAGACATGAAATGTTCTATATTTGTACCGTACAGTACTTGGAATGTGGGTAAGTGCAAATAAGAAACTGATTTTAGGCCGGGCGCAGTGGCTCATGCCTGTAATCCCAGCACTCTGGGAGGCTGAGGTGGGTGGATCACGAGATCAGGAGATTGAGACCATTCTGGCTAACACAGTGAAACCCCATCTCCACTAACAATACAAAAAATTAGCCAGGCATGGTGGCATGCACCTGTAATCCCAGTTACTCGGGAGCCTGAGGCAGAATTGCTTGAACCCGGGAGGTGGAGGTTGCAGTGAGCCAAGATTGCACCACTGCACTCCAGCCTGAGTGACAGAGTGAGACTCCGTCTCAAAAAAAAAAAAAAAAAAAAAAGAAACTGATTTTAACTTTTACTTAATTTTAAGTTTAAATAGTCACACTAGACTGGTGGCTACTACACTGGATGACACAGCTACATTGGTACACTCTCTGGGAGAAAGATCTTTGGTTTTCATTATTTACATACTCCCAGTTTCTATCAGTGCAAGGCACAGAGTATTCCTAGACTGAACTCATCTACTGAAGTTGTATAGGAATATTTTCTATTTTCTAGAAGGCTTTCCTTTCAAAAGCATGTTTTGACTGGAAGGTGCAAGCATAAGCACACACAAAAAATGCCTAAACTTTCAAGATAAATCAGTAATGACCAGAGAAAAGCCAAAAACCCTAGGTTTTATAACCAGGCTAAAGAATCAATAAATTCCAAAAAGGAAAAGTACTAGCAAAGAAGTTTGAAGCTGATATTCCATGACCCATGTATTAATGTGTTCTCACACTGCTAATAAAGACATACCCAAGCCTGGGTAATTTATAAAGGAAAGGGGTTTAACTGACTCAGTTTCACATAGCTGGGGAGGCTTCACAATTATGGCGGAAGACGAAGGAAGAGCAAAGCGACGTCTTACATGGCGGCAGGCAAGAGAGAGCTTGTGGAGGGGAACTCACATTTATAAAACCATCAGAACTTGTGAGACTTATTCACTACCACAAGAACAGTATGAGGGAACCCCCCATCATGATTCAATTACCTCTACCTGGCCCCACCTTGCCACAAATCGGGGGGTATTATTACAAGGTGAGATGTGGGTGGGGACATAGCCAAACCATATCAACCCAAGACCTTTCTGATATGATATCTAAGAAGAAAATTCCTATGGACATGTGATAAACCAAACATGACAATGCCAACTTAGTCTATCAAAGCATGACTTTACTTCATCTGCTTTGTGCTTTTGATGCTTTCCATCAAAAAGCTGCATACACCCATGCTGAAGCATGCCTATTCAGTTTCCATACTGAACTATAAAACTTTTGAGGTAATATCTAACCCAAAGATTGTCTCTGTAAAAGTTATCTCCTACTTACAACTTAAATTAAAAACTTATAACTGAGTCGCTTAAGTAATTGGCCCTATGAAGAGATGGTCTTTCCTTCAATAGCTCTCTACAACTTCTACTAATTTTGGTTAGTAGGGGTGGACAAATGAAACTACTAAATATACAGGACAGGCTACTAAGATTCCTTTAAGATCTGCCTCAAAATACTCTCTTTCAGAACACTTTGAAGTTATCAGTGATATCTATCTATCACATAAAACAACCATGGCTGTACATCTCCAAAAATTTTGGTGGAAGTTTAGAGCAATGAATACAGATTCTTCAGAAAATGGCTGTTTTATACAAATATTAGAGAAAGAGAAAAGATGCTAACTCACAGTACAGGCTAAAGCATATTCAAATTATACCTCTATACCACGTCTACTGTCACCAGGTCATTCGAACTATACTCAATTACTCTCGGATTAGTTAGGTGGGGTGGTAGAGAAGAATAAGGATAATAGTTTCACAAATACATATTCTTGAAAGTAGTTTTTTAGCAAACCACACAAATTCTATGCCTTACCAATTTCAAATGGATGTTAAAACACTATAGTTATTACTACAGTTAAAACACGCTTTTGTTCCAGTAGACAAAATCTTCCGGAAAGAAAAAAACCACCACACACATTACTTTTGGTTACAAATGCCATTTAGTGACCACTTAAAGAGAGCCTTGGCCAGGCACAGTGACTCATGTCTGTAATCCTAGCACTTTGGGAGTCTGAGGTGAGAGAAGTGCTTGAGCCCAGGGGCTTGAGACCAGCCTGGGCAACATGGCAAGACCCTGACTCTACAAAAAATACAAAACATTAGCCAGGTATGGTGGTGCATGCCTGTAGTCCCAGCTGTCCAAGAGGCTGAGGTGGGAAGATCACCTGAACCCAGGCTCAGGTGAGCAAGGCTGCAGTGAGCAGTAATCACACCTCTGCGCTCCACAGCCTGGGTAACAGAGTGAGACCCTGTCTCAAAAAACTAAATAAATAGACCAGGTGCAGTGGCTCACACCTCTAATCCCAGCACTTTGGGAGGCCAAGGCGGCCAGATCACTTAAGGCCAGGAGTTTGAGACAAACCTGGCCAACATGGCAAAACCCCAATCTCTACTAAAAATACAAAAATTAGCCGGGCATGGTGGCATGTGCCTGTAGTCCCAGCTACTTGGGAGGCTGAGGCAAGAGAATTGCTTGAACCCAGGAGGCGGAGGTTGCAGTGAGCCAAGATGGTGCCACTGCACTCCGGCCTGGGCAACAGAGTGAGACTCTGTCTCAAAAAATAAATAAACAAAGAGAGCCTTATTGAGTCAAAAAGTTCCTCTCCCTTTCTGTACCTGAATATTTGCAAGTATGAAATGAGGGCAACATATACATCTCATAAAGGATTTAAAAAAAAAAAAGAAAGAAAAAAAAAGACTGGAAAGACTGAAGAGCATTAAAGGTGCTGAATATTGTTTATTTTTAACCATGTATATGGTGAAAAGTGACAGCAAAAATAAATAAAACTCGCAGATAAAGAAAAATGTGAGTTATCCAACTGAGTATCTGCATGTATGCACTTCTGACAATCAACATTTTTAAGAACCTGTGTGTGAAGTGTCTTGATTGTTTATCTTAATAACCATGGTTTATTTCTTCAACTATGGGTATTGGACTACATAAACAAATGTGACAAGAATCCCAGTCTAGTAGGGGAGGCAAAACACTTATTTTCAAAAAGGTTTATAAAAAGGCAAACACAATGAAGTAAAGTTCTCTAGGCATTCATTGGGGGCTGAAATCACTTTTGGCTGAAGAGAAGCAGGTAAGCCTTGAAGGAGAAAGCAGAATTTAGGTTGGGCTTTCAAAAGATGAGTTAGTTTCTGCATTTGAAGAAAGGGTTGGGAAAGGGTAAAAGCAGAGAAGAAAGTAAAGTTGGGCAAAGGCGGCATCCACTCTACCCCAAAATATTTGTGTACTATGAGAAATATTTCAGCTATTTGGATGCTGATGGGAAAGACTCAGTAAAGGAGTCTAAAGATGCAGACAAGACATAGGATAAACCAAAAGATCAAGGTCCCAGAAATTTCAGAAGATTGAGAGATGCAAAGCACCTAGATCTGACAAGAGGAGAAGCAGCTGCATACAACCATGCTGAAGTCTGACCAAATTGGAGGGGAAAGGTGATGGTGTATTTATAAAATGACTAGAATGATAGATCTTGGAATCCACATTTGGTAAGGAGAGAAGTAAAAACAAGAAGACCTAATAAAGAAGAAGTAAGGAACAGTCAATGAACTGAGGTTTTGATAAAATTCAAGAACTAATGCAGGGACTTCTGTTTAAAATGACTAAACTAACTGATTGAACACAGCTGTCTGCTTTCAGGTCCTTCCAAAAATCCAATAAAAATCAGAGTAAAGATCTTTTTTAAAAAAGGCAAAAACACATAAAGACAAAGAAAATGGAAACAGGTGACAGATATCAATAGAACTGTGGAAACTGGAAAGCTAAAGGACAGTGTTAACTGTCTTAGCAGATCCGAAAAGGCTGATATTTGCCTGGGGGTGGGGAGGGAGGATGAGACGAGAATAGGGAAGGCAAGGGACAAACTATTCATGTTGCAAAACCCAGGAAGACTGGGGAATTGGAAGCACAGGTACATCTGAAGGCAGATGCACAGGCGGAACAAAAAATAAAGGAGTGGAGCTGGATGTGGTGGTGTGCACCTGTAATTTCAGCTACTCAGGAGACTGAGGAGAGAGGATTGCCTGAGACCAAGAGTTCGGGTCCAACCTGGGCAATATAGCGAGACCCCAACTTTTCTTTTCTTTTTTTTCTTTTTTTAAAAAGGGTGAGGTGGGGTGGGCTGGGCGCAGTCACTCATGCCTGTAATCCCAGCACTTTGGGAGGCCAAGGTGGGCAGATCACAAGGTCAGGAGACCGAGACCATCCTGGCTAACATGGTGAAACCTTGTCTCTACTAAAAAATACAAAAAATTAGCTGGGCATGGTGGCAAGCACCTGTAGTCCCAGCTACTCTGGAGGCTGAGGCAGGAGAATGGCGTGAACCCGGGAGGCGGAGCTTGCAGTGAGCTGAGATGGCGCCACTGCACTCCAGCCTGGGAGACAGCGAGACTCTGTCTCAAAAAAAAAAAAAAAAAAAAGGGTGGGGGGGGAATCGGCTAGTAATGCAGCCTTAAAACAAAAAAAGAAAAAAGTTTAAATAAATAAAAGGGTCAAAATCTGTGTAAGAAGCAGTAGACTCCTAAATTTCCTCTCTGACTCTGAGCAACCAGGCTACTACTCTCCCACCATAACAGAAGACTCAAGGTTTACTGTGGAAAGATTGAAGTAGGTGGTCTCTGGACTCTTAGACAACAGACTCAGCTAAAGACAGGAGTATCATGCTGAAAAACAAGAGATTAAATTAAAACCTACATACTTAGTTGTGAGATCCATCCCCTGGCTTCATTCCCTGAACTGGCTTTAGAACACTGGCAGTCTAGCTTATAACCCCCAGGCTGACTAGAGAACTCAAGGTAAAAGCAGCCCAAGAAAAACAGACCAACAGAAAAGCAATGAGAGAAAGGATGAAGGTTCCCTTCTCGATGATCCATTAAATGGAAGAGTAACCCAAGAAAACATCATGGAATCCAAGAATCAGTGGATCCAGCACAACAAAGAGGCAAAGGGAATTCCCTAGGACAGTGTTTATGGAATCCCATGACAGTAATTATCCAACAGACCTAGCGAACCAGGCCAGACTGGAGCAGGGAAATGGAGGGCTCTTGGGATACATATTTCCTTTAGCCAAAAAAGAAAACAAATCACCAGTCTGAACAATGAGGATATTTACAGTACTGAGATTTGAGGGTGACTTATTGTGGATACCCAGAAAACAAAATGTTAAAAAAAAAAAGAGGTATTTGATTACCAACAGGAAAAAAAAGGTTCCACAAAATTTTGTTTTAAAAATAAAACTTAAATATTAGTAAAACTACATAAAGATTTCAAAAAAAACTAGGTGACATTATTTGATATTTTTGAGCCAGCAAACTGGAAAACAGTGGGTTATGATCACAGCAGAATGTCTGAATCAGTGATTTGGAGGTGTGGTGACTTTTTTTTTTTTTTTGTACAATCTTGCTGTTTCCCAGGCTAGAGTGCAGTAGCGAAATCATAGCTCACTCAGTCTTGAACTCCTGGGCTCAAGGGATCCTCCTGAGTAGCTGGGACTATAGGCAAATGTCACCACACCCAACTAATTTTCCTATTTTTTTGTAGAAATGAGGTCTCGCTATGTTGCCCAGGCTGGTCTTGAACTCCTGGGCTCAAGGGATCCTCCACCTTGGACTCCCAAAGTGCTGGGATTACAGGCAAGAGCCAATGGGCCTGGCCTGGCTGGCAACTTTTTTGTTTTTTTTGAAATGGAGTCGCGCTCTGTCGCCCAGGCTGGAGTGCAGTGACACAATATCAGCTCACTGCAACCTCCACCTCCTGGGTTCAAGAGATTCTCCTGCCTCAGCCTCCTGAGTAGCAGAGACTACAGGTGCGCACCACCACGCCCAGCTAATTTTTGTATTTTTAGTAGAAACGGGTTTTCACCATGTTGGCCAGGCTGGTCTCAAACCCCTGACCTCAAGCGATCCGCCCGCCTCAGCCTCCCAAAGTGTTGGGATTACAGGCGTGAGCCACTGCACGCCCAGCCTGGGTGGTGGCTTTTTAGTAAAGACAAGATCCAGGGTGTGATTGTGTGACCAGGTGGCTAAAGAGAATGAAGAGGTAAAGGAATCAGAAGGCCAAAGTGTTAGCTGAACTGTCAATCCAGATGCTGAAGTTGCCTAAACGTGATGTGTTACTGCTGGATATTTTCCAGATCCACTTTTCCACCCTCCTCTATCATGTTTTCTGCTCCAATAGGCTGACCTGTATAGACTTTACCAACAGGTCACTGTGCCCCTGGCTTCCGGTTGGGTTTGGCCAATGGGGAATCCCAGCAAGAAATTAAGAGAACAGGGTCAGGATATTCATTCCTCCAGCTTCATTCTCTCAAGGTCACCTGAAACTAGCTATGTCCCTTCGGCTGAAAGTCACCATTCCTCTCAAGGCAGCCAACTCCATACTTTTCAAGTAACTATTCCCTCTTTTATGGGATGTTAACCGTTCAGCTATAGGTTACCAAACTATTTCTTGTCACACCACTATACCTAAATCTTTATAATAGTATCTTTATAAAATAAACTCAGATTATCCTGTCAAGTGTGCCATCTGTTCCTGTCTGGACTCTGACTATTAACTGTGATGGTGAAGATGATGTAAGGTTGTAATAGAGTATTGGAAAGTAAGGAGAGAAAAGTGACTAATACTTAAATAACAATTGCTAACATTTTAATCTCTATGTTCCAAGAACTTTTCTAACCTCTTCGTAGAATATTAACTCATTTAATCACAACTACCTTCTGTGGTAAGCAGAGATTTTTGTCTGGTTCATTTCCAAATCCAAACACCCAGCATAGTTGCTGGCACATGGTAAGCACTCAAATATTGATTTAAAATACACACAACAAGCAGGTTTAATTAGAAAGAGATTACTTTTTTAGTATAGTGTAGCACTTCTCCTAATTACACTTTAGAAAACTATACAAAGATCAGGGAATTGTTGACTCTCCAGAGATCACAGAAACACTAAATGAGACCATATGTGAATGATTTTCTTGTGTAGCCTACAGTGAGTCGTATTCCTTTATTTTCTGAAGAGGACTTGGGTGCCAGTTTTTTAGGTTTAATATTCAAAGTCAAAGTTGCAGCGGGGGGCGATGGCTCACATCTATAATCCCAGCACTTTGGGAGGCCGAGGCGGGCGGATCACCTGAGGTCGGAGTTAGAGACCAGCCTGGCCAACATGGCGAAACCCCGTTTCTACTAAAAAATACAAAAATTAGCTGGGTGTGGTGGCGTGTGCCTGTAATCCCAGCTACTCAGGAGGCTGAGACAGGAGAATCACTTGAACCTGGGAGGAGGAGGTTGCAGTGTGCCGAGATAGCACCACTGCACTCCTCCAGCCTGGGCAACAGAGCCAGACTCTGTCTCAAGAAAAAAAAAAAAAAATTAGTCGGGTGTCAGGGCAGGCACCTGTAATCCCAGCTACTCGGGAGGCTGAGGCAGGAGAATCTCTTGAACCCGGGAGGAGGAGGTTGCAGTGAGCTGAGATGGGACCACTGCACTCCAGCCTGGGCGACAAAGCGAGACTCTGTCTCAAAAAAAAAAAAAAAAAAAAGGCAAAGTTGCTCCATACCAAGACCAGATTTTTAAAAAGTCAAAGTTGCAAATTTTTAAATATTATGCACTTGCAGCCTAGGAGCTGATTTAATAAGGCAGAGCACCTTTAAGTATCAGTTATGAGTTAAAATAAAGGGAAGGGGGCCAAAAAAAATATGGTTGTGAGTATAAAATGCAAAAATAAAGGTAAAGGTGAGTATTTTGTCAGCCTGTAAAAAAAGCCTCTTTAGTTTTCAAAGTACTTAATTTTTAAAGTACATCCTACATTAGAACCTAAGTCAGCCAGATAACCAAGAATACACATTTACACAGAAATGAAGCACAGCAAAGGTGTGAAAATTAGGGCAGGAAGCATAAAACATGAATCAAAGAATGCAGAAATACAACAGATATAAGCTACAATTAAATATCTCACCGGATGCACACACAGTTTTATATGGAATAATCAAAGCAGCAGTGATACCCATCTTATAAATAAAAATCTAAAAGCCAGAGAAATAACAAGGTTAGAGGATTAATATGAAACAAAATGAGAACTCCAAAGATTTTCTGAAAGCAGAATTACTGTTTTTTCTTCATATTATGTTGCCACTCCAAAGCAAGGGGAAAACTCGCATGAGTAAGAATCTAGAAACCTGAGAAGTTTCGAGAAGAACAGACTCAAACTGGAGTGAAAATAGGCAAAAAGAGTGAGGCATAAGGCTACGACTGGGAGCAAAATGCCAGATGCAAGTCTTGGACACGGAGGGGAGACGAATAAAGCCTTCTTAAGCGGAAGGTGGAGAAACACTGGGGTTGGATTTGGTGGGAGGAAGACAAAACGGAAAAGCACGGCCCAAGAAGCAACGGCAAAGGGAGAACTTAAACAAGATTAGATTGATGCCACAATCGAAGAGTATAAGACCTACAAATCAGATTCTGCCGGGTGGGGAAAGGGCCAGTTCGCGACCGATCAGGTGCGACTAGTTTCCCAAAAGCGGCAAAGATGTAGCTTCGCAGCCCCACCCCACGACAGCAGCTCCTCCCCAAGGAGGACCTCACGAGGTCAACTGCCGGGCTCAGGTTCTCCCCCGGAGCCTAGGTTCCACCCCGCCCCGGCCGTGCGGCACAGAACTGCCTCTCTGGGCCCCTCACCGAACGCTGCAGCTCCCCAAGCCAAAAAGAGGCGCGCTCCTTTCCGCTGGGATCTGGGTCGTGGTAAAGCGCCTGCACTGCCTGGTACACGAGCTGCAATGTCGGCTTTGCTCCTTCCATGGTGGTGGCGGTAGTGGCGGTAGCGACGGCTCTGATTCTTCTCCGGAGGATTCCTCGGTTGCTCCGCCTTCGCGCTTCCTCACTGTCTGGGCCACGGCCGCTCCCTGACTGGCGCCATCTCCTCCTCTTTGGCCGTTACCAGGGCAGAAGGCTCTCCGTGGAAGTTGCCCCCTCGGAAACAGCTATTAGGTCGTATTCAGGTTCCTGGCCTTTTTTCCGGTTTTTCCACTTGATTCTAGACTCTTGAGTCCACAGATTCTGGCGCTCCCGTCTTCAGTCGCTGACTTGCCCTCAGAAGCCTATCTTGGGAGGCCACACACCAGTGTACCTAAGGTTCGTTTACCCGGACCGGAAGCGACAGCACCGATACCTTTGGCACACTTCCGCCTGGTACACTACAAACGGCCTCCTTCCCGGCACGCCTCCTCTTGTCTCCCCGCCCCCTCCCGGAAGTAACCCTGCCGGGCCAGGAGCCGGGAAGAAGAGCCGGTGTTCTCTCTGTTCCTCGCTAGCAGCTTGGGACATTAGCGCCGAGATGTGCCCCATATCTGAGCTGCCTTCAGCTCCTTGGAAACGGATCCAGGTTTTTCCTACCCCTTCCGACTGCCCCATCCCTCTCCAGAGAATCCTTTTCTGCCCTGGTGATCAAGGCGCGTCAATTCAACTCTCCCTAGAGTGGCCACAGTACTGGAGATCCAAAGATGACTTAAGACATGGTACCTACGCTGGCTCTAGTGGAGGAGACAGACACGTAGTCAACTGAACTATTTTACAAACCTGAAATATGTGCCACATTGAGATAAATCCAAAATGCCTAGAATCTTTGTTCAGCTCCCCTTTACTTAGTTCTTAAGCCCAAAAGAGGTCTTCATTCTGCTTACAGCTCCTGGTGCTCTAACTCCAGAGCATTTTGCATACATCTTTAGGGTTATTCTCACATTGAACTGTATTTTTGTGAATGCCTTTCTGTCCGAATCCAATACCAGTGGTCTAACAATTCACAAAAGAAAACAGAAATATTGGAAACTGTACTATGGAGAAATTAGGGACAAAAGGTAACAGTATATTGATATTAACATTGCTGCTAGTCCTTTGCACTAGTAAATAACTGCTATTTGATAAATGATCACAATGTGTAAAACACTGTAGTTACAAGATCTCATTTAATCCGCCTAACAACCTTGCCAAGTATTAATAAAACCCGTTTTAGGCGCTGACACTGACCTACAGCGCCTCAGCTCCAGCGCCATGGCGCCCTCCAGGAAGTTCTTCGTGGGGAGGAACTGGAAGATGAACGGGCGGAAGAAATGTCTGGGGGAGCTCATCGGCACTCAGAACGCGGCCACTGTGCCTGCCGACACCAAGGTGATTTGTGCTCTCGCCACTGCGTATAACGAGTTGGCCCGGCAGAAGCTAGCTCCCAAGATTGCTGTGGCTCCGCAGAACTGCTACAAAGTGACTAATGGGGCCTTTACTGGGGAGATCAGCCCTGGCATGGTCAAAGACTTAGGAGTCACGTGGGTGGTGTGGTCCTGGGGCACTCAGAAGGCGTGTCTTTGGGGAGTCAGATGAGCTGATTGGGCAGAAAAGTGGCCCATGCTCTGGCAGAGAGACTCGGAGTAATCGCCTGCATTGGGGAGAAGCTAGATGAAAGGGAAGCTGGCATCACTGAGAAGGTTGTTTTTGAGCAGACAAAGGTCATCGCAGATAATGTGAAGGACTGGAGCAAGGTCATCTTGGCCTATGATCCCGTGTGGGCCACTGGTACTGGCAAGACTGCAACACCCCAACAGGCCCAGGAGGTACACAAGAAGCTCCGAGGATGGCTTAAGTCCAACATCTCTGATGCAGTGGCTCAGAGCACTGGTATCATTTATGGAGGCTCTGTGACCAAGGCAACCTGCAAGGAGCTGGCCAGCCAGCCTGACGTGGCTGCCTTCCTCATGAGTGGTGTTTCCCTCAAGCCCGAATTCGTAGACATCATCAATGCCAAACAATGAGCCCCATCCGTCTTCCCTACCCTTCCTGCCAACCCAGGAACTAAGCAGCCCAGAAGCTGAGTGACTGCCCCTCCCCTGCACATGCTTCTGATGGTGTCATCTGCACCCTATTGTGGCCTCATCCAAACTGTATCTTCCTTTACTATGTATACCTTCACCGTGTAATGGTCGGGACCAGACCAATCCCTTCTCCACTTACTGTAATTGTTGGAACTAAATGTCACCAATGTGGCTTCTCCTTGGCTGAGAGGTGAAAGGGATGGAATTTGCTCCTGGGTCCCCTAGGCCCTAGTGAGGGGAGGAGAGAGAACCCATCCTCTCCCTTCTTACACTGTGAGGCCAAGCAGAAGCCAGGGGTGCTGCCCTCTCCCACGGTGCCAACGCCTTTGTGTGTTGTGTATGTGAGCCATCCCACATGTGAGGGAAATAAACCCCTGGCACTTAAAAAACAAACAAAAAAACGCATTTTAAAGAAAGAAAAATAGTAATGTAATTTGCCCAAGGATACAGTTCTTAAAGTTAGGATTTGAATCCAGATCAGTGTTGCTCCAAAACCTGTTAAATCACACAATCCCTATCATCTTGTGCATTCGTTTGCTTCTGAATTGTTAGTCAAGGAATTTTTAACTGCCAACAACATGATGAAAACAATGTTACTGCACAGAGTTGATACAATTTTAGACAGAAAAAAGAAACTTGATATTTTGGTTACCTAATCCATTCATTCATTAAAAAAAAATTTAGTGCTGGGCTTGGTGGCTCACAACTGTGTAATCCCGGCATTTTGGGAGGCCGAGGCAAGAGGATTACCTTTGAGGCCAGGAGTTCAAGACCATCCTGGGTAATGAAATGAGACTCCATCTCTACAAAAAAAAATGCAAAAAAATTAGCAGGGCATGGTGGTGGGTGCTTCTAATCCCAGCTACTCAGGAGGCTGAGGTGGGAGTATTGCTTTAGCCCAGGAGGTGGGGGTTGCAGTGAGCAGAGATTGTGCCACTGCACTCCAGCCTGGGAAACAGTGAGACCATATCTCAAAACAAATTTTTTTGTGTGTATCAAAGGACACTATCAAGAAAGTGAAGTAACAGTCCACAACATGGAAGGGAATGTGCAAATAACATATCTGATAACTGATTAGTATCCAGAGTATATAAAGAACTCTTACAATTCAACAATGAAAAGACAACTCAGTTTTTGGGTTTGTTTTGTGTGTGTGTGTGTGTGTGTGTGTGTTTTGTTTTTTTGTTTTGAGTTGGAGTCTTGCTCTGTTGCCCAGGCTAGAGTACAATGGCACAATCTCAGCTCACTGAAACCTCCACCTCCTGGGTTCAAGCGATTCTTGTACCTCATCCTCCCACGTAGTTGGGATTACAGGTGCCCACAACCATGCCTGGCTGATTTTTGTATTTTTAGTAGAAACAGGGCTTCACCACGTTGGCCAGGTTGGTCTCGAACTCCTGACCTCAAGTGATCCACCCGCCTCAGCCTTTCAAAGTGCTGGAATTACAGGCGTAAGCCACCATGTCTGGCCTCAGATAATTCAGTTTTTTAAATGGGCAGTGAATTTGAATAGACATTTCTTCCAAGAAGATATACAAATGCACATGAAAAGATGCTCATCATTAGCCCTCAGGGAAATACAAATCAAAACTGCAATGAGATACAACTTCACACCCACTAGAAAAACTAAAATTTAAAAAATGATAAATGCTGGTGAGAATGTGGACAAATCAGAACTCTCATGCACTATTCATGGGATTGTATCATGGTGCGGCCATGTTGAAAAAGTTTGGCAGCTCTTCAAAAAAATGTTAAACATAGAATTATCATATGAACCAGCAGTTCTACACTTAGGTATATACTCAAGAGAAATGATAACGTGTGTGCATACAAGCACTTGCACGTGCATATTCATAGCAGCATTATTCATAATAGACGGCAGAAACAGCCCCAATATCCGTCATTTGATGCATGGATAAACAAAGTGTGCTATATCCATACAATGAAAGGTTATTTGACCCTTAAAAGGAATGAAGTACAGATAGATGCTACAATATAGATAAACTTGAAAAATTATGCTAAGTGAAAGTGGCCAGACACAAAAGGCACATTAATTACGCGATTCTATTTACATAAAATGTTCAGAGTAGGCAAAATTCTAAATATAGACAGTAGATTGGTCATTTCCAGGGTTGGTTTTTTGTTTTGGGTTTTGTTTTTTTTTGTATTGATGGAAATAAATGCTCTGGAATTATTGACGATGTTCAGAAAAACCTCATGAATATATTAAAAACCACTGGCATATGTTTTTTATATGTTTTAAAAGGATGAGTTTTATGGCAATGTGAACTATATTTCAATAAAACTTATTTTTAAAAGTTCTATGGTTAGGAATTATTAAAACACCACATGGATATTTAGCTAACAGTTGGAGAAAAAAGAAAAAAAAATAGAGGTGATACCTAACCCAGAGTAGAGAGATTGGTAACACCATCTGGAGAAATTATGTCTAAACTGAGACCAGACTGATAGATAAATAGGAAGCAATTAGGCAAAGGGTTTAGTATTGTAGGCAGAGGCAACAGTATGAAAGCCTGGAGGCAAGGGAAAAAATTACCTTCTGAAGACTGAAAGTAGCTGAAGGATAGAGTTGACATTGGGTAGGAGTAAGAAATGAAGCTAAACAGTGTTTAACCCATCTTTGTGACCTCATGCCATTACCTGATACATAGTGGGTGCTTAGCAAATGTCTTAAGTGACATGTTTCTTTGTTCCTTAGTCTTAAAAAAAAAAAAAGTCTAGTTTGACATGAAATGGCTTGGGCAGGGAAGGTGGCTAGAACAGAAATAAGAAAAGATTGTAATAATCGTGGTGAGGAGTGATGGTAGCCTGGAGTAAAGTGTTGGCGGTGGGCATGGAGATAGAGAGGTATTTAGGAACTTCAGAGGAAGAATCTTGATATGGTGATTACTTAAGCTGCAAGGTGTGACAAGAGGGAAGAAAACCCAGGCTTTTGAGATATGGAACCTAAAGGAAGAAATGGCTTTTATGGAAACAGAAAGGGATATGAGGATGAAGATAAGTTTAATCTTAGCCATGTTGAATATTGAGGCACTTAACAGACAGCCAAGACCAGCAGGCTGTAGCATGTGTGGGACTGAAGCCCAGGGGGTGGGTTGAAAATCCAGATTTGCGAGTTGTCAGTTTCTAGTTGGTGGCTAAAGACAAAGGAGTGATTGAGACGCGCATCTTTAAGCACCAAATAAATGCACCAGAGATGTCGAATATTGTTAGAAAATACATTTGAAATAAAATATTAGAAATATATAAAATATTTAAAATATCAAAACCCCATAACTTTTGTCATTAGGCACAATGGTAACCCTAGGAAAACTGGACTCTAATGCAAAGTTTCATGAGACCAAACCCACCCCCAACAAAAAGAGCCCTGACTCCTTCCTTCTGCAAGCAAGCTAAATATGGATTCTCTGAAGGAAAGAAGGAAAGAGATAATGAGTGTTTCTTTTACTGACTTGGGGTGAGATTATCCAAAGATTGAGGGCTGTACCTCAAGCACTCCAGTTCTCTACAGGCAATGCCATGAAGCCTTCCATAAAAGCTTTGATCTGGCCAGGCGAGGTGGCTCACACCTGTAATCCCAACACTTTGGGAGGCTGAGGTGAGTGGATCACCTGAGGTCCGGAGTTTGAGACCAGCCTGGCCAACATGGCGAAATCCCGTCTCTACTAAAAATGCAAAAATTAGCCAGGCGTGGTGGCATGTGCCCATAATCCCAGCTACTCAGGAGGCTGAGGCAGGAGAGTCACTTGAACCCGGGAGGCGGAGGTTGCAGTGAGCCAAGATCGTGCCACTGAGCTCCAGCCTGGGCAACAGAGCAAGATTCTGTACCCCCGACCCCCCGCCAAAAAAAAGCTTTGATCTGCCATGAGAAGGCACCCATGATTTGTGGTGAACCTCAGGTTACAATAATAAGCGTAGGTTGTGGCCCCACAGAGGCCTCCTTAATTCTCTTGTAGCCTCTTGACACCCACCCCACCCCACATCATCCTCCAACCTCAGGGTAAAGTGAGCCACTGCACTTTGGGGAGAAGTTGCAAAGGCAGTGTGTCAGAGGCCAGTGGTTTTACTCTAATACCCATTGTTTTCTTTCCTAGAGTTCTTTGAAGAAATATTCTTTTTTTCTCAAGCTAATTCAAATTAAGTTTCTGTCACTTCCACCAAGAATTCTGAAGTCCAACTTCATCAAAATCTTAGCTCGACTTACCATAACAAAATACCAGCTTGAAGAAGGGAAATTTATTTTCTTACAGTTTTGGACGCTGGAAGTTCGAGATCAGGGTACCAGCCTGATCAGGTTCTGGAGAGGGCCCTCTTCCTGGCTTGCAGATCACCACTTTCTTGCTCCTCTTCTTGTAAGGCCACAGTCCTCTTGGATTAGGGCTCTACCTTATACCTCATGTGACCTTAATTACCTCCTAAAGACACTATGTCTGGATACAGTCACATTGGGGGCTAGGGTGTCAACATATGAATTTTGGGGGGACACAACTCAGTCCATAACATCTGTCATTATGCCCACTGGCCTTGGAGAGTTAGTAGAAGGCCCTCATCCTTGCCCGAAAGAATACGATAACATCAGACTTCTTTGGTACACAGATTATAGTAAAAGTTCAGGCAAAGCCATGCTGACTGCACTAGGGACAGGGATATGTTATGCTTCACTGAAAGACAATACCTTGATTCTTTTGTAGCTGATAAGCATGATGACTGGAGTTTCACGTGCATGTGTGAGATATACCTCCCTCCAACCTTGTTACCACATCTGCACATTACCTGCCTGATGTGAACAAAAGAAAAGAAAGATTTTTTTTTTTAAAGACCATGCCTTTGAATTGGATTTCACAGCTCCCTGCTAGGAAAACAAGCAGTCACAATTTTCTCTGGTAGTAACGGGACACTTACAGGATAAAAAGATGTATGCATAAGAATGTTCATCCTAGTGTGGTTTCCCCTAATGAAAAAGTAGAAATATCCTCAATGTCCATCAATAGGCATCTTGATGTCCATCAAGAACTTTAGGATATATGCATGCTTTGGATACTAGACAGCCACTGAAAATCAAGCAGAAATGACTCTCATTAATTTTGTTACATATGGTAATGATATTGGGGCTATATAGGAAAATGTCCTTACTTATTTAGAGGTACAGACAGTCCCCGACATGATTTTTTGACTTTATAGTGGTGCAAAACAGCTACTTGTGGGGGCTGAGGCAGAAGAATCACTTAAGCCAGGGAGGTTGAGACTACAGTGAGCCGAGATCACACCACTGCACTTCAGCCTGGGTGACAGAGTGAGACCCCGTCTCTAAAAAAAAGAAAGAAAGAAAGGAAAAGAAAAACAAAAATCATAAATTGAAAATGCACTTTTTATGTGTGAGATAGGGTCTCACTCTGTCACACAGGCTGGAGTAAAGGAGCGCAATCTCAGCTCACTTCAGCCTCGACCTCCCACGCTCAAGTGATTCTCCTGCCTCAGCCCCTCAAGTGGCGGGGACCACAGGCCTGCACCACCACACCCGGCTAATTTCTTTTTACTTTTGGTAGAGAGGTTTCACCATGTCGCCCAGGCTGGTCTCAAACTCCTGAGCTCAAGCAATCCACCCGCTTTGGCCTCCCAACATGCTGGGATTACAGGTGTGAGCCACTGTACCCGGTCTGCACTTTTGACTTACAATAACTTCAATGTACTATGGTTTTGCATATACTAAAATACTTAGGCACAATGTAGTATAATAAAGAATATATCAAGTCTTCATCCCCCATTCCTGGCACAGTGCTTCAAATGCTCTTGAAATTTTCCAAGTGATGGCAATGCCTTTGTTACAGTAATGAAGTGACTCTGTGCAGACCCCTAGATATCTTCAGGATGAGGTTTGGTGACCAGAAAGACCAACCATGTGTTTAGAAGGTTGGGACTCTGGGCCCCTTGGAACTCTGGTAGGAACTCTAGGAGAGAGAGGAGCTTAAGATGAGTTCAATCATGTGGTCAATTGTTTAATCAATCATGCCTACACTTTGAAACCCCAGCAAAAACTCTGAACACCAAAGTTCAGTGGCTGATCCTAGTTTAACACATTGGTGTGCTGAAATGGTGATGCCCCGTGATTCCAGGAGAGGGCATGGAAACTCTGTCTTCCTCCCAGGCCTCTAACAATTTTTTTTTTTTTTTTGAGATGGAGTCTCACTCCATCACCCAGGCTGGAGTGCAGTGGTGCGATCTCAGCTCACTGCATCTCCACCTCCTGGGTTCAAGCAATTCTCCTGCCTCAGCCTCCCAAGTAGCTGGGATTACAGGTATACACCAACACGCTCAGCTAATTTTTTTATATTTTTAGTAGAGACGGGGTTTCACCACGTTAGCCAAGCTAGTTTCAAACTCCTGACCTCAAGTGATCCACCTGCCTCTGCCTCCCAAAGTGCTATGATTACAGGTGTGAGCCACTGCTCCAGGCCATGTTTTATAATAAAACTTTAATCATAAGTATTATGCTTTCCTGAGTTCTGTGAGTTGTTCTAGCAAATTATCAAGCATGTGGGGACTGTGGGAACCCCTGAGTTTGCAGCCAGTTGGTCAAAAGAGCAAGGGCTTAGGGACATCCCAAAGTGAGGCTGATGTCTGAAATGAGAGCATCTTATAAAAGACTGAGCCCTTAACGCCATGGAGTCTGATACTAACTCTGGGTAAATAACATCAGAATTGGGCTGGGCATGGAGGCACATGCTTATAATCCCAGCACTTTGGGAGGCCAAGGCAGGTGGATCATTTGAGCTCAGGAGTTTGAGACCAGCCTGAGCAACATGGCGAAACCCCATCTCTACAAAAAAAAAAAACAAAAACAAAAAACAAAAATTAGCCAGAAGTGGTGGTGAGCACCTGTGGTCCCAACTACTGGGGAGGCTGAGGTGGGAGGATCACCTGAGCCTGGGAGGCAGAGGTTGAAATGAGCCAAGATCGTGCCACTGCACTCCAGCCTGAACAAGAGCGAGACCCTGTCTCAAAAAAAAAAAAAAAAAGTTGCTGTTTTTTAAATAACCAACAGCCCTTTGAATTGAATTATAGCTCACCTAGTTGGGGTGGAAACAGAACAGGTAAGCTGTTCATCATGTCTATAATTGAGTTTAACATATAAAAACCAAAAAAAAGGTAAAGCAAATATGGCAAAATAATAATGTTATAGGGAATAAATAAATGTGTTTACCATTCTCTCTACTTTTCTATATGTTTGAAGTTTTCCATATTAAAAAAAATTGCTTGATGACTCATGACAGAAAAAAGTAAAAGCTGGAAACAAAATTGTATCAGTTTTTGTTTATTGACACAAAAAGATATCTCAGAAATATTATTGGAAAAGAAACAGGTTATGAATCAGCCTGTTAAAAATGCTTGTTGATACAAAAACATATTTGTATATTGGCAAAGAGAGGGGTTTGGAAGAATAGACAACAAAATGTTAACAATGGTTATCTCTGGTGATGAGATTTTGAATGGTTTATATTTTTTTCTTTTTTTTTTTTCTTTTTTCTTTTTTAAGACAGAGTCTCCCTCTGTCGCCCAGGCTGGAGTTCAGTGGCGCCATCTCAGCTCACTGCCATCTCCACCTCCCAGGTTCAAGCAATTCTCCTGCCTCAGCCTCCCAAGCTGGGATTACAGGTGCTCACCACCACACCCGGCTAATTTTGTATTTTTAGTAGAGATGGGGTTTCACCATGTTGGCCAGGCTGGTCTCGTTCTCCTGACCTCAAGTGATCCACCTGCCTTGGCCTCCCAAAGTGCTGGGATTACAGGCGTGAGCCACTGCGCCCAGCCAGTTTATAGTTTCCTTTTTGTGTTTTTCTTCATAGCACTATCACCACTTGACACATTCCATACTTTTGTTGTTTTAGCTACTCCCTTCATTAAAGTGTAAGTTCCCTGATGAGAAAAGAAAATAGCTTTAATCTGAGGAATGAGAATTCTTTTAAATTATCAGGCGCAGAGAGGCATGAAAATGAAACAATCACGCCCTACTTCCCCATTTTGAACTATGTATTCGTCTCTTGAACTCCTTGCTATTGCCACAAGTAGCTAAAAATTAACTAAAATTAACCTAATAATGCCATACCAGACACCATAACCCACATTCTGTAGCTTAACAGTGTATGGCACTCAATAGTCAATGTTATTTCTATAAACCAATTAGAATTTTTGACAGATAACTTTGTATCGGCCTACTAGGTTTCCCCCTTTTTTGACTTTAAAAACCTGCTATAGTAAAGGCCAAATGGAGCTCATATCCAAGGGTACTTGGGTCTGAGACTTCTGGGCAGCTCTTCTCACTTTGTCTCAAATAAATTCTTTCTGACAGGGTCTTTCTCTGTCACCCAGGCTAGAGTGCAGCAGCGCAATCATGGCTCACTGCAGCCTCCAACTCCTGGACTCAAGTAATACTCCTGCTGAGTAGCTCCTAGCAAGTAGCTGGGACTACAGTTGTGCACCACCATGCCCAGCTACTTTTTAAATTTTTTGTTGTTGTTGTTGAGATGCAGTCTTGTTTTGTTGCCAGGGTTGGTCTTGAATTCCTTGCCTCAAGCGATCCTCCCACTTCAGCCTCCCAAAGTGCTGGGATTACAGGCGTGAGCCACTTTGCCTGGCCTCTAGTAAACTCTTCAAATTGTATTTTGTGTCTCTGCCTCTTTCATTTAGGTCAACAATGCAAACAGAAACTCTGTGTTGGTCACTGCCATATCCCCAGTGCTTTGAACAGTGGCTGGCATATGGTAGACAGAAAATAAATAGTTGTTGAATGCGTTAATAAGGTTCACATCATTTGAATCTTTTTTTTTATAGACAGGTTCTTGCTCTGTTGCCCAGGCTGGAGTGCAGTGGTGGGATCATAGCTCTCACAGCCTCAAACTTCTGGATTCAAGTGATCCTCCCACCTCAGCCTCCCAAGTAGCTGGAACTACAGGCCTGTGCCATTATGCTAATTTTTAAAATTTTTTGTAGAGATAAGATCTCGCTATGTTGCCCAGGCTAGTCTCAAACTCCTGGCCTCAAGTGATCCTCCTGCCTCAACCTCCCAAAATTCCAGGATTACAGGCGTGAGCCATCACGCCCAGCCTGAATTTTTTCTTTATAGTGATTGTTTACATTTATTATAGTTTTTAAAAATTAATTTTTTTTAATTCCAGCACCCATTTCAGAAGGGTCCCTGTACATCCCTGTCATCACATACACAATAACTGGCCAATAGTAATGATCATGTGAAGTAACTTTTGGGCTTCATTGATGAGAACTTGGTCTTTTGGGGTGCCACCAACTTCAATTATCTTGGCGCCAGCTAAGAGTTGCATTATAAGGCCAGACATGACAATGGGAGAGATCCCCAGCTCCAGCTCCATCAATGTGCCTCTGTTAGAGGCTAGAATCACTCTCATCCAATAGAAAGGGTCAACTGAATCTGAAGACATGATACCAAATAGAGGAATCTGGCAGCACACTAAGAAGATAAAGAGGGCAATAGTGGTCCACAGCACTTTCTCCTTAAACTGAATCCTCCTCTCCAGCTTCTAAATTTCCAGCAGGATGACACAGAAGGGCTTGATGACTTGCAGAAATTTGATCACCATGGCGGCGGCTGCTCAGGCTCTGGGTCCCGCCTCGGCTCAGCTCTGCTCCGTGTGAGGCAACGCTGCCCGCAGCCCAGCCTGTTCCACTGCACAGCTAAAGAGAGAGTCTGGCTATGTTGCCCAGGCTAGCCTTGAATGCCTGAGCTCAAGCGATCCTCCTGCCTCAGCCTCTTAAGTAGCTGGGACTACAGGCACAGGCCGCCACACCCAGTGATTACTTACATTCTTAACAAGCATATTTTATCAAAAACAACACAGCTGGAGTTTCCCTGCCCCCCAAAACAATGACACTATAAACTTGAAGTTATAATTGTCAGGGGCCAGTGTTGGCTGAATCTTGGTGGCTGTTTGTGGAGAAAAGGCCACATGGCACCAACCTCTCCTGACTCAACTTCTCCTGACTTACCAGCCCTCAGGGCACATACTCTAGACCAAATTCCTGCAGCTGCACAACCTAAGACAGCCACAAACCCAGCACCAAACACATTTCTTTTCCCTCAATTAAACCCAATTCAGGGTTTGCGTGCTGAGGACAGCATCTGCCTTTGTCTGGCTCTTCAGCTCAGAACCACCCTGAGTCATAGCCAGCATTTCACTGGATTTCAATTGCAAAGCAAATGCAAACTGGTGGGAGGGGCTGGAGGTGGAGGACACTGAACCGAGATCTTGAACTTCCATGAATCATGATGTTACAGAATTTTTTTTAAGGAATCAGAGAGACCAGTGGGGTTCAGGAGGATATTTATTATTTAGGTGCACCGGCTCAGTCAGATTAACATCCAAAGGACTGAGCCTTGAAGAAAGAGTTGTTACCTTTTAAGCATTTCGTAGGGTGGAGGGAGATCCGTGCAGGGGAAAGTATACTACAGAAGCGAGAAGCAAAGACAGTTTTTCAATTAATTGAGACATGCATTACATCATTTCTTACTTTTCAAGGAAAAACATGTTTTATGACTTGAGTTTATCTGTCTAGTGACCTTGCAGCTGCATAGCTAGGGAAATAGGGTCTTCACAATGCCTGGGAAAAGAGGAGAGATAAAGCTTACTAGCCACAGAAAAATAGGCAGTTAATTTTTAAAGGACTCCAGCTCTTTTTCTTTCTCGGGGGAATTGGGTTTTCTTACATACAGCTGAGTTTCTGCTTACACACTCTTTAATTTCTTTTAATTCCTGTTTCAATGAGAGCACAAATTAACTGCCTACAGCCACAAGGAGCCTTGCTGGAAGATTTTCTGAGGGACAGTTGTGACATGCTGGGGTGGGAAAGTACTAAGTAGGTCTGCATTCTTCTGAACATAAACAGAGTGAAATTCATTTCAGAAAAGGAAATATGATACAGAGAACCCCAGGGAAACAGAATAGAAAAAAAAAATCCTAATTCAGTAAAAGGAGCACCAAACTACCCCTGACCCCATCTCTCTTAATCACACTCAAAGGCTTTCCTTGACGGTTTTCTCTTTGGAATCCAGATGTAGAGGAGGGAGAAAAGTAGCTTTCACCCCAAAAAGATTAATTTATATAATTCATATTATATCCAGTTTATTGATACCCAGCCCTGAAGTATACTTCAGGGTGGTGAGCAATGCATTGGTGCTGGTGTGATCTGGCCGAACTGCTGGACAACCAGGCTGATGGATCAATGCTCTTCTCCCACAAATACAAAAAGCACCGCTCACTGTAAGGGGAAAAGTGACTCTCGTACAGCACTAGGAAGAGAGCTGTCCTAAAAACCAGACTCCTTGGTGCCAATCCCAACACCACTTCTTTCCAGCCAGGTGACTCCAGCCAAATAACTACCTTCCTAAGCTGGATTCCCCTACCAAAAGGGGAACCAGACACAGTGACTCACACTTGTAATCCCTGCACTTGGGGAGGCCAAGGCGGGAGGATGGCTTGAGCCCAAGACTTGAAGACCAGCCTGGGCAACATAGTGAGACCCCATCTCTGCAAAAAATAAAAAAATTAGCCAGGCAATATGGCATGAGTCTGTAGCCCCAGCTACTCTGGAGGTTGAGGTGGGAAGATCCTTGAGCCTGGGAGGTCAAGGCTTCAGAGAGCTGAGCTGTGATCACGCCACTGCACTCCAGCCTGGGCGACAAAGTTAGATGCCCCTCCAAAAAAAAAAGCGGGGCATTGGGAGGCAGGTGTTCATAATACCTACCAATCCAACATACAGGAAAACCAGATAATGTGAAAGTGGCTTGGAATTGGTTCACTGTAAACAACTATAAAATGATTAAACACTGTTTTACAAATATGTGGAGTCAGTAACTTCTGGTCTTAGAAATAATATTTAGAAATAATTCACAGAATCCGGGCACCGTGACTCATGCCTGTAATCCCAGGACTTTGGGGGGCTGAGGCAGGTGGATCACTTGAGGCCAGGAGTTTGAGGCCAGCCTGGCCAACGTGGTGAAACCCCGTCTCTACTAAAAATACAAAAATTAGCCGGGCATGGTGGCAGATGCCTGTAATCCCAGCTACTTGGGAGGCTAAGGCTGGAGAATTGCTTGAACCTGGGAGGCAGAGGTTGCAGTGAGCCGAGATGGAGCAACTGCACTCCAGCCTGAGCGACAAGAGCGAAACTCAGTCTCAAAAAAAAAAGGGAAATAATTTACAGATTTTTACCAAAACCCAATAGCCCTTTGGAACATCGGAAGAATCGTGTATTTAATGAGTTACCAAGTCAGGAAACAAGACAAAGTCTTGGCTACCCCACCAGCCAAGCACCCTAGACCACTGTCACATTACCACACTGCCTGCAGCTTCCTGCTTCCTGGGGCCAAACTGCTTGGCAGCCAGCTATTGCTTCCTGAAGAATTTAGATATTTACATCCACTCATAACTCTCCCCCTCCCTGTCACTCTGCTTAGTGGGTACTGAGTACGTACCTGCTCTGGTTCCACACCACTGCATTTAGACCCCAGAGGCTCTTTCCCTGAACAAACTCAAAGCCCTCATCAATGTCCTCCAGCGTTCTAGATCTCTCTGCAGCCTCCAATTTCCCTCTTCCTCCAATGCCCAAATCCTCACCTTCCAGGACTCCAACTTCCAGGACTCATTCCTCTCTGGTTGTCACTCTGATTCTTAATCACGGCTATCAACCCATTGCAGGTGAAATCACCTGGGGGACTTTTAAAAATACCAATGCCTGGGTGCCTTCCTAGAGCAATCAAATCAGAAACTCTGGGGCTAGGTCTGGAGTGCCAATCTAGGTATTTTACAGCTCCCCGGTGATTCTAATGTGCAACTGTGTTGATAGCCATGCCTTCATTTTGTTACAGAAGAGTTTCTCAACGGGAGAGCCACTGGCATTCGGGGGAATTCTTCCTTGTGCAAGGAAGCACTGCAGCCTGTCACTAACACACCCCAGTCATAGCAGTAGCCAAAAATACATTAAACATCTCCACATGCCCTTAGCTGAGAATCTCATCAACTCTTCTTCCTTTCATGCGCTTCTTAAGAGTCAAAGCATACATACCCCATGGCTCTTCAGGTTTTTGGTTGCTTTTTTGAGACAGGGTCTTGCTCTGTCACCCAAGCTGGACAATGGTAAGATCTCAGCTCACTGAAGCTTTGACCTTCTGGGTTCAAGCAATCCTCCACCTCAGCCTCCCAAGTAGCTGGGACCACAGGTGCATGCCCCTATGCCTGGCTTATTTTTAAATTTTTTTGCAGAGACAAGATCTTCCTATGTTACCCAGGCTGGTCTTGAACTGAACTCAAGCAATCCTCCCGCCTCAGCCTCCCAAAGCACTGGGAGTACAGGCATGAGGCACCATGCCCAGCTGGCTCTTCATTTCTTTTTTCTTTCTTTCTTTCTTTTTTTTTGTGAGATGGAGTCTTGCTCTTGTCACCCCAGGCTGGAGTGCAATGGCGTGATCTTAGCTCACTGCAACCTCCGTCTCCTGGGTTCAAGCGATTCTCCTGCCTTAGCCTCTGGAGCAGCTGAGACTACAGGTGCCCGCCACCATGCCCAGCTAATTTTTGTATTTTTAGTAGAGACAGGGTTTCATCATGTTGGCCAGGCTGGTCTTGAACTCCTGACCTCAAGTGATCCAACCACCTCAGCCTCTCAAAGCGCTGGGATTACAGGCGTGAGCCACCACACCCGGCCAGCTTTTCAGTTCTTATATGACCAATTGTTATTTGCTTAGGACTGAGGGGTTTTCCAGGACATGTGATTTTCTTTTTTTTTTTTTCTTTTTTTTTTTTGAGACGGAGTCTCACTCTGTCGCCCAGGCTGGAGTGCAGTGGTGCCATCTTGGCTCACTGCAAGCTCCGCCTCCAGGGTTCATGCCATTCTCCTGCCTCAGCCTCCCTAGTAGCTGGGACTACAGGTGCCCACCACCACGCCCGGCTAATTTTTTGTATTTTTAGTAGAGACGGGGTTTCATCGTGTTAGCCAGGATGGTCTCAATCTCCTGACCTCGTGATCCACCCGCCTTGGCCTCCCAAAGTGCTGGGATTATAGGCATGAGCCACCGCACCAGGCCTGACATGAGATTTTCAGCGCCAAATGCAGGGAAGTCCTAGGCAAACACAGATGATTGGTCATCCTAGATTTTCTTGTAGTGTCTTCCCTAAGAGATAAAATTTTTTTTTTTCTGTTTCCCTCATGCCTTTTCTGGGATCTAGGCCTTCCCAGCCCAGCCTTCCTCCATTTAGGGATATACTAGGAAAAGCCTGGAGGAAGTTGCTGATGCAAGCCGGATCACCTGAGTTCCTCCCTGGGAATTTGCAACTGGAACTAGATGCCCGTCTCAGGTTGCCTTGTGCTCCAAAAGAGTTTTTTTGTTGTTGTTTGTTTGTTTTTGTTTTTTTGAGATGGAGTCTTGCTCTGTCACCCAGGCTGGAGTACAGTGGTGAGATCTCGACTCACCGCAGCCTCCGCCTCCCAGGTTCAAGTGATTCTCTGCCTCAGCCTCCTGAGTAGCTGGGATAACAGGTGTCTGCAACCACGCCCAGCTAATTTTTGTATTTTTAGTAGAGATGGGGTTTCACCATGTTGGCCACGCTGGTCTCAAACTCGTGGCCTCAAGTGAGCCGCCCGCTTTGGCCGCCCAAAATGCTAGGATTACAGGTGTAAGCCACCATACCCGGCCCCAAAAGAGATTTCAACTTAGGAATTGTCTGTGGTCATTTTCTACCGTGAAGACTTTTGCAGGGATGTGGAGGTGAATGGTCAGTGGAAGACAGCTTGTCTGCAACAAGAGAGGAAACGCACATGCAGAGCAGAGGTGAGATGGAAACTTTCCCCAATTTCCCGCAGTGGTCTGGGCCAGGGATTCTCAGATGTGAGCCTCCATCACCAGCACCTGGAGAGTTTGTCAAAACACAGATTGCTAAACTGGGCACGCTGGCTCACCCCTGTAATCCCAGCGTTTTAGGAGGCCAAGGTGGGTGGATCACCTGAGGTCAGGAGTTTGAGACCAGCCTGGCCAACATGGCAAAATCCCGTCTCTACTAAACAAAAATTAGCTGGGCATGGTGGTGGGCACCTGTAATCCCAGCTACCTGGGAGGCTGAGGCAAGAGAATCACTTGAACCCAGGAGGCAGAGGAGGTTGCAGTGAACTGAGATTACGCTGCTGCGCTCCAGCCTGGGTGACAGAGCGAGACACTGTCTCAAGGAAAAAAAGAAAGAAAGAAAGAAAGAAAAAAAAACCCCACAGTCTGCTGAGTCCCACTGCTAGAGTTTCTGAGTCACGAGGCCTGGGGTGTGGCCCAAGGATCTGCTTTTCTAAGGAATTCCCAGGTGGTACCGACACTACAGGTTAGGGGCTTGACTAATGGTGAGGACCCCTGCTCTGGGCCAGAGGGCTGAACCAGAGAGCTTAGTTCAGCATCCTCCCCAGAGTCCCCACCCAGCCTGTGAGCATCCAGCAGGCCCAGTCCCTGTCTTTGGGTTACATGAGTCTGTATCTTTCTAACAAATTCTCCCTTTTTTCCCCTAAACAGCTTAATTGTGATATAATTCACACACCATACTTAATTGTGATATAATTCACACACCATACAATTCACCCACTTAAAGTATTACAACTCAGTGGTTTCTAGTATATTCACAGAAATGTGCAACCATCACCACAGTCCATTTAAAAAGGAAGGAAATGTTGACACATGCAACAATACGGATGAACCGAGGACATTATACTAGTGAAATAAACCAGTCGGAAAAAGACAAATATTATTTGGTTCCACTCATAGGAGGTAACTAGAATAGTCAGATTCACAAAAACAAAGTAGAATGGCAGTTGCCAGGGGCCGAGGGGAGGGGAAAATGGAGAGTTGATTTGTACAGAGTTTCAGTTTTGCAAGATGAGGGAGTTCTGAGGACTGGCTGCACAGCGATGTTGTAACCACATTACACCAATCTGGTTCAACTTCTATGTAGCAAAGTTGTGAGTTGTTTTTCAGTGGTCATGGCCCTGCAGGTTGGAGGGGGCAATGCCCGGATGAACATCGTGTGCAACCATGAATGGGAACTAAGTGCTCGGACCAAGGAACCAGGCTGAATTAAGAAGCAAACACCAGGCTGGGCGCTGGTGGTGTACGCCAGTAACCCCAGCACTCTGGGAGACCGAGGCAGAAGGATTACTTGAGCCCAGGAGTTCGAGACCAGCCTGGGCAACATGGTGAGATCCCATCTCTAAAATAAAAAATAAAAATAAAAATAAAAGCAGACACCATGGCAGGACCCATGATCCAATCAGATTGAGCTCTGGGGTGACCCTATGGCAGGATCTAGTCAGATCACTCCTCATTACCCTATGCTAATTAAAATCCAACCCAGCCTCCAGCTCCAGGAGACAGATTTGAACATTTCTTCCTGTCTCTTTGTCTGTCAACTCACAAACCTTTCTCACTGCAAAAACTGTGTGTTTTGGTGTTTGGCTTTCTGTTGCATGCTGGCAAATGGACCCAGTTTTGGTTTGCTGACAATGCGAATATACTTAACACTGAACTGTACATTTAGAAATTGTGAAGATAGTGAATTTTATATTATACCTTTTTTTATTTTGCCACAATAAAAAGTAATTTTCTCTGTCTTTTTTTTTTTAAAGACATATGGCCTCTGTCACCCAGGCTGGAGTGCAGTGGTGTAGTCATAGCTCACAGCAGCCTTGAACACCTGGGCTGAAGCCATCCTCCCACCTCAGCTTGCCAAGTAGCTGGGATTACAGGCATGAGCCACTGTGCCTGGCAAAAGTTATTTAAAAACTTTTTTAATGTCTTTTAAAAGGAGACTTTCTGATGTGGTCAAAGGAAGCAGTTGGTATCCAGATTCAGCTGAACTTAATACACTTCCTTGGTTTAATTTATGGAAATATTTATATAGTTCCCATTTAATTATCCTCCAAGGACATGTCTGCTCAGAGGATCATCCTAGTTCTCTGGCCAACAATAAACAGGAACTGAGACAGAGTGATGGACGATATGACTCTTAGTGTTTCTGTCATGGCACATTGGCCTTTATGGGTCATTGCCCATGTGTTCCAGGATTTAGGATGAATTTTAATATGTCACTCTGCGTGGGCTACGGATTGGGTTTTATTAGGGAAAGTGAAATCTTACAAGGCTGGGTCAACAAGCAAAGGGGAAGCAGGAGTCTCCCATTCTATTCTCCGTCCCATAGAGAAGTATGTGAAGGTCAGGGTCTCAGCTGGATCTGCAGGATAGGTCCATGTTCTGCTGTATTAGTTAGGGAATAAATGTAAGAAACCAGTCTGTGAGTAGGGAACACATGAGTGGTTTGGGTGCTGGGCAGCTTGGATGTAGGGTGCCAGGGGTTCAGAGGAGATGGGAGGAATTCCTGCTTCCCAGTATTTGGAGACCTTGGGCCTGTGGGAAGGTGCAGTCACCCTGTGTGAGGAGGGAGTCTGCCCATGCTGTGGAGGCTGAGCTCCTTCCACCAGGAATAGGCTTACTTGCAGTTCCAGCTGGCTGGCCCAGGTAACCTTGAATGAGCTTCCAGAGCAGCTTCCAGGCAATTCTGCTCATTTCACCACAGTTTCTGAATTCAAAAATAAATAAAAAACACATTTGTCCTATTTGGTGTTCTTTGTTTTCTATGACTCTGCTGCTTTCCTCTTGAAGAATCACTAATTTGCCTACTATAACTGCCTATGTGTGGTCTCCTTTTCAAAAGGCAGCTCTAGGATTGCTTGAGCCTGGGAGGTCCAGGCTGCAGTGAGCTGTGATTGCGCCACTGCACTCCAGCCTGGATAACAGAGCAAGACCCTGTGTCAATAAATAAATAGTTAAGTAAAAAGCAGTTCTTATGAGGGATATGAACAGGCTCCTAAAGAAACACAAAAGACTAATAGATACATGAAAAGATGTTAAGCCTCACCAGTAGTCAATGAAAATGCAAGTAAAGAGCAAAATGGCAGCACTTTTCAATTATATTGGAAACAGTTTGCATATTGAAAAAGATTTGTCTATGTTATCAAGGTTGTGCGGGAAAGGGTGTCATCTTGGAGTGCTGAGGGGAATTCTAGCAATCTATGCCAAAATTTTGAATATCTGTAACCTCTGACCCTCAAAACTACATTCCTAGGAATTTATTCCAACTAGGTAATCTGACAAGTGAGCAATGATAGATGTACAAGATTATTTGACAATGTATTGCCCACATAAGTGAAAAATGGAAACACTATGTACACCTATGGACAGGTAGTTAAATTCTGAAACATCCACAGAGTGAAATACTATGCAGTCATGACAAAGAATGATGCATACTACCATATGCCACCAATTCTAAAATGATTATTTTATGCTTTTTCACAGTTGTTACATTCCATGGCATATCGCAGTTTATTTGGCAGCATTTTTTTCTTTCTTAATGGCACCTAAACTTATAGGGCATTTAACAGGTGATAGCATATTATGTTTCATGAAATATTGTATATTTGCTGACATACGGCTGAGTGGAAAATGGCCTCTCTAACCATATGTAATGTGGTTCCAGTTACATGCAAATTTTAAGATATGTTTATATTGGCAGGGTGTGGTGGCTCACACCTGTAATTCCAGCACTTTGGGAATCTGAGGTGGGTGGATCGCGAGGTCAGGAGTTCGAGACCAGCCTGGCCAATATGGTGAAACCCCATCTCTATTAAAAAATACAAAAATTAGCCAGGCGTGGTGGCATGTGCCTAGAGTCCCAGCTACTCGGGAGGCTGAGGCAGGAGAATCGCTTGAACCCGGGAGGCAGAGGTTGCAGTGAGCTGAGATCATGCGACTGCACTGCAGCCTGGGTGACAGAGTGAGACTCTGTCTCAAAAAAAAAAAAAAAAGATATTTTTATATTTATACATGCATGCACATACCAGAAGTTAGCAGAGACCCCACCCCCACTCCTTCACTGCCTCATTTCTTGGGATTCCCGGCAGAGTTTACACAGATTCCCTGCTAAGGCCACAGGCTGTCGAAATCCAAAACTATCCTTGTAGATTTCTGCCAGCCCCAGTGCTCCTTTTCCCATGGTCTCCCCTCCTGCCATCAGAGCTGCTTGCAAGGAATCCCACGTAGAACTCCCTATCATGTAGATGGAGCAACTCAGAGCATTCATGAGGTATTTCTGGAAATGCTTGGTGACCATTTGGAGGTGGCAGGGAATGGTCACATGGGCAGGTCACAGCTTTTCTGTTCCTATTAGCTTCCTCTTTCCTTCTTTCACCCCTTTCTGGAAGGAGTAAAAGAATCTCTTCTCTTCATCTTGTGTGTAGAATTCAGGATGGAAGCCTGGCTTAAGGGATATTTCCTCCTTTTTGGCACAGTCTCCGAAAATGTCAACGTTTCAAAGTGTTTGAAGGCAATACATTGACACAATGGTTGTTGAGACTATGAGAAAGAATATTTGAGAAAGCAGTGTGTCTTAGTCCATTTGGGCTACGATACCATAGACTGGGTGGCTGATACACAACAGAAATTGATTTCTTACAGTTCTAGAAGCTGGGAAGTCCAAGATCAAGACACAGGCAGATGCAGTGTCTGGTGAGGGCCCATTTCTTGGTTCATAGATTGCAGCGTCTTGCTGTGTCTTCACATGGTGGAAGTGGCCGTGAGGTTCTCTGGGGCCTCTTTTATAAAGTTACTAATTTTATTGATTAAGTCTCTGCCCTCATGACCTCATCTCTTAAAACTCCCACTTGCTCATGTCATCATATTGGAGATGAGGTTTCAATGTATCACTTTTGGGGGCACACAAACATTCAAACCATAGCACAGTGTGAAAGTAACACAGTGAGAAAGCTAGAGAAGTTTTCAAAAACTGGTGTGTTTTTAGGTGCCTGCCAGCTACCACCCCCAAACAGTGCAGGGAGGCTGTTTCCTTTCTTGGGTGTTCTACTGACCACTAATTTTTACCTCTAACCCAAACGTTTATTAAAATATTTTCTTCCAGTTTTCATCAAACTTGAACTGTTGCTCTGTAAAAGACAATTTTAAAAGAATTAAATAATAAACTACAGATGAGGCATAATATTGCAAATCACATACATGGCAAAGAATTTGCATCTGGAATATATAAAGAACTCCCAAAATTCAGTCATAAGAAATGGACAAACAACCCAATTTAAAAATGGGCAAAAAACTTGAACAGACAATTCACCAAAGAAAATATATAGAAGACAAATAAGTACATGAGAAGATGTTCAACATCATTAGCCATTAGGGAAATACAAATTAAGATATCACTACACACTTAATAGAATAATAAAAATAAAAAATAACAGGCCAGGAATGGCAACTCACGTCTGTAATCCCAGCACTTTTGGAGGCTGAGGTGGGCAGATCACTTGAGGCCACGAGTTCAAGACCAACCTGGCCAACATGGTGAAACTCCATCTCTACTAAAAATACAAAAATTAGCTGGGCCTGGTGGTGCACACCTGTAATCCCAGCTACTCAGGTGGCTGACGCACAAGAATTGCTTGAGGCTGGGCGCGGTGGCTCACACCTGTAATCCCAGCACTTTGGGAGGCCAAGGCAGGCAGATCACAAGGTCAGGAGATGGAGACCATCCTGGCTAACGCTGTGAAACCCCGACTCTACTAAAAATACAAAAAGCTTAGCTGGGTGTGGTGGCGGGTGCCTGTAGTCCCAGCTACTCAGGAGGCTGAGGCAGGAGAATGGCGTGACCCCGGAAGGCGGAGCTTGCAGTGAGCCGAGATGGAGCCACTGTACTCTAGCCTAGGCGACAGAGCGAGACTCCTCGCTCGAACGCTTGAACCTGGGAAGTGGAGGTTGCAGTGAGCCAAGATTGAGCCACTGCACTCCAGCCAGGGCAACAGGGCAAGACTCTGTCTCAAAAGAAAAAAAAAAGATATTAGGAATAAATAGTGCTGACGAGAATGTGAAACAACTTCAACTCATACATTTCCGGTAGGAATGGAAAATGGTACAGCCTCTTGGAAAACAGTTTGGCATCTTATAAAGTTAACCATATACCTACCACATGACCCAGCAACCCCACGCTTACGTATTTACAGAAATGAAGACATAGGTGCACACAAAATTCTGCATGTGAATGTTTATAGCAGCGCTATTCATAATTGCCCCCAACTAGAAATTATCCAGATGTTCTTCAGTGGCTGAAACTATAAAGAAACTTTTTATTTTTTTTTTGAGATGGAATCTCACTCTGTCGCCCAGGTTGGAGTGCAGTGGCGCTATCTCTGCTCACTGCAAGCTGTGCCTCCCTGGTTCAAGCGATTCTCCTGCCTCAGGCTCCCGATGAGCTGGGATTACAGGCACCCGCCACCACGCCCGGCTAATTTTTATATTTTTAGTAGAGATGGGGTTTCACCATGTGGGTCAGGCTGGTCTCAAACTCCTGACCTTATAATCTGCCCACCTCGGCCTCTCAAAGTGCTGGGATTGCAGGTGTGAGCCACCGCACCCGGCCAAGAAACTTTTTGCACTGGTACATTCATACAATGAGATACCAGTCAACAATGGAAAGAAACAAATTATGACACTGGTAACAACTGGGATGATCCTCAGAGGCATTACACTGAGTGTGAGAAGCCAGTCTCAAGACTTACATATTGACTAGGTGCAGTGGCTGACACCTGTAATCCCAGCACTTTGGGAGATCAAGGCAGGAGGATCACTTGAGACCAGGAGTTTGAACCAGCCTGGGCAACATAGTGGGATCCCATCCCTACAAAATATGCAAAAATTAGCCATACGTGGTGGCACATACCTGTAGTCCCAACCACTCTAGAGGCTAAGGTGAGAGGATCACTTGAGATCAGGAAGTCAAAGCTGCAGTGAGCTATGTTTGTGCCAATGCACCTCCAGCTTGGGCAACAGAGCAAGATCCTGTCTCAAAAAAAAAAAAAAGTTACACATTGTATGATTTTATTATATGACATTCTCGAAAAGACAAAACTATAGTGTTGAAGGACATATTAATGATTTCTAGGGATATGGAATTGAGGGGAGGATATAATTACAGAAAGATAGCATAAAGCCAAGCACGGTGGCTCATGCCTATAATCCTAGCACTTTTGGAGGCCAAGATGGGAGGATTGATTGAGCCCAGGAGTTCGAGACAAGCCTGGGCAACATGAGACCCTGTCTCTGCAAAAACCTTAAAAAATTAGCTGTGTGTGGTGGTGTGCACCTGTAGTCCTAGCTACTTGGAAGACTGAAGCGGGAGGATCACTTGAGCCCAGGGAGGTCAAGGCTGTAGTGAACCATGATTATGCCACTCCAGCCTGGGTGACAGAATGAGACCTTGTCTCAAAAG
This sequence comes from Homo sapiens, assembly GCF_000001405.40. Classification (NCBI taxonomy): domain Eukaryota; kingdom Metazoa; phylum Chordata; class Mammalia; order Primates; family Hominidae; genus Homo; species Homo sapiens. Next base: position 129,079,225 of record NC_000007.14, read on the forward strand.
AAGATAGCCTAAGAGAGTTTAGAGGGGTGATGAAGCCATTCTGTATGCTGATTGTGGAGGTGGTTAAAAGAATCTGCATGTGTTAAAACTTGTAGTACTTTTAAAAAAGGGTCAATATTGCTGTATGTTAATTTCTTTGTTAATTTTTTAAATTTTAATTTTTTTATTTTACTTTTTGGACACAGGGTCTTGCTTTGTCACCTAAGCTGGAGTCCAGGGGCATGTGATCACAGCTCACTGGCAGCCTTGACCTCCTGGGCTCGAGCAATCCTCTCACCTCAATTCCCTGAGTAGCTGGGACTATGGGCATGCACCACCATGCCCAGCTAATTTTTGTATTTTTAGTAGATACAGGGTTTCACCATGTTGGCCAGGCTGGTCTCAAACTCCTGACCTCAAGCGATCTGCCTGCCTCAGCCTCTCAAGTGCTGGGATGACAGGCATGAGCCATCACCCCCAGCCTTCTTTGTTAATTTTTTAATAGAAATAGGATCTTGCTATGTTGCCCAGGGTGGTCTCAAACTCCTGGCCTCAAGTAATCCTCCCAAATCCTTGGCCTCCCAAAGCGCTGGAATTACAAGTGTGAGTCACCTCGCCTGTTCTGTGTGTTAATTTATAAGGCAAAAATTTTAAAACTTCATCCAAAGGAATACAGAGCTAAGCAAAGAATTCTCAAAAAAGAAACACAAGATGGTGGTCACAAGTTTCCTCTGGGGAAGGATGCTGTAAATCAAGGAAAGTAGAAAGACATACTTTTACAGGATTATACACTTTTTACTATTTGAATCATTTATCATGCATGCATGTTACCTTTCCCTCCTGCAAAAAAAAAAAAAATTATATTGAAACACAAGAGGAACACAAGCCTTCCCCTCTTACATTCTGATGATTACAATTTTCCCCCTCTAATTACATTTGTACACTTCTATAAATGAGGCCAGCTAGGGAGAGCACCAAAATGTGCAGTGATCGGCCGGGCGCAGTGGCTCATGCCTGTAATCCCAGTACTTTGGGAGGCTGAGGCAGGCGGATCACCTGAGGTCAGGAGTTTGAGACCAGTCCGGCCAACATCATGAAACCCTGTCTCTACTAAAAATACAAAGATTAGCTAGGCGTGGTGGTGCAAGCCTGTAGTCCCAGATACTAGGGAGGCTGAGGCTGGAGAATTGCTTAAACCTGGGAAGCAGAGGTTGCAGCGAGCCGAGATGGTGCCTTTGCACTCCAGCCTGGATGACAAGAGCAAAACTCTGTCTCAAACAAACAAACAAAATGTGCAGTGATTACCTCTGAGCAATGGATTTGAAGGAGTTTTGTTTTGTTTGAAACAGGGTCTCACTCTGTCACCCAGGTTGGAGTGGAGCGGCACGATCACAGATCACTGCAGCCTCCACCTCCCTAGCTCAGGTGATACACCCACCTCAGCATCCCAAGTAGCTGGAACTACAGGCAAGCACCACCTGTAGCCAAGGCCAATTTTTGTATTTTTTGTAGAAGCAGGGTCTCAGTATGTTAATTTATAAGACAAATATTATGTTGCCCAGGCTGGTCTGGAACTCCTGGTCTCAAGCAATTCTCCTGCCTCGGCCTCCCAAAGTGCTGGGATTACAGGTGTGAGTCATTGTGCCCGGCCTTAAGGAGATTTTTACTTTCTTCTTATACTTTTCTATTTTTCTCTACCAGCATATATGATATTTATGTTTTTAAAAGCTATTTTCATTGTGGAAAAAAAAGAGAACATATTAGGGGGAAAACCACAAGCTCACAGAGGACAAAAACCATGTTTTAGTGCCTCTGGGTACTGTAAACTATCTGACATGGTACAGGTGCTGAGTATTCTACCAACTAAGACATTTTGCTTGAAAGTTATAGACAAGGTCCATCCTGGCTAACACGGTGAAACCTCGTCTCTACTAAAAAATACAAAAAAATTAGCCGGGCATGGTGGCGGGTGCCTGTAGTCCCAGCTACTTGGGATGCTGAGGCAGGAGAATGGCGTGAACCCGGGAGGCGGAGCTTGCGGTGAGCAGAGATCGCGCCACTGCACTCCAGCCTGGGCGACAGAGCGAGAATCCGTCTCAAAAAAAAAAAAAAAAAAAAAAAGTTGTAAACAAGGTGTAATTATAATGGATATTGATCGTATTTCTTTATATTAAACTCTGAATACCACAGGTGTTCACAGAATAATAATCTACTTTAGAAAGGAGTTTTACCATTTGCATTAAAAGCTTTAAGGCGAGCAAGACAGCTATGAGTTTGCTCCACTTTACAAATGAATGAGGAAACTGAGGTTTAAAGGTAGTTACTGGCAATAACAGAATTTAGACCAGTTTCTTGATACCAAACCTAATATATATTCCAAGACACTCCCACTGTCTCTTCCCAGTTCTCAAAGAACTATAATAAAATGAAAATAGCTAACTCTGACACTGTTTTCAACATATTCTTCGAACCAGCAGAGAGCTGATTGATGTCATCTAAGGGAAGTGGTTTGGAGCTGGAAAAGTCTCCTTCAGGGCAATCACCTTTTTTTTTTTTTTTTTTTTTTTTGAGATGGAGTCTGCTCTGTCGCCAGGCTGGAGTGCAGTGGCGTGATCTTGGCTCACTGCAATCTCCGCCTCCCAGGTTCAAGCGATTCCCCTGCCTCAGCCTCCCGAGTAGCTGGTACTACAGGTGCGTACCACCATACCCAGCTAATTTTTTATATTTTTAGTAGAGATGGGGTTCCACCATGTTGGCCAGGATGGTCTAGATTTCCTGACCTCGTGATCCACCCACCTCGGCCTCCCAAAGTGCTGGGATTACAGGCGTGAGCCACTGCGCCTGGCCAGGCAATCACACTTTTCAGGATCAGAACTTCCACCCTGAAGGACCACAGGTTCACCCCTGGCAATACACAGCGAGGACCAGACTCTGAGAACAGACTCACATTGGAAAAGGGACATAGGAGGCTGAGGGAGACGCCGGGCTGCCAATTCACTCATTGACCATGATAATTGGGACTGTTACAGGGTCAGCTACTTCTCCCCTACAAGTCTCTCTCTGCAGCATATTCTCTCTGGTCGGTAGGTCGCCATGAAAATGAGAAAGTTGACTGCCAAGTGGCCATGGAAAACACATGGAAATTAGACGAAGCCCCAGGGTTCAGTGGTAACAGGTGAGGCTAAGATAGCCTAGGCCAGTCATCCTATAATAGAGGTGGTCTCACCAACAGGTTACTTACTGCAGAGTACTCACATCCCATTGGTTACAACCTCCTGCCTCCACATCTCCATTATAAGTTGTTTTGTCATTTAAAGGCTGTGATTTCCTTTGTGCCCAATACATGGATGGGCAATGCCTATGTCCACCTCCCAGAAGTGTCCTCTTCCAAGAATCCATGCTAAACAATGCCCCTTCTAACAAACAGATTTTTTTCAATCTTTTAATTTAAACAATCAAATCCTAGGAGCCAGGCTTTTTTGTCACATGCTAATTATATATTGATCTTATTATTAACTTTCTATGATTAGGACGGGCACGGTGGCTCACGCCTGTAATCCTAGCACTTTGGAAGGCCAAGACAGACCGATCACTTGAGGTCAGGAGTTCGAGACCAGCCTGAACAACATGGTGAAACCCTGTCTCTACTAAAAATACAAAAATTAGCCTGGCATGGTGGTGCACGCCTGTAGTCCCAGCTACTCGGGAGGCTGAGGCACAAGAAACACTTGAACCTGGCAGGTGGAGGTTTCAGTGAGCCAAGATCGAGCCACTGCACTCCAGGCTAGGTGACACAGCGAGACTCCATCTAAAAAAAAAAAAAAAAAAATGATTGCTAATTGCCCTCTGATGTAATAATTCCCCTTCCTCTTCTTTTTTTTTTTTTTTTTTTTTGAGACGGAGTCTCACTCTGTTGCCCAGGCTGGAGTGCAGTGGCGCAATCTCAGCTCACTGCAACCTCCACCTCCAGGGTTCAAGCGATTCTCCTGTCTCAGCCTCCCAAGTAGCTGGGACTACAGGCCTGCACCACCACACCCAGCTAACCTTTTTTGTATTTTAATAGAGACGGGGTTTCATCATGTTGGCCAGGATGGTCTCATGACCTCGTGATCCACCCACCTTGGCCTCCCAAAGTGCTGGGATTATAGGCATGAGCTACCTCGTCCAGCCGGTGTTTTAGGTTTTTTCTGTTATTATCAAACTGAATTCTAACTAATATTCATGATAATTTTATTCCTCTTACTTTTAAGTTCTTGTGGTCCCAAAGTACAATAGTAAATTTAAGATTCTAGGCTGGATGTGGTGGCTCACACCTGTAATCTTAGCACTTTGGGAGGCCAAGGTGGGAGGGTCACTTGAGCCCAGGAGTTTGAGACCAGCCTGGGCAACATAGCAAGACTTCATTTCTATTAAAAAAAAGAAAAAAGAAAGATTCTGGAATGCTTCAGACTCCGTGTTATACAAGCTTTCTGACAGTGTGATGAATCAGGGAGGAGTGAGTTAACAAATTTCTGACCAGACAACTGACCGGAAAAAACAGCTTGTGGAGTGCTCAGTATATCATTTCATTCCTCAGGTTCACGTAACAAATGTTCAGAAGCTCAGAGCATATTTCATTCCCATGCGATTAATCTTACCCCCTGCACTACTTTTGTATCTCCCCTTAGTAACAGGTTCACCCTACCTTCAATGTCTACAGGAGCTACGGAAAGAAATGCAGAACGAAGATAAATCACCCACCAGAATTGTTAGCAAGAGAAGTGCTGGCAGCAATAGGTCCTCTTACAAAGAAGAAACTTAGAATGAAGCTTTTCCCAAACAGCCTGAAAGGTTCTTTTATCCTCCATAAGTAGCTGCTCACCCAATTTTTGACAAATCCTCATTTTTGCTTCAAAAATAAATAGCAAACACTTACCTATATTTACCATATGCCAGGAACTGATCTAATCATCTTACATATATTATTATTATTGAACAGCAATTTAAATTAGGTTTTTTTTTAAAGGTGGTTATTTTTATTTTTTGCAATGCCATGGTTGTAGGAGTGTATGAAGAGGTAACACATCTCCTTTTCCTTGACTATGCTTTTTTTTTTTTTAACCTTCTGCACAAAGGTAAAGGTTTTTGTTAATCTCATAGTTAATGGTATAAAACAGAGGTCATGCCGGGCGCGGTGGCTCACGCCTGTAACCCCAGCACTTTGGGAAGCCTAGGTGGGTGGATCATGAGGTCAGGAGTTCAAGACCAGCCTGGCCAAGATGGTGAAAGCCCGTCTGTACTAAAAACTACAAAAAAAATTAGCTGGGTGCGGTGGCAGGTGCCTGTAATCCCAGCTACTCGGGAGGCTGAGGCAGGAGAATTGCTTGAACCTGGGCAGCAGAGGTTGCGGTGAGCCGAGATCACGCCATTGCACTCCAGCCTGGGCAACGAGAGTGAAACTCCGTCTCAAAATAAATAAATAAATAAATAAATAAATAAATTTTAAGGGATATGGTTTGGAGGGAGCTTTCAGGGTAAAAGTATAGTGACATGACAAAGGGGAGGTGACAGAATATTGTAGAGTCCTTTGTATTCTTTCAAAATAGCTTTACTGAGATATAATTGACATACAGTAAACTACATGTTTATAGTGTAATTGGATAAGATTTGACATACATATACACCCGTGAAACCATGACCACAGTCAAGATAATGAAAATAGGCCAGGCACGGTGGTTCACAGGAATCACTTGAACCCGGCAGGTGGAGGTTGCGGTGAGCTGAGATCATGCCACCGCACTCCAGCCTGGGCGATAGAGTGAGAGGCTGTCAAAAAAAAAAAAAAGATAATAAAAATAAATATCAGCCCCCAAAAGTTTCCTTGTGTCCTCCTGTGATCCCTTCTTCCTGGAAACTTCCCCCAAACTCTCTCCTCAACCCCCCATTGTCCCTTATCTGCTTTCTGTAATTATGGATTGGTTTATATTTTCTAGAATTTTATAGGAATACAATCGTACAATATTTATTCTTTTATTTCCAGTTAACATAGCTTTTATTCAAAAGTCCTTACTCTTGTCTGGTTTATTTCACTTGGTCTAATTATTTTAAGATCTATCCACATTACTGCATGTACTTTAAGTGGGTGAGTCGTACGCTATTTGAATTATCTCTCAATAAAGCTGTTACTAAAAACAAACCACAATGAGATATCACTGCGCACCCATTCGGATGACAAAAATTTAAAAAACAGACAAAAGCAACTGTTAGTGAGGGTAGGGAGAAATTGGAACTCTCATACCCTGCTAGTGAGTGGACTTGTATAATGATGCAGCCACTTTGGAAAACAGTCTGGCAGTTTCTCAAACATTTAAACATAGAGGTATCTTTTGACCCCAAAATTTCACTCCTAAGTGTATATACCCAAGAGAAATGAGAAAATGTGTCTACACAAAAGCCAGTATATGAATGTTCATAGCAGCATTATTCCTTATTTATTATTATACATTTTTTTGAGGTGGAGTCTTGCTCTGTCGCCAGGCTGGAGTTCAGTGGCGTGATCTTGGCTCACTGCAGCCTCCGCCTCCTGGGTTCAAGTGATTCCCCTGCCTTAGCCTCCCAAGTAGCTGGGATTATAGGCATGCGCCACCACGCCTGGCTAATTTTTTGTATTTTTAGTATAGATGGGGTTTCACCATGTTGGCCAGGATGGTCTCCATCTCCTGACCTCGTGATCCGCCCACCTCGGCCTCCCAAAGTGCTGGGATTACAGGCGTAAGCCACTGCGCCCAGCCTATTATTATTATTTTTTGAGACGGAGTCTCGCTCTGTCACCCAGGCTGGAATGCAGTGGCGCGATCTCGGCTCACTGCAACCTCTGCCTCCTGGGTTCAAGTGATTCTCCTGCCTCAGCCTCCAGAGTAGCTAGGATTACAGGTGCCCACCACCACACCCAGCTAATTTTTGTATTTTGTTTAGTAGAGACAGGGTTTTACCATGTTGGCCAGGCTGGTCTCAAACTTCTGACCTCAAATGATCTGCCTGCCTTGGCCTCCCAGAGTGCTGGGATTACAGATGTGAGGCACGGCAGCTGGCCAATGGCAGCATTATTTATAATAGTCAACATGTGAAAAGAACTCCAATGTCCACCAACTGAGGAATGGATAAACAAAATGTGGTCTATCCATACAGTGAAATATTATTCAGCCATAAAAGGGAATGAAGCACTGATACGCGCCACAACACAGATTAACCTTGAAAACATTCAGCTAAGTGAAAGAAGCCAAACACACACATACCAACCCCACATATTGTATGATTCCATTTTTATTTATTTTTATTTTTATTTTTTATTTTTTCAGACAGGGTGTCACTGTCACCCAGGTTGGAGTGCAGTGGCACAATCTCAGCTCACTGCAACCTCCACCTCCCGGGTTCAAGCAATTTTTCTGCCTCAGCCTCCCAAGGAGTTGGGATCACAGGCATGCGCCACCACACCCAGCTAATTTTTGTATTTTTAGTGGAGATGGGGTTTCGCCATGTTGGCCAGGCTGGGCTTGAACTCCTGGCCTCAAGTGATCCGCCCACTTTGGCCTCCCAAAGTGCTGGGATTATAGGTGTGAGCCACCATGCCCAGCCTGATTCCATTTTTATGTGAAATGTCCAGAATTGGCAAATAGAGACAGAAAGTAGATTAGTGGTTGCCCAGGTCAGAGTGAGGGTGGCTGGGGGCAATGAAGGTGACTGCTAAAGGGTACAGAATTTCTTTGTGGGGTAATACAAATATTCTCAAATTGATTGTGATGGTGTTTGCACAACCCGTACATATACTAAAAACTACAAAATTACATATTTAAAATGGCTAATTTTTACCTATGTGAATTATATCTCAATAAAGCTGTTACTGAAAAAATGTTCACTTACTGAGGTCATTCCATTATATGAATATACTTCAGTTTGTCTAGCCATTCATTTATTGAGTCATTGGATTGGCTCCTATTTTTGGCTACTAAAAATAAAGCTGCAGACCAGTGAAGTACTCACACCTGTAATCCCAGCACTTTGGGAGGCCAAGATGGGAAGATGGCTTGAGGCCAGAAATTCGAGACCAGCCTGGGCAATATAGCAAGACCCCATCTCTACAAAAAATTTAAAAATTAGCCCAGCATGGTGGCTTGCACCTGTAATCCCAGCTACACAGGAGGCTGAGGTGGGAAGATCACTTAAGCCCAGGATTTTGAGGCTGCAGTGAGCTACGATCATGCCACTGTACTCCAACCTGAGCAACAGAGCGAGACACTATCTCTAAAAAAAATAAAATTCGGCCGGGCGCGGTGGCTCACGCCTGTAATCCCAGCACTTTGGGAGGCCGAGGCGGGCGGATCACAAGGTCAGGAGATCGAGACCATCCCGGCTAAAACGGTGAAACCCCGTCTCTACTAAAAATACAAAAAATTAGCCGGGCGTAGTGGCGGGCGCCTGTAGTCCCAGCTACTTGGGAGGCTGAGGCAGGAGAATGGCGTGAACCCGGGAGGCGGAGCTTGCAGTGAGCCGAGATCCCGCCACTGCACTCCAGCCTGGGCGACAGAGCGAGACTCCGTCTCAAAAAATAAAAATAAAAATAAAAAATAATAATAAAAATAAAAAATAAAATTCAGGCCAGGTGCGGTGGCTCACGCCTATAATCCCAGCACTTTGGGAGGCCGGGGCAGGCAGATCACAAGGTCAGGAGATCAAGACCATCCTGGCTAACACGGTGAAACCCCATCTCTACTAAAAAATACAAAAAATTAGCCGGGCATGGTGGCCGGCACCTGTAGTCCCAGCTACTTGGGAGGCTGAGGCAGGAGAATGGCGTGAACCCAGGAGGTGGAGCTTGCAGTGAGCCAAAATAATGCCACTGCACTCCAGCCTAGGCGACAGAGTGAGACTCCGTCTCAAAAAATTAAATTAAATTAAATTAAATTAAATTAAATTAAATTAAAAAATAAAGCTTCAAGCCAGGTGTGCTGGCACCTGCCTGTAATCCCAGTTACCTGAGAGGCTGAGACAGGAGGATCACTAGAGCCCTGGAGTTCGAGTCCAGCCTGGGCAACATAGCAAGACCCTATCTCTTAAAAAAAGAGCTGCTATGATTTTTATTTGTCAATTATGCCTCAATAAAGTTGAGGAAGAAAACAATAAAGCTACTATGAACATTTGTGTGCAAGTCTTTGTATGAATATGTGCTTTTTTTGGGTGAATACACAGAGGTGGAAAGGCTAGATCATATGGTAAGTATGTTTAACTTTTTAAGAAACTGATCAGCTGTTTTCCAAAGTGGTTTTATCATTTTACATTCCCACCAACAGTGTATGAGAGTTCTAGTTCCTCTGCACTCTTATTAACACATGGTTTTAATCAGACATCTAATAGGTATGCAGTAGTTTCTGATTGTGATTTTAATTTATATTTCCTTAATGTGAATAATGTTGAACATCTTTTCATGTGCTTATTTGCCATCCATTTTTTTGGTGAAATAACTGTTTAGATCTGTTGCCTACTTTTTGAAAAAAAGTTGAATTCTTTGCTCTTATTTGATTTCCAAAGTTCTTTATATATTCTGGATACACATCCTTTATCAGATATGGGCTTTGCAAATATTTTCTCCCAGTCAGTGGCTGGTCTTTTCATTCTTCTCATGGCATCTTTTCAGGAAAAGAAGTTTTTAATTTTGATGAAGTCCAATTTATCAAATTTATTTCCTATTGACTGTGCTTTTAGTGTAATATCTAAGACATATTATCTAATTAAAGGTCACAAAGATTTTACTTCTATGTTTTCTAGAAGTTTTATAGTTTTAGATTTTACACTTAGGTGCATAATCGATTTTGACTTAATTTTTATACGTGGTATAAGGTATGAATTGAAGTTCTTTTTTTCTTTTTTTGCATATAGCTATCCAACTGTTCTAGCCCAACTCACTGAAACTATTCATTAGAAATTATCCTTTCTCATTGCCTTTGGGTCTTTTTAAAAATCAATTGTATATGTGTGTGTATGTGTGTCTGAACTTTCTATTCTGTTCCATTTGATCTGTTCTATTTGAGCTGTCTATCATGATGTTAATAGCACCTCATCTTGATGACTATTATTTTTTATGAAGCCTTGAAATCAGGTGGTGTTAGCCCTCCAACTTTGTTATTCTCTTTCAAAGATGTTTTGGCTAATCTAGATCCTTTGCATTTTCATGGGAATTTTTAGACAGTTTGTCAGTTTCTATAATTTTTTTTTCCCTGTAAAGCTGAGACAGAAACCCAGGGCTCTGAGGTCAGTCTGCCTAGGTTCAAGTTTTATCTTTACCTCTTCATAACTGTCTGACTTTGGCCAAGTTACCTAACTTCTCTGCAATTCCATTTCTCATTCACAAAGCTGAAATAATAATATTATCAATCTCATGGGGTTGTGAAAGGGCTTAGATGAAGTAATGCAGATAAGGCTGAGAGAATGAAAATACAAACAGACAATGGCCAGATCATATATGACAATAGAACTCTGGGCCACAACCTCTGCAGCAACCCATCCAGGAAGCCAAACCACAGCCTCTGCAGCAATCATCCCAGAACAGTCAGAACTTGACCAAGTCAGTAAGTGCAGCTGCCCTAACTTCTGCCCCCACTTCCAACTCAGGACCAAGCACAGAAAGCCAAATATGGTCCCCAATCCAATCACACTGGATGCTCAATTTCTAGTCAGCCTACCTCTAGCTTTCCCATGCCAACAAGCTCCAATCAAGGCATAGCTGAAGACTTCCCTTTTTTTCACTATAAAGCTTTGCACAGCCCTGCCTGCCTGAGTCTCTGACAAATGCGAGTGATGGTGGCTGAGACCCTGGCTAAAGCAAGCGCTGAATAAACAGCTTCTGTTTCTTCTCACTTGGGTGGTTTTTGTTTATTTCCACAGTGCTTAACACTGTGCTCGCAGAGTTAGTGATTGCCCAATACATTTTATATAGAGCAGTAGAATTGCTTTGTCGTATGAAACTTTAAAAAGAATTCCAATAGATAAATAAAAGTGGCATTTCAACCGTTTATTTTATCTAAGTCAGCCAGTAATAAAGGTAGGACTTTTGCAGTGATCTCAATAACATTAAATGAACATGATGGCTGATCCTTGCAACCACAAGGTTTTTTAAAATCCTGATTCACATAATAAGAAGTTGCAAATGCCAAATTTCTGTTTTCTTTTAAACAGGTCACTTTGCAATTAAATATTTGCAGAACCTCTGAAGCACCTCTTCAAAACTCTAGGGCTCTCAGAAACGTGGAGTAAAAACTTACCCTGATGTGAGGTCAGGGTACAGGGTCTTGATTTCAGTCCTAGTGATGCTGCCACTCTGCCGGATAACCTTGGGCATGACACTTGACCTCTGAGATTTGTTCCTCCCTTGTAAATGGAAAGAGCTGAACTAAAGAACTTCTCAAAATTTAGTGCGCATGGATAACCACATGTATATACTGGAGGAGGGTGCGTGCCCATTTAAAATGTAGGTTTCTGACCCACCCAGTGGCGTCTGAGTCAGGGTCCTGGAATCTGCATTTTAACAAGCACAGCTGATTCTGGTGCTAGTGACAATTGGGCACAATTTGAGCAGCACAGGAGCAAATGGTCTTTTAGGTCCCTTCTGGCTCTGATGTGTGTGATTCAGGTGAGGTTGTTGAAGAGAAGTGGGCTGCAGCATTGGGAAAGGAAAAGTGAAGGAGAAAACCATTCAACAGTGGGGAAAATTTTGTTTTTTTAAAAAGCCTATTGTGTCAATATTCTACTTTATTTCTTTTTTCTTTTCTTTTCTTTTCTTTTCTTTTTTTTGAGAAGGAGTCTCGCTCTGTCGCCCAGGCTGGAGTGCAGTGGTGGGATCTTTGCTCACTGCAACCTCCACCTCCCAGGTTCAAGCGATTCTCCTGCCTCAGCCTCCCGAGTAACTGGGATTACGGGCACCCACCACCACGCCTGGCCAATTTTTGTATTTTTAGTAGAGACAGGGTTTCCCCATGTTGGCCAGGCTGGTCTTGAACTCCTGACCTCAAGTAATCGGCCTGCCTCGACCTCCCAAAGTGCTGAGATTACGGATGTGAGCCACCGTGCCCGGCCAGCATTCCACTTTTGAAAGCCCCCGTGACCCTGGTCCAGAAGGACTTTGATTCCTGGCCCTGGTCTTCAAGCTCTTTGCAGAGGCAATGCACATTTTATTCTCCATGAGACCACAGGAAGAAAAAAAAACACCCTCAAATTTCCCAACCCCATGCCCTAAATTTCAATGCGCCAGAGATGAAATGCAACTTGCGAAATGCCTCCCTGCTCTTCTGCTCCACAGTTTCTCCATAGCTTGGCTTGGGGCAGGAGGGGACAGAGGAGGGTTTGGCCAGTCGGGGGTCTAGCCCTCAAAGCCAGATTAAACCCAGGCCACAGCGACTCCTCTCAATTCTGCAATTGGGTCCCAGCTCAGTGTGGCCATATCGCCCTCTTGCGGTAGAAAGCGGGACTCCGCCTGGCTAGGGGAACAGACGCCAGGGGCTGACTGTAACAAAGACCGGAAGCTCTTCTTGGATCCAAGGCAGGTGCAAGGAGGGAAAAAAGGTATCACCAGAGGGACGCTCTTCATTATGACTTTTTCTCTTTTTCCTCACCCTTTCTGCTTCCCAAACCCAGTTCTCCCACTTATCGTTGCCCACTATTAAAAACTGCTTTGTAATGAGAAAACCTGCAGTTTACAAGGTGTTTTCACAAACTTCATCTTATGTAAGCCACTCTCACTGCCTTTTCTCACTTCTCTTCCTCTTCCAGAATGAGAAGAAAAAAATGGAAAAAACAACAAACAAACAACAACAACAAAAAAAAACTGAAAAAAAATTACAAATGCCTTTCTAGTATTTTGCAAAAGGGTAGGCCTGCCCACACCCTTGGTTTAGGTTCCAGGACCAGTTATCTTGGAGCTGAGATCATAACCTTCACCCCTGTAAGGACCCCTTAGCTTTGTGGTCACAAATAGAGTCTTAAACTTGCCAGGGCTTGGTCACAAGAAGAGAGAGCAAAACATATGACCAAAGCGGCACAAGGCCGCTAAACAATTATTTTTGTTTCATCAACTGTTTTTTTTTTTTTAAGAGACAGGGGTCTCAGTGTGTTGCCCAGGCTGGACTTGAACTCCTGGGCTCAAGCAGTCCTCCCACCTCGGCCTCCCAAGTAGCTAGGATTACAGGTACACACTAGTGTACCTAGTGTACAGTAGTGTAACTAGTCTGGCTAGTTAATTAACTTTTAATTTAATTTAATTTTGAGATGGAGTCTCCCTCTGTCGCCCAGGCTGGAGTGCAGTGGCTCGATCTTGGCTCACTACAACCTCCACCTTCCGGGTTCAAGCGATTCTCCTGCCTCAGCCTCTCGAGTAGCTGAGACTACAGGGGAGTGCCACCACGCCCGGCTAATTTTTTGTGTTTTTAGTAGAGACGGGGTTTCACCATGTTAGCCAGGATAGTCTCGATCTCCTGACCTTGTGATCCACCAGCCTCAGCCTCCCAAAGTGCTGGGATTACAGGCATGAGCCACCGCGCCAGGCCTATTTTTTTGAGATGGAGTCTCACTCTGTCACCCAGGTGGGAGTGCAGTGGTGCTGATCTTGGCTCACTGCAAACGCTGCCTCCAGGGTTCAAGCGATTCTCTTGCCTCAGCCTCCCGAATAGCTGGGATTACAGGCATGTACCACCACACCCAGCTAGTTAATTAACTTAAAAAAATAATAATCAAATTATGGGCTGGCCGTGGTGGTTCAGGCCTGTAATCCCAGCACTTTGGGAGGCTGAGGCGAGTGGATCACTTGAGATCAGGAGTCCCAGACCAGCCCGGCCAACATGGTGAAACCCCATCTCTACCAAAAACACAAAAATTAGCCGGGCATGGTGGCGTGCACCTGTAGTCCCAGCTACTCAAGAGGCTGAGGCAGGAAAATCGCTTAAATCCGGGAGGCAGAGGTTGCACCAGGTAGAGATTGCACCACTGCACTCCAGACTGGGTGACAGAGCAAGACTCCATCTAAAAAAAAAAATTAATCAAATTATAACAAAAATTGAAAAATGCACAAATCATAAATGTACCATTCAAATAATTTTCACAGAGTACACCTGTGTAACTAAGCCTCCAGATCAAAAAAGAGAACATTACCAGCATTCCCTAATGCCCCCCTTCATGTTCCTCCCAGTCACAAATCACCCCCACTGTAACTCCTATTATGATTTTTAACATCATAGATTAATTTTATCTGCTTTTGAATTTCATATAGAAGGAATCACACAATATGTACTCACATATATGCCTTTTGCTGAGCACTGTGAATTAATCTATGTTGTTGCACACCATTCTTTCCTATTGTGCTAGTATGCCATTGTAGAAATATACCACAATGTATCCATTTTATTCATGGTAGACATTTTGGATATTTATAGTTTAGGGCTATTATAAGAGTGCTTCTTTGAACATTCTTGTATTCAAGAAAAAACAGCATTTTCTAGAGTGATCAAAGGGATTAATGGGACATTTATATACCTAGAAACATGATTTATATATATGGATATAAGAAAACAACAGGCATTATGAATCCTATTTATTTATTGAACTTCCATGTTTATTGCAGCACTATTGATGATAGCCAAGATTAAAAATCAACCTAAAAATGTCCATAATCAAATGAATGGGTAAAGAAAATGTGGTGTATATACACAATGGAGTATTATTCAGCCATAAGAAAAGAAAATCTTGTCATTTTCAATCATGTGGATGAACCTGGAGGACATTATGGTAATTGAAATAAGCCAGACACAGAAAAACAAATACCTCATAATCTCACTCATATGTGGAATCTAAACAAGTTGACCTCATTGAATCAGAGAGCAGAATGGTGGTTACCAGAGGCTGGGGTTTTACGGGGAGGTTTGGGGAGATGTCTGCCAAAGCACACCTAATTACAGTTAGATAGGAGGAATAAGCTCAAGAGATCTGTCACACAGCATGATGACTGTAGTTAATGATGATATATTCTATCTTTGAAGAATGCTAAGACACTTGATGTTAAGTGCTGTCACTACAAAAATCATAACTCTGTGAGGTAAAGCACTTAATTGGCTAGAATTAAGCATTCAACAATGTATATATACTTCAAAACATCATGTTGTAAATGATAAATGCATAAAATTTTATCTGACAATTTAAAAAGTAAATAAATTATATATCAATATCTATCTACCTATATATAGCTACATATATATATATATATATATATATATATATATATTTTTTTTTTTTTTTTTTTTTCCTTGAGACAGGGTCTCAAGGTCACCCAGGTTGGAGTGCAGAGGTGAAATTATGGCTCACTGCAGTCTCTACCTCCTGTACTCAAGCGATCCTCCCACCTCAGTCTCCCAGCTAGGTGGAACTAGAGGCGTGCACCATCATGCCTGGCTGTTCGGAGGGTGTGTGTAGAGACAGGATCTCACTATGTTGTACCGGCTGGGTCTTGAATTCCTGGGCTCAAGCATTCCCCTCACCTCGGCCTCCCAAAGTGCTGGGATTAGAGGTGTGAGCCACTATGCCTGGCCAAAAAAAGTAAATAAAACTTTGGAACACATTATGAAAGGATAGCAGTAGGCTGGGCATGGTTGGCTCACACCTGTAATCCCAGCTCTTTGGGAGGCCGAGGTGGATGGATCACCTGAGGTCAGGAGTTCGAGACCAGCCTGGTCAACATGGCGAAACCCTGTCTCTACTAAAAGGACAAAAATTAGCCGGGCGTGGTGGCACGTGCCTGTTATCCCAGCTACTCAGGAGGCTGAGGCAGGGGAATCGCTTGAACCCTGCAGGTGGAGGTTGCAGTGAGCCGAGATCATGCCATTGCACTCCAGCCTGGGCAACAGAGCGAGTCTCAGAAAAAAAAAAGAAAGGATATCTGTATTCCAAATACTGAGTCTGTGTCTTTGTCATAACCTTAGCTGAAATTATCAAAAATATATAGTTCTTGTGGTGTTTTTGTTGTTCCACTAGTTAGTCCTAAGCATACAAACTCTGATGATTACCAGCATGTTTAACACATGGCATACAACACGGAAGCCACTGAAGTGCTTTAGGACTTTGACTTTAACCTTGTGCACCTGGAGTTTCTAGTGCTGATGGTGATGGCGTGGAAGACACTACAGAGACAGGAAGTGGTAACAGTTCCATTTCTGGCCGCTCTGAACACAGAATAAAGTTTGCATCCAAAATCACTGAAGAAATGTTTCAAACCACAAGCTTCCGCAGACCAGGCACAGTGGCTCACACCGGTAATTCCAGCACTTTGGGAGGCTGAGGCGGGAGGATGGCTCAAGTCCAGGATTTTGAGACCAGCCTGGGCAACATAGTGAGACCCCATTGCTACAAAACAAACAAAACAGAAACAAAAGCTTCCACAGTCTCTGAGAATTTTCTAGAGAGAATGACCAAGGACTTGGCTATAGTTAGGTAACTAAGAATAAAAACTGTAGACTGTGAACTGCACCCATGAAAATAAAGGAAGAGATCATATATGAAAGTGAGAAATAGGCCAGGCACAGTGGCTCACGCTTGAAATCCCAACACTATGGGAGGCCAAGGCAGGAGGATCACTTGAGACCGGGAGTTCAAGACCAGCCTAGGCAACATTGCAAAACCCTGTCTCTCATGCATCACTTACATAACCTAAAAGTAAATCACAAATGGCCTGTCCACCTAGATTTTCTTCATGCCTCTTACATTTCAGAGTTCTTAATCTTCCGTGGAAAAGTGTATATGAATGATGTCCACCCAAACTTTTCCTGTCTTTCCTTAAATGTAAATTCTGAAGGCTACAGCTTCCATATCTTTTCAGTATCACTTTTTGGAATGAATCTTTTTTTTTTTTTTTCCAAGACGGAGTCTTGCTCTGTTGCCCAGTCTGGAGTGTAGTGGTGCAATCTCCACTCACTGCAACCTCCGTCTCCTAGGTTGAAGCAATTCTCCTGCCTCAGCCTCCTGAGTAGCAGGATTACAGGTGTGCACCACCATACCCAGCTGATTTTTGTATTTTTAGTACAGATTTTCACCATGTTGGCCAGGCTGGTCTTGAACTGGCTGGTCTCAAACTCCTGACCTCGTGATCTGCCCGCCTTAGCCTCCCAAAGTGCTGGGATTACAGGTGTGAGCCACCGCGCCCGGCCTGGAATGAATTTTTATGCCCTGCTCTGGCAAAAGGTCTTGAGTGAAATGAGAAGACATAACTGGGTGTTTGGCTCCTGGCTCCTGTCTCTTCACATTCCAGGGCTCTTTCCTTTGCTCCAGGCAGGTGATCACGTCTGACTTAGATATAGCAAAACCCAGGGAGGCCAGGTTTCTGTAGTTCTCTAACAACACATCCCTATACAAATTCTGCTGTGCAGGGTCCAGGCATCCCCACTCCTCTGGAGAGAATACAGCCACATCCCTGAAAGTCAACAGACTCACTTCCCAGCTTCTAGGGTGTCCTGGTGTTCTCCCTACGGATCTCCAAGTACCTACAGATCACAAGTCTGCCGATCACAGCCCATTCTTGTATTTAGTTTTTGGGAAATATATGCACACATTTCTGTTGGCTTCATAACTAAGAGTGAAATTGCTGGGTCATAGGATTGCTTTCACTGATACTGCCAGCTTTCCAAAGTATTGTACTAATTTATATTCCCATCAGCAATATATGAGAGTTTCATGTTCTTTACAACAATTGGTATGTTATTTTTCATTTAGTTATCCTGGTATGTGAGTAATAGTATTTATTGCCTTGTTCTTTTAATTTACATTTCCCTAATAACTAAAGCACCTTTCCAGGAACTTATCAGCCATTTGGTTTGGATATCTTCTTTTGTCAAGTGCCTATTTAAGGCTTTTAGGCAAACAATTTAAAGTCTGAATTTATCCACCATGAATGTGATAAGAGCATTGTTAAGAATTCAGTTTAATCCCAAACAAGCAAGTTCTATTCATGAGCGACATAGAGAGATAATCCTTACACCTGTACGGTATTTGCATGATCTCATTTGGCTAATACAGCAAGTACTCTGGAAAGTAGAAGACTGAGGTTATGTTTTACCTAGAAGGAAGCCATCTTGGAGGGGTTGTGACATGCTCGAAATAAGTGGCAGAACCAAGATTCTCAACGTTTTGCAACTTCCTGACCAAATACTCATTTCACCATAATAGTTCTCAACTCCATTGAATTCCTCCACCTTTATAATAAATATTTTATATCATCCCCTTTACTACAATGAAATTAAATTTATAATTTCAAAAGATAATCAAGCCAAGCACGGTGGTGCCCACCTGTAGTCCCAGCTACTCAGGAGGCTGAGGCAAAAGGATCTGCTTGAGTCCCTGGAGTTTGAGGCTGTAATATGCCATGCTCATACCTGTGAATAGCCACTGCCCTCCAGCCTGGGCAACATAGTGAGACCCTATCTCTAAAAAAAAAAAAAAAGATAATCCATATATTGCCTCTATGATATAAAGGAGAAATAAAAGGATAGTAATTTATAATAAATAATTACTGGCCCGGCACAGTAACTCATGCCTGTAATCCCAGAACTTTGGGAGGCCAAGGTGGGAAGATCGCTTGAGCCCAGGAGTTCAAGAACAGCCTGAGCAACATAGGAAGACCCTGTCTCTACAAAAATTTTAAAAAAAATAATAGCCAGATGTGGTGGCACGTGCCGATGGTCCCAGTTACTTGGGAGGCTGAAGCGGGAGGATCATTCAGGATTGCTTGGGCCTGGGAGGTTGAGGCTGCAGTGAGCCGTGATCACACCATTGCACTCCAGCGTGGGCAACAGAGCGAGACTCTGTCTCAAACTAAAATAATAATTACAATGATTACAAATAGAATAATTAATAACTAAATAATTATAAGGAAAACAATAATAAATTCTGGGCACAGCTGTATTAGAACATGTAATGGAATGCTAGATACTTTCCTCTACAAACAGACTGTCTCTGCTGTCCCTGACGTAATTTTCCACATTGGTGAACAGCTCTAGGTAAAACTGTGAATGAAACAAAGTACAATAATCTTTTATATGGTAGTTGTATTCCAGGGAAATTAACTGTGTTAATTTTTGACATGTTTTTTAAATCATTATCTGAGTTTTAGGCTCAGATAATTATGGACAGTTTTTCACCTACATGAATATCTGAGGATACATTCGAAAGCTGGACAAGTCTTTATTTTACAGGATTGTCACATTCATTGCAGAACAACATAGCAACCCTGGCCCCATGCCCCCTAAAGGGTGGTAGGGTCCCTCAATCATTGTGACAACCCACAGCTCCTTGAGGTGGTACTTGTCCTACTGACGACACTACACTACAAGCACTGTCCAGCATATTTCCAGCCTGAAATATGCAATGTAACCAAAAAGCCGAGGTTTGGCTGAGAAAGACCTGGGTTTGGCACTCAGTCATTCACTCTCAGTGAGACCCCGAGTAAGCCACTTCACATCTCTGAGCCTCGGTGTCCCAACTATGAGGCTGGCCTCTGCATTTTGTAGCAGCAGCAGCATTTACTATGTCTCACTGCACCTGCTGCAAGCTGCTTGGAGCAAGTCTCCGTCCTTCCCACTCCATCGCTTAGCTGCTGGTTCATGCACCACCCAGCCCTGCCCCATGTTGGCAACAATTTGCAAGGTAGACTAGTTAGTTACTCATGCACATAGTGCTTTTGATCTTCCCACTCCCTGTTGACAAATACGTTCAGCAGTAACATGGTAGATATTAGTATGAACTATCACTATCAGGAAAAAAAGTGTTAAAATGCATATCTATTGGCTCAGTAGAAAATACTCCTTAAGGCTTTAGCTGTTGAAAAAATATACTGTTTGACACTTTCTCAAGTCCAAATGCAGTAGCTCATCGTAACCAAAATCTTGGTAAATATAACACCTTCCCATTGGGATCCCAACTGCAGGCCTTGCTAGCACATGCCTTCTTGAAATGTGTGATAATTAACTGCTTGAAAAATAGAAATCAAATTAGTGAGTGATGTCACAGTGGATTCAAAAGTATGACTACAGCTTAAATTCAAAGGCACAGGGGTGCAGAATATGAACGTTTCATTGTTAAAGTAGAGTTTTTTTTTAAAAAAAAGTTGATAACATGAACTTACGCAAATATCAAATTAACATGCATCAAATATTTTATTCAACTCAATTAATAAAGGAACCAATAAGATGTTGAAACAAACTCTAATGAGAATTTTACCTACAGAGGTTTATATTCTCCACGGGACAAGGTTTTTTTGTTTGTTTGTTTTTTGAGACAAGCTCTCGCTCTGTCACCCAGGCTGGAGTGCAGTGGCATGATCTCAGCTCACTGCAGCCTCGACCTCCCGAGTTCAAGCAATTCTCCTGCCTCAGCATCCCAAGCAGCTGGGATTACAGGTGCCCGCCATCACACCCAGCTAATTTTTTTTGTATTTTTAGTAGAGACAGGGTTTCATCATGTTGGCCAGGCTGTTTTCGAACTCCTGACCTCAAGTGATCTGCCCACCTTAGCCTCCCAAAGTGCTAGGATTACAGGCGTGAGCCACCACGCCCTGCATTTTGTATTTTAATAGAGACAGGGTTTCACCATGTTGGCCAGGCTGGTCTCGAACTCCTGACCTCAGATGATCTGACTGCCTTGGCCTCCCAAAGTGCTGGGATTACAGCTGTGAGCCACTGTGCCTGGCTGCTTTTTCTACCTTCTAGAGGCTACTCACATTCCTTGGCTCATGGCCTATTCCTCCATTTCCAAAGCCAGTAATGGTTTTGGTTGTGTGCTTTTCACTTTGCATCACCTCAGGTTCTCTGCTTCCATGGTCACACCTTTGACTCTGACTCTCTGCCTCCCTCTTTCACTTATAAGGACCCCTGTAATTACTTTGGGCCTACCTGTATAATCAGGAACAATCTCCCCATCTCAAGATCCATGGGGCTGGGCGCAGTGGCTCACGCCTGTAATCTCAGCACTTTGGGAGGCTGAGGCGGATGGATCACTTGAGGTCAGGAGTTTGAGAGCAGCCTGGCCAACATGGTGAAACCCTGTCTCTACTAAAAATACAAAAATTAGCCGAGTGTGGTGGTGGGTGCCTGTAATCCCAGCTACTCGGGAGGCTCAGGCAGGAGAATCGCTTAAGCTCAGGAGTCGAATGCTGCAGTGAGCAGAGATCATGCCACTGCACTCCAGCCTGGGCGACAGAGCAAGATTCTGTCTCAAAAAAAAAAAAAAAATCTGTCGACCGCACAAGCTCCTATAGAGTAACATCATCCTTAGAGAATGTGTGAGACTACACCCTACAATCCACTGAAAGGACACCCAATAATCTCTTTTGCCCTTTTCCTAGTCTTTAACAGTTTTTCCTGGCAATGTCAAGGCTCATAGCAAGGGCGATTTTGCAAGACACAAGATCACGCAGCCCTGGGCCCATGGTGCCTGTGAACAACCAACCACCTGAGCAGGGAAGCAGCTGCCCCTTTCACTAGGACATGGTCACTTTGTCCCTACCCAGCCAACTTGGCTTGTTTCCCTTGGCCTCTGAGAGGGTTAGAGTTTTTCATCCCTGGTTACTGATTAATCATATTATATTCCCTTCCCTCCACCCTGGAGGGATGAAAACAGAGCAGAAACATTTAGTCTATAAACTGGGAAAGAGTTAGAAGGAGACAACGAGGGAAAAGAGACATACAAGTATTAATAGGACACGGACAAAGCCAAACCTTATCCACTTCATAATTTTGTGTATATCTGGCATTGTTCCAGGGCTGGGGCAGGAACAGAGAGTGGGGTGGAGATGTCTCTCCACACTGACCTCTTTCCTGAACCCATTTGGCTCTTGTGGAATAAGGGAGAGCCAGGACATCCCCTATAACAAATCCAAGATGGCTTCACCCTATTAAATGTGTGGACCTGGTGAAATGGAAGTAGCTAGCCACTCTTGATTAAGCCAACAATTTTCAAACTACTCCTGCTCAAAGCCCCATTTAATACTGACTTTCCCCACTGGTTAGTTACTCATCTCCTCCTTCCTGAGCAAATCCTCCTAAACAAATGGCAATTAACTAAGACATAATGAGGAGCTGCCTGATGGAGGCCAGAACATAGTTTCAGTCAAAGCCAGAGTAATTCATTCCTTCCCTTAGCAAACACCAATTGAGCCTCTGCTGAGTGCTAGGCACCAGACCGGCTCTGTGGGAAATAAAAATAAGCCCACTGTCCTGCCTTCAAGGAGCTCCCAGCCCAGTGGGTGGAGAGGTAAGGGTGAAATTGCATGTCCAAAAGCAAAGAGAGGGAAGAAGAGAATTTCAGAATGTTGGGAGAGCAGTAGAGAAAGCACAAAGATGTAGATACAAAGGGCTGTGTTCTTGGCTGGGAACTTCAGATAGAAAGAAGTGGCTGGAGCTAAGAGTGAATGGGAGGTGAGACTGCAGAAGGAGAGGAGGGCCAGGTTAATGTAAGTATGCCTTGAAACTGGGGTTCAATGAGTCCTTCATTTGCTAGGTGTTTGTTGAGTACTTCCTATGCACCCAATACTGAGTCGAGCCCTGCTAACATAAATACAACTGAATACGAAATGGCTCTACCCTCAATAAATCACAATCCAGTGAAGAGAAAGAGCTATGGAAATACTCTCAGTGGAGCAAGTTAAGTGAAAAAATAGATGTGCTTAAGTGCTAAGCGAACTCCGCCCACGGGAATAGCGAGAGGAAGGCAGGCCCCTTGGGAGGTTTTGCAAAGGAGCCATATAATTAGTAACATGCCTCTTGGCATGTTAGAAGTAGAAGACAAGAGGAATTAGGGGATGACAACTCATGATCCACTCCAAGGGTCTATGTTTATAGACACTCTAAAGACACAAAACTCATCATGTCCAGCTCAGTTGGGTAGGTGATGGCTCAGTACCCACTGCATCAAGACAATCTGAGGGCAGATTTCTTTTTTTTTTTTTTTTTTTTGTGATGGAGTTTCATTCTTGTTACCCAGGCTGGAGTGCAATGGCACGATCTCGGCTCACCGCAACTTCCGCCTCCTGGGTTCAAGTGATTCTCCTGCCTCAGCTTCCTGAGTTAGCTGGCATTACAGGTATGCACCACCAAACCCAGCTAATTTTGTATTTTTAGTAGAGACGGGGTTTCTCCATGTTGGTCAGGCTGGTCTTGAACTCCTGACCCCAGGTGATCCGCCCGCCTTGGCCTCTCAAAGTGCTGGGATTACAGGCGTGAGCCATTGTGCCCGAGCTGAGGGCAGATTTCAATCCTGCACACATTCCTTTCTTCCCTTCTGCTGCATATACTTGCTCCTGCATTACATGTGTTGGACTGGTTTCTCCCTGCCCTGTAGCTCTGCAATGAAGCCCAGGATCTGGTTTCTCCCAACTTTTGACCTTGGACTCACTGTCTGGCTGCAGTTCTTTAAACTGCTGATTCTATGAAAGGCCTTTGGGTCACGTCAGCTGCTGCTACCAGTTATTCAGTAACTAACTCACAAGCTCTGAGATTCCCAGTCAGGCGAGAAGGAAGAGCTTGCAGGGGCTCTGCATTCGTTCCGCTTGGCTAACTTGGTGTTGCAAAGAAACTTTCTCCTTCTAGAGGTGAATTCCAGCTTTTACAGTCAGAGGAGCCAAAGTTCTGAGCCTGCAGCGCCATTCCCATCCTCCCCCAGTGCAGGCCAAGTCCACAGTCTTCTTCCTCTTCCCCAACACTGCACCAAAGCCTCTGCTGTCTCATGCTAGCCTGCTTCGTTGGCATCATTTTTTGACCTTCCTGGCCTCATACTTTGCGGGCAAGGAAAATCATAGAATAATTTCTGTTTTCCTGACCTATTGAGAAACTCTGAAATGGTTTGTGCCCCTCATGTAGTCAGAGAGACCCTAAACAGAATCCATTCTGCTGTATTCCTCATGGGACCATTTGGAATACAACAGACCCCAGCAGGCATCAATCATCTGCCATTTCAGCTAAGGAAGGAGAGAGTGAGCCTCTCTTTCATGGCATTCGGTTTCCTGGCTCTGGATTTGACCTATGCGCAAACTTCCAGGGTGGCTTGAGCATAATGATGCTATCAACCAGCTCAGATGCCCTAGGAGGTGGCCTTACAGAAATGGTAGACTTGTGGTATGGCACAAATGTAGGCTGGCTACCTGTCTACACCTGCTCACCAGTCTGGCCAAGCCCTGAGACTGGCTGGGCCTGTCCACAGCACTGAGGCCCATGGGGACAACTATAGCTGTGTGTATGCCCATACAGTTAAGTGTCCTTTATGCTATGGGGTGGGACTTGCTGTGTGCCCCTCCTCCAATAACCTGCCAATTCCAATCATTCTGTACCTTCCTCTTTTTCTTCATGCTGGCCTTTTTCTCCCCCCAGCTTTTTTTGAATTTCAATTAGCAATAATCATGCCTTGGATAAACCTCATCGGCTACAATACTGCCACTGTGCAAAGCTCTGGCCTTTTTTTTTTTTTTCTGCAGGAAAGTATCCATGGGCCAAACCACAAAAGTTTTGAATCTTGAGCCAGTTCATCAACCAGGGCCAGTCCAATGAACCCAGACACAAACACACTCAGGCTTCTGGTTTTGGTGAATGTCAATGCCAGACACACTGTAGTGGGGATGAGGGGCGGAAAGGGGTTTGTCCCACATGAGACCCCATGGCAGCTGGCCGTGGAACTTGGGAAGCCATTGTCATTTTTATCACCCATTTGTCACAATAATACTGAGCCTCACCTGTTTCAAGATCTCAGGGTGGTGCCCTGGAACCTCAAGTGGTGGCATCCTCCTCAGCCACCTGCTGGCATCACTTACAGGCCACCTCCATCCTCCCAGTCACACTTCACTTTCTGACCCTGGCCTTCATCCAGTCCAGTCCAGGTCACTGGCCAAACACATGTGTTTTTAGGGTAAATAATTGCTTATGAGTGACCATCTTCCATCAGCCTCATGCCAACTGCTGCTCGTATTTATACACACTGTCCAGCACTGGGTAAAGCACTGAGTAGGCTCTTTATATGGGGTATCTATTTTCATTATCACTGTGCTATGTGGTGCTTCCTAAATACAAAGTTTTTGAGTTCAGAACCATCTATCTTTCAGTTCTCAGTGTGGCATTCCAACTGCAATGTAATATCTTGCCATGGCCTCAAATTCAACATAATTTTTTTTTTGGTTTTTTGTTTTGTTGTTGTTTTTTTTTTTTTGAGATGGAGTCTTGCTCTGTCGCCCAGGCTGGAGTGCAGTGGCACGATCTCGGCTCACTGCAAGCTCCGCTTCCTGGGTTCACACCATTCTCCTGCCTCCGCCTCCCGAGTAGCTGGGACTACAGGCGCCCGCCACCACGCCCTGCTAATTTTTTTGTATTTTTAGTAGAGATGGGGTTTCACCGTGTTAGCCAGGATGGTCTCGATCTCCTGACCTCGTGATCCGCCTGCCTCGGCCTCCCAAAGTGCTGGGATTGCAAGCGTGAGCCACCATGCCCGGCCTTTGTTTTTGTTTTGAGACAGTCTTGCTTTGTCGCCCAGGCTGGAGTGCAATGGCCCAATCTTGGCTCACTGCAACCTCCACCTCCCAGGTTCAAGCAATTCTTGTGCCTTAGCCTCCTGAGTAGCTGGGATTACAGACGTGCACCACCGCCACACCCGGATAATTTTTGTATTTTTAGTAGAGACGGGGTTTCGCCATGTTGGGCTGGCTGGTCTCGAACTCCTGGCCTCAAGTGATCCACCCACCTTGGCCTCCCAAAGTGCTGGGATTACAGGCATGAGCCACCATGCCTGGCCCAAAATCAAAATAATTAAAAGTGAATTCATTCCCTCCAAATCAGGTTTTTCCTTCCATCTCCTCTATTTCTGTTACCAATTTCTCAGTCCCTGGGATTAAAAAACCTGAAAATCTTCCCTCTAAATCCTCTCTAACAATTATCTCTCATATTTAATCAGTTTTCTGATACTTTAGACTAGATTCTTTTTGAATGCTTCCCTAACCCAGTAGTTCTCAACACTGGTTGTCCATTAGAATTATTAGAGGAGCCATTTTAAAATAAATATGTGGGTCATGCCTGGGGCCACCTCCCTCAGACAGCTGTGTAGGTTATTCACTGCACTAGGGTGAGGGGGTTGTTCCAGCTCACGCTCTCCTTGCTAAGCCTTTGGCCCTAGCATGGAACTACCTTTGACTGGAGAAAAGGAAGCTTTTTTGAACTCACACAAAGGCACTGTAAGGGCTAAGAAAGGTCTGGCCATTTCCCTGAAATTCTGATTCAGCAGACGTAGGCATTTATATTTTAAATAGTTCAGTGAGATATATAAACTTTACTCTTAAATAGTGGTGTTCCTTTCTCCCTCTTTTTGTGATATTATTGTTACACATATTGCTTCTTTGTATCATAAATCCAACAGTATGGTGTTATAATTATTACTTTTTAATTTTTATTTAATTTTTTTTTAATTGAGACAAGGTCTCACTATTTTGCCCAGGCTGGTCTCGAACTCCTGGCCCATCTTGACCTCCCAAAGTCCTGGGATTACAGGCATAAGCCACTGTACCTGGCTATAATTATTACTTTGAAAGAACCTGAGAGAAGAAGACCAAGTACATATTTATAGAGTTAGTTATATTAATCTTATTTACCCTTCCTGTTCCTCTTGATTTCTTCCTATGGATTTCAGTTCCTATCTGCTGTTATTTCCTCACTCCCATATAGCTTTGCTCCCACCTGCCTCCTTTGTGCTGTTATTGTCAAGTATATTACATTTTTACATGTCATCGTCCTAAAAATATAATTCCATACATGTTATTTTACACAGCTGCTTTTTATGTGAACTCTAACTCGAAAACCATAAAATTCACCCCTCGATGATTATTGGTGACTAATGATGAGCATCTTTTCGTTTGCTTTTTGGCCATTTTTATCTCTTATTTGGATAAATGTCTATTTAGATCTTTTGCCCATTTTTAAATTGGGTTATTTGTCTTCTTATTGTTGAGTTGTAGGGGTTACTTTTTTTTTAATCTGTCTTTGTTTTTTGTTTTTCTGTTTTTTGGTTTTTGTTTTTGAGACAGAGTCTCACTCTGTCACCCAGGTTAGAGTACAGTGGCACCATCTCGGCTCACTGCAGCCTCCACATCTCAGGTTCAAGAGATCCTCCCACCTCAGCCTCCTGAGTAGCTGGGACCGCAAATGTGCACCACCATGCCCAGCTAATTTTTTGTATTTTTTTTCTTTATCTTTTTCTTTTTTTGGAGAGCTGGAGTTTCACCATGTTGCCCAGGTTGGTCTTGAGCTCCTGACCTCAGGTGACCTGGCTACCGTGGCCTCCCAAAGTCCTAGGATTACAGGAATGAGCCACCATGCCCGACCTAAGAGTTACTTTTTGTATTTTCTTGATATAAGTCATTTATCAGATAAGTGATTTGGAAATGTTTTCTCCGATTCTGTGGCTTGTCCTTTCACTTTCTTAACGGTGTCCCTTACAGCATAATTTTTTTTTTTTTTTTGAAACGGAGTCTCACTCTATCGCCCAGGCTGGAGTGCAGTGGCGAGATCTCGGCTCACTGCAACCTCTGCAGCCCAGGTTCAAGCGATTCTTCTGCCTCAGCCTCCAGAGTAGCTGGGATTACAGGGGCCTGCCACCACACCCAGGTAAATTTTGTATTTTTAGTAGAGACGGGGTTTCACCATCTTGGCCAGGCTGGTCTTGAACTCTTGACCTCATGATCCACCCACCTCAGCCTCCCAAAGTGCTGGGATTACAGGCATGAGCCACTGTGCCCAGACTACAAAATTTTTTAAATAAAAAATACAGTTTTAATTTTGATAAATTCCAGTTTATCTGTTTTTTCTTTATTTGCTTTTGCTTCTGGTGTCATGTTTAAGAAACCATTGCCTAATCCAAGGTCACGAAGGTTTACCTATATGGTTATGGTTTTCTTATGAAAGTTTTATAATTTTAGTTCTTTTTTTTTTTTTTTTTTTTTGAGATGGAGTTTTACTCTTGTTGCCCAGGCTGGAGTGCAATGGCACGATCTCAGCTCACCACAACCTCCGTCTCCCAGGTTCAAGCAATTCTCCTGCCTCAGCCTCCCAAGTAGCTGGGATTACAGGCACACACCACCACGCCTGGCTAATTTTGTATTTTTAGTAGAGACGGTGTTTCTTCATGTTGGTCAGGCTGGTCTCGAACTCCCAACCTCAGGTGATCTGCCCATCTTGGCCTCCCAAAGTGTTGGGATTACAGGCATGAGCCATGACACCCGGCTGATTTTAATTCTTACACTTAGGTATTGTAAACCATGTTAAGTGAATTTTTGTGTGTGATGTAAGGTATGGGTCCAACTCCCTTCTTTTACATGCAGATACCCAGTTGTCTCAGCATCATTTTTGAAAAGACAGTTCTTCCCTTGTTGAATGGACTTGACATTTGTACTTATTTCCTAGGGCCACTGTAGCAGATGACCACAAACTGGGTGCCTTAAAACAACAGAACTTTTTTACATGTCACAGTTCAAGAGGACAGAAGTTCAAAATCAAGATGTCATCAGGGTTGGTTCTTCTGGAGGCCCCAAAGGGTAAACCATCCTACCCCTCTCTCATGCTTCTCATAGCTGCTGGCATCCCTGGGCATTTGTTGGCTTGTAGATGCAGGACTCCAATCTCTGCCTTCGTCACGTGGCATCCTCCCTGTGTCTGTCTCTGTGTGTCCTTTCTTCTAGGACACCTGTCATATTGGAGTCAGGACCCATCCTGATCTCAGGACCTCATCCTAACTTAACTAATTATATCTTCAAAGACACTGTTTCCAAACCGGGCTACATTCTGAGGTTCCGCATGGACACGAATTTTGAGGTGACACTGTTCAACCTAGTACAGTCTACTCACTGGTACCCAAAATTCACACACACCCCATGTGAACAATACGTTCACCCTACCCCAAGACCCCCAAAAGTCTTAACCCTTCCAGTGTCAACTCTAAATCCCAAATCTCATTTAAATATCAACTCGAGAAGTCCCAAATCTCCTCATCTAAATTATCTAAAAAGGTATGGGCGAGACTCTGGGAATGATCCATCTTTCAACAAAATTCCTCTCTGTTCATAGACCTGTTAAACCTAGAAAACAAGTGATCTCTTTTCTAAATGCAATGGCGGAACAGGCATAGGATGAATATAGTTCCATTCCAAAAGGGAAATAAATAGAAGGAAAAGAGGGGGTTATTGGTCTAAAGCAACTTTGCAATCTAACAGGGCCAATTCCATTAGGTTTCAAAGCCTGAGAGTAATCCTCTGTGGCTCCATGCTGTGTCTTCTGGGCCTCTATGATAGCCCTGGCTTTACACTTTCTGGCCTCTGCATCTATGGCTCCGCCTTCAGAGTCATTCTTCCTCCATTTTATTCCATCTCTGTCTCATTCAGTCCAGACTGGCTGTGTTTGTGTTGGTATAAAATTCTCAGAAACCCTGCCTTCTGTGATGTCAAGGGAATCCACGCCACTAGACACGAGGGTTTGTCACAGATTCTTCCTGGAGAGTTACATGCCTACCTTCTGCTGAGATGGTTGGATCCATGAGTCACAGGCCTGATCTCCTTAGCAAATGGTTGCTGAGCCACAGCCTTGATGCTTTATCCAGAGCACACTTTCTCATCTTTTGCAAAGTGAATAAACAGAGCATTCCATGAAGTTCTGATTACTTTTCGCTTAACAGTTCCTTCCTCTGTTTCTTCCCTTTTGCATTTTACTATCAGCAACAAGGAGAAAGTAGGCCAAGTCTTGGATGTGAAGATTACTATTTTCCATCAACTTTGGGAAGTTTTCAGCCATTATTTCTTTTTTTAATTTTTTATTTTAAGTTCCAGGGTACATGTGCAGGCTGTGCAGGTTTGTTACATAGGTAAACGTGTGCCATGGTGGTTTGCTGCACCTATCAACCCGTCACCTAGGTATTAAGCTCCACATGCATTAGCTATTTTTCCTGATGGTCTCCCTCCCCCGTCCCCTGCTGACAGGCCCCAATGTGTGGTGTTCCCCTCCGTGTGTCAATGTATTCAATTATTTCTTTGAATATTTTTTTCCATCTCTTTCTCTCTCCTCTCCTTCTGGTACTACTATTATGTGTATGTTGGTGCATCTAATGGTGTCTCACTCTTCTTTGATGTTCTGTTCATTTTTATCCACTGTTTTCCTCTTTTTTTTTTTTTTTTTTTTTTTTTTGAGATGGAGTCTCACTCTGCTGCCCAGGCTGGAGTGCAGTGGCGCGATCTCAGCTCACTGCAACCTCCGCCTTCCGGGTTCATGCCATTCTCCTGCCTCAGCCTCCCAAGTAGCTGGGATTACAGGCACCCACCACCATGCCTGGCTAATTTTGTTTTTGTATTTTTAGTAGAGATGGGATTTCACAGTGTTAGCCAGGATGGTCTCGATCTCCTGACCTCATGATCCGCCTGCCTTGGCCTCCCAAAGTGCTGGGATTACAGGTGTGAGCCACCGCACCCGGCCCATTGTTTTCCTCTTATGATTGTATAACCTCTATTGATCCGCTTTAAATTCACTGATTCTGATTATTTATTTATTTATTTATTTATTTACTGAGACAGGGTCTCACTCTGTTGCCCAGGCTGGAGTGCAGTGGTGCAGTCACAGCTCACTGCAGCCTTGACCTCCTGGACTCAAATGATCTTCCCACTTCAACCTCCCAAGTAGCTGGGACTACAGGTATGCACCACCATGCCAAGCTAATTTTTTTTATTTTTTGTAAAAATGGGGTCATCTCACTATGTTACCCAGGCTGGTCTTGAACTTAAGTGATCCTCCTGCCTTGGCTTCCCAAAATACTGGGATTACAGGCATAAGCCAATGCACCTGGCCTGCTTCTTATTTTTGACAGAACAAATCTATCGTTAAGTCCCTGTAGTGAATTTTTCACTGTGTTCATAGTACTTGATATTCTCTATTTGATGAGACATTGTCATCCTATCTCCCTTTACCTCTTTTTGCCCCATTGTTAGCCAGGGCCTAGAAGCATGGAGGTTCCCTCTCTGATGGCTCATGATAGGGTGCAGTCTTGGGTGTGCCCAGAATGTTCTCGACTACTAGGGAAGAGCATGATTTTAGTTCCAAGCCTGGCTTCCTAGGAGTTGCCCTGGTCAGAGTAGTTTATTGTTCAGTCAGTGTTTATCCACAGGTTCTGTTTAAGGCCTTTGTGCCAATGAGGCTTCTGCCCTTTGTTAAGGGGCCTGTGTGTGGCTTAGAGAATATTTTCAAGTCTGCCCCATGCAACCAGAAACATGTGCACACCCTTTCCTGAGCCCTAGAGCTGAATGTGCTTGCAGGGTACTTTGATTTCTCTTTCCCTGGCTCTCTATATGAAATTTCTAGCTGCTCTGCCATTTTGCTGTGTCATGGAGCTACCAGCCTCCTCTTAACTGCTCTCTTTCAAGGTCTCTGTTGTTTTCCACAACACCCTTAGGCAGTGTTCTCCAGGCTCTGTTCCAATACAGCCTGTGTCCTCAAGTAAAGCTCTAAAGCTCTTTGTCATTATGGGCTGCTTTTCTTCCTGGGAGAACCCCAGGACACTGCATCAGAGCTGGGGGTGGGGCCCCATGTTGCCTGTAGTGACACCTGGCTCTGTGAGTGGGCAGTGGAGGAGGCAGGAAAAGCCACTGATCCTCTCTGCTTGCCCCTCCTGGTGTAGAACCTCCTCCACTCTACAAACTGGCTGGGAGGAGAAAGGTGAAGTGATCTGCTCCCAGTATTCTCAGCCTGCCATGCCTGGAACAGAATTTCTCTCCTACAGTTGGGGTTGGGTGAGGGGAGGGACCAGATCCTGCCTGGAATACAGCTTCTACAGCAGAGGACTAGGGAGGGGATTAGAAACCCTGGTGGCCTGCCCCTACCTGGGTAAAAACCTTCTTACCAAGAATAGAGCTCTCAGGTAGAGTTTCCATAACAGGGAGGGGGGAGGAGGAGCAAAAGAATAGGTCATGCCTTAAATGCCATAGACAGATTGTTATTACTAAGATTTAGTAAGAACTTCAATAATATTTCTCCATTTGCTCTATGCCCTTAGAACAATTTTCAGATTTTATATAATTGTGTTCTGTTTTACAACTTAAAAAAAAATTTTTTTTTTAATTGTCTTTGAGACAGGGTCTCCCTCTGCCACCCAGGCTGGACTGCAGTAGCACCATCACAGCTCGCTACAGCCTCTGTTTCCCAGGCTCAAATGATCCTCCCATCTCAGCCTCCTGAGTAGCTGGGGGCACAGGTGTGCACCACCATGCCTGGCTAATTTTTTTTTTTATTGTTTTGGTAGAGACATGGTCTCACCAAGTTGCCTAGGCTGGTCTTGAACTCCTGGGTTCAAGCAATCCTCTCACCTCAGCCTCCTGAAGTGCTGGGATTACAGGTGTAAGCCACTATGCCCTGCTTATTTATTCTTTAATATTCTTCACTCATCAGGGAAGCCTCCTTTTGGGTGCACAGCCCATGATGGCAAGCATGCCTCTGAACCCACTAGCATTTGCTATGTGTGCTTTGCCCAGTTAGCTACCTTCTGTGCATGGGTGTTGCCTCCCTGGCTGGGCCATGAGATGTTCTCATGCTTTTTTATATCTCCTGTACCCCAGATACTCAGTAAATATCTGTTAAATGATATGAAACACAAAGCAGTATGAACAACAGAGGAAAAGCTTGTACCTGACATCTACGTAACTAATCTCAGTGGTACATCCACCCAATATACTATTCTTTTTTATAACAGTTTTGTTGAGATATAATTCATATACCATACAATTAACCCATTTAAAGTATAAAGGCAATGGCTTTAATAAATACATGGAATTTCACAATTACCATAATTCTAGAACATTTTCATCACACCATTTAGTAATTATTCCCCATCCTACCCCAAGCTCCCACCCCTAGGAAAATCTACTTTCTGTTTTTATGTGGATTTGCCTATTCTACATTTCATTTTATACAAATGGAATCACACACTATGTGCTTCTTTGTGACTGGCTTCTTTCACTTAGCGTGATGTATTCAAGGCTCATCCAACTTGTAGCATGTTTTGGTAATTCCTTTGTTTATTTATTTTTATTTTATTTTATTTATTTATGTTTATTTATTTATTTATTTTGAGACAGAGCTCTGTCATCCAGGCTGGAGTGCAGTGGTGTGATCTCGGCTCACTGCAACTTCCACCTCCCAGGTTCAAGCAATTCTCCTGCCTCAGGCTCCCAAGTAGCTGGGATTGCAGGTGTGCACCACCATACCAGGCTAATGTTTGTATTTTAGTAGAAACGGGGTTTCACCATGTTGGCCAGGCTGGTCTCGAACTCCTGACCTCAGGTGATCTGCCCGCCTCAGCCTCCCAAAGTGCTGGGATTATAGGCGTGAGTCACCATGCCCAGCCTATTTTATTTATTTTTGGAGGGGATGAGGGTCTTGCTTTGTGGCCCAGGCTGGAGCACAATGTGATCATAGCTCACCATAGCCTCAAACTCCTGGGCTCAAGTGATCTTCCTGCTTCAGCCTCCCGAGTAGCTGGGACTACAGGCACACATCACTATGCCAGGCTAATTTTTATTTTTTGTAAAGACAGGGTCTTGCTTTGTTGCCCAGGCAGGTCTAGAACACCTGGCTTCAAGGGATCCTCCCACCTCAACCTCAAAAAGTGCTGGGATTACGAGTGTCAGCCACCACACCCAGCTATTCCTTTCTTTTTATTGCTGAATAGTATTTCATGATATATACATACCATATCTTATCTATTCATCAGTTGATGAACATTTGAGTTGTTTCCACCCTTTTTTGACTATTACGAATAATGATGCTATGGACATTCATGTGCAAGTGTTTATATGGATACGTTTTCACTTCTCTTGGAGATATACACAGGAGTGGAACTGCTGGGTTGTATGGTAACTCTATGATTAAGCTTTTGAGGAAATACTAGACTGTTTACCAAAGCAGCTGCACAATTTTACATTCCCACCAGCAGTATATGAAGGTTCCAGTTTCTCTACATTCTCACCAACACTTGTTACTTGCCTTTTTAATATAGCCATCCTGGTGGCAGTGAAGTACTAGTTCATTTTGGCTTTGATTTGCATTTCCTGGTGGCTAATGATGTTGAGCATCTTTTCATGTGCTCATTGGACATCTTCTTTGGAGAAATGTCTATTCAAATCCTTTCCCCATTTTTAAATTAGCCTGTTTGTCTTTTTATTACTTAGTTGTTAAAATACTTAATATATTCCAGATATAAGTCCCTTATCAGATATATGATTTGCACATTTCTGTCATCCTGTGGGTTATTTCACTTTCTTGACAGTGTCCTTTGAAGCACACAAGTTTTTAGTTTGATGACATCCAGTTCATCTAATACTTTGTTGTTTGTTGCTCTTCTTTATCCTTAAAAATTGTGGTTATGAAGATTGTACAGAGAAAGAAAATGCTTATGCTGAATGTGCTAATTTGTTAGAACATGATATATATCTAATTCAAACCAAAAAAATTGCTTTTTTTGAGACAGGGTCTTGCCCTGTCACCCAGCCCGGAGTACAGTGGTAGGATCATGGCTCGTTGCTGCCTTGACCTCCCAGGCTCAGGTGATCCTCCCACCTCAGCCTCCCCAGTAGGTGGGACTACAGACACACACCACCAGTCCTGGCTAATTTTTTGTATTTTTTTGTAGAGACAGGGTCTCGCCATGTTGCCCAGGCTGGTCTTGAACTCCTGGGTTTGAGTGATCTGCCGGTCTCGGCCTCCCAAAGTGCTAGGATTACAGATGTGAGACCCTGCACCTGGCCAAACAAATTTTAACAGAAAAAAAACTATTGCTCATAAATTCTGAGGAAGTTTGAACAACACTAATTCATGGAAGGCCAAGGACATAGACTTCAGAAAAGAGCTAGATTCATAATCTCTAATAGCACCAGGGTGCTGTCTCCAGCTCTCCCGTCACTTATTCTAGTAACATGGCCAGAAACACCATCCCTGGTAGCTCCAAGTTTACATCTTGCAATTCTGACACCATGGAAGGGTTGCTCATGTGGTTCATGTGTCCACATTCCTAGCAGAAGCAGATCTGCTGCCTGCCCCTTGCCCCTCACAGTACATGCCAACCCCCATCCCCAGCAAGACACCTTATATGCAAAGCTATTTGGCCGGGCACGGTGGCTCACGCCTGTAATCCCAACACTTTGGGAGGCTGAGGCAGGCAGATCACCTGAGGTTAGGAGTTCAGGACCAGCCTGGCCAACATGGCAAAACCCTATCTCTACTAAAAATACAAAAATTAGCTAGGCGTGGTGGCAGATGCCTGTGATCCTAGCTACTAGGGCGGCTGAGGCAGGAGAATAGTTTGAACCCAGGAGGTGGAGGCTGCAGTGAGCTGAGATCACACCACTTCATTCCAGGCTGGCAATAGAGCGAGGCCTCATCTCAGAAAAAAAAAAAAGAAAGAAAGAAAGAAAAGAAAAGTTATTTTCTGGAAAGATGTACAAGACTTAAAGTGGTCACTGGGGATAAGGGTGGAGGAGAGGGACTGTCACTTTTTATACTTTTTATTATGTGCATGAACTACTTAAAATTTTTTTTAAAACAAAGTGAATCTTTAATGTTTATAAGAAAAAATGTGTATAGGAGAAAAGATAGGAAAGAAATATTCCAAATGCTAGCAAGTGACAGATGTATTGACAATGAAGTCATGCGTGATTATTTTCTTTTTTCAATTCTTTCCCAAATTTTTTGGTAAAGTGATGATATAATTTTATACCAAAGATAACTTAAAAAAATAGAACCATGTAAAAGCTAAAGAAACCCTTCAGAGATGTTTTTGGAAAGAAAAATTTAAATGAAATAAGCAAATAAATACATATGCTCCTCCCAAATGTATCATTTTGGGAAAAATATCTGGATTTCCATACCTTGTTTTGCATAAAGCAGGGCTGACCCAGACTCCCTCTGTCCTTTTGGTGCTGGCGGTCGTGATTGCTGCTGGCAAGTATAGGAATCAGAGAGCTGAGCAAATAACATTTTCTGTCATCCATGCTGGCCCAAGTCTGTTTCTGGGGTAATAAGCTGGGAAACAGCAGTGAGGTTTTAGAAGCATAGAGATGATGATAAAGCTCCTTGATAAGAGAAGTGAAGTTAGGAACAAAGCCTGCTTGACTGCTCCAGTGTTGCTGAACATAGTCTACCTGAATCTATTCTACAGGAATCTACTCAGCCACAGACCTACCTGCAGGGATGACCTTGGATTGCTGTTAGCAGATTCCCTCAGCATCAGCCCTCATATGCCTCTTTCCTCCTTCGTTAGTAATCTCTTATGTAGTCCCCATAAGACTCCCAACCCCTATGAGGCTTACCCTTAATCTCTAAACTCTGGACTAACAAAGGTTTCTGGTGATTCCCTCTCCTGAGCACTTGCCATGGCTTTTACCAAATCCATATCAGGGAGCAGAAAGGGTGAGTTGATGACTGGGTAGAAGATGACTAAAGTGACCATATTTCTAACAAACAAGTTTAAGTGTGGACCAGGCAGAGCCAGGCAAGATGAATGAGGGACTGGAAGAAAGCCAGCTCTTTCCTTTCTCTCCAGCACCAAGACTCAGCCCCAGGCTGTGGGAGTAGGAATAAGATAGTTAAGAGTGGTATTGTTTTCCCTTGGGACTCTCCATTGCTTTTAGAATTCCAAGCTTAAGAGATATTGCCTTATATTATTTGTTTATTCATGTTATTACTTCAGCTTGGCCACCATATTTTATACACCAGTGCAAATTGTTTCATAGTTTGCCTATGGTTGTGTGTTAATGCCAGTACAGGCCATCAAAATCCAGAGCATCTCAACATTTGAGGATGTCCCAGGGCTGGGTCTGACCCTTCTCTTTTTTTTTTTTTTTTTTTTTTCCTGAGACAGAATTTCACTCTTGTTGACCCAGGCTGGAGTGCAATGGCACAATCTCAGCTCACTGCAATCTGTGCCTCCAGGGTTCAAGAGATTCTCCTGCCTCAGCCTCCCAAGTAGCTGGGATTACTGGAATTAATTAGCCACCACGCCTGGCTAATTTTGTATTTTTAGTAGAAAGAGGGTTTCTCCATGTTGGTCAGGTTGGTCTTGAACTCCCGACCTCAGGTGATTCACTCGCCTTGGCCTCCCAAAGTGCTGGGATTACAGGTGTGAGCCACTGCACCTGGCCAGTCTGACCCTTCTAACCCTTACATTCAAAGAATCAAGCTGACTTCCAAGATGGGAGAATTGAGGAATGTTCCTGTTCACAGACATTCTCAACCTTGTGTAAGAGAATAGGATGGCAATGAGAACACATGGACACAGGGAGGGGAACATCACACACCAGGGCCTGCCAGTGGGTGGGGGACAGGGGGAGGGATAGCATTAGGACAAATACCTAATGCATGCGGGGCTTAAAACCTAAATGATGGGTTGATGGGTGCAGCAAACCACCATGGCACATGTACACCTATGTAACAAACCTGCACGTTCTGCACATGTATCCAGAACTTAAAGTATAATAAATAATAATAATAATAATAATAATTTAAAAATAAAATAGGTGAGTGGCAAAGAGTACTGGCCTGGGACCAAATTCAGAGCTGGCAAACTCCTGGAATAGAAAGTTGTCCCCTTGTAATATACATCCAGAAGCTCCTGAGATTTTCAGCTGGTTTCCTGCTATTAACCTGAATTTGGTTTTACTTGATGGATTCTGGTCCCTTTCTCTGGTCCTGTTTTAAGCTTGGGCCATGATGTCCTGGGGCTTGAGGGTGAGGAGCAGGAGCCTCTGTAAGGGGAATAGGAATGGTGTGTGGAGGGGCACAGGGCGGGTAAATCCAGAGGAGTTTTCAGAGGGTGTCAAGATTCCACGTTCCAGTTTCAGGCCTGTACAGAGCTAGGAGCATCTGAGGCTGGGTAAGGATTTAAGGAAAAAGAGAGAAGATCCCAGAAACAAAACAGCAAAATAACATTATGAAAGCTGGGGGACTGGCAAATGCAATGTGACATTTTGTTCTTTTTTTTAAATTGACATATAATAATTGTATATATTCATGGGGTACATAGAGATGT
The DNA here is from genome assembly GCF_000001405.40 of Homo sapiens. Classification (NCBI taxonomy): domain Eukaryota; kingdom Metazoa; phylum Chordata; class Mammalia; order Primates; family Hominidae; genus Homo; species Homo sapiens. The sequence continues at coordinate 129,117,337 of NC_000007.14, forward strand.
TTTGATACATATAATATACAGTGATTAGATAAGGGTAATTTGCATATCCATCATCTCATTTACCATTTCTCTTTTTTCTTTTTGAATTCTGGTGTATGAAATCTATTAAATTACGATACATATAAAAAATTCATGAGACATTTCTCTTTTGTAATAAATAACGCAGTGGCCAATTATTTCTCATGAGCAGCTTTTTTGAGATAAGCTATCAAGTCCGCCCTTTCTCCCTTCTTCTTAATGCCGCCAAAGATCATTTTTGTTCCAGGTATCTAATTCTTTGGATTCTCCAAATACTCTATCAGTGTGTCCTCTCCCCAGGTGATGCCTTTGTTCTTACTGGTGTCTGTGTAGCAGAATCCAATGGCACCTGTCTTCCACCCAAAGAGACCATGGAGGTTAGGCTCAGTCTTGTGCTTGCCTCCCTTTTCCGTGGTGTGGCACTGGGCACACTTCTGAACACAAATATTCGTGCTTTTCTCAACATCACCCATATTTAATTCTCTCTTTTGTCACTGGCACTGTGAAGGTTCCTACTCAGAAACCAGATGTCCTGCTCTCTCATTTTTCATTTCTTTGTGTTAAGAACATTCTATATCCATTTTTTAGCTACTTTTTTTTTAGACGGAGTCTTGCTCTGTTGCCAAGGCACACTCTCACCTGACTGCAATATCTGCCTCCTGGGTTCAAGCAATCCTCCTGCCTCAGCCTCCCTAGTAGCTGGGATTACAGGTGCATGCCACCCCACCCAGCTAACTTTTGTATTTTCAGTAGAGATGGGGTTTCGTCATGTTGGCCAGGCTGGTCTCGAACTCCTGACCTCAAGTGATCCGCCTGCCTCGGCCTCCCAAAGTCCTGGGATTACAGGCATGGGCCACTGTGCCTGGCCCGTTTTAGCTATTTGAAGCTATATATTGTTACATCCAGTCATCCTACAGTGGTATAGAACAGGGGTCCCCAGCCCCTGAGCCATGGTCGCATAACAACGGTCTATGGCCTGTTAGGAACCGGGCCACACAGCAGGAGGTAAGCAACAGGCTACTGAGTGAAGCTTTATCTGTATTTACAGCTGCTCCCCATTGCTCACATTACGGCCTGACCTCCGCCTCCTGTCAGATCAATGGCAGCATTAGATTCTCACAGGAGTGCGAACCCTATTGTGAACTGCACATGCCAGGCTCCTTATGAGAATCTAATGCCTGATGATCTGTCACTGTCTCCCATCACCCCCAGATGGGACTGTCTAGTTGCAGGAAAACAAACTTAGGGCTCCCACTGATTCCACATTATGGTGAGTTGTACGATTATTTCATTACATATTAATATTACGATGTAATAATAATAGCAATAAAGTGCATAATAAATGTAATGCGCTTGAATCATCCTGAAACCATCCCCCACTCCCTGGTCTGTGGAAAAATTGTCTTCCATGAAACCAGTCCCTGGTGCCAAAAATGTTGGGGACCACTGGTATAGAACTCTAGAACTTATTCCTTCTATCTAGCTGTAATTTTGTATCATTTAATAAACATCTCTCTAACTCCCACTTCCCTCTGCCCTTCAAGCCTCTAGTATCCTCTGTTTTACTTTTTACTTTTATGAAGTCAACTTTTCTTAGCTTCCACAAAGGAGTGAGAACATGCAGTATTTAACTTTCTGTTCCTGGCTTAATTCACTTAACATAATGTGCTCCAATTCTATCCGCATTACTTCAAATAACTGGATTTCATTCTTTTTTTAATAGCCGAATAGTGTTCTATTGTGTACGTATACCACATTCTCTTTATCCATTCATCTGTTATTGAACACCTAGGTTGAGTCCATATTTTGGCTATTGTGAATAGTGATGCAATAAACATAGGGGCACAGATGTCTCTTTGATATACTGATTTCTTTCCCTTTGAATAAATGCCCAGTAGTGGGATTGCTGTATCATATGGTAGTTCTATTTGTAGTTTTTTGAGGAACCTCCAACTCTTCTCCATAGTGGCTGTACTAGTTTACATTCCCACCAACAGTGAATAAGAGTTCCATTTTTCCACATCCTCACCAGCATTTGTTATTTTTTTGTGTTTCTGATAATAGCATCCTAACCAGAGTGAGATGATACTTCTTGATGGTTTTGATTTGTGTTTCCCTGATGATTAGTAATATTGAGCATTATTTTATATATTTGTTGACCATCCATTTGTATGTCTTCTTTTGAGAAATATCTGTTCAGATCATTTGCCCTTTTATTTATTTATTTTATTTATTTTTATTTTTTTTGAGACAGGCTTGCTCTGTCACCCAGGCTGGAGTACAGTGGCACGATCACAGCTCACTACAACCTCTGCCTCCCAGGTTGAAGCCATTCTCCTGCCTCAGCCTCCCGAGTAGCTGAGATTACACCCATGTGCCACCACCACACCCGGATAATTTTTTATATTTTTAGTAGAGAGGGGGTTTCACCATGTTGGCCAGGCTGGTCTCCAACTCCTGACCTCAAGTGATCCACCCTCCTGACCTCAAATGATCTGCCTGCCTTGGCCTCCCAAAGTGCTGGGATTACAGGTGTGAGCCACCATGCCTGGCCCATTTGCCCATTTTTTAAATTGAATTATTTGCTTTTTTGCTATTGAAGTGTTTGAATTCCTTGTATGTTCTAGATAATAATCCCTTGTTGGATGAATAGTTTACAAATATTTTCTCTCATTCTGTTGATTGTCTTTTCACTCTATTGATTATTTCCTTTGCTGTGTAGAAGCTTTTTAGTTTGATATAATCCCATTTGTTTATTGTTACTTTTGTTGCCTATGCTTTTGAAGTCTTATAAAATCTTTTCCCAGACCCATGTCCTGAAGCATTTCCCCATGTTTTCTTCTAGTAGTTTTATAGGGTTGGGTCTTACATTTAGGTCTTTGATCCACTTTGAGTTGATTTTTGTATAGGATGAAAGTCAGGAATCTAGTTTCATGCTTTTGCATATGAATATCCAGTTTTGCCTCAACCATTTATTGAAGAGACTATCAATAAGGGTTCTTGGCACCTTTGTCAAAAAACAGTTGGTTATAGATACATGGATTAATTTCTGGGTTCTCTATTGTTCCAGTGTTCTATGTGTTTGTTTTTATGCCAGCGCCATGCTGTTTTGCTTACTACAGCTTTGTAGGATATTTTAAAGTCTGGTAGTGTGATGCCTCCAGCTTTCTTTTTGCTCAAGATTGCTTTGACTATTTAGGGTCTTTTGTGGTTCCATATACATTTTAAGATTTTTTTTCTATTTCTATGAAGAATGTCGTTGGTATTTTGATAGGAATTGCATTAAATCTATAAATTTCTTTGTGTAGTAAGATTTTGTTCTGAATGCTAAAACTGTAGGTATAAATAGGATGGCACTGCTGGCCCAGAGGAAGGCCTGATTAGCCAGGGTGCCCCCTAATAGCTCTGACTTCACTAGTACCCAACCTTCTCTCAGTACTTTGAGGGATTAAGACAAAAATATCACATCATAAGTCTGATGCTGAAACAAGTTTGTTCCTTTAATGAGATAGTTTTTGACAAATTGGATCCAACATCTCCTGTTAAAATGGAAATACATATTTAGAGTCGTGGTAGGGCAGGTAGACAAGTAACAAGCCTGAGTGGCCATCACCACATTGGTATGAATTAATTTAGGAACAAAGAAAAACTTCCTGGGAGGATATGATCTATAATGGGATGGTTGGGGGGGGGGGTTGTTAGTGGTGGTGGTAATGGGTTATTTTAGTTTTGAATGTGTGTGTTGCAGGGAAGGAAAAAGGTTGGTGGAGAGTTCAGAGCCAAAGCCATGCTGAATGACAGGTGGAAGACAGTCTGATGGATCATAGTCACTGTTCTTAAAGAATACATAATTCAGGCTTGCATGAGACAAGATGAACCACTGACATCCTAATTTCTCAAAGTAGTCATTGGAAATGGAAAGAAGAGCCAGGATTTATTGGAGGGTATATTCACACAGAAGGGGTTCATGAAGGTGAGGGACCCTTTCACCTCCCCACTGGGCAGAAAGCACTTGCCAGAAGAAAGGGTTGCAAAAGAAGGTTGAACTCAGCAAGAAAAGTGCCTTGGGTCAGTCTCTGTACTGCTAAATAGGGCCTACCACCCTACCCTGCCAATCCCTACATAGGCCCTGTCTTCAGTAAACACTAGAGTTCGCTTACCTTCCATTCCAAGAACCAATCTGACATCTGCTGTATTAGTCTGTTTTCACACTGCTGATAAAGACATACCCGAGACTGGCTAATTTACAAAAGAAAGAGCTTTAATGGACTTACAGTTCCACATGGCTTGGGAAGCCTCACAATCATGGCGGAAGGCAAGGAGGAGCAAGTCACATCTTACATGGATGGCAGCAGGCACAGAGAGGGCTTGTGCAGGGAAACTCCTATTTTTAAAACCATCAGATCTCATGAGACTTATTCACTATCATGAGAACAGCATGGGAAAGACCTGCCCTCATGATTCAATTATCTCCCACCCAGTCCCTCCCACAACATGTGGGAATTCAAGATGAGATTTGGGTGGGAACACAGCCAAACCACATCATCTGCTGTGCCTCATCCCACAGATAGCAGAGCTTCCTCCTAATCTATCAAGAGTTCAGCATTTAGTGAGTGGTCAGGATCTCACCCTTCATTTAACCAACTAACCACCACCAACCAACCACCACCATCAGAGGTGGGCCTAAGGCAGGCCTTGGGGTCTCTGGGAAGTGGGCCATGCTCAGTCTACATCCCAATGTGCTATGGCTCCTGACACTCTGAGCAGGGGCTCTCCCTTGCACACACCAAAGGAATGACTGGGCTTAAAAAACGTGCCAACTTGCTTATAAATCAGTCTCCTCAGATTCTACAATTCACCGAGCCATAAAACCTCAGAGCTTCAAAGATGCTTAGAAAATATCAAGGCCAGGGTTCCCAGGAAGCCTCAATGCTGCCATTTTACAAAGGAAGAAACTGAAGTGCAGAGAGATTAAGGGGCTTGTCCAGGTCACACAGCTACTTAGTGGTAGATCTGTAACTAGAAAGGTTTCAGTTCACACTCAATGTTCTTTCCTCTAGAATCTAACCTCTGCCCCCTTGTTATTTTTGGCATGAGAGAGGAGGATTATATTTATGTCTCTAGAAAAGCTGTGCTTTTGGATTGAATTCTGATTTTCTCTTCTCAAGTCTCATTGAGAACCACATGAAAAAACTCTGCTGGATTTGAGTTAAAAAAAAAAAAAAAAGAATCTGAAGAAAAAAATAGCAAATCTGGTATCCTAATGAGATAATGAATGCACAAGTACTTTGAAAGAGGTACAGCACTTCAGTGCTTTTCAGATATGAGGTTTTGTCATGCTCTTGAAAGAAATGCATAGGCTTTACTGACATGGGGGCTGGGGCTGGGGCTGGGGCCCTGGCAGAAATGGGGAAGCACAGGCTGTGGCAAGGGGGGTTTCTCCAGAAGGCTGACTCATTTCTTGGCTGTCCCAAGCTTAGAGAGCCAGATTTCTTAGGGTTGTTTACCACCTTAGTAAGGAACTGGTGGAGGGTTTTTTTCTGGAGTTAAGCACTGCAGGAAGAGCTGCCCACAGTATGGGGGTGGGTCATCTGCTTCTGGACTGCCCAGGCCAACTGTGGTTACCCCAGTTAACTGTGGTGAACTGTCCACATAACCAGCCTTCTGGATCTGCCTTTCAAGGAGTCCCACTGTGCTTCTCCCTGCTGAGGCCGCTGAAAGGGCATAGGCAATTGCTAGAGGTGAAGAAAAACTCTGTAGCTAAGCTATAAAAACAGGCATCCTGAATCTGGCTACATCCTGGTAATCTTGCACATAGGATGAATCCTAAGAAAAGGTGAGTCTTGTTAATGTGCACAGCACACAAGCCAGCGGGATGGCGTGCCAGTCAGCAGATTTTCAGTTTCAAGATAACTGAAAATCCATTTTTATCTGACTTAGACAAAATGAAACAAAACACCAAACCAACAAACAACAACCACACAATTTCACTGATTCGCATAACTGAAAAGTCTAAGGTTAGGGCTTGTTTCAGGCACCACTGATCTTGTGGCTCAAACTATGTCACTGGGACTTGGTTTAACCCTGTCTCAGCTCTACCTTTCCTCAGTGTTACCTTCTCTCTCAGGAGCCCTGGGGTAGCCCCCAGTGGCTGCAGGTCATCTGTAATCCCAGGGGGTCCCAGCAAAAGAGAGAGGGAATCCCTTTCAGTAATGGTCCTCCTCCCCAACTAAATTAGAGGCTTCATTCTGACTGGACCAAGTTAGAGCGCATAACCATCCCTGGGCTCTGATTGGCCAGAACAGAGTCCGGCGTTCCACCTGCCAGGTGGAAGGGTAGATCTCTCCCATGCTCACTGAGCCTGAGACAGGAGGTGGGGTGGCATCCCAAAGGAAATCTAGCATGCTGGTACCAGAACGGGGAATAGGTGCTGGGCTTGGAAAAATAACAGACAAACACTCAGTGCTACCCATTTAAGCATTTGAAATAATTTCACTTCAAAATCAGAGTGGTCGAGTCTCAGACACATGAGATTCTGTCTCAGATTTCTGGTGGCTTGAATGGAGGGTGTACAGAATCATGTCTTGATAAATGTTTAACTTCTAAGATTTGAAGTGCAGATATTGGTCTGGGTATCCCTCCTAGAAATCTTTGCATTTTCTGCATTTTCTTTTTAATATTTTATTTTTATTTTTATTTTTATTTTTTTGAGACAGTGTCTCAGTCACCCAGGCTGGAGTGCAGTAGTGCGATCTTGGCTCACTGCAACCTCCGCCTCCCGGATTCAAGCGATTCTTGTGCTTCAGCATTCGGAGTAGCTGGGACTACAGGTGTGAGCCACCACGGCTGGCTAGTTTTTGTATTTTTAGTAGAGACAGGGTTTTGCCATGTTGCCCAGGCTGGTCTCGAACTCCTGGCCTCAAGTGATCCTCCTGCCTCAGTCTCCCAAAGTGCTGGGATTACAGGCGTGAGCCACTCACTGCACCTAGCCTATATTTGAATTTTAAATAGTGATTCCACACCTTAACCTAACCATAATGGGAATTGGATTAGAGAATGGTGGGAATTTCAGACAAGTTGGTGAGGGTGAGAAGTAAGGGAAGAGAAACGTTATGGAACCTCTCACATAAAAAGTGCACAGTGGCCTACCCCTATATGGATGTGAGACTGCTCCTGATAGGAAATATCCCCAAACCCCTTGTTTGCAGTCCACGGCCCCAGTCTCAACTCCACCAAATCATGATGCTTCCCCTGAGATCATGATTGCGTTGCCCAGTTTCCTCTCTGACCAGACCTGATTCTACAGACAAAAGCCAACCTCCTCACTTCGATTCCCCTGGATCCTTTCCTCCTCTTCACATCTACAGCCGCTCTTCTAACTTCTTACTCCCGTTGCAATTCCAGATATTCCAGAGACAGGATATCTCCAAGGCACTCCAGGGCCCCAAATAACAAACCTTATTTGTTTTCCACCTCACACAATCTGAACTCTTCTGCCTGCCCTTTGAAACCCTTCGCGAACACCTCCAACCTTATTTCTTGCTCCTCCTCAATACAGCCTGTTCTGGTTGGCACAGCCTCACCTCTTACCTTTGCCACGATGCTACTCCTGCTGCGTCACTCAGTTCTGCATGGTGAGTCTCCTCCATCCACTGTGATCTGGAACCACGTCATTGTCAGTGGAGGTTGAATACAACTGGAATTTTTTATGGGATTCTAACAGACCTGTCCCTGATAATGGCGTGCCCCTAATTTCCGTTCTTTACTGACTACTCATTGGCTGTATCACTCTAGTTGCACAAATGATCTCTATCTCCCTCTATGCATGCCTACTAGGTCCAGGGAAGTAATATAGTGTTTGTAACTAGGAGTGGTAAAGATGATGGCTAATTGGAGAGAGTAAGCTCAAGCTAAAAGCATTCAAATTCAATTTTTTTTTTTTTTTTGAGACAAGGTCTAGCTCTCTTGCCCAGGCTGGAGTACAGTGGCATGATCACAGCTCGCTGCAGCTTCAAACTCCTGGACTCAAATGATCCTCCCACCTCAGCCTCCGGAGTAGCTGGGACTGCAGGTGCTCACCACTATGCCCAGCTAATTTTTTTTAAAAAAAAAATTGTGGAGACAGAGGTCTTTCTATGTTGTTCAGGCTGGTCTTGAACTCCTGGGCTCAAGTGATTCTCCCATCTTGGCCTCCCAAAATGCTGGGATTACAGACATGAGCCACCGTGCCCAGCTCAAATTCAAAAATTTTAAGACATTATGGGACAAAGAAAATTCACCTGTCCATCCAAATAATGTAATGTGCAATAAATCTGCAACCACTGCTTAAGCTTGTCTTGAAGTTTTTCTGTTTTGCAGGACTCTTCCTGAGCAGTACATTTTCTTCTCTTCTAACAGAGTTAGAATTTATTGCTTACAACTCTTTCAGAAAATGGCAGTAATTAGAAATGGAGTCTGAGGAGGGGGATTTGCTCAAAATACGAGTATCGTTTCTTTACCATTTTTCTTTAGCAATGTATTCTGTAATCATAAATGAGCTACATGAAGATCTGAGCACAGCCTGGAAATATTGCATGTTTAATATCAGCCTCCTTTCCCTTCTTCAGAATTAAACTCTGGATCCTTCCTAGACTTGGCCAGTTCCAAGTCACGACTTCGTCAGATACACTCTTGCTGTAAGAAGCAGTAAAGTTCAGTGGTTATGATCACAGACCTAGAGCTGGTCTATCTGGGTTTAAAGCCAGACTCTATAGCTTTCTGGATGTGGCTGTCTGTTTAACCTTGGGCAAGCTAGGTGACCTCTGTTTGCCTCAGTTTCCTCATTTGTGAAGTGCGGATAATAATAGTACCTACCTCATGTCATCGTTTTAAGGATTAAATGAATTAACACATTTAAAATATAAGAAGTTTGAAAAGCTCTTGGACTCCGGCTGCAGCGTCAGCCTCCCTCGGGCCTCGGCAGCGGCGGCGGCTCGCTCGCCTCAGCCCCAGCGCCCCTCGGCTACCCTCGGACCAGGCCCGCAGCGCCGCCCGCCCTCGGCCGCCCCGACGCCGGCCTGGGCCGCGGTCGCAGCCCCGGGCTCGCGTAGGCGCCGAACGCTCCCGGCCCGCCCACTACGGGCCCAGGCTAGAGGCGCCGCCGCCACCGGCCCGCGGAGCCCGGATGCTGGCCCGGAGGAAGCCGATGCTGCCGGCGCTCACCATCAACCCTACCATCGCCGAGGGCCCGTCCCCAACCAGCGAGGGCGCCTCCGAGGCAAACCTGGTGGACCTGCAGAAGAAGCTGGAGGAGCTGGAACTTGACGAGCAGCAGAAGCGGCTGGAAGCCTTTCTCACCCAGAAAGCCAAGGTCGGCGAACTCAAAGACGATGACTTCGAAAGGACCTCAGAGCTGGACGCGGGCAACGGCGGGGTGGTCACCAAAGTCCAGCACAGACCCTCGGGCCTCATCATGGCCAGGAAGCTGATCCACCTTGAGATCAAGCCGGCCATCCGGAACCAGATCATCCGCGAGCACCAGGTCCTGCACGAGTGCAACTCACCGTACATCGTGGGCTTCTACGGGGCCTTCTACTGTGACAGGGAGATCAGCATCTGCATGGAGCACATGGATGGCGGCTCCCTGGACCAGGGGCTGAAAGAGGCCAAGAGGATTCCCGAGGACATCCTGGGGAAAGTCAGCATTGCGGTTCTCCGGGGCTTGGCGTACCTCCGAGAGAAGCACCAGATCATGCACCGAAATGTGAAGCCCTCCAACATCCTCGTGAACTCTAGAGGGGAGATCAAGCTGTGTGACTTCGGGGTGAGCGGCCAGCTCATCGACTCCATGGCCAACTCCTTCGTGGGCACGCGCTCCTACATGGCTCCGGAGCGGTTGCAGGGCACACATTACTCGGTGCAGTCGGTCATCTGGAGCATGGACCTGTCCCTGGTGGAGCTGGCCATCGAAAGGTACCCCATCCCCCCGCCCGACGCCAAGGAGCTGGAGGCCATCTTTGGCCAGCCCGTGGTCGACAGGGAAGAAGGAGAGCCTCACAGCATCTCCTCTTGGCCAGGGTCCCCCGGGCGCCCCAACAGCGGTTACGGGATGGACAGCCTGCCCGCCATGGCCATCTTCGAACTGCTGGACTATATTGTGAAAGAGCCGCCTCCTAAGCTGCCCAACGGTGTGTTCACCCCCGACTTCCAGGAGTTTGTCAATAAATGCCTCATCAAAAACCCAACGGAGCGGGCGGACCTAAAGATGCTCACAAACCACGCCTTCATCAAGCGGTCCGAGGTGAAAGAAGCGGATTTTGCCTGCTAGTTGTGTAAAACCCTGGGGCTGAACCAGCCCGGCACACCCACGCGCACCGCCGTGTAACAGTGGCCAGGCTCCCCGCGTCCCGCTGGTGACCTGCCCACCGTCCCTGTCCACGCCCCGCCCTTCCAGCTGAGGACAGGCTGGCGCCTCCACCCACCCTCCTGCCTCACCCCTGCGGAGAGCACCGTGGCGGGGCGACAACTGCGCACGCAGGAACGGGGGTCTCCTCTCCTGCTGGTCCCTGCCGGCGTGCCTCTAGGGACGGGCGACGCTGCTGTGTGTGGTCTCAGAGCCTCTGCTTCCTTAGGTTACAAAACAAAACAGGGAGAGAAAAACCAAAAAAAAAAAAAGAAGTTTGAAAAGTTGGGAAACACTGGGTAAACTTATTTTTAAACAGTGTATTAGTCAGCTTTTCAAATAATATGGTCAGTATCTTTTTCTTCAACCCTTGGACAACCCCCTATTTAAGACAATGAGTCCAGGCCAGGCACGGTGGCTCACACCTGTAATCCCAGCACTTTGGGAGGCCAAGGAAGGCCAACTGCTTGAGCCCAGGAGTTGGAGACCACCCCAGGCAACATAGCAAAATCTTGTCTCTACCAAAAAGATAAAAATACAAACAATTAGCCAGGTATGGCAGCCCACACCTGTGGTCCCAGCTACTTGGGAGGCTGAGCAGGGAGAATCACATGAGCCCTGGAAGCTGAGGCTGCAGTGAGCAGTGATCATGCCACTGCACTCCAACCTGGGTGACAGAGCAAAACCCTGTCTTAAAAATAAAATAAAATAAAATAAAGCAATGAATCCGATTTTAATCTTTAAAAAGTATAATAAATACACTAAAAAGTGTCCAAAAATTCTGGAAATATAGGAAAAATATATATATTTAATCTGAAGTAAGCTTTTTTTCACATTAACAAATGGATTAATTACTTCAAATTTAGAGATATTTCACCTGAAAAGATGTCCTGGGGTTAAAAAAGTTGAACATATTGGCTGGGTGCGGTGGCTGACACCTATAATCCCAGCACTTTGGGAGGCCGAGCGGGAGTGGATCACTTGAGGTCAGGAGTTCAAGACCAGCCTGGCCAATATGGTGAAACCCCGTCTCTACTAAAAATGCAAAAATTAGCCGGACTTGGTGGTGCATGCCTGTAATCCCAGCTACTTGGGAGGCTGAGGCGGGAGAATTGCCTGAAACCTGGAGACAGAGGTTGCAGTGAGCTGCGATCTCGCCATTGCACTCCAGCCTGGGTGACAAGAGCGAAACTCCATCTCAAAAAAAAATTTTTTTCAATTGAACATACTATTTGAAAAGTTAAATGACATGCAATTTAAAAGTCTGTTTATCCTTTTTCCCAACTTTTCAGATACCATGTGCTTAGCACGGTGACTGGCACTTAGTAAGCATTGTTGCAAATGTCATTTTCCTATGACTCATTGTCCCTTCACTTTATGAGGAGGGTCCCCTCCTCTGCCTGGACCATTGTCCAGTCTAACGTATCCCACTTTGGAAACTCTTAAAGTAGCATGTCTCCAAAGAGCTGCGTCGGCTAACACTATTCCTCACTGTCATGGGAGGTGAAGTGATATGTATAGAAATAATGTTTGTCTCAGCTCAGGCTACTGTAGGGTCTCACTGTTGCCCAAGCTGGAGTGCAGCAGAACTATCATAGCTCACTGCAGCCTCGAATCCTGGGCTCAAGTGATTCCCCCACCTCAGCCTCCTGAGTAACCAGGACTATAGGCACGTGCCACCACACCCAAGTAATTTTTTATTTTACTTTTTGCTGAGACAGGGTCTTGCCATGTTACCCAGGCTGGTCTCAAATTCCTGGCCTCAAATGATCCTCCTGTCTCAGCCTCCCAAATTGCTGGGATTACAGGCATGAGCCATTGCACTGGCCTCTTCTTATAAAGACACTAATTCTATCATAAGGGCCCTATCCTCATGACCTCATCTAAACCCAATTTTCTCCCAAAGGCCCATCTCCAAATACCATCACACTGGGGTTACGTATTTGGTGGGAGGAGCAATTAATCTCATAGTAATATTATATACCTGCCCAAAAAGGTAGGGGAGCAACTTAAAGTGATACTGGAAACCAAAGATCTTATATGATAAATAGCCAGGAAACTTAATGGTACTAGATGCATAAAGACACCAAATGAATGCTTACCACTTATTTTCCCCAATAATTTCTGTATTGTTTTTTGTTTTTTGTGTTGTTGTTGTTGTTGTTGTTGTTGAGACGGAGTCTCACTCTGTCATCCAGGCTGGAGTGCAATGGTGCGATCTGGGCTCACTGCAACCTCCGCCTCCCAGGTTCAAGTGATTCTCCTGCCTCAGCCGCCCAAGTAGCTGGGATTACAGGTGCCTGGCACCATGCCCAGCTAATTTTTGTATTTTTAGTAGAGACAGGGTTTCACCAGTTTGGCCAGGCTGGTCTCAAACTCCTGAACTCAGGTGATCCACCTGCTTCAGCCTCCCAAAGTGCTGGGATTACAGGCATGGGCCACTGCGCCTGGCCTGTATTTGTTGTTTGAGTAGCTGGTCATTCACATGGTTTACAGTCAAAAGAGGCAAAAGGATATGCAGTGAAAACTCTCTCTCCTATCCCTGCTTTCCAGCCACCAGTTTCCTTCCCCAGAGGCTGTGGCTGGGGCCTTTGTCTCCTTCCAGAGATAGCCTGTGTACATCCAGGTCCCTTGGAGACATGGGTTTCAGAATGAAGAACGTTTCAGGTTTAGGCAGTAATAAGGTGCATATAGCATGTATTCCGCAACACCCCAGGCTCTGTCTAGGATGGCCAGTCATCCCAGTTTATCCCAGACTGCCCCAGCTTTAGCACTATCAGACAAACCAGGCTGATTTGACCACTTTTTAGTTTAACCAAGTTTTTGTGAATGACTTATCTTTGCTGCTTCTTAATATCTATTCAAGATTGTTTTAAGATCACTTTATTCTTCCTTTTCCTTTGGTTTTCAGGCTTGCCTTCTCTCAAACCATCAGGCAAAACATACCCTGATGAACACATCAAATTCAGCATCAAAGTGGACGCTTACAACTTTAATGCTCACTACGAATTAACCTCAAAATAGCTACGTAAATAAAATTAGCAGGATTATCAGAGAATTGTTCAAATAGCAATCACAGAATTCTTTCCCTGTTCTTTAAAAACTCCAGAGATTGGCTGGGCCCAGTGGCTCATGCCTGTAATCCCAGCACTTTGGGTGGCTGAGGCCGGCAGATCACCTGAGGTCAGGAGTTCAAGACCAGCCTGGCCAACATGGTGAAACCCCCATTTCTATTAAACATACAAAAATTAGCCAAGTGTCGTGGCGGGCACCTGTAATCCCAGCTACTCAGGAGGCTGAGACAAAAGAATCGCTTGAACTCAGGAGGTGGAGGCTGCAGTGAGCTGAGATCGCGCCATGCACTCCAGCCTGGGTGACAAGAGCAAGACTGTCTCAAAAAATATAAATAAATAAAATAAAAAATAAAAACTTCAGACATTGTTCGTGATGTTGTTTAGGTCTCTGGAAACATTAAATGTCAGGCTTATTTTTTGTGAAAAATACGTGTTTGTATATGTGTATGCATGTGCCCAGAGAAAACTCTGGAAGGCAGTGGCAGTGATTTTCATTTTCTTCCTTTTTTATTGTTTATATATTTTTATGATGAATATGTCCTAATTGTACAATAGTTTGAAGTAATTTTTTTTCTATTTAAAAAGGTGTTGGTATGTTGTTTCTGGAATTATCATGATTCTTTTCAAATTTACATTCTGGACATTATTGGTAAAGCAGAAGTCACTTGTGTTTTGAATCCAAACAATGTAGCTAGGCTTGTGGCTAGATCGCATGCTCCTTAGGTCAGGGCTAAGGCTGTGTTGTTCAATTTCAGTGTATGTGCTGCCAAAGCGAGCACAGGCTGCCTCATTCACGTTTGTACCCCGGCCCTTGGTACAATGCCTGACATGAAATGGGTGCTCACAGCTTGTTTGCTGTGCTGTGTTTGAACACTCCTGTAAGCATAACTTCATTCTGGATGCAAGGATCCAAATTCTTTTCACAGATTAAATCTATTATCACAGGTTTTTATCCACGGTGAGTATCCACACACAGTACCACCGAGAATAGTATCCTATTACAAATACATCACCTTGAAAAGGTGAGTCACAATTCTCCTATAATCAAGGTGACATAAAATCCAAGACTAATCTTAGTCAAAATTGCCAGAGGTAATTTCTACCCCCTGCAAGTACTATCACAAATACATGAATTTAATAATAGAGGTAATGTAGTCTATGAAACCCAATTATATCCGACCTCTTTCAACAAGAGACAAATTTCATCTTTATTTTTTGTTGTTTGTTTTTAGACAGAGTCTAGCTCTGTCTCCAGGCTGGAGTGCAGTGGCATGATCTCTGCTCACTGTAACCTCTGCCTCCCAGATTCAAGCAATTCTCCTGCCTCAGCCTCCCAAGTAGCTGGAATTACAGGCCCCCGCCGTCACGCCCAGTTAATTTTTGTATTTTTAGTAGAGATGGGGTTTCACCATGATGAAGATCATGATGGTCTTGATCTCCTGACCTCGTGATCTGCCCACCTCAGCCTCCCAAAGTGCTGGGATTACAGGCATGAGCCACTGCGCCCAGCCAATTTCATCTATTTTTATTTAACAAAATCATATCTGTAATGAACTGATCATACTTGAAATGCAAAATTCAATTATACTTCAATATTTTTTATTTCTTTTTCCTGTGTCATTCCATTAGGAGTTTGTGACGGACTCCCCTTGCCTGAAGAACCCTTAATGGTCTTCCCCAGAGGTAGACACTTTGCAAGGGGCTGCAGGTCCCCTTAGGACTGATATCTACTACTTTCATTGCTCCTAGACCTATGTGATTTAGCTTATAGCAGGTCCCTCAGAATGAGGTACAAAGTGTAACCTGTGAAGAGACAAAACACATGTTGAAGAATTACATTGTTTTACCAATTTATGTCAACCAATTCCCGGACTGAAAACAGTTTACAGATGCAGAACCTCTCGCATATACCAATTTATATCAACCAATTTATATCATTCTGGAGAATATGTGTGGGATTGGGTCCTCAGAGTATGGGATCAGGGTGAAAGAAATATAAAGTGGGGCCAGGCTAAATGGATTGCTATGAGCTCACTAAGCAGAGATTCTGGACTTCATATTGTTAGCTCAAGTTGTTAGAAATGGTTCTGATAGTTTGTTTGGTTAGTTAACTTGAAGTCTGGACCCAAAGGTGGCTTAGGCTGAATAAAGTTTCCTTGGTATACTATGGAGCAGAATTTCTCAATCTTGGCATTATTAACTACGAAAGAATCAAAATGGAGCCACTTATGTTAAAAACCCTGGCAAATAGAGTGGCAAAGTCCATGAAGGAAGGGTTCTCATGCATGAATCCCTGATAATAAGAACTATTACAAAAAACTCTACAAAACCACAACCTTGCACAAAGGCCATCTCAACTTTACACAGAAAAATACTTCTGCAAGGATGTACATCTGCACAGCAACTGACCATCCAGCCTCCCTTGTTATTGATCCATGTAGCTGAGAATAATTATCTCAAAACAATTATGTAATCCTTCTCACTTTTCCTTTAAAAACCTTTATCTTCCTTTACCTCCCTGAATATGCCTCAGTTACTATGGCACGTGTATTCTTATTGCAATGCCTCTTCCCCAATAAAATGATTTTCTTTTGGAGAGTCTCCCTTTCTGTTTGCTATTTAGGTTGACATAACGTAAGACTTTGTGGTGGGGTGCTGTCCTGTGCACCGTAGAATGTTTAGCAGCAGTGCTGAGACTAGGGTGAGTTGAGTGAGACAGCTAGCTTTGGGCCCTGGGTACCTCACTCACCTAATCCTTGTCCTGGCTTCATTTAGCAGTAGCCGTGGCTCCTAGACACTAGGTACCAGTAGCACCCACTAGCTGTGACAACCAAAGATGTTTCCAGACATTGCCAAATGTCTCTAGGAGGCAAAATCACCTTTAGTAGGGAACCACTGCTATAGAGGAAAGTTTCCAAAGTTTTCATAATTACTCGTTTCTATCATGTGTAATATGTGTTATGAAAACTCGCAGTGCAAGGAAAATGCCTGGAATTCTGCCTAGATGTAAATTTATAAGAATGTAATAATGATGACTAGTAAATACATAATTCAAAAATATCATCACTTTGGAAATGATATGCCATGGATTTACTTCAAAATAGTCCTGTGGTGGGGGCAGTAAGTGCGAGTGGTGATGAAATAAGAATGGCTACAAGTCGATGACTATTGTAGCTGGGGGTTGGGTTCATGGGCCTTTGTTGTACTATTATTATCTTTACCTCATATATATTTGATTCCATGACATAAACTGTTTTGTTTGTTTTTGAGATGGAGTCTCGCTGTGTCACCCAGGCTAGAGTGCAGTGGCGCCATCTCAGCTCACTACAACCTCCACCTCCCGGGTTCAGGCGATTCTCCTGCCTCAGCCTCCCGATTAGCTGGGATTGCAGGCATGCACCACCACGCCTGACTAATTTTTGTATTTTTAGTAGAGACGGAGTTTTGTCATGTTGGCCAGGCTGGTCTTGAACTCCTGACCTCAGGTGATCCACCCACCTCAGCCTCCCCAAGTGCTGGGATTACAGGTGTAAGCCACCGTGCCTGGCCTATAAAGTTTTTTAAAAATCATCTTTTCCTACTTAAGCCCATTCTTTTGTTTAAATTACTTGTTTCAGTTGTTTCACGTTGACTCTGCCTATTATTTCAAGTTCCTCTGATCTTTTATTTTGCTGCCTTATTTAGCATAACTTTTGCTATATGACATACTTAAACAGGTATAACCATGCTGACAAGAACAGACATGCTTAATCTTATCCTCAGGCATGGTTGGGTGCCAGTCTCCGTGGGTAGCCTCATCTGCCACTCCTTTCATAGGCCTTACGCATGGACCACTGGCTGCCTCCTGTTGACCATACGTTTGCACCCCTCTGGATCACCATGCACTTTCCTGTCTTCTCTGTTCAGCAAAATCCTCCTCCTTCCTCTAGCTCAGCTCAAATGCCACTGCTCTCTCCTCTTCAGCACTTCGCTTCCCTTTCATTCCGGCCCACTTCCCTTCTAGCCATGTCAAGTTCTCTTTTCCTCCTGCTCCAAAAGAGCTTTGCTCATATTTTCCTTGTACTATTTATTGCATCCTATAGTTTGCCATTGTAATAATAAGAATTATTTGGTTGAAAGAAAGAGAAACTAACTTACACTAGATTAACAGGAAGTCTATTAAAAGAATAACAAGGAAACTCTTCAGACTAAACTGCATGTGGCCAGCTGGGCCTGAGGGATTAATCCAGGAATTAAACACTCTTCTCTCCAAGTCTCTCTCCTCTGTGCTCTTCCCTGGGTGACTGGTTCATTCTCCTGCAGCAAATCAACTATTTCACTCTTTAGTCCCCATGGCAAAAAAACATGGGTGTCCCTCTGCTACCAAGTGTATCTGTTAGAGGTTTAGCCACACAAAGAGTGAGTGAGTATCTCTGTGTTTTGAGAGGGAAGGAATTCATTGGCCCAGTTTAGATCAGGACTTATCTTCAGGGAGTGGATGGTGGGTGGGCAGGATCACATGGTACAAAATAGCCACCACATCTATGGATGGGGATGGAGCAGTTATGGGTACATAGGGATATGGTAGACCATCCAAAACTTCCATTACAGTTATACACATGTCTAACTCCCCAGTTAGATCGTGAGCTTCTCAAGGGTACTGACAGTGGCTCCTTCATCGTTGTGTGCTTTTGCCAAGAAATACATATTTATTAAATGAATTTATAACCAATTCTGTGGACCTTAACTTACACATTAGGCTCACACAAGCATCTGAAATAATGCATACAGATATTCTGATAGACATTTTAACATATAATAAACACTTTGTGGGCCGGGTGTGGTGGCTCACACCTGTAATCCCAGCACTTTGGGAGGCCGAGGCAAGTGGATTGCCTGAGGTCAGGAGTTCGAGACCAGCCTGGCTAATGTGGTGAAACTCCGTCTCTACTAAAAATACAAAAATTAGTCAGGCGTGATGTCGCACGCCTGTAGTCCCAGCTACTAGGGAGGCTGAGGCAGGAGAATCACTTGAACCCGGGAGGCAGAGGTTGCAGTGAGCCCAGATCGTTCCACTGCACTCCAGCCTGGGCAACAGAGAGAGACTCCATCTCAAAAAAATAAATAAAATAAAATAAACAATTTGGGGCAGACATTCTAGTTTCCTACTCATATCATTTCTGCCCTTCTTTCTTAATAGAACCCCACTTTTTTTTCCTTCAGGGGAGTAGTACCTTCAGTTAGCAATATTTACTCAGAGGTGATGATGTGGCCCAGTTCTAGCCAATGAGATATTAGCACAAGTTACTGGTAAAGCATCTGTGAATATTTTGTAAAAGGGACAAATGTGTCTGGCGTGTAACTTTTGCTTCTCTCTTTCCTTGCCTGGAATGTGAGTGTGATGTTTGGATGTGCAGCAGCTACCTTGTGACCATGAGAATGAAGTTTGCTCCCTAAGATGGGGTAGCAGAAAAATAGAAGGAGCCTGGCTCCTGGCTCCTTGAGGACTTTAGTAAGTCTTTGAGTGCAAAGGATCAGCCCTGAACAGTCTGTCCCCAGACTTCTTGTTGCCTGAGACAAAAAGCAAATAAAAACAAAACAAAACTTGTTTAAGCCATGGTTGGTTGTTTTTCTGTTACTTGCAGCTGAACATAGTCCTAACAAGCTTTTTTTAAAAAAGAAAAAAAAAAAAAAAGATTGGCCAGGTGCAGTGGCTCACACCTGTAATCCCAGCACTTTGGGAGCCTTAGAGGGTGCCGATTGCTTGAGCCCAGGAGTTCAAGACCAGCCTGGGCAACATGGCAAAACTCCATCTCTACCCCCCCACCCCCCCAAAAAAATATATATATATAATATATATTTTTATATTATATATGTGTTATATATATGGTATATTTATATATGTGTGTGTATATATATGTGTGTGTATATATACATATATATATATTCAGCTGGGCATGGTGGTATGTGCCTGTAGTCCCAGCTACTTAGGAGGCTGAGGCAGGAGGATTGCTTGAGCCTGGAAGGAAGAGGTTGTAGTGAGTCAAGATTGTGCCACTGCACTCCAGGCAGGGCGACAGAGTGAGACCTGTCTCAAAAAAGCAAAATAAAGCAAAACAAAAAAAAATTTAAACTAGAACTTATTTTTTAATTGTGCAAGCCCTATGCTTACCTAAGGAAAGATACTAGATCCTTTAGAGATGTTTTTCAAAAGTATTGTCCATAGATGATCCACATCAGAATTACACAGGCTGCTTGTTAGAGAAGGTAAATTTTCAGTGTGCTTGTTTGCTCAACCTAACCTCTCAACCGAGAATCAGAATCACTGGGGCTAGGGCCTGGAAATCTGCTCTTTCAACAAACTCACCAAACAATCCCTGAGCTCAGAAAATCTTAAGAACCACCAATAAATAATTCAAACAAGTTTGAATCATTTACTGGACAGCAAGGTAAATGTAACTAGTTTTTTTTTTTCCTTTTTAGTTTAACACCAATCCCCACACCTACCAACTTAACTTGATTATCATCAAGAAGGGTCCAAACTCTTTTTGAAGAGGAAACAAACTGTCAAGCTTCAATAAGAGCACACAATTTCCTGTGAGGTTGAAGCAAATGTTCCGCTTTCTTTATTAAGTTTATTTTAACTAAACTTGCTAAGCTTCCTCTAAATGTGTCATGCTATCCCTACCCCCTTCCTTTTTTGAGCACTGCCAATCACAGTCCCATTTCACATATGCAATTGTGCTCAGTGTCGTATTCTAATTGTCTAATACATTTGAAGTAAACACAATCCAATATACTTCTGATTTAATATTCCCTTAGTTTAGGCTCTCCTGAGTTATTAATTCTTTTTAGACTCAGAATACTCTTATCTAATTTTGTCTTTCTTATTGAACTAAAAGTGATTCTTATATGAAAAAAAAATAAGTAGAAACAATTTTTAAAACCCCAAATCTTGAATTTGAATATGATCAGAGGTCATTTATTAAGTAACAACAGAGGCAAATGACCAATATTAGACCCCCTAAACTATCGTGACCCTATCTTTTGGAGTCTTATTTCTCAAAACACCACAAAGCTTTTTCTCCTCTGTAGTCATTATGCCACCCTGAACTCATTCCCAACCGCTCATCTTTGCTTAGGCTGTGTCCCCATCTGGGGAAACCAAGCCTCACCTCCTCTTCAATTACTGCAACCCATTCTGCTAGTTCTCTTCTCTAAATTCTTATTCTAGTCACCATCATTACCACCTAATTTTTTAAATCTTCCCAAAGGAGATTTTGACACGTCAGTCTCCAACTAAAAATCCTTCAACAGCACCATGTTTTCTTTTTTTTTTTTTTCTTTTCTTTTAAAATAGAGTCTTGCTCTGTTGCCCAGGCTGGAGTGCAGTGGCGCGATCTCAGCTCACTGCAACCTCCACCTCCCGGGTACAAGCGATTCTCCTGCCTCAGCCTCCCAAGTAGCTGGGACTACAGGCACACCATCACACCTGGCTAGATTTGGATTTTTAGTAGAGACGGGGTTTCGCCATGTTGGTCTGGCTGGTCTTGAACTCCTGACCTCAGGTGATCCACCTACCTCAGCCTCCCAAAGTGCTAGGATTACAGGCGTGAGCCACCGCACCTAGCCGAGCACCATGTTTTCAACACTGAATACATCCTGTGTCCCATGCTCTGCTAGGTGCCAGGGGTACACATACTAATGCAACACGGGCAGAGTCCTACAGGCATTATGGACTGATGGGTTGTTATCACCGGGGCTCACTAGAAATCTCAAGTTGTCTACAGAGTGAACTGGAACTGGAAACAATCCTCAAGGCCCTCCATGATCTGTTTCTAATTTATTTTACTAATTGTATCCCACCTTATTCTCTCCCCTTTGATCCAAATACATGGGGCTACTTGCCACTAGCCAAACACACCTGCCCCCTTTCTGTCTCTCTGAATTTGCTCACTTTGATCTCTGCTCCTAAAGTGACCTCACTTCTCTACCCATGTCGATTCTGACATATCCTTGAGGACTCAGATTTCAAATGCCACCTTCTTCATGAAACATTATGTTGCTTATGAAGTTCTAATTACGTCAGGTTTCTCAAAAAGAACCCCACATAATACCAAGTGCAATGACTAGTTCTTGATTAAATCCTGGTTTGAACAAACCAGCTGTAAGATATTCTGGGGTCAATTGGGGAAATTTAAGTATGAACTGGGCACAAAATTATATTAGGAAATTATTGTTAAACTTATCAGGAATGATAACATTATCATAGTTATATAAAAAGTCATTATTTTTAGATATGAAAGTGAAATTAATGGGTTAAATGACATGATAGCTCAAAAATGGAAGAAGGAAACATGAGAAAATGGGAAAATTTGGTAATGGGAATACTGTAGATGTTTCTGGATTTCTACTTTTCTGTGCATTTGAAAACATTTCTAACCAAAAGAGAAAACAAGAACTACAAAAATTTTTCTTGCCAATAAAAATAAAACATATTCAAAAAAATAAAAATAAAACATATTCACTAAAGAAAATCTGGGGAAAAGGAAAAGTAACACAAATAGAGAGCAACAAATATCCTACCACGCAGAGATAATCATTATTTATATTATGATGCCTTTCCTTCTATACATTTATAAACCAATTATTTTCTTTATTTTTTATTGACACAAAAATTATATATATTTATGGTATACAACATTGTGTTTTAAAATATATAATTCTTTTTATTTTACAAAATTGTGATGGCTCTGGACATATAGTTTTGTACTGATCTCAGATTTTAAAAGGACATATATAAAAGATAGAAAGAAGCACATAAGGTCGGACTCAATGGCTTATGCCTATAATCCCAGCACTTTGGGAGGCTGAGGCGGGAGGATCACGAGGTCAGGAGATCGAGACCATCCTGGCTAACACGGTGAAACCCTGTCTCTACTAAAAATACAAAAACAAAATTAGCCGGGCATGGTGGCAGGTAACTGTAGTCCCGGCTACTCGGGAGGCTGAGACAGGAGAATGGTGTGAACCCAGGAGGCGGAGCTTGCAGTGAGCCGAGATGACGCCACTGCACTCCAGCCTGGGCGACAGAGCGAGACTCCCTCTCAAAAAAAAAAAAAAAAAAAAAAAAAGCACGTACATAAAAGAGAATGCTGCATTTTGTAGATATATTACATGTCAATGAAAAGTTAAAATACAAAAAAAAAAAAAAAAAGAAGGAAAACTTGCTAAACAGAGAGAATGGTGCAGACAAACCTTCCAATCCTTCCAGAGTTACATACCAGCAGTTAGTTCTCTAATAATCCTAGATCCCACAGATGGGCTTTTCGACGGTGCATTTCAAATGGTGCAGCCCAGAATCACTTACCTCTTTGCAGTTTCCAACATTTGTAGTTCTCACCGTGGGCTCTCCAGGCTACTACATGCTTTTTTCTTTTTTCCTTTTTTTTGAGACAGAGTCTTGCTCTGTCGCCCAGGCTTGAGCACAGTGGCCTGATCTCGGCTCACTGCAACCTCCGCCTCCCAGGTTCAAGCGATTCTCCTGCCTCAGCCTCCTGAGTAGCTGGGATTACAGGCGTGCACCACCACGCCCAGCTAATTTTTGTATGTTTAATAGAGACAGGGTTTCACCATGTTGGTCAGGTTGATCTCGACTCCTGACCTCGTGATCCACCCACCTCAACCTCCCAAAGTGCTGGGATTACAGGTTTGAGCCACCACGCCTGGTCTACATGCTTTTTGAAGGAAATCACCAGCCTGGCCAACTGGGATCCCCACAGTCATCAGCCACACGAGCTGAGCCATCACTGCTGCTGACCCGTCTTGCCTGGAGTCTCCTGCCTTGCTCTACCCAGAACTCCCCTTTCCTAAAGCTCCTCGTCTACACCGTGTCACTGCTTCTCTCTTCACATACCTTCTTGCCAATGTTAGCTCCAGCAACATGACCCTCTTTCTTTACAGAGATACCATTCAAATATTTTAATTATTTTCATAATCATATGTAATAATATTAAATATATTTTTAAGCTAAAAATTGCTACATGTCCCGTCACAACAACACAGCTGATTTTACTTTTATATTTTTTCATCTCTGTTGAAATTGGCCCATATTTCTTACTGTGAATATGTTTATATTGTTAAAATCTTACATACTATTACATAAGTTTTTTGGGTTCCATTTTTTGTTTGTTTGTTTTCTTTTGTTTTTTTTGTGTGTGTTTTTGGAGACAGAATTTCTGTCACCCTGGCTGGAGTGCAGTGGTGCAATCTTGGCTCACTGCAACCTCCACCTCCTGGGTTCAAGCAGTTCTTGTGCTTCGGCCTCCCAAGTAGTTGAGATTACAGGTGCACACCACCACGCCCAGCGAAGTTTTGTATTTTTAGTAGGGATAGAGTTTTGCCATGTTGGCCAGGCTGGTCTCAAACTCCTGGCCTCAAGTCAGCTGCCCACCTTGGCCTCCCAAAGTGCTGGGATTACAGGCATGAGCCACCACTTCTGCTTTGAATTCCATTTTAAATGGCCACATTATATATTCCACATAACTGAAATACCTTTTCCATTGAATTCCATTTTAAATGGCCACATTATGTATTCCAAAGAACTGAATACCTTTTCCAAGGACTTGAAATAAGTTGAAACTATTCACTGATTGTCAGATACTCTGTATACTTTATTCTACAACCTGATTTTTGCACCTCATATGTCATGGACCTTTTTGCAAGTCAGTACATATGTTTTCTATGTTATTTTAAATGGCTGCGTAGCATTCTATAGTAAAGATACATTTTTCCAATTTTTAAATTCTTTTTGATTTTTCAATTTGTGTAATTTTTTCATTTTGAATCATTAATACACTTTATGCTGCAAAGAAAAAAAAACAAAAAAAAAACAAAGAATAAAATGGCACACAGTGAAAAGTCTCTCTCCTCTCTTTTCAGTTCTCATCACCATCCCAGTATGTAACCTCCTTTCTTAATGTCTTACGTTTCCTTCCAGAGTTTATTTAGGCAGAGGGAAGCAAATATAAATGTTATTCCTTATTTTTGTTTTCTCTCTTTCTCTTTAACCAGAATGTGATATATTGTATCCACTGTCCCACTTGTTGCTTTTTTTTTTTTTTTTTTTTTGAGACGGAGTCTTGCTCTGCCGCCCAGGCTGGAGTGCAGTGGTGCGATCTCGGCTCACTGCAACCTTCGCCTCCCAGGTTCATGCCATTCTCCTTCCTCAGCCTCCCGAGTAGCTGGGACTACAGGTGCCCGCCACCACACCCGGCTAATTTTTTTGTATTTTTAGTAGAGACAGGGTTTCACCGTGTTAGCCAGGATGGTCTTGATCTCCTGACCTCGTGATCTGGCTGCCTCGGCCTCCCAAAGTGCTGGGATTACAGGCATGAGCCACCCCGGCCTCATTTTGCTTTTTAAACGTAATGAGTTAACTTGGAGATCGTTCCAACTCAGTACAGAGAGAGTTTCCTAATTCTTTGTTCTATAGCTGCATGGCTTCCTACTTTGTGATGCCGTCCGTGACTTCCACATGAGGGACATTGTGGTCATCACTTTGAAGGCTAATCCCATCTCTACCTGTTAATTCCAAAACCTCATTCCAGCCATTATCCACCTTAATCCCTCTTGACTGTTTTGTTTTGTTTTGTTTTGTTTTGTTTCCTACGAACATGTTAGGTCTCTTATATGCTAACAGAGAACTTTCCCTTCACTCTGAAGTCCCTTAAGGCTCCCATAACCTTCAAAGCCAGACAGAGATGTCCACAGTTTCGTTCACAGCTTCCATTTCACCACCCATTCCTTCCTTGACACTGTGATATTCCTTCTTCTTCCCGTCTCAATTAAAAATGATCTCTTGGCTGGGCACAGTGGCTCATGCCTGTAATCCCAGCACTTTGGGAGGCCCATGCAGGTGGATCACCTAAGGTCAGGAGTTCAGACCATCCTGGCCAGCATGGTGAGACCCCATCTCTACTAAAAATACAAAAACTAGCCAGGCATGGTGGCGGGCGCCTGTAATCCCAGCTACTTGGGAGACTGAGGCAGGAGAATCGCTTGAACCAGGGAGGCGGAGGTTGCAGTGAGCTGAGATCAGGCCACTGCACTCCAGCCTGGGCGACAGAGTGAGACTCCGTTTCAAAAAAATAAAACTGATTTCTGGAAGATCATCTAATAGAAACATTCAGCATCTTGGTCTATTTCTCTATCCTCCCCGCACTAACATCTGAAAATGGCACCTACCTATTCACTCATTAACCTCTTGGAAAATGACTTCTGCCCACCCTACCTGCTTTATACTAAAACTGATCTCCAGTGTCACTTAACCTGTTAAGGGCCAGTAATCTCCCAGTAACCTGGCTGTGACTGCCTTCTTTAACCTCCACTCTTGGTGCTCCTGTTATGCCTGCTTGTCACCACAGCCTAGCCCTAGAGATTCTATCTTTCCAATGCCTTCCCTTCTATCCTCTCCTAACCATCTATTATTCTGTCTATTACTCCTAAATCAGTTCCTGATTTCTGATTATCTGGATGATGAGCAGCATGCTTCTAACAAATCTTTCTCTCTCCAGCCTCTTTCCCACTCCAACTGAAAACCATGGGTTTTCCATCATCCTTTTCTCCAAAACTCTTATTTCCAAGTCAATTAAGCACTAACTCCCCAATCTGATATTCAATTACTTCCGCAGTTTTAACACAATTCCACATGTAACGGCATCGGTCAGCATTATGTCCCACTGCTATTCCAAGCATACCCTGTGCTCCAGCCACAGCAGTCTGCTTATTTTGCACGAAACACATGGCGTGCTTTTGCACCTCCAGGCTTTGGTTCACCCCCTTTTTTTTTAATCCACCTGGATTATGTTTCCCCTCCGTCTCTACTATTCTAAATCCCATCCTCCCCTAATTTCACTTGCCACGCTATCTTCACTAACCTTCTACCAAACGTATTATAATTATTTGTGCGGTTATCATATTTCCACACTGGATTCTTAATTCTGCTAAAACGAAATACTGTAATGCCTTTGATGAGCCTTCCATGTGCCAGCCATGTGCTAAGTGAGCTACATGCATTATCTCATTTAATCCTCAAATCGCCATCTAGGTCAGGACTCTCCCATTTAACATTAAACAAACTGAGGCTCCGAGAGATTAAGTAGCTTGCAGCTTTCACGCAGCTAATTATGGTGGAATCAGATTCCCTCCCCGAGGTTCAACTTGTATTAGTTAGGGTAGCCAGCATAATATATTCGCCAGCTACGCTGCACTCAACCTGTGTGTGCCGGATCAGCATGTTAAAAACGGTGTCTGCAAGTAGACCAAGGGAAGAGGGGCTGCGGGGGCGGGAATTGAGACAGCAATGAATTAGGATGGCGGGATTGGCGGTGATGTTTCCAAATTTCCACTGTTGGGTTGTAGAGCTTCTGAAATAAGCATTTAAAATGTATAGTTACTAAACAAGATTGCATCTACCCTTGGTCTAATTGTTATGTGTAGGTTAGTTTTGTCTCCCTGATTTTATTGTCATCCCCCAGGGATTGTTTCTGTTCTCCCGCGTTCCCAGAGCTTTCGGCGCATTGCTCAACACACGGTGTGCGTACTTGTTGATTTTAATGTATGTGTGTTTGCATATGTGCACAGCAGCTGGGCGGAGGACGTGGGTGTGGGATGCACTGTGCATTCCTTCTCCTCACTCTTGTTCCTTTGAGCAGCTGCAGCCTGGATGCTTTCCCTTAGGGGTAGGGGAGAGGCAGAACCGCTGACCCTTTAACAAGTTATCCCTCACAGAACAGGTGTCTCCCCCGACTCTCGGTGGAGAGGGATGGCTGGATACTTAGTGACATCAGCCACGAGCCAATGGGAAGTCGGGCTCCAGCCGTCGCGCCAATGAGCGGCCGGGGGCGGGCCGGGTTTCCTGGGCGCCTGGCTGGCCGGGCTGGTCCTGCGGCCGCGGGTGAGTCTCGTCCGCTCGCGCTGCCCACCGCGGCTCCAGCAGCTCCAGGCGCGGTTCCCCGGCCCGCGCCGCTCCCGGCCCCCCGGCTCGGGCGCCTCCCGCCGCAGCGCAGGCTCCCCCGCCGGCCGGGCTCCTGCGCGGCGCGGCTCGGCTCATGCCCCCGGGCGCGGGGCACACAGGCCGGCCGGCAGCCGCTGGGAAATAGGCCCCCGGGGGCGGTGGCGGCGGCGGGGCCATGGCGCGGAGACCCCGGGCGCCGGCCGCCTCCGGGGAGGAGTTCTCCTTCGTCAGCCCGCTGGTGAAATACCTGCTCTTCTTCTTCAACATGCTCTTCTGGGTGAGTCTCGGGGTCGAGGGCACCTGGGCGGCGGGGTCCCCCCGCGGGGTGGAAGGGTGGCCCGGGGTGCCCCACGCGCGGGAGCCGCACTGCCGAGTTTTCTGGGCTGACGGCACTTTGGGGGAATTTATCCTGGGGAGGGACACCCCGGGGACGCCGCGTCTGCAGGGGGCGTTGTAGGGAGGAGGGTATGCCAGGGAATCAGTAAAGACTGATGGGTATTCTCGGGGCGTCGGAGGAGGGTCTGTGTTAGGCTAGAAATGTGGGTTTGAGGGAGCCTGTTGGCCCAAGGCGGACCCACTGACACATTCATGATGGGGGTCGGGGGTGGCGGCTGACTTTCAGGCCTGGGGGCCTGGAGGCCCGGCTGGCAAAGAAAGAAGAGGAAGGAAAAACCCAAACCTCTCTCTCCACCACCTCAGAGAGGATGGGTTACTGGCATCATCTCTTCCTTTTGCAGGCCTCATCTACCCCCACCTCCACCCCCCCAAAGTCTAGGAAGAATGGCCTCCAGGTGCAGATGTCTTTCCCATCCCAGCACTGCCCCAAACTTTGTCCCCTCCCTGCCACCCTTCTCAGGACCAGACTTCACCCCTGGAGCCTGGCAATCACCAGTGTCTTTAAACAGGACCCCGTGTTGGGCCGGAGGGCCAGGGGTCCTTTCAGAATCTTCTGCTTGGGGTGGAAAAAGTATTGGGCTGGGACTCCGGACACCTGGATTCCCATCCCACTCTGCCGTTCATTGTTGACTTGACCGACCTAAGCATGTATGTTCATGTCTGCAGGCCTTGACTCCCTCCCCCACAAATCCAACCCAGTGTGATCAGGGGTGGCAGAAAGACTGCTGAAGCTGAGAATTGAGCTGAACCAGATCATGCAATGCCAGCTCGACCCTGTTTCCTGGCTAGAGAGTCCTGGAGGTCCTGGGGTGTGAGAACATAGGGACATCCTTCCCCCATTCACCTCCTCTTCTGGCTCCTACCACACCAGAGCTGCTGCTTCTGGAGCCCACCATCCTTGCCCACTTCAGCTGGAGACCTAAAGTTCAGACTTGCAGGAGGGAAGAATTGAGTCTAAAATATGTTTCCTAGGGGAGGGAGCAGAACAGACATCTAAGCCATTTGCTGGAAAGGTTTCACAGGGCCCGTGGGGTGAGGTGCAGACACAAAGCCCATAAGTGCTGGCCTGTTGGGACAAATGAGAGAAATCCCATAGGGTGGTGATGACAGCGCACTCAGCCATCCTACTCCTGGGGAAAATGAAACTTGTGCTCCTATCAAATGCTCAGTTGTAAAACTGGAAAAAAATTTTAGAAGACATCTTGTCCAGCATCTGTGTTTATGTCTATAAAATGTAGAAAACTAAAGCACAGAGATGTTAAATGTTTTGTCCAAGGTCCAACAGCTGGTTAGCAGGCTTGGTCTGGTGACCTTTCTACTGAACCACAGTGCCGCTGGGGGAAGTCCTCAGCACAGATGGCTGCTGCTATAGCTGGGGTATGGGCAGTATTAGTAGTTAACCAGTCAACCCAAGTTCCCATAGTCTAGGTTCTGCTTCAGCTGGAGGTTAGGGAAAAACACAAGAAAATCCCTTACCACTCTACCAGTGCTGGGGGATGTACTAAGAGACTCCCCACTTAGGGGCAAGTATCAGTGAAGTCTCTGTGCTCACTGAGTGTGCCAGGCCAGTGACGTGACATCCTCGGAGCCAGCACTAGCATTTCAGGGACTTTAGGTCGTCACTCTGACTTCCTTTATCTGCCGAGACTGTCTCCCTTGGAGCCATTGGTACCTCACCCTTGTCTGTGCTCGCCAGTGACAACAGCTGGGTGCATCTGTTACACTTGTGTTCCTGGTCATTTTTTTTTTCTCGAGCTTCCCTACCCCCTACCTCCACCCTACCCCCCTTTTATCGGACAAACGACTTTGAGAGATCTCAGCCAGGAGAGAGTTTGGCTCCACAGACCCATTTACCTTGGTAAAAATGCTTCATTCAAGGTCAGAAGACGTGGGTGGCCAAGCTAGCACCACCCCAAATTAGAATAGAGCCCCTTCTTGGCCCTACAGTAGACTCATAAAAAATCAGAGGCTCTAGAAATAGCACACTGAAAGACAAGAGGCTCAGCATCTTTTTGGCACCAACTTACTGTGTGACCCTAAGCCAATGTATCTGTCTCTCTGACCTTAATCTTTCTCCTCTAAAGGAGAAACAATTTCTGCCTCAGTGAACTATTTAAGGATGAATGAATCATTTTGGGGACTGTTTTCTTTCTTCAAGACCTAGAGCTGGATCTAAGGATGAATCTCCCTGTGTCCTGATTGCCCTTCCTAGGGGACAGTACTTTTCAGGTGTTATTGAATGTCCCTTCTCCCCCAAACCCAGTGCTGCACAGGTATATTCATACAAGAGCAGCTGGAGAGAAAATGCTGCCTCCCCAGATCAGGGGGCCATCTTTCTTCCTAGCTCCTCTTCAGGGACTGGTTCCCATGCTTTCTTTTTTGTAGACTTCCACCATCCTAATCAAATTCTGCTCTTCTGCCCAGGAAGCACCTATGGATGAGATGATGGTCAGCCCACACCCTTTGCAGGCAGAGTGCATGCTCTGGCCGGCTTCTGGAGCTGCCGCATGGCAGTGGTTATTGTGTCTGTGCCTGGAACCCACTAGGAAGGTGTCCGGCATCCTCTGGGCTCTGAATAGTGGTGCTGGTGGTGATGGTGGCTACGTCTGCTGTTGCTCTAGAAGCCCTGACTCTTGGGGCATTTGGAGTCTGACTCAGAAAACTAATGAATTTTGGGGGACTGGGACCAGTTCCTACTGTTCATGTTTCAAATCTCACTTCCCCTTTGACCTGGGAGTTCTGATTTTCTTCCCAGAATCATGTTGCTGGGTTACTGACTGTGGGGATTCCATGGCCTGGAGTAGCTGCTCTAAGATCCTAGATGTTGCATTTAAATCAGTTAGGGTGGCTACAGAGCAGCTGCCTCTCCTCACCTCCCTCTGCAGGACAGCTCCGTGCAGATATTGGGGTGGTGCCTGCTTTCTCAGCTTGGCCATGTGTTGTCAGGAATATTCAGTGCCGCCCACCTCCTTCCTCGCTGGTCCTTTTCCCACTCAGGGCAGCAGTTGGCTGGCTTTTGAGTCAGGCAGAGCCCAGAAGCTCAGACCTCCAGCCCCTGTGTCTCAGCCCAGGCTTCCCTAGCAGCCATGCCTCAGGGCTCCCATGGCACCTTCTGTATTCTTCTATTGTCACATCCCTTACCTGTGCTGCAATTGTGTTTACTTCTCCGTCTCCCCCTCTAGACTTCGGGCTCTCGAGGGTGGGCACGGCCCTATTCACTTCTGGATCCCCAGTGCCCAGCTGTGTTTGGCATAAATTGGGTGCTTACTGAATGTTTATTGGATGGTGAGTGAGAGAGCAAACCCCACAGGGTAGAGGCTTGATGCCCATCCTCCCTTCCTCATGGACACTGGCCTGTCAAGATGCAGCTCAACCTGGGGTCCTTGAGCACTCTTGGTGATGAGGTACCCAACTGTGTTCTCCTCTGTGGTGGGTCTGGCGGCCTGGCAACCCTCCACTTAAGCCAGGTCAGAAACATGGCAGCCATCCCCTCCTCAGAGCCACACGTACTTACTGCCTACAGCATCTGGATTTTCTCACTTCCACTGCCACATATATGCACCCTTGTCCAGGTCTTCCCTAGGCTGAGCCAAGCCACCAGTGGGGCATCTTCTTCAAGAAATCCACTCTCCCATCCAGGACTACTGTATTGGAGTCCTTGGGCACTCAGAATCACCCAGGCCACTCTCAGCACCATTTCTTTTCGTCTGGCTCAAAAACCATGAGGAAGTAACCAGGCATCAAGCCAGGCAAAAACCTCTTCTAAGTGGCAGGGGCCCTTTCTGCCATCCAACCCCCTCATCCTATACTTCCAAATACACTAGGAGGCAGAGCCCACCACCTCCCTCCTCCACCC
Source organism: Homo sapiens (assembly GCF_000001405.40). Taxonomy (NCBI): domain Eukaryota; kingdom Metazoa; phylum Chordata; class Mammalia; order Primates; family Hominidae; genus Homo; species Homo sapiens. The sequence continues at coordinate 129,149,058 of NC_000007.14, forward strand.
CCGCCGTCTTCCCCATAGACTTGGCTGGCTTCCATAACTGAAGACAGATGCTTTTTATAAAAACAACGAAAATTACAAAATATGGGAAATGAAGACAAGAACCATCTCCTTTGCTATGCAGGTCGCGTGCACACTTCTTAACTTCCCAGCAGCTTTGTTTGCCCTGTACCAAGTAGAAAACCATAAACGTCAAGCAGCCTTTAAAAAGGAAAAAAGAAGGCTGGGCGCGGTGGCTCATGCCTGTAATCCCAGCACTTTGGGAGGCCGGGGCAGGTGGATCACCTGAGGTAAGGAGTTCGAGATCAGCCTGGCCAACATGGTGAAACCCCATCTCTACTAAAAATGCAAAAATTAGCCAGGTGTGGTGGTGCACACCTGTATTCCCAGCTACTTCGGAGGCTGAGGCAGGAGAATCACCTGAACCTGGGAGGCAGAGATTGCAGTGAGCCGAGATTATTACATTCCACGCTGGGCAACAAAAGTGAAACTCCGTCTCAAAAAAAAAGAAAAAAGAAAACATAGAGTGCCTCTCAGATCTTTTTAGGAGGCTAGTGCTGGGCCAGTCCCTCCGGGGCTTTGAGTTTGAATGGTTATTTACTGCAAGCCCTTGCAGACCTCCCTTCCTCTTTCTTAACCTTGGAAGAACAAAGCCAGCCGTGGCCTGAGGAAGATGCCAAAGGCTTGGCCCCGGACATTGTTGAGGAAGGAGCCCTGTGGACTCCTCCACTCCAGGGGGACAGTGTCCCCCAATCCAGAGGGAGAGCGCTGACAGCCAGCCTCCCATGGACAGCCGCCACCTCAGACACCCATAACAGCAGCGCCATGGAGAGCACAGAAAGACCAGTATGTGAAGGTCACGGGCAGGGAGAGAGGTGGCCCTACTCCGGGGCCACAGGCTGAAAGCTCTTTGGCTTCATCCAGATATAAGGGTAGGGAGGACTGAGAAACCAGAGGTGGAGACCACTGCCTTGCCCACTTCCCTCTGGGCAGGGACAGGGTTTTGATTGCCACACAGGGAACCACTTTACCCTCAGCTGTCTCCACCATCACCTTCAAAACAGGAGGGAAAGAGATTCTAAGGAGGGGGTGCGGGCCCTGAGACAGTGGGGCTCCACTGCTTCTTGCAGCCTGGACTTTGGACTATGGAAGACAGACAAGGCTAGGGCTTTCCCTGGAGGCTACGCCTGCTGGTGGCCCCACTGTGGCAACGCCATGCCTTCCCTTTTCAGAGTGCTGTTCCAGAGACTTCCCTCTGAGCCACCTCCTGGGCCCTGCTGGCACCCTGTCCCCGCCGCCAGCTGCAATCTTCCTTCCCCTGCCTGAAAACCAGCCCATTTGGAGATTATCAGCTGCTCCCCCAAGGGAACCACAAGCAGCTGCTTCCCATCTCCCATGATGGCTGATGTGAATAGGCAAAATCCTGGGGGTACTGGGAGGCAGAGATAGGAAGGCAGCCAAGTGGCCAAGCTCATAAGGCTTTGGGGACATCCAGACCTAGGTTCCATTCCCACTTCAGCCGCTCACTAGCCATGTGAACTGAGGAAAGTTGCTGGAATTCTCTGAACATCAGCTCTATAAAATGGAGATCCTAATGCCCTCTTGGGTTTGTGGTCAGAATTAAATGAGACAGTGTTTAGCCCAGCGCCTGGTCCTTAGCACTCAACAAAAAGTACTGCCACTGCTGTCCCTGTAAATGCTCCTAGAGGTCACCTGCTGGGGGTGGGCGTGGAGAGTGAGGCTGAGCGCTCCTCCAGGGAGGAGGAAAGAGAGTGGCAAGCAGACAGGGACTGGCTAGGGAAGGGCCAGCCTTTGCTCAACCCTCTTTGCTCACATTCTCACCATAACAAAGGAAAACCAAAAACAAAGGAAGAAAATCAAAGAGAAAAGAAAAAAAGCTAAGCAGGAGACAATCATTATTGGTAGCTTTATATTTTTTAGTTTATGGAGATACTTCCTATATATCCCATGAACAGAGCTCCACTGTTGTCTCCTGGGCTTCCCTAGCTCTGCTTCTCAAGGCTTGTCACACCACCTTGGCCTTTTAAAACTTTTATTTACGTATTTATTTGTTTATTTGTTTGTTTGTTTAGACATGGTGTTGCTCTTTGACCCAGGCTGGAGTGCAGTGATGGGATCACAGCTCACTGCAGCCTCGACTGCTTGGGTTCAAGCAATCGTCCCACCCCACCCTGCTGAGTAGCTTGGACTACAGGCATGCATCACCATGCCCAGCTAATTTTTTTTTAGAGACTGGACTTACTGTGTTGCCCAGACTGGTCTTCAAATCCTGGCCTCAAATGATCTTCCTCACTTTGGCCTCCCAAAGTAGTGGGATTACAGGCATGAGCCACCATGCCTGGCCCTACCTTGATCTTAAATGCAATCCAGTAGAGATGGACTCTGGGAGCTAATTTGCCTGTAATTATTGGCATTTGGGCATAAGAGCCAGGAGAACAACCTTTGTTTAGGACCTCAAGTTGAGGCCCTGCAACCTTTCCTCTCCTATTACTGATGGCCCTGAAGTACTGTCTTGTGGGCTAGAATAAGGGTTTCTCCTTTTAAACATCAAATCATGACTATTTTTTCCCAATTTGCAAGAAAAAAAGTCAAGATAAGAAAATTTTCTTCATTTTCTCCTTTCTCCCATGAACATTAGTACCTGCAACTGCTTATCTGCCTGCAAGTGCTAACAAAAGGCAAGCAGAAGAGGACAAGTAGCAACTATTATGGAAAACTAGGAAACAATTTATTTAGAGTATGCCTGCGTTGTTTTATGAAACGCAGAGACATACACCTAGCAGCCACATCTCTTAGTAAAATTGTTCCTTAGTTCTGTAGTAGAAATTAATATGTTTGCCTCCTCACATGATACACTGAGATGGACACAGCAGTATCTGTGTAATATTCCTGTCAAATATGTGTAATCTGAATCTGTGAGGAAACAAACAAATAAATCCAAATCGAGGGACATTCTGCAAAACAATTGGCCGGAACATGAAAAATGTCAGTGTCCAAAAAAATGTCAGAACAAGTGTTGGGAAGGATGTGAAGACACTGGAACCCTCACACTTGGCTAGTGGGGAAGTAAAAAGGCACAGCCGCTGTGGAAAACAGTTTGGCAGCTCCTTAAAGAATTAAACATAGAATTACCATATGATTCAGCAATTCCTAGGTATAGAGAACATTGAAAACAGGTATTCAAACAAGACCTTTTACATGAATGTTCATAGCAATACTATCCACAGCAGCCAAAAGGTGGGAGCAACACAAATGTCTACCAATGGAGGCATGGAGAAACAATTGTGTTACAGTCACACAACCAAGTATTATTCAGCGATAAAAGGAAATGAAGTTGGCAGGGCACGGTGGCTCATGCCTGTAATCTTTTGGAGGCTGAGGCGGGCAGATCACTTGAGGTCAGGAGTTCGAGACCAGCCCAGCCAACATAGGGAAATCCCGCCTCTACTAAAACTACAAAAATTAGCTTGTTGTGGTGGCATGCACCTGTAATCCCAGCTACTCAGGAGGCTGAGGCACAAGAATCGCTTGAACCTGAGAGGCAGAAGTTGCAGTGAGCTGAGATTGCACCACTACACTCCAGCCTGGGTGACAGAGTGAGACTCCATCTCAAAAAACAAACAAACAAACAAACAAACAGGAAATGAAGTTGTAACACATGCTACAACACAGATGAATCTTGAAAACATTCTGCTAAGTGAACCGAACGCGGGTGGCTCACACCTGTAATCCTAGCACTTGGGGAGGCCAAGGCAGGAGGATCACCTGAGGTTGGGAGTTCGAGACCACCATGACCAACATGGAGAAACCCCATCTCTACTAAAAATACAAAATTAGCCAGGTTTGGTGGCACATACCTGTAACCCCAGCTACTCGGGAGGCTAAGGGAGGAGAATGGCTTGAACCCGGGAGGTGGAGGTTGCAGTGAGCCGGAGATTGCGCCACTGCACTCCAGCCTGGGCAACAAGAGTGAAACTCCGTCTCAAAAAAAAAAAAAAAAAAAAAAAGAAAAAGAAAAAGAAAACATTCTGCTAAGTGAAAGAAGCCGGACACAGAGGGTCACCTAGTATGTAATTCCAATGACAGGAAATGTCCAGAATAGGCAAATCCATAGAGACTGAAAGCAGATTTGTGGTTACCAGGGGCTGGGGGCGGAGGACAGGGTGATGGGAATGGGGAGTGATGGTTTAATGGGTACAGGGTTTCTATTTGGGGTGATGATAAAGCACTGCACCCTGATGGTGGTGATGGTTGCACAGCCATGTGAATGTACTAAAGGCCACTGAACTGTTTACTTTAAAATGTCTAAAATGGTACATTTTGTGTCACATGTATTTTACCATAAATTTTAAAGTCAGTGTCTTAAAGACCAAAAACAAAGGAAGAAAATTAAAGAGAAAAGAATTAAAGCCAAGAGACTGTTCCAGGCTGAAGGAGAGTTAATCTCTAAATGCATGATCCTTGATTGGATCCTGGATAAGAAACAAAAAAAAGGTTACAAAGGACATTTTGGGGATAATTGGGGAAAGTTACATATGGACTGTAAATTAGGTCACAGTAATAGTGTATTAAAGTTTAAAAAAGATCAGTTGCAGTGGCTCATGTCTGGAATCCCAGCACTTTCAGAGGCCATGGCGGGTGGATCACTTGAACCCAGGAGTTCAAGACCAGCCTGGGCAATATGGTGAAACCCTGTCTCTACAAAAAAATTTAAAAATTAGCCCAGTTGGTGGCATGTGTCTGTAGTCCCAGCTACTCAGGAGGCTGAGGCAGGAGGATTGCTTGAGCCCAGGAGGTCAAGGCTATAGTGAGCCCTTGATTGTGCCACTGTACTCCATCCTGGGTGACAAAGCAAGACACTGCCTCAAAGAAAAAAAAAGAAGAAGAATATGACAAAATCTATAATGTACACCAACAGAGCACTGTGACTTCCCAGTGCTCTGTCACTTGAACAATTTTAAGATCCACTATCTTAGCCAAGCATGGTGGCTCATGCCTGTAATCCCAGCACTTTGGGAGACCAATGAGGTAGGATCACCATATGCCAGGAGTTTAAGACCAGCCTGGGCAACCTAGCAAGATCACATCTATACCAAAAATTTAAAAATCAGGTGAGTGTCATGGCATGTGCCTGTACTCAGGAGGCTGAGGCAGGAGAATCTCTTGAGCCCAAGAGGTTGAGGCTGCAATGAGCTATGATTGTACCACTGCCCTCCAGCCTGGGCAACACAAGAGTGAGACCTTGTCTGTTGGTGGGGGGAAGAAAAAAAGATCCACTGCCTTAAGTTTTGGTGTGATTGATGGGAAATCACCCAGATTACAGTTTGTAAAACTGTATGCAAGTGAACCCTAGTTTATGAAAATCTGATGTTAAAAAATGTATAGGCCAGGTGTGATGGCTCACGCCTGTAATCCCAGCACTTTGGGAGGCTGAGACGGGTGAATCACCTGAGGTCAGGAGTTTGAAACCAGCCTGGCCAACATGATGAAACCCTGTCTCTACTAAAAATACAAAATTAGCCGGGTGTGGTGGCTCATGCCTGTAATCCCAGCTACTTGGGAGGCTGAGGCAGGAGAATCGCTTGAACCTGGAAGGTGGAGGTTGCAGTAAGCCGAGATCGCGCCATTGCACTGCAGCCTGGGCAACAAGAGCGAAACTCTGTCTCAAAAAATAAAATAAAAAGTATAAACTAACAAATTGGGGTGGGAGGAGGTAATAGACTATTTTTCAAGAACAATTTTACAGAAAAATTGAGAAGATAGTACAGAGATGGACGTTTCTCAAAAAACAAAAAATAGAACTACTAGACAATCCAGCAATCCCACTACTGAGTGTTTATCCAAAGAAAAAGAAATGAATATATTGAAGAGACATCTGCACTCCCATGTTACTGCAGCACTATTCACAATAGCCAAGAAATGGAATAACCTTAAGTGTCCATCTACAAATGAATGGATACAGAAAATATGGTTCATATACATAATGGGATATTATTCAGCCATAAAAAAGCATGAAATCCTGTCATTCGTGACATAGACAGAATTGGAGGTCATTATGTTAAGTGAATAAGCTGAGCACAGAAAGACAAATATTGCATGTTCTCACTCATATTTGAGGGCTAAAAAAGTGAAACTCATAGAGGTAGAGAATAGAATGAGTTACCAGAGGCTGGGATCCAGGGGCAGGAGGATGAAAAGAGGCTGGTTCATAGGTACAAACATATGGTCACATAGAAGGAATAAGTTCTAGTGTTCAACAGCACAGTAGGGTGACTATAGTTAACAACAATATATTGTATTTTTCAAAATAAATTTAAAAGGCTTCTAACACAAATGATAAATGTTCAAGGTGGTGGATGTTCTAAATACCCTGATTTGATCATTAAACATTGTACACATGTATCAAAATATCATATGTATCCCATAAATACATACAATTTACATATATCAATTAAAAACATTTTAAGATAGTATTGAGAGTTCCTATATACCCCATACTCTGTTTTCCCTGTTATTAACACATTAGTATGATACATTTGTTGTAATTAATAGTATTATCATTATGGTCTACACTTTATTGGTTTTTTTTTTCATTTTTATTTAATATCCTTCTGTTCCAGAATCCTATTCAAGATACTACATTACTTTTTTCTTTCTTTTTTTTGAGACAGGGTCTTGCTGTGTCACCCAGGCTGGAGTGCAGTGGCACAATCATGGCTCACTGCAGCCTCAACCTCCTGGGGTCAAGCGATCCTCCTCCCACCTTAGCCTCCCAAGTAGCTGGGACTACAGGCATGCACCACCATACTCAGATTATTTTTATTTTTATTTTTATTTTTTGTAGAGATGAGGTCTACGTTGCCTAGGCTGGTCTCAAACTCCTGAGCTCAAACCATCCTCCCCGCTCGACCTCCCAAAGTTCTGGGATTCCAGGCGTGGCCCACCATGTCCTGCCCTACATTACATTTAGTTGTCATGTCTCCTTAGGTTCCTCTTGGCTGTGACAGTTTCCTAGACTTACCTTGTTTTTAATGACCTTGACAGTTTTGGGAAGTGCTGGTCAGGTATTTTGTAGAATGTCCCTTTATTGGAACTTGCCTGCTGTTTTACTCATCATTGTAATACTGGGGTTATGGCTTTTGGGAGGAAGACCAGAGAAGTCAAGTGCCATTTTCATCACATCACATCATATCATATCATACAAGTGATTCAGCAACATGATCATTGTTGATGTTGGCCTCGATCGCCTGGATGAAGTAGTGTTTATCAGGTTCCTCCGCTGTAGAGTTAGCCTTTCTCCCCATGTTCCACACTGTGCTCTTTGGAAGAAAGTCACTATGCACAGTCTGCACTGAAGGAGTAAGGAGTTAAGCTCTACCTCTTTGAGGATGGAGTACCTACATGAATTATTTGAAATTCTTCTATGTAGGAGATTTGTCTTTTCTCTGCTATTCATTAAGTCACTTATTTATATCAGCATGGGCCCACAGATGTGTATTTTTTATTTTGGGTAATAATTCAATATTTCTTTATTTCGGTGCTCAAATTGTTCTAGCCTTGGCCATTGGGAGCTCTTTCAGTTGGCTTCTGTGTCCCTTTGGGATGCTCACATTGATGAGGATACTGATGTGGGGAATTCATTTTTGTTTCTTCGTGAGCATTTCCTTTCTTTGGGGCACTACAAGATGCTCTAGGCTCATCTCGTGCCTTTCCTGCCCCCATCCTAGAATCAGCCACTTCTCCAAGGAGCCCAGGGGATGGCTATTTTCATTACAAGGTGATCATTCACCTTTCATAGGGATAATGGTACTGGTGTGTGCAAATTATTTTATATAATTTGACTGACAACTTTTCAGGAACATACATTTTGCTAAAAGCTAGACTCAGCCATTTTAAAAGTTGTATCTAGCTCTTAGAAGTTTCCAGCCAGGCTTCATTCTAGTCGGAATGTGAAAAGCTATCCAAAGAAGAGAAATGTCTTTATCTCCATCCTCATCGTGAAAGGAGGTCATTCATGATATTGTGAGGTGCCATAAGGATTTTACAGAAAATTCTAGCATAGTGGAAAGAGTTCCAGAATGAGATTGGGAGGTTGGATTTGGTCCAGATGGTGCACTGCACCCATATGCACTTGGTTAAATGTTACTTCCGCTCTTTTGGCCTCATCTATAAAAAGAGGTGAGTGGCCAAAACCCATTTCTAAGGTTCTGTTCACCTCCAAACGTGATGCTATGAACAGCAGCAGCAGCACTAACTTTGGAATGGCAGTAGCTTTGAGGAATCCAGGGTGGGAAGTGGGGGCAGGAATGGGGGTGTGCAAGGTCAAGCTGTGAAATGCAGAATTTGAGAGCTTAGGGGAGAGATATCATTAGTGATCATATTAAATATTAATAATAATATTAAAGACTTAATCTTGATTTTAATGTAGCCTGTATCTGTGGCTCTAGATCCCTGGCTGATTATTCTTTAGGCTTGTAGGTTCTCAAGCTTGGCTGCACATTGAAATAACCTGGAACACATTCAGAAATACTGTTGCCTAGGTCCCAATGCCAAAGATTCTGATCGACTTGGTTTGGGATGCAGCCTAGGCATTAGCAGTTTTTTAAGCCTCTCCCCCAACAACCCTAAGTCCCAGGCGATTCTAATGGCAGCCAAAGTTGAGCATGTGCTTTCAGCTATAAACGCTCTTGTCCCTCCACCATATCCACGCATGGATTAAGGGTCCTCAGTGTACCATCTGCATAGCAGCAGATGAATTGGATCTGGACAGTGTATTAGTTTCCTGTTGCTGCTGTAACAAATGACCGCAAACTTAGTGGCTTAAAACAACACACATTAATTTTCTTATATTTCTGGTGGCCAGAAGGCCAAAACAGGTTTCACCGGGCTAAAATCAAACAGATCTCGCTGGGCTAAAATACAGCAGCCCCGCATTCCTTCGGGAAGTGCTAGGAAGAGCTCGCCTCCTTGCCTGCTCCAGCTGTTAGAGGCAGCCCTCATTCCTCCATCCGTGGCACCACAGCAGTCCAGCCTCTGCCTCCATCACCGTCTCCTTCTCTGACTCTGGCCCTCTTGCCTCCTTCTTAGAAGGTCTTTTATGATTATACTGAGTCCTCAGGGATAATTTCCCTAGCTCAAAATTCTTAATCACATTTGCAAAGTTCCTTTGGCCATGAAAAGTAACACAATCACAGGTTCCAGCAATTAAGACGTGGACATCTTTGAGGGGACATTATTCTCTCCACCATAGATAGAGACAGAGCAACTGCTGTCATTACAGGCCCATAAATACAGTTAACTTACTCTATGATATGTGGCATCTCTTTACTTTGCCCATTTTTTCAACTTTTATTTTAGGTTCAGAGGTACATGTGCAGGTTTGTTATATAGGTAAATTATGTGTCATGGGGTGATATTTCATAACCCAGGTAATAAGCATAAGTAGTTTTCCGTCCTCTCCTTCCTCCTACCCTTCACTCTAAAGTACATGTGGCCATGTGTACTCAATGTTTAGTTCCCACTTACAAGTGAGAACACATGGAGTTTGGTTTTCTGTTCCTGGATTAATCTGCTTAGGATAATGGCCTCCAGCTGTATCCATGTTGCTGCAAAGGACATGATTTCATTCGTTTTTATGGCTGCGTAGTATTCCATGGTATATATGTACCACATTTTCTTTTCTTTTTTTTCTTTTGATATAGAGTCTTGCTCTGTCGCTAGGCTGGAGTGCAGTGGCACGTTCTCAGCTCACTGCAACCTCCGCCTCCCGGGTTCAAGTGATTCTTCTGCCTCAGCCTCCTAAGTAGCTGGGACTACAGGCATGTGCCACCATGCCCAGCTAATTTTTGTATTTTTAGTAGAGATGGGGTTTCACCATGTTGGCCAGGATGGTCTCAATCTCTTGACCTCATGATCCACCTGCCTCAGCCTCCCAAAGTGCTGGGATTACAGGCATGAGCCACTGCACCCGGCCCCACATTTTCTTTTTCTTTCTTTTTTTTTAGAGATGAAGTCTCACTCTGTTGCCCAGGCTGGAGTGCAGTGGCATGATCTCGGCTCACTGCAACCTCCGCCTCCCAGGTTCAAGCGATTCTCCTGCCTCAGCCTCCCAAGTAGCTGGGACTACAAGTGTGTGCCACCATGTCCAGCTAATTTTTGTATTTTTAGTAGAGATGGGGTTTCACCATGTTGGCCAGGCTGGTCCCAAACTCCTGACCTCGTGATCCACCCGCTTTGGCCTAAGTGCTGGGATTATAGGCGTGAGCCACCGTGTTTGGCCTGACCCCACATTTTCTTTTTCCCGTACTGTTGGTGGGCATTTAGGTTGATTCCATGCCTTTGCTATTGTGAGTAGTGCTTGTTTGGCCTTTCTTGTTTTAGCTGTGCTACGATTTAATCAGATACCATCTTTGTGGAAAATTATACACCCTGGTGAAAATTTGACATGAAAAACAATGAGAGCCTGGAAGCAACAGAAATCAAGAGCAGATACACATTTTTCAATAGTTCAGTAAAATGACACTCAGAACTGTAATTGGCTGCAGTGGGTTTTAAAGGGCAGACAGAGATGCTCACTGACTCTGGTGGAGGACTGGCCACCAGGCCTGGGGAATGACTGGCATCTCTGTCATGTAGTTTCCCTGCCTCCCCCATGCTCCGTGAGCCTGGCAGTGCTGTGGGACAAGGCGCCAGCTGGCACCTGCAGCTCTGCTAGCAGCTCCCACCCTCCTGGACAAAGAGTATGAAGGCCAGCAAATAACACTTTGGGCCCTGAGTTAGAGGCATGGTCAAATGATGTGAGGTGGGAAGAGACCGGGGCCAGCTGAGTGTGGTGACTCACACCTGTAATCCCAGCACTTTGGGAGGCTAGGGTGGGAGGATCAATTGAGCCCAGGAGGTCAAGGCTGAAATGAGCTATTATCATGCCACTGCACTCCAGCTTAAGCAATAGCACAAGACCCTCCTCCCTCACCCCGCAAAAAAGAGGGGGCTGTATATACAGGCAGAGAAGAGTTCTGGAAGACGTGGTTTTAGATAAAGGTTTGCCATTTACTGCTGAATGCACCTGCCCTCCCCTGCCAGATGGCAGAGGACCTTCAACAAGGAGGCCTACAGGGAAAAATGAGGGACTCATCTGACCCTATTACCTGTTCTGGGGGCCTAGCTCCCTTCTTCCACCAAAGCCCCATGGTGGCTCTTTCCAGCTGCTTTCCGTCTTGCAGGACAGTGGTGTCTAGCCAGCCATCTCCTTCCCCACTGAGTTGGTCAAGACCCTGCTGCTGAGAACTCTCTCCTGCCAGAGCTTGGCCCCATCTGTTGCCATGGCAACAGCCAGCTGCTGCTTAGCACCAGCCTGGAGACTGGGCACAAAAAAAGGGTGGCCAAGGGAAGTAGGCACTGGGGCTCTCCTGCACCCCTGGAGGCCTGGGGGCTAGGGGGTAGATAAGGCCTCTTTGGGGTCTCCTATTAGTCTCTGATGGGTTTGTTCTCTCAGGGAGAAGCCAGGAAATTTGAAAGATCTAAACTCCTCTCTATTCCTCCACACTGGAATCAGAGTTTGTGAAGATAAAGGTTCCTTTGCCAAGGCAGTTCCAGTGCTTACATACATGCACTCACACACAGTCCTTCACATTGGAGTGCACTTTCTTTTTGTACTTGACATGATATTGACCTCTAAGAGGGTTAGAGAGCTGGGAGTATGCAACCGCCCAGGCCTGCTTTAGGTATAAAACCTGTCCTTTGATGCAGATAGATTCGAATTCAAAACTTTTCCATTTATGTGTGACCCTGGGCAAGTTAACTATTAATAATGATAGATAATATTTATTGTCAGGCATTGTGTTAAATTATTTCCATGCATTATTTTAGTTGGTTCTTACAGTAATCTTGTCAGTTGTTTGTTCTTACTTCCCATCTTCAGATACAGAAACTGAGGCTCAGAAATTTGCCCTATGTGTACCCAAGTTTGACTCGCTCTGAAGACTGTGTCCTTTTTAATTTTAACTTCAATTTATTAGAGACGGGGCCTCACTCTGGCACCCAGGCTTCAGTGCCATGGCACAGTCATGGCTCACTGCAGCCTTGCACTCCTGGGCTCAAACCATCCTCCTGCCTCAGCCTGCTGAGTAGCTGGGACTACAGGTGCACACCACTGCACCCAGCTAATTATTATTTTGTGTGTGTGTCTAGAGACAAGCTCTCACTATGTTACCCAGGCTGGTCTCAAACTCCTGACCTCAAGTTGATTCTCCTGCCTTGGCCTCCCAAAATGCCCAGCCTGAAGCCCATATTCTTAATCACTCTTCAGTATTAACCTTGGATTGCCTTAATTTCCTCATCCGTAAAATAGGCATAATGTCTGCCTCACAACCTAATTGTGTTACGAGCACTGAATGAATAATGAAAAATATGATGTGGGTAAAAGTGTCTCATGGAGGTAAAGCCCTGACAGATTCTATCAGCAGAATCACTGGGGAGGTGAAAGATGCTCACCTTTGGGTCCCAGGAAAGCAGTCCTTCTCCTGCTCTCCTAGGTTTCTCATGGCATTCAGGGCTCTCTGGTTTCCAGAATCTCAGGGTCTGGCTCTTTTCCTGTCTCCACAGGTGATTTCCATGGTGATGGTGGCTGTGGGTGTCTACGCTCGGCTAATGAAGCATGCAGGTGAGCTGTAGCTCTCCCTCCCTGCCCCCACCTTGTGCCATGCCCCTTTCCCCTCTGCCTCCTTCAGCCTGGCCCTCACACATAAGCTATGGGGCTAAAGGAGGCAGCCTCCCTGGAGCCAAATCTTCATGGTCTACGTAGGTGTCAGACCCCCCCAGGCCAGTGCCCCTGGATTTCCCTGAGCCCCTCTGAGTCTTCCAGGATATGCCTACATTTGAGGCTTAGGAAGTGTGTGAGAAAGAAGGTAGGCCCCTGGGAGCAGAGAGTCATCAAGGGCTTTAGCCCCTCCCTAGCTCTGTCCTGGAGAAACCCAACCACCATTCCTATTTCACCACACAAGTCACCAGGAAACAGAATCTGCAAAGCTGGTGAGCCTAATGCCATTCCAATTCTTTTGCGGAGCGAAAGCAGCCCCTCCTTAAGCCCAGGAATAAAGGCTTTTATTTCTTTAGTTCCTCAAATTAAATGCCACAACCCTTCTGGGCCCTTTTTGGTTCTCCCCATGGGACAGGGGTACTGCCTCCCCTTAACCTTCATCCAACCATAATGGAGATTCCCCCACCAGGGGAAGGAGAACAGTTTGGGGCACCCTCCCACCCCATCCAGGGGTTCCTCAGTGGGCACCAGGCTCAGGCTGAGGGCCGGCTCCTTTTCCAGAAGCAGCCCTAGCCTGCCTGGCAGTGGACCCTGCCATCCTGCTGATCGTGGTGGGTGTCCTCATGTTCCTGCTCACCTTCTGTGGCTGCATTGGGTCCCTCCGCGAGAACATCTGCCTCCTGCAGACGGTGAGTGGTCAAGGCCCCACTGGAAAGACCCTGGCCCTCTCCCCATCATGCCTCTTAGCCTCCCACGGCCCTTTGGTTGCCTTGTCCTACCCTACCCCCAAGCCTGTGCTGTCCACCCCTCAGTGCAGAGCTTAGCCCGGGTGACCCAGCACAGGGTGGCCACCCCCAAGACAGTGTCCCAGAGGCAGCTGCCTTTCTCATGTGTGGGGCATCTGGGAGAATTGCCTGGCAGCTCCCAGCATCCCCTTGGCCCTGGAAGGGGTTGCTGCCATGAGTGGTCCTAGACGCCTCTTCTTCCTGCTGCTCCACAGTTCTCCCTCTGCCTCACCGCTGTGTTCCTGCTGCAGCTGGCCGCTGGGATCCTGGGCTTCGTCTTCTCAGACAAGGTAACACTGGGAGCCAGGAGGCCTCCTCAGGTGTGACCCAGAGGGAGGAAGGAAGGTTCCTGCCCATGTTTAGCCTGGTTAATTAACCACAGCTCCTTCCCCTGAGAAACATCAGTCGTTGAAAAGTTCATTAGGGGTGAATGAATAGCCTGTAAACTCATCATATTTGAAGAGAATTTTAAGATCATAAGGTGCTTTCCTCTGACAGTCTGAGAAGCTAACAGGGAAGTAAATTATACAAACACAAAGTTAAAATAACTTAGAAACTTTAATAGCAAATGACAGAATCAAACTCAATAATCAAGTGGACCACTGACAATATGAAGAGCCTCTTATTTCTTTTAAAAATTGTTTATTGAGATAAACAGAAGGAAGGAAGGGGGAAGAGAACAAGATTTTGTTTTGAGGTTTATTTTTCTTTCTTTCTTTTTTTTTTTTTTTTTGGTTGTTGTTTTTGTTTTTTAAGAGATGGGAGTCTCACTAGGTTGCCAGGCTGGCCTTGAACTCCTGGGCTCAAGTGATCCTCCTGCCTCCATCTCCTAAGTCTCTGGGATTACAGTCATGTGCCACCATGATTGGCTTAATAAAAGGTTTTGAACAATGCTTGCCATATCTGGAAATGGTCTGCCATTCAGTGACAGTCCTTTTTAAGAACCAGAATGTCTTTCCCAAAAGGCAAATGATTGCCAAGGGCAGACTACAAAACTAAGGAAAGAAAATTTGAGAAAAGTAGTGGGGCAGGAAGGAAGAGACTATGGTAGAAAATTATGAAATTGGGCCAGGCGCGGTAGCTCATGCCTGTAATCCCAGCATTTTGGGAGGCTGAGGCGGGCAGATCACTTGAGGCCAGGAGTTCGAGTCCAGCCTGGCCAACATGGCGAATCCCTGTCTCTACTAAAAAACACCAAAAAAATTAGCCAGGTGTCAGGAGGCTGAGGCACAAGAATTGCTTGAACCCAGGAGAAGGAGGTTGCAGTAAGCTGAGATCGCGCCACTACACTCCAGCCTGGGCGACAGTAAAACTGTATCAAGAAAAGAAAAGAGAAAGGGAGAGGGGAGGGGAGGGGAGAAAATTATGAAATCGAGAGCCACTGAGTTAATTCCGAATTTCGTAGTCCTCCTGGCTTACAGTAAGATCCTGAAATGATGTATTAAATAGCTCTGTTTTGAGTCTAAAGAGATGCAATTATCTAGTGTCCACTAGAGGGCAGTGCCTCAGCTCAGTAAGCTACTTTCTGCTAAAAAAATTAAAAATTAGTTTGTTTTTATCAGTCAACAAGTATTTTGTGATAATAGCATTCAGAGATAGATACACATTGGTATATCTTGAAATGTGTCTCTGAAAAGCTTCAACAGCAGGTCCAGCATTTCTCCTGCCCACTGGTACCTGAGGGCCCTGGGATGGGCTTTGGAACTGAACCGGCTATCTTCCACCATTAGGACTCGGTTCTGATTTCAAGGCAGACTCAGTTAAGAAGGATGATCCCTGTCTACTGTTATTTTTGCTGGAAGGAGCAAGTTAGGGATTAGTCCTGTGTTCTGATTCCTTGCCCATGTCTCCGGCAGGCTCGAGGGAAAGTGAGTGAGATCATCAACAATGCCATTGTGCACTACCGAGATGACTTGGATCTGCAGAACCTCATTGATTTTGGCCAGAAAAAGGTATGGGTCAGCCAGTGGTCTGGGGGACTGTGGGTAAAAGTGAATGTCATCCCAAGAGATGCCTCACCCTCTATGCCTGTGGGGCTCTTCATTACCTGCCAGGTAATGGCTTCTGGGAAGGGGTTTGGCAAAAAAGCACACGTAGCAGAGTGCTTTAAATGTACTTTTAAAGACACAGAACAGTATATATAGTAATCTACTGTGTTATAAATGGTTACCTACAGGGGGTGAGGAACTGGGCAGATTCTTGAATATTACCTCTTCAAAAGTGACATTTTAGGCTGGTCCAAAGGGAGTGAGTTATCTCATTTGATTGTTCACAGTCAGCTACAGATCCAACTCCTTGTTCTACTCTTTCCCCCCTTCTCACTGCTGCACTTGACTAGACTAAAAAAAAGAAAATTACATTTAAAAAATTGTGATAAAATTTACATAATGTAAAATTTACCATTTTTAAGCATACAGATCCGTGGCATGAAGTACCTTCAATTGTTGTGCAACCATCACCACCATCTCCAGAACGCTCATCTGCCCCAGATGAAACTCTGTATCCATCAAACACTAACTCCCCATTTCCTCTCTTGAATCTCTGTATCCATCAAACACTAACTCCCCATTTTCCTCTCTTGAAACTCTGTATCCATCAAACACTAACTCCCCATTTTCCTCTCTTGAAACTTTGTATCCATTAAACACTAACTCCCCATTTTCCTCTCCTGAAATTCTGTATCCATTGAACACTAAAGCCCCATTTTCCTCTCCTCCAGCAACCACCATTCTACTTTCTGTCTGTAAATTTGACAACTCTAGGTACCTCAAATGAAGGGACTCACGGTATTAATGCTTTTTTGAGTGGGTTATTTCACTTAGCATGTCTTCAAGTTTCATCTCTGTTTTGGCATGTGCCACAACTGCCTTCCTTTTGAAGGCTGAATAATATTCTGTTGTATGTATATGCCACATTTTGTTTATCCATTCATTCACCAGTGGAGAAAAGGGTTGCTTCCACCGTTCGGCTACTGTGAACAAGGCTGCTATGAATCAAAAGTTAACAATTAGGCCAGGCATGGTAGCTTACATCTGTAATCCCAGCACTTTGGGAGGCCAAGGCAGGCAGATCATTTGAGGTCAGGAGTTTGAGACTAGCCTGGCCAACATGATGAAACCCTGTTTCCACCAAAAATACAAAAATTAGCCGGGTTTGGTGGCGCACACCTGTAGTCCCAGCTACTCAGGAGGCTGAGGTGCGAGAATAGCTTGAATTTGGGAGTTGGAGGTTGCAGTGAGCCAAGATCATGCCATTGCACTCCAGCCTGGGTGACAGACAGAGACTCCGTCTCAAAAATAAATAAGTGAAAAATAAAAGTTAACTTTTTTTTTTCCCTGAGACGGAGTCTTGCTCTGTTACCCAGGCTGGAGTACAATGGCGTGATCTTGGCCCACTGCAACATCCGCCTCCTGGGTTCAAGTGAATCTGCCTGCCTCAGCCTCCTGAGTAGCTGGGATTACAGGTGCCTGCCAAACCACGCCCAGCTAATTCTTGTATTTTTAGTAAAGATGGGGTTTTGCAATATTGGCCAGGCTGGTCTTGAACTCCTGACCTCAGGTGATCTGCCCTCCTCGGCCTCCCAAAGTGCTGGGATTACCGGTGTGAGCCACAGCACCTGGCCAAAAAAGTTAACTTTTAAGTAAAAGTGCTTCTGAGACAAGTCCTGAGTTCCCCTTCCTCTGGTGCAATAGACACTTGACTTTGAGATCCAGTTGGCTCTCATGGAGTAATGATTGACTCACAATATTGAAGATTCCTCCCCTGTGTTTTCTCTATCTTAAGGAGAAGTTTTTCAGCACTGATACTGTAATTATTTCAGCCAATACTTTTGATCACTTCCATTTGCCTGCAAAGCCAGAAACTTCTCTCAAGAAGATTATAGCTGAGTATGTAAAACAAAATATATGTACAACTGTAATACCAACAAGCACAGTGGTAAGTTATAACAAGATATACGAAGTAATAGAAATTAAGAAGTGAGAATATCTTCAGGCGAAGGCAACTGGGAAGCTGGAGCTCAAAGTTTAAGGCTGTGTTAAAACACAACCTAAAGTTCCCAGTAGAAGCTTGCTATAGACTTTTGGTGGCTCTGAGAATTCCCCTGGTCACCTCAGTGTGAGGGGTGGGTGATTCTTAACCTCTGGTGGGTTTTGTTGCAGTTTAGCTGCTGTGGAGGGATTTCCTACAAGGACTGGTCTCAGAACATGTATTTCAACTGCTCAGAAGACAACCCCAGTCGAGAGCGCTGCTCTGTGCCTTACTCCTGTTGCTTGCCTACTCCTGACCAGGTGAGCCAGCATCCTGCCTCATTTCCTCCTAGGCAGCGAGCTGAGTCACTTTCTGATGGGGGCAGCTGCTACTGGGGATCCCCATCCCCTAGCTTCACCGATCAGTCATGTGGGACAGCTGTCAGGTGTTTTTCTTCACCCCAACCTGATGCTTCTATTAACCTCATACTCATGTAGTCCACATGGAGTTCAGAAGGGACAGATTTAAGTTTTAAGTTCAGATTCAGTACCTGTGCAGGTTTGTTATATAAGTAAACTTGTGTCTTAGGGGTTTGTTGTACAGATTATTCCACCACCCAGAGCAAAGAGACCTGGATCCTGACCTCTCAGAGGAAGGGAAGTCTGCATTTGGCAACTTCCAACCCAATATCCTCCACATATATTCTCTGACAATTTAGGAGTTTGGGAAGGGTGGGAAGCCCATCAGCTAAGGCCCCAAACAAAAAGTTATTGGAATTACAGTCCCAATTGGCTTTTCAACTCTTTCCCCAGGCAGTGATCAACACTATGTGTGGCCAAGGTATGCAGGCCTTTGACTACTTGGAAGCTAGCAAAGTCATCTACACCAATGGCTGTATTGACAAGTTGGTCAACTGGATACACAGCAACCTATTCTTACTTGGTGGTGTGGCTCTAGGCCTGGCCATCCCCCAGGTAACTTACCCTGTGAGACTTGTTGGTCCCACACACTCTGTAAAGACTCCTTTGTTTTGGGGAAGGCACCTGGGGATCAGCGAGGGTGTCAGGCACTGACATGGCTGAGGGGTAGGGAAAGGGATAGTGCTGGCCGCACTGGGAAGATCGAGCCAGGGAAAACAAGGCCATCACTCACTGCTGAGTGCCCAATTCCTTCTTGCCTCTCCCAGCTGGTGGGAATTCTGCTGTCCCAGATCCTAGTGAATCAGATCAAAGATCAGATCAAGCTACAGCTCTACAACCAGCAGCACCGGGCTGACCCATGGTACTGAGAATCCATCCTGCACCTCCTCACCATGGAAACTGGCAAGCCTCATAAACGAACAGCAGTGGGTGCTGAAAGCAGCACCAAATGGAGATTTGGATTCCAGCCCCCCAGTGACAGCCCAGTGGGAAGAAGCAAACTCCAGATGGGCAGAAGGCAGGGTGCACAGGTGGCTCCAGTCTCAGGAGGATGCGCCTCCTCTCCCCCATCCCAGCCCTCAGCATTGTGCCAGAGTGATACCCTTAAGTGTTTGGGTTTATGTTTTCAGTTTTGTTTGGGAAACAGCAGTTGCACAGAGAGTTGGGGGTACTGCTGCTGCCTTTTCACCGAGGCACTGCCACCACCAGCTCTAGCAGGGATGCTCCTGAGCTTGGCGGACATACTTAGATCCTAACGTGCCAGTGAGACCTGGCTGTGGAGAGTAGCACTGGCAGCCCTGCCTGGACTCCACTTGGCATGATACCAGCTCCAGAAGGGAAGGGAGTGGAGCAGGCAGTGAGGAGAGAGCCTGGGGGTCGGCTGGGGACAGCCGTATGTGCTAGGTAGGAGTGGAGGGAGATATGTTTACCAAATGCCTGTCCTGCCATCCTCCCAGGTAGTCAGAGTGAGCTACATCCTGCCCCGCCTTCATTTCCATGGAAACATGGCAGCTAGGACACGGGGTACAACAGCAGCCAAATTCTTCCCCACCTCCCTTACTTCGAAAAAAAGTTTGGAACCCTGGTCCCTATACTCTGCAGTCAGAAGTGGGACTGAGCCATACATGCCCTTGAATTCCTCCCTGTCTGGCCCTCCCTCTCCAGCAAGCAGGGTTTTCTTTAACTTGGCAGTGTGCAGAGGAGAAGTGGTAACACCCCCACCCCATTCCCCTGCATCGGAGCTCAGTATTCCTACAGGGTAAGAGGTAGGAATCTTGCTGGGACGAGGGGAGCCAGAAGTGGCAATAAAAGCGTGTTGACCTGGGCTACGCGGGACTCCATGAATTTTCCATTCTGGCAACTGGAAGGGGAGGTGTAGAAGGGCCCTGCAGAGGACGGCACTGGAGACTCTCCTAAACGCCACACACCTCCCCCTTGCTGCCCGCCACACGCGCGTCTCCTTCAACCGATGCATTGCCACCCTCCCACAGCCTCGCCCTCTGCTCTAAATTAGGTCGAAAGAGTCCCAGTTCCAATCTAGGAACAGCATAATTTTGTTCCAAAACCTGATCTGTGTTTTTCTAATTAAAATTAATTTGTCACCCAAAACAGGAGGGGGATGGGGAGGAGGGACATGAGCACTCCGCTGGGGCCGGGACGGGGAATGAGGAGGAAGAAGGCCCTCTCTTCCCCTACCCGGGCCCTCCAGGACCTTCTCCCTGAGTCGGCTGTAGGGAGGACTCCGAGGAAGCTCGGCGCGGTGCGCTGGGCCTCCTGGCGCCGGGAGGAGCGCGCGAGGCAGGCGGGGCGGGCGCGTCCGGGGCGGGGCGCTGGACTTCGTGGGTGGTCCCCGCCCCCGCGGCGGCCTAGGCCCGCGCCTGCGTCCCCCAACCCGGAGGAGATGGGGGGCTGTGCTAGCTGCTTGCCCAGCGAGTGTTCCCGGAGTCTCCTCGCCGCACCCCGCTATCGGGCGCTCAGACCAGGGGCTCGGCCTGGCGGGAAATAGCCTCGACCGAACTGCTGCGGGGACAAAGAGCCGCGAGTTCGCTCCCTGCCCCCAGTGTCTCCTAAGCGAGCCTTCTGCTCCTAGGAAGGCGCCTTTCCAGCAGCCGCTGGGACCCTGGCCAGTGTTTAGCTCCCAACTAGTAACAGACGGAAAGAAAAAATAAAATTATCCAGAATCTAGAATAAAAAGTAAGGGCCTTTTATTCTGGGAGAGGACAGTTAAAAAGCGCGCTTTCTTGCTAACTTGCCTTTCTTGGTTAGTGCCAGAGACGTGCACTTTATAAACTTATTTAAGTGACACGGACCCAGAAGTCGATGTCTTGGGTTAGAGGTTGGAGTGATGCGCCCTCTGGGTTCAGCGGCTTTGAGGAGCTCACCCTGCAGCGGGCTCCGTTTGGGGCCCCTTGGAGGAAGTAAGACCAGGAACCGTGATCCTCAGAATGATTATTCAAATCTGGATTTTCAAAACTAAGAACTACACTTTCACCATCGCCTCTACTGTCTCTCAGTATCTAGCCTCCTGGGTCTGGACTAAAAGGCTGGGAACTTCTGCCCATGCCCCAGACTTTATAACGCACAGAGCAAATGTTCAGTATAGTGCAGTTCAGGGTTCCTAGCTAGATTGCAAATTGCCAATGTCTCTGATTCTCAGTCTGTAGCTTTCTTTCTCTTCGGCCTGATGCTGGGGAAGAAAATACGCGAAGTTTTATATTTCATGTTTGCTCCTTGAATTTCTACCTATTTCTAGTAACCCTCCTCCCAAACACACACTGTTACCAGACACACACTGTTACCGGGAGTCCTTCCCAAGAGAGGGTTCTTGGATCTGACACAAGAAAGAATTCAGGGCAAGTCCATAAAGTGAAAGCAAGTTTATTAGAAAAGTAAAGGAATAAAGAATGGCTACTCCATAGACAGAGCAGCCCCAAGGGCTGCTGGTTGCCCATTGTTAGGGTTATTTCTTGATGATATGCTAAACAAGGGGTGGATTATTCATGCCTCACCTTTTTAGACCATGTAAGGTAACTTCCTGACGTTGCCATGGCATTTGTAAACTGTCGTGGTGCTGATGGGAGCGTAGCAGTGAGGACGACCAGAGGTCACTCTCGTCAACATTTTGGTTGTGGTGGGTTTTGGCCGGCTTCTTTACCGCAATCTGTTTTATCAGCAAGGTATTTCTGACCTGTATCTTGTGCCGACCTCCTATCTCATCCTGTGACTTAGAATGCCTTAATCTGCTGGGAATGCAGCCCAGTAGGTCTCAGCCTTATTTTACCCAGCGCCTATTGAAGATGGAGTTGCTCTGGTTCAAATGCTTCTGACACCACTACTTTAGAATAGCTAATCAAATGTAGGCCGCAAAGGTGGTTGAATGAAAGGAGATTCTTGGGGACAGCAGAAATCAGGCTTGGTACACAGAGGTGGAGAGAAAGGCCTGAAGGATGGTGAAAACCTGCCAGGGTGGCATGCCAAGAAAGGCACCACTAAGTTCTGCGGGCCTTAAGCCCTGCAGTTAAACAAAGACTTGTGCCCAGAAGAGCAAATTTTGCAGAATGTTCAGTGAAATTCTGATTTCCTCCTATCAGGTTTTTATTGCTACTGTTACAAATTACCAGACATTTAGTAGTTTAAAGCAACACAAATTTATCTTACATTCTGGAAGTAAGAAGTCCAAAATGGGTCTCACTGAGCTAAGATCAAGGTGTGAGCAGGGCTGTATTCCTTCTTGGGGGCTTCAGGGGAGAATCCATCTTTCCTGCTCCCAGAGGCCGCGTGCATACCTTTGGGTGGTCCCTTTCTCCAACTTCTGTCATCACATCTCCTTTTTCTCTGACTCTCCTACTGCCCCCTGACAGGACCCCTGTGATTGTATTGGCCCATCTAGATTATCCAGGATGCCCTTCCCCCATGAAGATCATGAATCTCGCCACGTCTACAAAGTCCCTTTTAGTATGTAAGGAAAGAGATGCATCGGTTCTAGGGATTAGGGCATGGACATTTTTGGGGTGGCATGATTTAGCTCATTACATCCCCCTTTCCAGCCTCATGAATGCCTTCAGGTGCGGGGCATTTGGGAATGAGCTGATGTTGGATGCTGGCAAGAGTTTGAGGTAGGTGTTCTCTGGTCTTCTTTCTGATAATTATGTAACGTCTATCAAGTGCTTATGATGCACCAGGCACATATTTATTATGAAGTTCAATACGCAGCCTTGGCTATTTTCTGACTTATCCTCATCCTGAAGACCAGATATGTTAACAGGGCCAGAGACCAGGTTCAAAAAGGAGAGCAGGCCAGGTGCAGTGGCTCATACCTGTAATCCCGGCACTTTGGGAGGCCAAGGCAGGAGGATCACCTGAGGTCAGGAGTTTGAGACCAGCCTGGGCAACAGAGGGAGACCCTGTCTGTACAAAACATAAAAATTAGCCAGGCATGGTGACATGTTGGCCTCTACTGTCTCTTGCTATCTAGCCTCCTGGGTCAGTCCCAGCTACTTTGGAAGCTAAGGTGGGGAGGATCACTTGAGCCTGGGGGTGTGTAGGGGTGGGGGTGGGAGGCAGGGAGGTGGGTGTCGAGGCTGCAGAGACCTGTGATCACCCCACTGCACTCCAGTGAGCAACAGAGAAGACTCTTTCTCTCTCTCTCTCTCTCTCTCACACACACACACACACACACACACACACACACACAAAGCAAGCAGCACAGCTTCTTCCATCAGCAGTTCTTCTGTTCTGTTTTGTAAACACCCCCACCCCACCCCCAAAAATAAGAGCAATTAGATATTTCAAATCATCATAGGTAAAGCACTTAGGGGAGGGAATAAAGTAAGGGATAACCACGGTCTAGAACTCCAGTTGGAAATTAAGCCTCCAGAGTCTTCTCATTACCATATCGGGAATGTGGAAAATCAATCAAATGAATGGAAATAGCAAAGGGATTCCAGAAATATTTTGGACATCGGTGCTCACTATATAATAAACAAGAAGCAATGCAATGTTGAGAGGAAGCTGTAATCATAATTACTAATAAATGCTATTAGGCGAATTATTACAGTGTGGAAAATAAGTAACAGATTCCTACCTCACACTGTGCACTGCAAAGCATTCCAGAAGGGTAAAAGAGCTAAGATTTTAAAGTAAAACAAACAAGAAAACCAGAATATCATACTGTCCTAGCTCTAGGAAGCTACAGTAGACAGCTTTTCAGTGTATCTTCCCAACTTGCAATGATTCCTTCTTCTTTGGAAACTGGCATCCACCCCTCAAGCCATAGGGGTGAGTCTTGAGGAGCCATATTTATCCTCTAAGGCCTGGTCCCCTAGGCATAGCTGATTGGATCCAGCTCAGGCACTCTATTCGTTTCCTAGGGCTCCCATCACAAAGTACCACAAAAATAGATCGCTTAAAACAACAGATAATTATTGTTTCACAGTTTTGGAGGCCGGAAGTCTGAAATCAAGGTGTTGACCAGGCCATGCTCCCCGGAAGCCTCCAGGGGAGGATCCTTCCTTGTCCTTTCCAGCTTCTGGTAGCTGGGTATTCCTTGGCTTGCGGCAGTATAAATGCAGACTCTGCCTCCCTCTTCATCTTCCCTCTGTGTCTGTGTCCCAATTTTCCTCTTCTCATAAGGATGCCAGTCACATTGGATCAAGGCCCACTGTACTCCAGTATCCTCATCTTTTTTTTTTTTTTTTTTTTTTGAGACAAAGTCTTGCTCTGTCACCCAGGCTGGAGTGTAGTGTCACGATCTTGGCTCACTGCAACCTCCACCTCCTGGGTTCAAGTGATTCTCCTGCCTCAGTCTCCCTAGTAGCTGGGATTACAGGCACGCACTTCCACGCCCTGCTAATTTTTGTATTTTTAGTAGAGTCAGGGTTTCACCATGTTGGTCAGGATGGTCTTGAACTTCTGACCTCAGGTGATCTGACCATCTCAGCCTCCCAAAATGCTGGGATTACAAGCGTGAGCCACCACGCGCCTGGCCTCCAGTATCATCATCTTAATTAATTACTTCTGCAATGACCCTATCTCCAAATAAGGTCCCAATCTGAGGTGCAGGGGTCTAGGGCTTCAACATATCTTTTTTAAGAAGTCAAAATTCAACCCACAACAGGCACCTAACCCAAACAGTAACAAACAGAGTTATTTCCCTGGGACTTGGGAATTGAGAATGAGGTTCTAGTCACAGCCTGGGCTGGTCTCATGAAGAAAGAGAAGGCAAAGGGAGGCTGAGGTACCAGCCCTCTTATGCTCCAGGGACTGATTATGGAGAAAGTCTATTCCCAGAAACAAGAGAAGGAAGGAGTGGAGTGCGGTGAGGAGGAAGAAGAGGAGTCCTCCTAGAAGCGCCTTTCCTCTATAATCCCAGAACCTTTCTGCAGCGGCACTGCTTTCCAGCCGTGGCTTCCCTATCTGCTTACAGTAAAGCCTGTTTTGTTTGCTTAGGGAAGCTCAACTAGTTTCTCTTGCTCGCAAGCAGAGTTAATAGAAAAACTAGAATCAGAGTAAGATGCTGTATTAGTACTCTTTTGCTGCTGTAACAACTTTCCACAAACTCAGCGCTCAAAACAACACAAATTTGGCCGGGTGCGGTGGCTCATGCCTGTAATCCTAGCACTTTGGGAGGCCAAGGTGGGTGGATCACCTAAGGTCAGGAGTTTGAGACCAGCCTGGCCAACATGGCGAAACCCTGTCTCTACTAAAAGTATAAAAGTTAGCTAGGTGTGGTGGCACATGTCTGTAATCCCAGCTACTTGGGAGGCTGAGACAGAATCACTTGAACGCAGGAGGCAGAGGTTGCAGTGAGCCAAGATCATGCCACTACACTCCAGCCTGGCCGACAGAGTGAGACTGCATCTCAAAAAAAAAAAAAAAAAAAAAAAGCAACACAAATTTTTTATCTTACGTTCTGTTGGTCAGAAGTGTGCTATGAGTCTCACTGGGTTAAAACCAAGGCATCAGCAGGGTTGCATTCCTTGCTGGAGATTCCAGGGACAATACATTTCTTTGTCTTTTCCTCCTTCTTGAGGCTACCTGCTTTCCTTGGTTGGCGGCCCCATCCTCCATCTTCCAAGCCTGCAAGGGCAGGGCAGGTACTTCTCACACTACTGTCTCTCTGCGGCCAGGAAAGATTCTTCACTCCTGTGATTAGGTTGGGCCCATCTGCATAATCTAAGATACTTTCCCCATCTCGAGGAATGTAACCTTAATCACACCATTTGCAAAGTCCCTTTTGCCATATGAGGTAATATATTCACAGGTCCTGGGGATTAGGATATGGATATCTTGAGGGCATATTATTTTGCCAACCACAGATGCACAATAGACTATATTATGACCATTTGTAGTAAGATAGATGACCAAGCATTTCTTTGTACTGTTTCTTTTTCTTTTTTTTGAGACGGAGTCTCACTCTGTCACCAGGCTGGAGTGCAGTGGCACAATCTCCACTTACGCAACCTCTGCCTCCTGGGTTCAAGTGATTCTCCTGCCTCAGCCTCCCAAGTAGCTGGGACTACAGGAACATGCCACCACGCCCAACTAATTTTTGTATTTTTAGTAGAGACGGGATTTCACCATGTTGGCCAGGATGGTCTCAATCTCTTGACCTTGTGTTCTGCCTGCCTCGGCCTCCCAAAGTGCTGGGATTACAGGTGTGAGCCACTGGTACTGTTTCTTTTTCTTACAAAATTGCTTAATTTCAACAATTCAGGCTGAAGCTCTTTTTGAGGAACATAGGGTCAATTCAGTGACATTCAAGGACCTTTATTTAGCTGCCTTCTCATAGCAGACGTTTTAACTCTCCCAGAAAGACTTCAAATGAGTACATACTCCCAAAGGCCTCATTGGAGCCAGGGAAGAATAAACAGAATTGGGTGAAATATGTATTTCCCACTAAAGAATTTCATTTACAGCTGGGCATGGTGGGTCATACCTATAATCCCAGCAATTTGGGAGGCTGAAGTTGGAGGGTCACTTGAGCCTGAGAGTTCAAGACTAGCCTGGGCAACACAGGGAGACCCCATCTCTACAAGAAAAAAATAAAAAATTTAGCCAGGCACGATGGTATGTACCTGTGGTCCCAGCTAGATGGGAGGCTGAGGTGGAAGGACCACTTGAGCCCAGGAGGTCAAGGAGGCTGTAGTGAGCCATGTTTGTGTGCTACTGCACTCCAGCCTGGGCGTCAGAGACAGTCTGTCTCCAAAAAAAAGAAAAAAAAAATGCCTTTATGAAAATGTAATTACCAGAAAAAGGCTATTTGAAAAAATGTGGTGGCCAGACACAGTGGCTCACACCTATAATCCCAGCACTTTAGGGAGCAAAGACGGGAGGATGACTTGAGCCCAGGAGTTTGAGACTAGCCTGGGTAATATAGGAAGACCCCCTTTCTGCAAAAAAGTTTTAAAAATTAGGTGAGCCTAGTGGCAAGCACCTGTAGTCCCAGCTACTGAAGAGGCTGAGGCAAAAGAATTCCTTGAGCCCAGGAGGTTGAGGCTGCAGTGACCCATGGTTGCACCACTGCACTCCAGTCTGGGTGGCAGAGGAAGACCCTATCAAAAAAAAAAAAAAAAAAAAAAAGGAAGGAAAGAGGGAAGGGAAGGTGAGAGGAGAGGAGGGGAGGGAAGGGGAGCGGAGAGGAGGGGAGGGGAGGGGAGGGGAGGGAAAAGGGAAAGAAGGAAGGAAAGAAAGAGAAAGAAAGAAAGAGAAAGAAATGTGAAATCTCCTCTGAACTGAGAGTCTGGGGTGAATACCTTAATAAAAGTAATGTTTCTGGCAGGGGGCTATAAGGTTAATTTTTGTATAGATACAATAAATGAAATAGACACCTGTAGGAAGCCAGGTACACCCACACATTCACTCAACAAATGCAGTGTGCCAGGTGCCATTCTAGCACCAGGGAGAGAACATAACAAATGCTTGCCCCTCCTAAGTTTACATTCTACTGGAGGAGACAGATGTATGCAAATATATGTTATAGCTTATCCATTACATATACTATAAAGTCAGATACAGGCTATGAAGATATAGACAATGAAGAAAAATAAAGCAAGTTGAGAGGATAGAGAGTGATGGAGGGAGTGCAATTTTTTATGAGACATTTTTTGTTTTTTGTTTTTTTTAGAGACATGGTCTTGGTCTTGCTGTGTTTCTTAGGCTGACTTCAAACTCCTGGGCTCAAGCACTCCTCCTGCCTCAGCTTCATGAGGTGCTGGGACTACAAGGCACTTTTTTAAAAAAGTTTAATTTTTTTTTTGTTGTTAAATAATTACAGACTCACAGAAGGTTGCAAAGAAATGCAAGGGAAGTCCCATGCTCTTTTTCCCAACCTCACCCAGTGTTAACATCTTCTACAATTACAGTATGATACATTATCAGAACCAAGGAATTGACACTGCTACAATGTATAGAACTTATTTGGATTTCAGTAATCATACATGCACTTATTTGCATATGTGTGCATGGCTCTATGTAATTTTATCACATGTAGTTTTGTGTAATCACCACTACAATCAAGGTATACTCAACTGGAGTATATGTGAATTACATCTCCATGAAACTGCTACAAAAAAATGCTCAACTGTGCCATCATCACAAGACACATTGGTGTTACCCCTTCATAGCCACACCCATTCCTCCCCACCGTCACTAACCTCCGGCAACCACCAATCTGTTCTCCACCCCTATAATTATGTTATTTCATGAATGTTACAGAAATGGAATCATGCAGTAGTTATCCTTTTGAGACTGGCTTTTTTCACTCAGCATAATTTCTTTGAGCGCCATCCGAGTTGTTGCGTGTATCAATAGTTTGTTCTTTTCTATTTCTGAGTATTATTCCATGGTATGGATAAACTACAGTTTGTTTAACCACTCACCCATTAAAGGACATTTGGTTGGTTTCCAGTTTTGAGCTATTACAAATAAAACTGCCACGACCATTTGTGTACAAGTTCCTGCGTGAAAATAAGCCTTCATTTCTCTTGGAGAGATGCCCAGGAATGTGACTGCTGGGTCGTATGGTATATATGTTTTTTCCAGAAACTGACAAATTGTTTTCCAGAGTGGCTCTATCATTTTATGTTCCCCAGCACTATACGAATGACTCAGTTTCTCCGCAGCATTGCCAGCATTTGGTGTTCATCACTACTTTTTTTTTTTTTTTTTTTTAGACACAGTCTCACTCTGTCGCTTAGGCTGGACTGCAGTGGTGTGATCTCGGCTCATTGCAACCTCCGCCTCCTGGGTTCAAGTGATTCTCCTGCCTCAGCCTCCTGAGTAGCTGGGACTGCAGGCATGTGCCACAATGCCCAGCTAATTTTTTGTATTTTCAGTAGAGACGGGGTTTCACCGTGTTAGCCAGGATGGTCTCGATCGATCTCCTGGCCTTGTGATCTGCCCGCCTTGGCCTCCCAAAGTGCTGGGATTACAGGCATGAGCCACCGCACCTGGCCCACAATTTTTTATTTTAGTCATTTTGATCAGCATGTGGTAATATCTCATTATGGTTTAATTTGCATTTCTCTAATGGCTAATGATACTGAACATCTTTTCATGGGTCTATTTGCCACCTATATATTCTCTTTGGTAAAATGCCTGTGCGTGTCTTTTTCCCGTTTTCTAATTGGATTGTTTGTTTTTTTAAGTACTGTTTTCAAGTTCTTTGCGTGTTCTAGATACAAGGCTTTTTTTGGACATGCAATTTACAAATATCTTCTCCCAGTATTTAATTTGTCTTTTTATTCTTTTAACAGTGTCTTTTGCAGAGCAAAAGTTTCAGATTCTGATGAGATACAATTTGTCAATTTTTCCTCTTCCGGTTTTGCTTTTTATTTTTTATTTTACTTTTATTTAACTTCTTTAGAGATAAGGTCTATGTTGCCCAGGCTGGAGTGCAGTGGCTGTTCACAGCTGCAATAATGGAGCACTGCAGCCTTGAACTCCTGAGCTCAAGTAATCCTCCTGCTTCAGCCTTCTGGTAGCTGGGACTACAGGTGTGCATCACTGTGCCTGGCTCTGGGTTGTGCTTTTGGTATCAAGTCTAAGAACTCTTTGCCTGGTATGAGTCCTGAAGATTTTCTATGTGTTTTTTAGAAGTTTTATATTTACATTTAAGTGCATGATTTGTTTTGAGTTAATTTTTGTTTAAGGTGTGTGAGGTTTACATAGAGTTTTATTTTATTTTTATTTTTTTGCATATGGATATGTAATTGCTCTAGCACCATTTATTGAAAAAGTTCTCCTCCACCATTGAACTGCTTTTGCTGCTTTGTCAAAAACTAATTGGCCATATATGTGGGCATATTTCTGGGTTCTCTATTCTGCTACATTGATCTATGTGTCTATCTTTCTACCAGTACCACATTGTCTTGATTGCTGTAACTATATAGTCAGCCTTAATATCAGCCAGCGATTCCTCCCACTTTAATCTTTGTCAAAAATTGAGCAAGGCCTTTCACTTTCCATATTAGTTTTGGAATAAGCTTGTCTATGTCTACAGAGAAACTTGTTTTCTTTCTTTCTCAAAACTTGAGATTTTGATAGGAATTTTGTTAAACCTAGAGGCTTAGGGAATCAACCTAGGGGAAAGTGACATCTTTGCTATGTTTGATCTTTTGATTCATGAACATAGTATGCCTCTCCAAGGATTTAGGTTGCCTTTGATTTCTTTCATCCCCATTTTATAATTTTCATCATATAGATTCTTTATAAATTTTGTTAGATTTGTACTTAAGTATTTCATTTTTTTTTCTTTCTTTCTTTCTTTCTTTCTTTTTTTTTTTTTTTTGAGACAAGTTTCACTCTTTTGCCCAGGCTGGAGTGCAATGGCATGATCTCGGCTCACTGCAACCTCTGCCTCCTGGGTCCAAGTGATTCTCCTACCTCAGCCTCCCCAGTAGCTGGGATTACAGGCACCTGCTATCATGCCCAGCTAATTTTTGTATTTTTGTAGAGATGGGGTTTTACCATGTTAGCCAGGCTGGTCTTGCACTCCTGACCTCAGGTTATCCACCCACCTCGGCCTCCCAAAGTGCTGAGATTACAGGCATGAGCCATTGTGCCCAGTCAAGTATTTCATTTTCTTTGGAGCAGTTTGTTAGGAATGCCTTCTTGAGAAAGGGTATTTGAATGGACCTAAATGAGAACATAAGAATAAGCCTGAGTGCCAAGATCCTGAGGCAAGTGCTTGCTTGGTGTGTGTAAGGACACACAGCAAAAACTGTACCCATTAATCAGTAAAAAGGACAGCATGTTCAAGGTGGTGTGAGCAAATGAGATCCAGGAGGTTGCCAGGGGTTAGCGGGACGTTGGTGAAGTCCTGATGAGAAATTGAAATTTTACTCTAAGTGTGATGAAATGCCATCAGAGTGTTGAACACAAGAACGATATAGTCAGACATATTTTAGAAGGATGACCCTGGCGCCTGAATGCAGAATTGGTTGTAGGAGGGTAAGGGGAAACAGGAAAGCTGTTAGCTCTTGGAGTGGCCCAGAGGACAAGTGACTGTAGCTCAGAAGAGGGTGGCAGTGTGAAGGGGACAAGGAGTAATTGGAGTCTAGATATATTTTGAAGGTGTAGCTGTCAGGATTTGCTGATGACTCGGTGTGAGATGTTAGAGAAAGAGAAGAGGCATATATGGCTCCAAGGATCTTGGCCCGTGCAGCTGGGTGAACAGTGGTGCCATTTACTGAGAAGAGAACTACATTCTTCAGTATGAAAACAGAACTGTCAGCCAGCACAGTGACCTTGCACCTGTAGACCCAGCAATTTTGAAGGTTGAGGTGGTGAGGGGGTATCATTTGAGCCAAAGAGCTTGAGAGCAGACTAGGCAATATATGACCCCATCTGAAAAAAAAAAAAAAAAAGAACTGTCACTACCCAGAAAAGACCTGAAACCTAATATCTCAGTTTGCAGTCACAGACTGGTATGGGATAAGATTACCTTTCCCAAACCAGCCACATTTCTACAATGTTGGCAACTAGTTGGAATTCCAGAAACCACTGAGATGGTACCATAAGATGGATGTTGGAGAAGAAAGAAAAGGTAAGTGAAACCAGTAGTTCTTAAGCACGTAAGAACCAAGCTTTTCCATGTTACTTCGCACTAATCTTCATTAGACTCCTTACAGCTAAGTAAAAATACACTTGTTTTTTCCCTTTTTTCTTTCTTAAAAAATTGTAGTAAAGTATATCTAACATAATATTTATTATTGTTACTATTTTTTGAGGCAGAGTCTTGCTCTGTCTCGGCTCACTGTAACCTCTGCCTCCTGAGTTCAAGTGATTCTTCTGCCTCAGCCTTCCAAGTGGCTGGGACTACAGGCACATGCCACCATGCCTGGCTAATTTTTGTATTTTTAGTAGATATGGGGTTTGACCACATTGGCCAGGCTGGTTTCAAACCTCTGACCTCAGATGATCCACCCACCTTGGCCTCCCAAAGTGCTGGGATTACAGGCATGAGCCACCGTGCCTGGCGTCCATATTTATTATTTTAAGTATTTGTAAATTTACAGTTCAGTGGCATTAAATATATTCATGATGTTGCATAACCATCACCATCTATAGCCAAAACTCTTTCATCATCCTCAACAAAAACTCTGTACCTGTTAAACAATAGACTCCCTTTTACCACTTTCCCCAGCCCCTGGAAACTTCTATTATTTTCTATTTCTATGAATTTGCCTGTTCTGGGCACCTGAAATCAGTGGAATCACACAATATTTGTTCTTTTGTGTCTGGCTTATTTCACTAAACATATTGTTTTCAAGGTCCATCCATGTTATCCATATATCAAAATTTCATTCTTTTTACGGCTTAGTAATATTCCATTATTATAGATATACCACGTTTTGTTTATCCATTCATCCATTGATAGATACTTGGGTTACTCCCACCCTTTAGCTATTGTGAGTAATACTGCTGTGAACATTGATGTACAAATATCTCTTCAAGTCTCCACTTTCAATTCTTTCAGATTACATATACCTAGGGGTGGAATTGCTGGATCACATGTTAGTTTTATGTTTAGCCTTTTGAGAAACCACCAAAATGTCCTCCACAGCAGCTGCTCCATTGTGCATTTCCACCAGTAATGCATGAGGGTTCCAATATATCCACATCTTCACCAATACTTGTTATTTTCTCTGCTTGCTTTAATTATGATCATCCTGGCTGGGCATGGTGGCTCACGCCTGCAATCCCAACACTTTGGAAGACCAAGGTGGGCAGATCACTTGAGGTCAGGAGTTCAAGAGCAGCCTGGCCAACATAGTGAAAACTCCATCTCTACTAAAAAAAAAAAAAAATTAGCCGGGCATGGTGGCGCGCACCTAGAATCCCAGCTACTCAGGAGGCTGAGGTAGGAGAATTGCTTGAACCTGGGAGGCGAAGGGTGCAGTGAGCCAAGATTGCACCACTGCACTCCAGGCTGGGGGCAGAGTGAGACTTTGTCTCAAAAAAGAAAAAAAATCTATAATCATCCTAATAAATGTGAAGTGGTACCTCACAATGGTTTTGATTTGCATTTTCCTTATGGATAATGATGTTGAGCATCTTTTCATGTGTTTATTAGCTAGTTGTGTATCTTCTTTGGAAAGATGTCTATTCAAGTCTTTGCCCCCTTTTTAGTTGGGTTGTTTCTCTTTTTATTGTTACTGAATTTCAGGAGTTCCTTATATATTCTGGATATGATGTCTCATCAGACATACGTTTCATAAGTATTTTCTCCCATTCTAAAGGTTGTCTTTTTGCTTTCTTGACAGTATCCTTTGATGCACAAAAGTTCTTAATTTTGAGGAAGTCCAATTTCTCTATTTTTTCTTTTATATAGTCTTTTTTTTTTTTTTTTGAGATGGAGTCTCTGTTGCCCAAGTTGGAGTGCAGTGGTGCAATCTCAGCTCACCGTAACCTCTGCCTCCTGGGTTCAAGCAATTCTTCTGCCTCAGTCTTCCAAGTAGCTGGAACTACAGGTGGGTGCCACCATGCCTGGCTAATTTTTGTATTTCTAGTAGACACAGGGTTTCACTCTGTTGGCCAGGCTGGTCTCGATCTCCTGACCTGAAGTGATCCACCCGCCCTGGACTCCCAAAGTGCTGGGATTACAAGTGTGAGCCACCACGCCCGGCTGCTCAGTTTAACTAATTTTTCTTTTGTTGCCTGTGCTTTTGGTATCATATCCACAAAATCATTGTCAAATTCAATGTCATGCAGATTTTCCCCAATGCTTTCTTTTAGGAGTTTCATAGATTTCGTTTTTACATTTAGGCCTTTGATTAATTTTGAGTTAATTTTTGAATGTCGTTTAAGCTAAGGGTCCAACTTCATTCTTTTGCGTGTGTATATGCAGTTTCCCCAGTTCTACTGGTTGAAAAGACTGTCTTTTGTCCGGACGAGGTGGCTCATGCCTGTAATCCCAGCACTTTGGGAGGCCAAGGCGGGCGGATCACGAGGTCAGGAGATCGAGACCATCCTGGCTAACGCGGTGAACCCCCGTCTCTACTAAAAATACAAAAAATTAGCTGGGCGTGGTGGCGGGTGCCTGTAGTCACAGCTACTCAGGAGGCTGAGGCAGGAGAATGGCGTGAACCCAGGAGGCGGAGATTGCAGTGAGCCGAGGTCGCGCCACTGCACTGCAGCCTGGGTGACAGAGTGAGACTCCGCCTCAAAAAAAAAAAAAAAGAAAGAAAGAAAAGTGTGTCTTTTTTTCATTGGGCTTGGCACCCTTGTCGAAAACCAATTGGCCACATATGTGAGGGTTTACCTCTAGGCTCTCTATTCTCTTCTATTGACTTGTATTTCTGCCCTTATGCAAGTAGTATAGTGTTGTTTTGTTTTGAGACGGAGTCTCACTCTGTTGCCCAGACTGGAGTGCAGTGGTGCAATCTCGGCTCACTGCAACCTCTGCCTCCCAGGTTCAAGCGATTCTCCTGCCTCAACCTTCTGAGTAGCTGGGATTACAGACACGCACCACCATGCCTGGCTATTTTTTATTTTTTATTTTTTATTTTTTAGTAGAGACAAGTTGTCCATGTTGGCCAGGCTGGTCTCCAGCTCCTGATCTCAAGTGATCCACCCACCTCGGCCTCCAAAAGTGCTGGGATTACAGGCGTGAGCCACCGTGTCTGGCCATGGTGTTTTAATTACTGTAGCTTCACAGTATATTTTGAAGTTGGGAAGAAGTGTGAGTCCTTTTTTTTAAGATTGTTTTGGCTATTCAGCTCTCCTTGCAATTTCATATAAACTTGAGGACTGGCTTTTCCATTTCTGAAAAAGAGGCTGTTGGAATTTTGATAAGGATTGTGCTAAATCTGTAGATCAATTTGAATTATATTGACTAACACTGTTAAATCTTCCTATCCTTGAATACGAAATGTCCTTTCACTTATTTAGGACTTCTTTAATTTCTGTAAGCAACATTTTGTACTTTTCAGTATATGAGTCTTTTACCTCCTTGGTTAGATTTATTCACAAGTATTTAATTCTTTTTTTTTTTTTCTGAGACGGACTCTCGCTCTGTTGCCCAGGCTGGAGTGCAGTGTCGCAATCTCAGCTCATTGCAACATCCGGCTCCCGGGTTCAAGCAATTCTCCTGCCTCAGCCTCCCAAGTAGCTGGGATTATAGGCACCCACCACCACGCCCAGCTAATTTTTATATTTTTAGTAGAGACGGGCTTTCACCATGTTGGTCAGGCTGGTCTCGAACTCCTGACCTTGTGATCCACCCATCTTGGCCTTCCAAAGTGCTGGGATTACAGGCATAAGCCACCGCACCCAGCCGTATTTAATTATTTTAGATGCTATTGTAAATGGTATTACTGTTTTAATTTCCCTTTCAGGTTATTCATCACTGGTATATAGAAACACAACGGATAATTTTCTCATTTTTGGGAGGGAAGAAATTGAGGCTCAGAATAAGTTGCTCAAAGGTGCATGGCTAGTAAGGCCCAACTCAGGGCTCTTAATTCTGAATCTATCGTGCTGTCTCTCTGAAGAGGTTGCTTATTGGGCCCCTTTACCATTTTGCCCTTTCCCTTTGACTCAATGCTCTTAATTGCAAAATAGGAAGCACTGGGAAAAGAAAGAACTGGAGCACAGCCGGGTGTGGTGGTTCACACCTGTAATCCCAGCACTTTGGGAGGCCGAGGTGGGCAGATCACCTGAGGTCGGGAGTTGGAGAGCAGCCTGGCCAACATGGTGAAACCCCATCTCTACTGAAAATACAAAGATTAGCTGGGCATGGTGGCAGAAGTCTGTAATCCCAGCTATTCCGGAGGCTGAGGTAGGAGAATCGATTGAACCCAGGAGGCGGAGTTTGCAGTGAGTTGAGATCGCACCACTGCACTCCAGCCTGGGCAACAGAGCAAGACTCCATCTAAAAAAAAAAAAAATTGGAGCACTGCAACAGTTATGTTCCGAATTTTGCCAGTGTAACAACTGAACCACAGGAGGCAGCCATGGTCTCAGTGATACCCATGGATACGTTCACATCAACCCTCTTTGACTGGAGGGCCCACAGGCAAATGACAGTCAACATTGAATTTGTGACCTCAAAATGCCAAAATACTTTATGAGAATGACTCAGAAATCAAGAAGCTACTTGTAACAAATCAAGTACTGAAATGCATTGTCAACACAGGACAGCCTCTCATCCCTGAGAAAAGGATTGTGTTAGGACATGCAGTTGAGGCTAAGACTCTTGAGGAACTGGGTGGGGTGTGGCTCAGGCTTGCTTGGGAGAGAAGCACTTTGCAGCCTGCCACCAGGCTGGAGACCTGAGTGTGCCAAGTCACTCTGCGTAGTCTAACAGACACTGGCAGTCTTGTATGTCTACAGGAGGGGATGCATGAACTTTCTCCAGGAACCTGAATACCATTCACGAACGACTGGGAAATTCCCTCTCCCCAGTCCCCACTGAACAGTTTCCTTCTCTCAAATGACAGGATTCCTGAATCTCTTTCTACTTCCTTCTATATCTAGGAGATAGCACATCGCTGCAGCTGTCACTAATGGGAACGTGGCCTGATAGCTGTGGACAGTACTAGCAGCATTTTCTCAGTCTGCCTTCCTGCTACCCTTTGCTAGGCCAGCAGGATTCCCACAAGGGAATACTGAAGTCTGATGAATAGGAGCACATGTGTGCATGAGTGTACACACACACACACACAAACACACACACACACAGAATTGAGAACTTATGGTATATTCTCCCCTCAAGAAGGGAAGAGCATTCTGGCTGGAAGATAGTGTCTTAGGATAGCCTCAATTTACCTCTGCTATCTCCAATGTGAAGGTATTATATTCCCACAATGCGAATCTTCCTCATACTTCCTGAGAAACCTCACACAAGAAATGGGAGAGCCTATATCCTTGAAGAATTACCTACTGACATTTGGAGTAGAGAAATAAGGGCCTGCCTGAGCACATGTGTAAGTTCTTCCCTAATACATGAAATATTAGGAAAATCCCACAGGGCTTCGAGACTGCCACAACCAGATATTTTACTCTTGCTCACTCAGGAAGGTAAAGAGAAAAGCAAAAACAAACAAAACAACACACACACACAATCAAATAGAAAATAAGTGCAGATAGTTCACAAAGCAAAGCATCGGGTGTGCTATCAGGCTCCAAGGCAGCTTTCTCTACAGCTTGGACTTAGACATGTTATAACAGCCATTTTATTATGTCACAGAAAGAAATAACTGAAGTAGGTCATAACATTTCAAATTATTTTTCCAGTAGGAATATTATGCCCTGATGACATAGTCTAGTTTCACTTCTTCCATAAGTCACCAGAGACTTTCCTTAAAATGGTCCCTTGTCTCCAGCCTCTTGCACTTCATGCCATCCTCATGTTGCCTTATGTATTAGTCTGTTCTCGCATTGCTATAAAGAAATACCTGAGACTGGTCAGGTGCAGTGGCTCACACCTGTAATCACAGCACTTTGGAAGGCTGAGGTGGGTGGATCACTTGAGGTCAGGAATTTGAGACCAGCCGGGGCAACATGGTGAAACCTCGTCTCTACTAAAAATACAAAAATTAGCCTGGCGTGGTGGCATGTGCCTGTAATCCCAGCTACTCAGGAGGCTGAGGCAGGATAATCATTTGAACCTGGGAGGTGGAGGTTGAGGTGAGCCGAGATCACACTGCTGTGCTCTGAGATCACACCACTGTGCTCCAGCCTGGGCGACAGAGCGTGACTCCGTCTGAAAAAAAAAAAAAATACCTCAGACTGGGTAATTTATAAAGAAAAGAAGTTTAATTGGGTCACAGTTCAGCAGGCTATACAGGAATCATAGCAGCTTCTGCTCCTGGAGAAGCCTCAGGAAACTTCTAATCATGGTGGAAGGCAAAGGGGGAGCGAGACATCTTACATGGCAGGAGCAGGAGGAAGAAGCGGGGAGGTGCCAAACCCTTTAAACAATCCTCGTGAGAACTCACTCATTATCGTGAGAGCAGCACGAGGAGGATGGTGCTAAACCATTCATGAGAAACTGCCTCCGTGATCCAGTTACCTCCCACCAGGCCTCACCTCCAACACTGAGGATTACAATTCAACATGAGATTGGGTGGGGATGCAGATCCAAACCATATCACCTAATATTAACCAGTAAAGATTAATATCATTCCCCTAGTCAAAACTTTGAGATTTCCTTACTATCAAGAGAATTGACCCTTAATTCTGTGTGTTATTTGAGGCTTCTTACCAATCAGTTTCCCTACTTATCTATGTCCTTATTCTAACTCCTCCTACTCACACTTTAGTCCTGGATTCAAAACCCACCTCCTCCACTTCTATCCACACTGACCTCTGTCCCCTATTCCTATAGCATACTCACGGTACATCTCATTTTGGCAGCTTATTTATCAAGTGATTACTATGTATGCTCAAGTGAACTAGATGTTTTGTGAACACTAAGAGAATGAGATAAGGTCCCTGACCTGAAGGAGGGAACGTTGCTGTTCTGTCATGCTATGTTTCCTGAGAGCAAGCCATGTATCCACAGGAAAATGGAAGTCTACAGGTTCCTCCAGGATGTCTCTGTGCTATGTACATGCTGGAATTTCAGAAAGACTTGCTAAATTGAATTAAATTCTCTCTCTCTCTCCAATTGATATAGTTGAAGTGCAATAACTAATATGCACTTAAACTGTCCAAAGTAACAGAACTAGTCCACTACCGCTAGGCCATGAGCAAGTCTTCCAGGGGTAAGAAAGGAAAACCCACCCTGGTGTGCAGCCCGATCAGCAACAAGGAAAAAGTTGCTCAGTGCAAGTCTACTCTCCTGTTTGGAGCCTTGTGGTTATGCTGGGTTATACTTGGTTGTGCAGGTGTAAACTGCTGAAGTGGGAAATTAAGTGTGGTGACCAAAAGTGTGATGCTCAAAGGAGTGAGGAAAGGCAAAATGAGCAGAGTGGGGAAGAGGAGCAGCAGAAACCTCCCAGAGCAGATGAGCAGCAGGGCCATCAAAGAAGGACTGGTTTCCTTCTCACATAACCAAGGCCAGTCCCTGGGAACCACAGTTCAGACTTCACATATTTGTAGCAGTAAAGGCTTGATGTTGGCAAGTTTATTTCCCAGACACCTGTTCCCGCAGGTAACAGCAGCCAGAGCAGCTGCCGTGAGTGACTCTGAGGTCGTCTCTCTCAAAGGTCCCGAGCTGGAAGGATTTGGAGAAGCGCAAACCCCAAACCCAGGTTCTTCTCCATGGGGCCCCGGGATACGTTGGAAAATCTAACCAAAGCAGGAAAAACTGGCGGGCCTGGAGAACGGGGCAGAGATGGAACAGAAGTCCCCGTTGACTTCAGGCATCCCCTGTCTTTCCCATCCTGAGCCAGGAGAAAAGTCCGCTTCCTGCAGACGACCTCAGACCAAGCAAGGTGCCCGCCGAGTCTCTCCTTGCAGGTCCGGCCCACGATTTCCACTCATCTCTTTCCCCCGGGCGCGGGGCGGCGGCAGGCGGGGTCACCAGATCCCCCTAGCCCGGGCCCCTCCAGGCGCCAGGGACGCTGACGCTCGCGCTCTTCCTCTCTCGCCTCCCCTCCCCACCTCTCCGCTCCTTCGTCCAGTCCCTCCCCCAGCCTCGGCGCAGGGGGGCCGGGCTTGGCTCCGCGAGGCCCGTGCATTCCAGAGAGCCCAGCGAGCTAGAGCAACAAAGGAGCCGGGTCGCCGGCGGGGAGAGTTCGGGGGGCTGCGGCGCGCTGGGGCGAAGGTGGCTGCTGGGCCGCGGGCTGGCGCGGGGGCGGAGCCGGAGCTGCACTCGCACCCCCGGCCCGCGTCTGGCCTCCCTCGCGGGGCGGGGAGGTGGCTTTAATGGTGGGAGAGGGAATGGGGCTGGGGATTGGGGGCCCAGGGGTCTCCTAGGGCTGAAGACAACTTGGATTGCGAGGCTAGGGCTTGGGGAGTCGTGCATCCCGTTCCGGGCCTCCGCAGCCCAACATGGGCCCCGGGTTCCAAAGTTTGCGAAGTTGGGCGCCGAGGGGCCGGGGCGCGCGGAGCGTCCGGGGGGGCCCGGGCCCGGATTCTCTGGGCGCACAGGTCGCCTGAGCCGCCTCCGCGGCCGCCGAGGTCGTGCGTGTGGCCGGGGGGCTCCGAGGAGCAGGCGGGGGCGCCGGGGCTTTTGCTGAGTTGGCGGGGTTGGCCATGGCCGCTGCCCGCCCAGCGCGGGGGCCGGAGCTCCCGCTCCTGGGGCTGCTGCTGCTGCTGCTGCTGGGGGACCCGGGCCGGGGGGCGGCCTCGAGCGGGAACGCGACCGGGCCTGGGCCTCGGAGCGCGGGCGGGAGCGCGAGGAGGAGCGCGGCGGTGACTGGCCCTCCGCCGCCGCTGAGCCACTGCGGCCGGGCTGCCCCCTGCGAGCCGCTGCGCTACAACGTGTGCCTGGGCTCGGTGCTGCCCTACGGGGCCACCTCCACACTGCTGGCCGGAGACTCGGACTCCCAGGAGGAAGCGCACGGCAAGCTCGTGCTCTGGTCGGGTAAGTGCGGCGGAGCCGGGTCTGGGGGGCGGGAGGTGCCGCGGTAAGATGGGGGCACCCTTGGAAAGAACAGGCTCAGGCCTGAGTTTTGGAGAGGGCGGGGACAGCACCCGGGAGAGTTGGAGGGACAGATCCCGAAACTTTGGGGGCAGGTTACGTGCAGGATGGGACCCTCGGTCATGGGAAAAGGAGGGCAAGGAAGTTGACGAAGCGGGTCACAAAGGGCCTGAGCTGGTGGGTGAGCAAAGGATGGCGGGGATGAGGGGCCCGTGAGGAGGTGGCTCTAAGCCACGGGAAAAGACATTTTGTAAGAAGAGGAGATGCTCCACCTATTCTGGAAGCAGGGTGCCGGGGGATTCAAGGAGGTGTTGAAGACCCTGGGGAAATTGGAGTTGGAGAGGAAAAGGGGAGGGATGACGGAGGAAGAGGTTTAGACATTTGGAGGGAAGGGTAGGGGGACATGATCGAGTGAAGTTTTGAAGGAAAAGAAACCTCCCTAGTGATGAATTATTAAAAGGTAACCAGAAAGTTCTGGAAATCTTGATTTGGGAGACAGGAATGAAGCCTAGAGAACTGTGATCTTGTCTGGCTTTCACGGGAGATTTCATTCAGTTTGTGCATCTGAAAAACCGGCCCTCTGACGCATGCAGGAGGTTATGAAGGAATAAGACCTTTCTAACAGTTATTTGTGTTTTCTTTGGAAATTTGGTTACCGAGGCTGGTCAGGGCTGTGGAAGGACGCTTAAGTCTGG
The DNA here is from genome assembly GCF_000001405.40 of Homo sapiens. Classification (NCBI taxonomy): domain Eukaryota; kingdom Metazoa; phylum Chordata; class Mammalia; order Primates; family Hominidae; genus Homo; species Homo sapiens. Next base: position 129,190,235 of record NC_000007.14, read on the forward strand.
AGTGTTGAGAGCCTGTGGACACTTCCATGGTGGTTTGAAGTCCCAAAGCCCCCTCACTGGAGTGGCAGAGTCTGAAAAACTGCACACTGAACCCAAATGTCCTTCCTTAGCAGTGTGGAGTATACTCTCCCCCACCTGTCACTTTTCTAGATGAGGCTTGGAGGGTGCTGAGGAAGGGAGCTGGCCTTATCAGCCCTCGCTTCTAGCCAGTATGATTCTAAAACTGTCCTGGGAAAAAGAAAAGAAAACCAGGAGCCAGGAGCAGAACTGGGAGCCTCCCTCTTTTGACAGGGCTGGGGTACCCCATCTCTTAGCTCTGCCCAGGGGGCTGGTGAGGACCCTAATGTAGGGAGTGTATGTAGGCCGCCTGTCATTGACAAGTTCTCGGCCTTTGTCAGATGTTGGACAAGGCCATAAGGTTCCTGGCTTGGTGCAGATGCTGGAGGAGGAACTTGGAGGATGGTATCCATGGTACCCATGAGGAAGAGCTGCATCCTTTTTGGGGATCAGGTTCTAAAGTCAGCACAGCACATTAGACAGAAATCATGTGTAAACAACAGTGGCTTTGAAAACTCTGCAGATTACCATAGTGTAAGGTGGATGTGGTTTTGCATATACACTTCTTTTACGATGTTTGCATACATGTGTTACATGTATACTCATATATAAGAATGGGTATACATAGAAGATAAAATAATTGTAATTTTAAAGTTACATTCATGCAAAAGACTGAAATAATAATAATAATAATAAAAAGAACACCAAAGTGAGATTAAGCAAGATTGCTTTGAGCACCACCCAAAATGAGACTTGAGTTTAGGAGCCAGCTGTGTGGAAAGTCCAAATCTCTCAGCACTAGAATCTCACCCAGTTCTGAGTTGCTCATGCTGTCAGAGGATAATCTTTCTGTCCCTCTCTTTATTGATTGTGCAAGGACCCATGGTTTAATTTTCCCAAGTTAAATGCATGTTTGATGTTGCCTCTGTGTAGTTACCATCAGATCAAGGAGGAAGGGTATGAACCTCTTTCCAGCCCATACTCTTGAGAGCAGCTGCTGAGCAGACAGAAGTAGTTTAAGCTGGAACATGTATCAATTAGTACCATCTGCAGGTTGTGCAGGTTGAAATCTCACTATCTGTGCCTTTTGGCAGGGCAGGGTCCTACAGAGATGCCAGCACTGAGCCCAGCACCGTTAGTTCCATTAGTTCACTATGAGTTCTTCTCTGCCACCAACCACCATCCCTCAGCTCATTCCTGTTTCCATATGTGTTCTGGTTGCACTCTTTCTGCTTGGGACTTGCAAGTAGGGCAGAAGCAGGTGTTGGCTTGAGCTGGGTAATGAGTAGGTAGAGTGAACCCAAGCCTCGTGTGAGAATCACAGCCAGGTCAGCTGGTAGCCTCTGGCAAGTGATTTATCATGTCCCGAGTTAATGATCTTGATTTTGCATTAGACAGGGTCAGTGTTACCTGGCTCTTAGGGGTGTTTTTGTGGGTGAAGGATGAAGGTGATCTAGGTTGTCTTCATCGGTAAACTCTTGAATGTAGGAACTGGGTCTTCACTTTTTTTCAAAGCCTGTGAGTACTGAGTACACAGCCATGCTTCTATTCATGCATTCAGTTATGTATTGAATGTTTGCTGTATGTCACATGCTGCGCATGTAAGGATGAAGAATACAGATATGATCCTCTGTCATCAAGAAGACAGGCTGGACATGGTGCTCACACCTGTGATCTCAGCACTTTGGGAGGCCGAGGCGGGAAGATTGCTCAATACCAGGAGTTTAAGACCAGCCTGAGACCTTGCCTCTAAAAAAAAAAAAGGAAGACAGATAATTCAACAGGCTTTGGAAATACCTGTGAAAGGTACTGTGGCATTTTAGGGTACTGAAAAAGCATAAAGGACCCAAGGAACATCCCAGAAGAACTGGCATTTAACCCATAACTTGACACATAAGCAGGAATTGCCTGGCCGAGGGAGAGTTGAGGTTTGAAGGGATAGGAAGAGGAAATAGCATGTACAAAGGTGTAGAGGTAGGAGGGCTTGGTGCTTTGAAAGAAAGTATAAGAGTTGCAGTAGAACTGGATCAAAGCGTGTGAGGGGTGGAATTGTGAGAGATAAGACCTAAAGAATTAGAAAATAAAGGGATTTATACCTCATATTAAGTTTGGATGTTATCCAGGGGATGATAAGGAGCCATTGAAAGATTTTAAGCAAGGGAGAGATGTAATTGTCTTTGCATTTTAGCTGGATCTCTTTGGGTATGGTGTGAAGAAGCCATAGGAGCAGGGAAAGCCTGGAGCCTGGCTTCTTGACCAGGGGATGTTGAAGTAGCCCAAGTAAGAGACGATGGCGGTTGGGACTGGGTAGCAGGACAGAGGGAGTGGGCAGATCCCACTAACTTTCAGAGGTAGTGCTCATAGGGCACTGATGAGTTAGATGTGGAGCCTCAGTGAGCAGGAGGCCTCGGGTTTCAGGCTTGGATGGAAGGTGGTGCCATTCCCTTTCACTAAGATAGAGAATGCTAGAGGAAGAAGAAGTTTAGGCAGGAGGTGTGGCTTTGATTTTGGCCGTGTGAATTAGAGATGCTCATTGGACATCTATGTGGAGATTCTCAGCAGATCTGGAAATAGGAATTGCTGGAGAGAGGTGGCCACTGTGTGCTTCCTTGGCCCTGACTACTGAGGCTTTGGAAGGATGCCATTGACTGAGGAAGTTTATAGCTCAGGTTGGTCCAATTTCTAGGTCTGTATAGACCTCAGGTCTTTCCTCTGTCTTTCATCTCTCTGGCCTCAGGCTTCTTCAGTCACTTAGCATCTCTCCCCTTTACAGCTGGAAATGCCTCCTCCCGGGCATTCCAAGCTGACCAGACAAACATAATGTCCAGGCCGTGGTCCACCTTAGGCCAAACCTGGTTTAGTAAGTGGGGCAAAAAAGCAGAGAGGCCTGCAGCTGGCAGTGGCGATAGGTCCCTGAGAGCCAGCACGTAGCCTCCTTAACCACTGCTGTGCTCTGTGTGGTACATAAGTGTGTGGCCCTGTCACCTTGCCCACTTGCAGGTAAGTAGGAGAGAGACAAAGGCTGGGAGGAATTTCTTGTTTGCCTCTCACACATTGAATTGAGGGCTGAGAGGAGGAATGTTTTTGGTGATGGTGGGTTATTTTCAGGGACGGATCAGGAAGAATTTCCTTAGAGCTATTTCCAAACTTGGCTGGTAATCAGAGTCAGTTAAAAAGATATATATGGCCGGGCGCGGTGGCTCACGCCTGCAATCCCAGCACTTTGGGAGGCCGAGGTGGGCGGATCACGAGGTCAGGAGATCGAGACCATCCCGGCAAACAGGGTGAAACCCCGTCTCTACTAAAAATACAAAAAAATTAGTTGGGCATGGTGGCGGGTGCCTGTAGTCCCAGCTGCTTGGGAGGCTGAGGCAGGAGAATGGCGGGAACCCGGGAGGCAGAGCTTGCAGTAAGCCGAGATCACGCCACTGCACTCCAGCCTGGGCGACAGACCGAGACTCCATCTCAAAAAAAAAAAAAAAAAAAAAAAAAAAATATATATATATATATATATATATATATATATGTATAGGCTGGGTGCAGTGGCTCACACCTGTAATCTTAGCACTTTGGGAGGTTGAGGCAGGAGGATTTCTTGAAGCCAGGAGTTCGAGACCAGCCTGGGCAACAAAGTGAGACCCCATCTCTAAAAAAAAAAATTAGCCGGGCATGTTGGCACACACCTGTGGTCCCAGCTACACTGGAGGCTGAGGCAAAAGGATCGCTTGAACCCAAGAGGTTGAGGCTGCAGTGAGCCATCCTCACACCACTGCCCTCCAGACTGGGCAACAGAGCAAGACCCTGTCTCAAAAATACATACATACATATAGATATGTGTGTATGTATACACACACACACATATATGTATAGTGAAAATGTAAAATACAGAAAAACATACATGGACCTAAGTCTTTTTTAAAAAAAAATTATCTTTAATTAATTATTTGAGAAATGGGGTCTTGCTGTGTTGCCCAGGCTGGAGTGCAGTGGCTATTCAGAGGCTCACTCATTGTGCGCATGGTGCTTATGGTGCCTGGAATAGCTGGCACTACAGGCATGTGTTCTGTGCCAGCTCAAGTCTTCAATTTTGCTTCAGATCTTTAACTTTTTAATTGTGAAATATAACTGTATGCAGAAAACTGCATAAAACACAAAGGTACTGAATAACAAATAATTATAAAGTGACATCTGGGTCAATAACTAGACCACAGTCAGACCCCTGAAGCTCCCTCTGTGTCTTGTCTAGTCACATCCCCCTCCCCTTGCTCAAGAGGTTTTCAGTAATCACATCCTTTTTTTCTCTATGGTTTTACCTCCTAGTTTTGGAATCCATAAGCAGTATATTTCAGCTTTGCATGTTTTTGAACTCTGTTCAAATGGAATTTGTACAAAATAATATGCTGTGCATATTATTTCTTGCTTCTTTTACTTTATATCATTATGTAAGATTCATCCATGTTATTGCAGCTTATTTCTTTTTTGCTTGTTTATTTGTTTGTTTTTGTTTTTTTGAGACAGTCTCACTCTGTCACCTAGGCTAGAGTGCAGTGGCGCGATCTCGGCTCACTACACCTCCACCTCCTGGGTTCAAACGATTCTCCTGCCTCCGCCTCCCAGGTAGCTGGGACCATAGGTGCACGCCACCAGGCCTGGCTAATTTTTGTATTTTTTAGTAGAGACAGGGTTTTGCCATGTTGGTCAGGCTGGCCTCAAACTCCTGACTTCAGGTGAGCCACCCGCCTCATACTGCAGCTTATTTCTTCATTGCTGAATAATATTCCATTATATGAGTATACCCCCAGTTGTTTACCCATTTTATTGTCATCTCAAGTTTTTGCCCATTGCAAATAACATTGCTGTGAGTAGTCTTTTATGTATATCCTAGTACAACTGGCACAAGTTCCTTCAGGTATATGCTGAAGAAGTAGAATTGCTAGATAATAAGGCACGCATACTTTAGGCTTTTGCCAAACCATTTTTCAAAGTGGTTGTACTAACTTATACTCCCACTAGCTAGTAGAAAGTCAACACTGGTTCACATGATTCCCAACATTTGGTATTATCAGCCTTTTACATTTTTGCCAATCTAGTGGCTATATTGTGGCATATATTTGTGGTTTTAATTTGCACTTCCCTGATTACTAGTAAAGTTAAATGCCTTTTTAAATGCTTACTGGCCTTTAGGGTTTCTGCTTTTGGGAAGTGTCTGTTCAAATCTTTGACATATTTTTCCATAGGGGCTATCTGTCATTTTTGTAAGATTTGTAGGAGTTCTTTATATATGCTAGATATGAGTTTATAGGATTACAAAGGAAATCAATTATATTGACATAATAGTTATCAAATATAAAAATGCAAGTATGTGGGCTTATTTATTTATACAATAAATAAGATCTGGTGCAGGTGTAATAACAACTATAATATCAAAGTGATTATAAGCATTGACATTATTTCAAGATATCTGCAACAAAAATATCTGGTTTCCACTTGTGACAACGCCACAGGTACTATTAACATTATGTACTGTGGGCCAGGCGTGGTGGCTCACACCTGTAATCCCAGCACTTTGGGAGGTCAAGGTGGGCAGATCACGAGGTCAGGAAGTCGAGACCATCCTGGCTAACACGGTGAAACCCCATCTCTACTAAAAATACAAAAAATTAGCCGGGCGCGGTGGTGGGCGCCTGTAGTCCCAGCTACTCGGGAGGCTGAGGCAGGAAAATGGTGTGAACCCAGGAGGCGGAGCTTGCAGTGAGCCGAGATCGTGCCACTGCACTCCAGCCTGGGTGACAGAGTGAGACTCCCTCTCAAAAAAAAAAAAAAGAAAAGAAAAAAAAAACAAAAAAAAATTATGTACTGCGATGTGTTGCTTACATTCATAATTGGAGGAAGGGCCAAATTTTAGTTAGGTGTAATTTTTTTCCCATTGAAATTCATGGACCTCTGAATTTTTCCAAGAATCCTTTGTGAACCATAGGGTAAGAATGTTACTTACAGAATATCACTATCTAGTAGAGAGTCTGAGCTATTCTTGATTGTGTGTGTGTGTGTGTGTGTGTGTGTGTTTTAATAGAGACAGGGTTTGACCCTATTGTCCCGGCTGGTCTTGAACTCCTGGGCTCAAGTGATCCTCCTGCCTTGGCCTCCCAAAATGCTCCTTTGTGTTTTAATATAAAAATACTTGGTGATTTTTTATTGGGATTGCATTGACTATATAGATTAACTTGGAAAAAAAAAGAGACATCTTTACAATACTGAGTCTTCCAAACATTGAACATTTATATATTTCTATTTAGATCTTTCATTTTCTCAATATTCTGCACAGATTTAAATACTTATTATTTGTTAGACATTCCTAGGTACTTGATATTTTTGATGCTGTTGTAAATGATGCCTTTAACATTTATTTCACTTTGTTTGTTGCTGACATATAGAAATAAAACTGGCTGGGCACGGTGGCTCACACCTGTAATCCCAGCACTTCGGGAGGCCAAGGCAGGGGGATCACGAGGTCAGGAGATTGAGACCGTCCTGGCTAACATGGTGAAACTCCATCTCTACTAAAAATACAAAAAGTTAGTCGGGCATGGTGGCGGGCGCCTGTAGTCCCAGCTACTCAGGAGGCTGAGGCAGGAGAATGGCGTGAACCTGGGAGGCGGAGCTTGCAATGAGCCCAGATTGTGCCACTGCACTCCAGCCTGGGCAATACAGTGAGACACCGTCTCAAAAAAAAAAAAAAAAAAGAAATAAAATTGATGCCTTTAACATTTATTTCACTTTGTTGCTGATATATAGAAATAAAATTGATTGTGAATTCAGTAAACTTGCTAAATTTATTCTATACACATAGTCATATAATTTGTGAGTAATGAGTTTTGTTTCTTTCTTTCCAAGTCTTATACCTTTTATTTATCCTTATTGCTTTACTGAAGGCTTCCAGTACATTGTTAAATAGACAAAACATCTTAATTCTTGACTTTTCTGGATTCTAAAAAGAAAGCTTTTTCTACCCTTCACCATTAAATTTGATGTTTGGTATAGGTTTTTTATAGTTAATTACATTTTATCAGATTAAGAACGTTGTCTCTTATTTCAAATTTGCCAATTATTCTTTTGATCATAGATGGATGTTGAATTTTATCAACTTTTTTTTTTGGAGACGAAGTGTCACTGTCACCGAGGCTGGAGTGCAGTGATGCGATCTCAGCTCACTGCAACCTCTGCCTCCTGGGTTCAAGCGATTCTCCTGCCTCAGCCTCCCAAGTATCTGGGACTACAGGCGCATGCCACCACGCCCGGCTAATTTTTTGTATTTTTAGTAGAGACGGGGTTTCACCGTGTTAGCCAGGTCAATTTCCTGACCGTGTGATCCGCCCGCCTCAGCCTCCCAAAGTGCTAGGATTACAGGTGTGAGCCACTGCGCCCGGCTGAATTTTATCAACTTTTTTTTGCATCCATTGAGATGATCATATGATTTTTTTCTCCTTTAACCTGTTAATGTAGTAAATTGCATTGATTGAATTTTCTAATATTAAACCAGCCTTAGAACAGTGATACTCAACTTGACTAGTCATCAGAATCACACAAATAAAAAGTCTTTTTAAAAGTCTAGATCAGCCAGGCGCGGTAACACCCGTATTCCTGTTTCTCTTTTTGTTTCATATTTTATTAAAATAAAAGAAGTAAAATAATACTGATAAAGCTGATATCCCCTCTCTTTCTCGTTTCAGTTTCATATCCTTCTTTTCTCTTTGGAAAGCTTCCCCATCCTAGTAATTTGTGTATTTCTTTATTTTGTTTTTAAGCTCAAGTTTTGTTTTTGTTTTTGTTTTTGTTTTTTTGTAGAGATGGGGTTTGGCCATATTGCCCAGGTTGGTCTCGAACTCCTGAACTTAAGTGATCCACCCACCTTGGGCCTCCCAAAATGCTAGGATTATAGGCGTGAGCCACCATGTCCAGCCTTAAGCTTAATTACTTTTAAAAAATAGGTTATACATGTACATGGCACAGAATTCAAAAGGAACAAGTTAAGTCCTACTTCTGCATCTAGCTACCCATTTTTCCTCTGCAGAAGTAACCACCAACACTGGTTTTTGTGTCCTTTTGGAAATATCCAACATCTGTCCAGATGTAGATGTGCTCTCAGTCTCTCCTCTACCGCCCAACCAGTACCATGCTCTATAGACTGCTCTCCACTCAACTGAGTCCATGTAACATGACAACATTGGACATCATTCCATTTCAATGCACATCCTGTCATGCACCCCAGAAGGAGATTTTGGTTAACAATGGACCACATGTGATGGTGTTCCCTTAAGATTATAATACCACATTTTTACTGTAGCCTTTCAATGTTTAGATATGTTTAGATACACTGATACTCACCGTTGTGTTACAGTTGCCTGCAGTATTCAGTATAGCAACATGCTGTACAGGTTTGCAGCCTAGAAGCCATAGGTTATACTGTATCAGCTAGGTGTGCAGTAGGCTATACCATCCAGGTTTGTGTAAGTACACTCTGATGTTCACACAAAGATGACATTGCCTGATGACACATTTCACAGAAGATATCCTCATTGTTAAGCAACATGTGACTATATCTCAACCCTGAATAGTGTTCTATTATAATGGTGTACATTATTTTACTTGGTTGGTCTCCTATTGATGGATATGGATTCAAGCTGTTTCTACTTTTTTGCTATTGCAAAACAGTGCTGCAATGAATAATCTATATTATCTTTGTGAACATGTGAAGTAGAAGTACTAGTATAAAATTTTGGTAGATAATGCCAAAGTGATCTCCACAAGTGTTTACTAATTTTTATTCCTACCAACAAATATAAAAGTGCCAGTTTATCCCTACACTCTTTATAGTACGGTATTTTCTTTTCTTTTTTTTTTTTTTTTTGAGATAGAGTTTTGTTCTGTCACCCAGACTGGAGTGCAATGGCGATCTCGGCTCACTGCAACATCCGCCTCCTGGATTCAAGCAATTCTCCTGCCTCAGCCTCCCAAGAAGCTGGGATTACAGGCGCCCACCACCACACCTAGCTAATGTTTGTAGTTTTTTAGTAGAGACGGGTTTTCACCATGTTGGCCAGGCTTGTGTAGAACTCCTGACCTCAGGTGGTCCACCTGCCTCGGCCTCCCAAACTGTTGGGATTACAGGCGTGAGCCACCACCATGCTCAGCCTTCTTTATGTTTTTAAAGGCCATTAAATGGCCTTGAGTCCAGGAGTTCAAGACCAGCCTGAGCAACATGGTGAAACCTTGTCTCTACAGAAAAATACAAAAATTCACCAGGTGTGGTGGTGTGAGCCTGTAGTCTTTGCTACTCAGGAGGTTGAGGTGGGAGGATTAACTGAACCTGGGGAGCTGAAGGCTGCAGTGAGCCGTGATTATGCCACTGTACTCCAGCCTGGGCAACAGTGTGAGACCCTATCTCAAAAAATAAAAAAATAAAAAAAACATAAAGAGATGTTCGACCTCACTCTTAATAATACAAATGTGGAATAAACTACAACGAAATATTCTTTTTTTAAACTTTTATACTTTTTATCACAGTGATAAAGATCAAAACATTTGAAAATGTGATCTGTTATTTGTCTTTCGCCTGTGTGTCTATAGAATTATGCAATTTTTACTGATTTGGAGGAGCTTTGTGCATATAAGGAAATTAGCTCTTGTGATAAGTATTGAAAATACATTTTTTCAGTATCTTACTTTTCTTATGATTTTTGTATCGATTTTTCTGAAGTCTTTTGTTTAAATCTTTTATTTCATGATGTGTAGGCTTTGTGTCATTTCAGAAGGCCTTCTCCACTCCAAGGTTTAAAAAATCATTTCCTGGCCAGGCGTGGTGGCTCACGCCGTAATCCCACTTTGGGAGACCGAGGCGGGTGGATCACGAGGTCAGGAGATCGAGACCATCCTGGCTAACACGGTGAACCCCCGTCTCTACTAAAAATACAAAAAAAAAATTAGCCGGGTGTGGTGGCGGGCGCCTGTAATCCCAGCTACTCGGGAGGCTGAGGCAGGAGAATGGCGTGAACCCAGGAGGCGGAGCTCGCAGTGAGCCGAGATCACATTACTGCACTCCAGCCTGGGCGACAGAGCAAGACTCCATCTCAAAAAAAAAAATCATTTCCCATCTTTTCTTCTAAAACTTTAATTTTTAGAAAAACAATGTAGTTATTTTTTTATCCATCTGGACTTTTATGTAAGAAATGGGGTAAAGCTCCACCTTATTTTTTCCCCAGATAATTTCTTAGTTGTCCTTGAAGATGTATTTAATAATCTCTCTTTTTCCTGGGGAGTTTTATTTTTAAGGTATGAAACAATATTCACAATGAGGGAAAAAAAGGAAAACAAATTAGACATTTTTAAAACCTGATTGTTACCACAGATATAAAAAGATTGAGAAAAATTACAGTTTTTTTTTTGTTGTTGTTTGTTTGTTTGTTTTAATGAGTCTTGCTGTATCACCCAGGCTGGAGTACACTGTCGTGATCTTGACTCACTGCAACCTCCACCTCCTGTGTTCAAGCAATTCTTCTGCCTCAGCCTCCCAAGTAGCTGGGACTACAGGCGTGGACCACCACGCCTGGTTAATTTTTATATTTTTTAGTAGAGACAGGGTTTCACCATGTTGGCCAGGCTGGTCTCAAACTCCCGACCTCAAGTGATCTGCCTGCCTCAGCCTCTCAAAGTGCTGGGATTACAGGCATGAGCTACCGCACCTGGCTGACACAACCTTTATTTTTTTTATTTTTCGAGACGGGGCCTTGCTCTGTCGCCTAGGCTGGAGTGCAGTGGTGCCATCTCCGCTTACTGCAACCTCTGCCTCCTGGGTTCAAGTGATTCTCCTGCCTCAGCCTCCTGAGTAGCTGGGATTACAGGCATGTGCCACCACATCCAGCTAATTTTTGTATTTTTAGTAGAGACAGGGTTTCACCATGTTGGCCAGGCTGGTCTCGGACTCCTGACCTTGTGATCCACCCGCCTCGGCCTCCCAAGTTCTGGGATTACAGGTTTGAGCCACCATGCCCAGCCGACACAACCTTTTTATTAACTGCCTGATGTTTCTCTAAAGCATTTTACTCCAGAGAGGTCCCCCCATTTTAAATATATTGTGCAATAAAAGTAAACATCCAGTAAAATTGACTTTTTCTTGTACAGTTCTAAGTTTAGACAAACACATAGACTTATGTAACCAGCCACCACATTGAATTCAAGATAGAGAATCGTCCTTTAACCCCCATATATTCTCTCATGCTACTATTTTGTAGGCAAATCCTGCCCTCACCCCAATCCCTGGCACCCACTGCTCTGTTTTCTGCAAGTACCTATGTACTCAGAATTTCTGGTGACTGTTTTTGGGTTTTTTGTTTTTTATTTTTTTGTTTTTGAGGCAGAGTCTCATTCTTTTGCCCAGGCTGGAGTGCAGTGGCGCCATCTCAGCCCACCGCAACCTCCACCTCCTAGGTTCAAGCAATTCTGTTGCCTCAGCCTCCCGAGTAGCTGGGATTACAGGCATGTACCACCACGACCGGCTAATTTTTGTATTTTTAGTAGAGACGGGGTTTCACCTTGTTGGCCAGGCTGGTCTTGAACTCCTAGCCTCAGGTGATCTGCCCGCCTTTGCCTCCCAAAGTGCTGGGATTACAGGTGTGAGCCACTGCGCCTGGCCAACTGGTGACTGAATTGAGTCAAGTGGGAACTGTTGCCTGAGGACATTGCTTCTTAACTGGCAGGAACTTGCTCTGCACCCTGGAATATACTCTGAAGGCTGGGAGCAGTCAGAGGCCTCAGACAAATAATCATAAGAGTTAACATTTCCTGAGCGCTTACTACATGACAGGTACTGTGCCAAGGGCATTTAAAGCATTATATCACTTTTCACAGCAGTTCCATGAGGTAAATCTATCATCCCCATTTTACAGATGAGGCAACTGAGGCTAAAGATAAAGTACTTTGCCCAAGATCATACAGCCAGGAAAGAGTGGAGCCAAGATTTGGACCCAGGCTGGGCAGTTGCCATGCACATGCCCCTTACCTCTCTACTATGTTGCCTTCCCCCGAAAAGAGTGGTTACCTGTCTCTACCACCCCCAGCCTGGAAATGTGACCGGCACCCATGTTGGCTCTCACATCCTCATATTCTCTCCTAATGCAACTTCTTGCTTGGGAAATAGATATTGCTGAAGCAGGGTTGATTCAGGAAGGGCTTCTGTGATGGGCAGGGCGGAGGACTAGGCTGGGGACGGGTGCTGGGAGATTGCCGCCTGTTTCTGTCTTGCTGACAACATTTTTCCCCTCTCCGCACTGGACAGAGCCTCTTCTGTTCCTCTCCATCTGACTTCCTGCTTCCTCCTCTGGCTTTGGAGTGCCTGGCTCCTCTGACTACCTCTTCTTAAGCCCCCATCTCTTCTCTCTCACTCCGCTTGGTAAGAGGAACAAGGGTTCTGGGGTCTGGGCAAAGGGAAACATCTCCTGGCTCTAGCAAATGGGCCCCGTGAGAGTTGGGTGCACCCCTGAAAAGGTAAATCCACCCCGGGGAGCTCTACCAGAGGCATTACCACTCCCTAGCAGGGCATCTGGAAGTGGCAGTTATTTTCTTAAAACTTAAATGATAGTAAGCATACAGAATAGCGCACAGATCATGAGCTTGGTTTCCACAAGGTGAATACACTCATGTAACCAGTATCAGATCAGGAGATAGAATATTCCCAACATCCCATGTAACCAGTACCAGATCAAGAAGTAAAACATTCCCAGCAGCCCAGAGGTTCCTCTCCAGGCTCCCTTCTAGTCACCGTCCCTAGAGTAGAGGGCTGGGGCATTTTTGTTTGTCACAATCACTTCTGGGTTCTACTGGCATTGAGTTGGCAGAGTCTAGTGTCTGCAATGCATGGGACAGTCCTATGGTATAAAGAACTGTCCTGCCCAGATGCACTGTTGAGAAACACTGTACCTGCCAGGTCTGACCAGTGATGGGCTGCAGTGTGGCAAAGGCCTGGAGGACAGGGGTGAAGCTGCGTCTGTGGGTCAGAGTGAGGAGGGGCCTTCACTGCAATGCTGTTGCCACCCCCAGGCCTCCGGAATGCCCCCCGCTGCTGGGCAGTGATCCAGCCCCTGCTGTGTGCCGTATACATGCCCAAGTGTGAGAATGACCGGGTGGAGCTGCCCAGCCGTACCCTCTGCCAGGCCACCCGAGGCCCCTGTGCCATCGTGGAGAGGGAGCGGGGCTGGCCTGACTTCCTGCGCTGCACTCCTGACCGCTTCCCTGAAGGCTGCACGGTGAGTGCTCTGTGAGACAAGGTCCAGGCTCTCTGGGTTGGGCAGGACCGGGTATAGGGCAGGGTCCAGTGGGGAGCAGGGGAGCCCAGAGCTTTGTCTCCTGGAGACCCTGAGCCTACAGCCATGGGGTCAACAGGACACAAACTCAAACTGCAGCTCACTGGCTGGATCCGTCTATTAGGGATTCTCTATTTATTTATCAATGATCACATGTTCAGCAAAATGTTTTGAGCACTGGCTGTTGGGTGTTGTGGTGTTACGGGCATCACGGATGACAGGAGCCTATCAGGAAGTTTCTCATGTATGTTGGGAGTTAAGGCGCGAGCGTGTGAAACAGCTAGAGCCACCAAGACAGGGGACGTGAGCTAGTTCTGGGTGGTGCAGGAGAGGTCTTCAATGAAAATAATAACAGTAATAATGATGGTAATAATACTAATTAGTCCTGTTTACTATATGCCAAATGCCATTATAATAAGCTCATGCCTGTAATCCCAGCACTTTGGGAGGTCGAGGTGGGCAGATCACCTGAAGTCAGGAGTTCCAGACCAGCCTGGCCAACGTGGCAAAACCCTGTCTCTACTAAAAATACAAACATAAGCCTGATGTCATGGTGTGCGCCTGTAGTCCCAGCTACTCGGGAGGCTGAGACACGAGAATCGCTTGAACCCGGGAGGTGGAAGTTGCAGTGAGCTGAGATCGTGCCACTGAACTCCAGCCTGGGCTACAGAGTGAGACTCTGTCTCAAAATAAATAAATAAATAAATAGGCTGGCCAGACACAGTGGCTCATGCCTGTTATCCCCACCACTTTGGAAGGCTGAGGCGGGTGGATCACTTGATGAGGTCAGAAGTTCAAGACCAGCCTGACCAACATGGTGAAACTCCGTCTCTACTAAAAATACAAAAAATTAGCCAGACATGGTGGTGGGCACCTGTATTCTCAGCTACTTGGGAGGCTGAGGCAGTAGAATCGCTTGAACCCGGGAGGTGGAGGTTGCAGTGAGCCAAGATTGTGCCATTGCACTGCAGCCTGGGCGACAGAGCCAGACTCTGTCTCTCTCTTTCTATATATATAATATATGTTTATTCATTTAACCCTTAAACCATACCATAAGGTAAGTACTACCATCTTAGAAATGGGGAAACTGGCCGGGCGCAGTGGCTCACGCCTGTAATCCCAGCACTTTGGGAGGCCGAGGTGGGTGGATCATGAGGTCAGGAGTTCAAGACCAGCCTGGCCAACCTGGTGAAACCCCGTCTAAAATACAAAATTTAGCCGGGTGTGGTGGTGGGCGCCTGTAGTCCCAGCTACTCGGGAGTCTGAGGCAGGAGAATTGCCCGGGAGGCAGAGGTTGCAGTGAGCTGAGATCACGCCACTGCACTCCAGCCTGGGCGACAGAGCGAGACTGTCTAAAAAAAGAAAGAAAAAAAGAAAGAAAGAAGTGGGGAAACTGAGGTACAGAGAGGCCAAATAATTTGCCAAGCCAGCCCTGGGATTCAGGTCCTGGAAGTGTATCTCCAGCCACCCTGCCATGCTACCTAGATACCTTTCCCTAAACAAGAGGCTCGTCCCTGAGCTGCCTTGACACCGTCTTTTCCCATCCCTGGTGCCAGAATGAGGTGCAGAACATCAAGTTCAACAGTTCAGGCCAGTGCGAAGTGCCCTTGGTTCGGACAGACAACCCCAAGAGCTGGTACGAGGACGTGGAGGGCTGCGGCATCCAGTGCCAGAACCCGCTCTTCACAGAGGCTGAGCACCAGGACATGCACAGCTACATCGCGGCCTTCGGGGCCGTCACGGGCCTCTGCACGCTCTTCACCCTGGTCAGCCGCGGGAGGGCAGGCCCGGGGGGCCCTCAGCCTGGAACGTGGGAAGAGAGCCAGAGGGAAGGGGGGCAAAGAGGTCTTGGTGGGGGTCCCCAGGGAAGGGTCATGATCAGAAGGGTCTGGGGCTCAGTTAAGGGTGTCTGTGTCAGCAGAATAACCCTAACCTCACAGAATGGCCCACTTCTCTCTTCTAGGCCACATTCGTGGCTGACTGGCGGAACTCGAATCGCTACCCTGCTGTTATTCTCTTCTACGTCAATGCGTGCTTCTTTGTGGGCAGCATTGGCTGGCTGGCCCAGTTCATGGATGGTGCCCGCCGAGAGATCGTCTGCCGTGCAGATGGCACCATGAGGCTTGGGGAGCCCACGTAGGTGTCTTGGGGACCCAGAGGTGAAGGTACAGGGAGGAAGGCTGAAGTGTGCGTTTACCCCAAAGGGAGCAGGTGCGTGTAAAACCGAGATCCAGGGCAGGATCTGGCTCTGCCCTACTGCATACTGCATGCAAGATCTCCAGTGTTAGGATCTTAGTTTCAGAATCAGGACCTTCATGGTTTGTATCTGCTCAAAGGGGCGGCTCCTAGAGCCTCCTCAGATCTGACCTGGGTCCTGTCTCCAAGCCCTGACTTCTGGGAACCTCCAGACCTCAGCAGCTGAGGGTCTGGGCACAGGGTGGGGAGACCAGGTAGAGGGAGTACAGAGTGACCGCCTCAAGTGACACCTCACCTCTCTGCACAGCTCCAATGAGACTCTGTCCTGCGTCATCATCTTTGTCATCGTGTACTACGCCCTGATGGCTGGTGTGGTTTGGTTTGTGGTCCTCACCTATGCCTGGCACACTTCCTTCAAAGCCCTGGGCACCACCTACCAGCCTCTCTCGGGCAAGACCTCCTACTTCCACCTGCTCACCTGGTCACTCCCCTTTGTCCTCACTGTGGCAATCCTTGCTGTGGCGCAGGTATAGTGACTGGTAGGAACGGGAGACCTGGATGGGGTGAGTTTGAGGGAGGGGGCCAGTAACCCACCTTCTGTCCCACCCCTTCCTGCTGCAGGTGGATGGGGACTCTGTGAGTGGGATTTGTTTTGTGGGCTACAAGAACTACCGATACCGTGCGGGCTTCGTGCTGGCCCCAATCGGCCTGGTGCTCATCGTGGGAGGCTACTTCCTCATCCGAGGTGAGTGAAGACCAGGCCAGGACCAGTTGGGCAACAAAATATACTGGGCACTTGCTGCCAGTACTGGGAGCTGCCAGCACGGCTGCCCCCATGCTGAAACCCCAGCTAGCTCCTATAGGGCCTTCACACAGTAGAAGGTGACCCTCTAGGCAGACGAAACACCGTGAGCACTTGCTGCGGGACAGCACCTTTGTACTGGCCAGAAAAATCCATCCCTCTCTCCAGGGCCTTGGCCCAGGGCTCACAGCTTGTTTTTTTTGTTTGTTTTTGTTTTTGAGACAGAGTCTAGCTCTGTTGCCCAGGCTGGAGTGCAGTGGCACAATCTTGGCTCACTGCAACCTTCGCCTCCTGGGTTCAAGTGATTCTCCTGCCTCACCCTCCCCCATAGCTAAAATTACAGGCATGCACCACCACGTCTGGCTAATTTTTGTATTTTTAGTAGAGACGGGGTTTCACCATGTTAGCCAGGCTGGTCTTGAACTCCTGACCTAAAGTGATCCACCACCTCAGCCTCCCAAAGTGCGGAGATTACAGGCATGAGCCACAGTGCCCAGCCTCACAGCTTGTTAGGTGGAGTTGGGTCAGGATCCAGCCCCAGTCAGCTCCTGGCCGGTGCACTTGTGTGATGAACACCCTGAGTAACCTACTCTGCCCACTTGGACCAACCTAGGTCGTTTGGTTATCTGTGTGCACATTAATTCGATATGTACTGTCAATCTTCTGGAGCTTGGTTTTCATCTTCTTTCTGTCCCCGGCACACACAGCTCTCACAGCATGCGTGGAATTAGTGGTCCCTAACTTTCCTGTCTCATGCTGCCATCCCATAGTAAGCCTCAGCATCTATTTAGCTCATTGTTGTTGGGTTTTCTTTGTAAACCTCAGTTTCCTCACCCTGAACTGCCAGCCTTCTGTTCAGTCACCTCTTTCCCCTCTTTTTGGCATAGTGTCTGGCCCTCTGATTTGTGCTTCGTTATCATGCTGTCCTAGTATGGTAATCACTAGCCACATGTGTTGAACTAGTCCAGCCTGGGTGCGGCGGCTCACTCCTGTAATCCCAGTACTTTGGGAGGCTGAGACGGACGGATCACTTGAGCTCAGAGTTCGAGACCAGCCTGAACAACATAGTGAAACCCCATCTCTACAAAAAATACAAAAGTTGCCTGGGCAGGGTGGCACATGCCTGTGGTCCTAGCTATGTGAGAGGCTGAGGTGGGAGGCTTGCTTGAGCCCAGGAGGTTGAGGCTGCAGTGAGCCATGATCTTGCCACTGCACTCCAGCCTGAGTGACAGAGTGAGACCCTGTCTCCAAAGAAAACAAGACAACAACAAAAAGAAACAAGTCCAAATTGAGATGTGTTGTAAAATGTGAAATACACACTGTATTAAAAAAAAAACTTAGTGGGAAAAAAATGTAAAATATCTCATTAATAATTTGTTACATGGATTACATGTTGAAATGATTTTATTTTGAATATATTAGGTTTGTAAAATATATTGATATTAGTTTTGCTTGTTTCTTTTAACTTTTTTTAAGTGGCCACTAGAAATTTGCCATATGTATGTGGCTCACATATTTCTATGGGAAGGCCGGCATGGTGGCTCACACCTGTAATCCCAGCACTTTGGGAGGCCGAGGTGGGCAGATCACCTGAGTTCAGGAGTTCAAGACCATCCTGGCCAACATGGTGAAACCCCATCTTTACAAAAATACAAAAATTAGCCGGCGTGATGGTAGGTGCCTGTGATCCCAGCTGCTTGGGAGGCTGAGGCAGGAGAATTGCTTGAACCTGGGAGGCGGAGTTTACAATGAGCCGAGATCACGCCATTGCACTCCAGCCTGGGCGACAGGGTTCCATCTCAAAAAAAAAATTATATGGATAGCGCTGTTCTTGAGTCTGTTTTATGTCTTTCCCATCAGAACAGCTTTGATCTGCCCCCTTCTTCAGGGGCAGCTGGGCCACGACCGAGGCTCCCTCTTCTCAAGTGTCTGTCTAGGCTCTGCCCTGGTCTTCTCACCATTTCTCCAGTGTCTCTAGCTCCCCAGGTTTTCATTTAGCACAGGGGTAATCAGACTTGGGACTCCAGAGCCTTAGGACCCTCCTCCCACTCACCCATCCTTCCCAGCAGGGCAGCCTCACCCCTGCTAATGTCTGAGGTCCCCCTTCTGTTCAGGAGTCATGACTCTGTTCTCCATCAAGAGCAACCACCCCGGGCTGCTGAGTGAGAAGGCTGCCAGCAAGATCAACGAGACCATGCTGCGCCTGGGTGAGTGGCCCCGGGGGACTTCGGTCTGAGGTCCTGGCCAGCCCAACACTGCACCCTCCTGGGGCTATGCGACCGGCAGGATGCAGTAAGTCAGTGGGACAAGTTAGCCATAGGGACAAGGACAAGGGGTGTGTGTAGGTGGTAGTGGTAGTGGCAGCTCAAAAGAAGGGGGTCTACTCGGGGGGAAGAATTCAGTCAAGTTCATGCCGGGACTGGTTCCTCCTGCCCACTACGTCCCACGTGGTCCCTCCCACAGTTGCTTCAAGTGCCCTTCTTATTTTATTTTAGAGAAAGCAGTTCTTGGACTGAGCCCAGCATGAGTTCACCCCAGCCCCAGCTGGGTGAACTTTGAGGCCCAGTGGGGCAGACTCTCTCCTCCCCACTGCTGCTGCGGGACTGGGCTTGGTAACGTCCTGTCCTGCCCCTGTCCTCCACAGGCATTTTTGGCTTCCTGGCCTTTGGCTTTGTGCTCATTACCTTCAGCTGCCACTTCTACGACTTCTTCAACCAGGCTGAGTGGGAGCGCAGCTTCCGGGACTATGTGCTGTGAGTGAGGGGCATGGAGGCGGCAGTGCTGGGAGCTGGAGCCAAGGCCATAAAGACACCCACCTCCACCCACCGGGCAGCAGGGATTTGCCAGGTCCCTGCTGCAGACAGCAGATTCAATGGATGGTGTCTGGGTGCATAAGGCATCAGTCTCCGTAG
This sequence comes from Homo sapiens, assembly GCF_000001405.40. Taxonomy (NCBI): domain Eukaryota; kingdom Metazoa; phylum Chordata; class Mammalia; order Primates; family Hominidae; genus Homo; species Homo sapiens. The sequence goes on from NC_000007.14 coordinate 129,209,557, forward strand.
TTTCTCAAACGTGGCAAACAACCTTCGCATCCCTTCTCACCTCTGCCCTTCCCTCTCCACCCCCTTGGTTGCCCAGCTGGTGCATGTGTGACTGTTAAGCAGCCAGTTCAGCTTCGTCTTCTCTGACTGACACTAAGTTGCCCTCTAATTCTGTGTGCTCTCCTGCAGAGCCTGCTTTAGATCCTGGCACAGGACTAGTTACCTCTCTGTGATAGGTTAATGACCTGCTAATGTTGGCTAGTTTTTGCCTGTGCTTTTTTGTGTCATAATGAGGATGGATTGGAGAGAGTAAGACATTGCTACTGCTGAGAGAAGCGCAGTACCCACTGTTACAAGGACAGTCGCTAAAATGGATGCTAGTCCAAGCCCTGACTGCTTCAGGCTCTTCCGTAAAGGTTCCGGCTTCCAGTCTGGGATGCTTTAAACCACAGTGATGCCTGAGTCTCTGCCCCAGAGATTCAATTTAATTGTCTAGGGTGGGTCCCAGGCATCAGTAGCTATTAAAAGCTCCCCAGTTGATTCTAATGAGCACCCAGGGTTGAGATCAGTGCTGTGGAGCTTAGCCCTTTCTAAAGTTTTTGGATTGATTGTCTGAGTCTACCCAGTAGACTCAGAAAACCCCACCTGTAGTCCCAGCTACTTGGGAGGCTGAAGCAGGAGATTGCCTGAGCCCAGGAGTTGGAAGCTGCAGTGGGTTGTGATCACGCCACCGCACTCTAGCCTGGGTGACAGAGCAAGATCCTATCTCAAAAAAAGAGAGAGGAAAAGAAAGGAAAGCCTCACCTGTCTACGTTCCCTCACTGTAGATGTCAGGCCAATGTGACCATCGGGCTGCCCACCAAGCAGCCCATCCCTGACTGTGAGATCAAGAATCGCCCGAGCCTTCTGGTGGAGAAGATCAACCTGTTTGCCATGTTTGGAACTGGCATCGCCATGAGCACCTGGGTCTGGACCAAGGCCACGCTGCTCATCTGGAGGCGTACCTGGTGCAGGTGGGCATGGCAGCCAGCCCCTCCTGCCCTGCCCGCCTCACCCTCAGCCTTGGGACCCCATCTTTAGGTTTTGTCGGGTCCTGCCTCTAGCACAGCCTTGGTCAGTGGTTCACCGCTGCCCCCTGGTGGCACCTTCTGTCCTTGGGTGGCCTGATGCCTGGGCCTGGGCCTGGGCCAAGGGCAGAGCCAGCTGCCATCACCTTTTAAGAGCGGAGTGATTGGAGGGCTGGGCACACAGGAGCTCTGCATTCTGGCCCCACTTCTTTGCAGAGAAGGCCTCTACTCCTGAGTCCTTGAAGGACTTGAGGCCCTTGGGAGCCTCCTTCTCTGGAAAGAATGGCATCGCTGGCCCTTCCCAAGATTTGATGGGAAGTGGCAGCTTCTTCACGCTCCTTCCCTATCCCTTCTGCTCTCAGGTTGACTGGGCAGAGTGACGATGAGCCAAAGCGGATCAAGAAGAGCAAGATGATTGCCAAGGCCTTCTCTAAGCGGCACGAGCTCCTGCAGAACCCAGGCCAGGAGCTGTCCTTCAGCATGCACACTGTGTCCCACGACGGGCCCGTGGGTGAGCCTCACCCCTCCTCTACCGGAGCCGCCTGGCCCCGCGCTGCCCATGTGCTAGTCTCTCCCAGCCTGCTGGGGGCACACAGATTATTTGGAAGACCGACTGTGAGGAGCAAGGCGCTCCCTCCATCGCTCACACACCCATTCTTCCCCCGGCCCCTCCTACCCTCTGGGGGGCTCTCCCCTCTCTGTTTCTGCCCCTGGGTCTGCTTGCCGGTGCTTGGGTTCCAAGAAGACTCCCCTCCCTCTCCCTTCTCATAAATTCTCCAGTTGCTCTCCCTGGGCAAGAGTAAGTCAGGGTTCCAAGAACTGGATTTCTGGCCTCCAGTTAGGCCCTTTGGGGACGTGAGGCCCTTCTCTTCAGATTCTGAAGGGGTAGAGATCACCGTGGTTACAGGGTGAGCTTTCTCTGGTGAGCAGGAGGGACTGGCTGTGGGAAGATGAATGGCACTGACTATGGGAGGCACTGCCAGGGACCGGGAAGTCACTATTCCTTCTCCTTTCCTTCCTTCCATTCCCACAGCGGGCTTGGCCTTTGACCTCAATGAGCCCTCAGCTGATGTCTCCTCTGCCTGGGCCCAGCATGTCACCAAGATGGTGGCTCGGAGAGGAGCCATACTGCCCCAGGATATTTCTGTCACCCCTGTGGCAACTCCAGGTATGAGAGTTCAAGCTTCTGGAGGAAGGTGGGGGGAGCACAGAGGCTGGGGGCTTCTGGGACTGGAGTACAGGGGCTGTCGGAGGAGGAGGAAGAGGAAGGAAAGGCCCCAGAGGATCTGAAGAGTGGGGCTGAGGCTCTAAGAGTCTAGAGACCTGGGCCCCAGAACTAACAGGTTAAGTGCTCCCAGGGGAGCGGGGGTGGCATGGACAGAGCCAGGGCCCCAGGCTCGTGTTGTCTCTCCTCCTGTCAGTGCCCCCAGAGGAACAAGCCAACCTGTGGCTGGTTGAGGCAGAGATCTCCCCAGAGCTGCAGAAGCGCCTGGGCCGGAAGAAGAAGAGGAGGAAGAGGAAGAAGGAGGTGTGCCCGCTGGCGCCGCCCCCTGAGCTTCACCCCCCTGCCCCTGCCCCCAGTACCATTCCTCGACTGCCTCAGCTGCCCCGGCAGAAATGCCTGGTGGCTGCAGGTGCCTGGGGAGCTGGGGACTCTTGCCGACAGGGAGCGTGGACCCTGGTCTCCAACCCATTCTGCCCAGAGCCCAGTCCCCCTCAGGATCCATTTCTGCCCAGTGCACCGGCCCCCGTGGCATGGGCTCATGGCCGCCGACAGGGCCTGGGGCCTATTCACTCCCGCACCAACCTGATGGACACAGAACTCATGGATGCAGACTCGGACTTCTGAGCCTGCAGAGCAGGACCTGGGACAGGAAAGAGAGGAACCAATACCTTCAAGGCTCTTCTTCCTCACCGAGCATGCTTCCCTAGGATCCCGTCTTCCAGAGAACCTGTGGGCTGACTGCCCTCCGAAGAGAGTTCTGGATGTCTGGCTCAAAGCAGCAGGACTGTGGGAAAGAGCCTAACATCTCCATGGGGAGGCCTCACCCCAGGGACAGGGCCCTGGAGCTCAGGGTCCTTGTTTCTGCCCTGCCAGCTGCAGCCTGGTTGGCAGCATCTGCTCCATCGGGGCAGGGGGTATGCAGAGCTTGTGGTGGGGCAGGAACGGTGGAGGCAGAGGTGACAGTTCCCAGAGTGGGCTTTGGTGGCCAGGGAGGCAGCCTAGCCTATGTCTGGCAGATGAGGGCTGGCTGCCGTTTTCTGGGCTGATGGGTGCCCTTTCCTGGCAGTCTCAGTCCAAAAGTGTTGACTGTGTCATTAGTCCTTTGTCTAAGTAGGGCCAGGGCACCGTATTCCTCTCCCAGGTGTTTGTGGGGCTGGAAGGACCTGCTCCCACAGGGGCCATGTCCTCTCTTAATAGGTGGCACTACCCCAAACCCATCTTTTGTTCTCCTATATCCTCCTTCTTCTGTTCCATTTCAGTTCAGTTTCAGCGGTGCCAACCTCTTTGCGTTTCCTTTTTGTTGATGAGGACCCAGAGCTGCTGCACACACTCACCTCTAACCCCCTCCCCTCGCTGCTGGGCCCCATCTCCACAGGAGAGACTGGTTCAGCTCTAGGGCCTCAGTCTGGAGTGGGATAGGAGCAGTGAGTGACAAAGCCTCTGAAAGATGCATCATCTCTTCCTCACACCCATTTAGTGGGGGATGGGTCCTCTAGACTTGAGGGGCTACCCTGGGAAGCTGCCGTAGCTTCAGCCAGGCAAGAAAGCTTCCTTCAACCTGCATAGCCGGTGGGTGAGGAGATTCCCACCTTCCATAGCCTCCAAACATGTTCCCAAGGCCCCACTTTCAAGAATCAGACAGCAGGAAGCCATAGATGCTGGCTGGGTTCCAGGTTATGGGGAGAAGAAATACAGTCAATAAAAGGTTTTTGTATAAACTCTTGGTGTGTTTTTCCTTTTTTTTTTCTTTTTCTTTCTCTCTCTTTTTTTTTTTTTTAATTGAGATAAAAGTCTCACTCTATCCCCCAGGCTGGAGTGCAGTGACATGATATTGGCTCACTGCAACCTCCGTCTCCTGGGTTCAAGCAATTCTGCCTCAGCCTCCTGAGTAGCTGGGATTACAGGTGCCTGCCACCACACCCAGCTAATTTTTGTATTTTTAGTAAAGAGGGGGTTTCACCATGTTGGCCAGGCTGGTCTCGAACTCCTGACCTCAAGTGATCCACCCGCCTCGGGCTCCAAAGGGCTGGGATTACAGGCGTGAGCCACCGCGCCCAGCTAGTGCGTTCTTTCTTCTATGGGCTCCGATCCTGGCCTCCTTACCTTGTCTTGGTCCCAATCTTTTTGGTCTTCCCCATCTTCCCGAGGGTGCTCTGAAAGGCCAAGAGCTTTGTGCTAATGTGGCCACGGCTGACAGTCAGATGTCAGGCTGATGGCGCCCTCATGTGCTGGCTGTCCACCTGAGCCAGTCGGCTCTATATGAACAAAAGCTCTTCTGTGACCACGGCTGCCTCGCGGAGCAGTGATCACAAGATAATTGAGCACAGGCATGCAGCTTCCCCTGGGGTGATGGTGTCTGCCTGATGGGAGTGGAGATGGGCAGGACTCCTCGAGGCATTCCTGGACCTCATCTCTGGGGGCCTCTTTCTTCTACCAGGGACGTCCATTGGGCTAGACGCATTCTGATCCACAGCTTCCTCCCCTGGCCAGTCAGGGAAGCCTGTTAGCCCCACTTCCTCCAATGAGATAATCAGTAGAAGACTGGGAACTGGGGTGCAAGGGCTCAGGATTATGAGAGAAGGAGGTCTGTGTAGCAAAGGGGCTGGTGCCCACAGACCTGGCGGGTATTGTGGAGTACAGACCAGGCTTGTTTGGGGAGTACTCTTTTTTGTTGTTGAAATAGAGTTTCACTCTATTGCCCAGGCTGGAGTGCAGTGGCACAATCTCAGCTCACTGCAACCTCCGCCTCCTGGGTTCAAGAATTTCTCCTGCCTCAGCCTCCCGAGTAGCTGGGATTACAGACGTGTGCCACCATGCCCAGCTAATTTTTGTTTGTTTATTTATTTATTTATTTATTTATTTATTTATTTATTTTGAGAATGAGCCTTGCTCCATCGCCCAGGCTGGAGTGCAGTGGTGCCATCTCAGTTCACTGTAACCTCTGCCTCCCTGGTTCAAGCGATTCTTCTGCCTCAGCCCCCCAAGTAGCTGGGATTTCAGGCGCGCACTACCACACCCCACTAGTTTCTGTATTTTTAGTAGAGACAAGGTTTCTCCATGTTGGCCAGGCTGGTCCCAAACTCCTGACCTCAGGTGATCCGCCCGCCTTGGCCTCCTGAAGTGCTGGGATTACAGATGTGGGCCACTGCGCCCGGCCTAATTTTTTTTTTTTTTTTGAGACAGAGTCTCCCTGTCGCCCAGGCTGGAGTGCAGTGGCACAATCTCGGCTCACTGCAAGCTCTGCCTCCCTGGTTCATGCCATTCTCCTGCATCAGCCTCCCAAGTAGCTGGGACTACAGGTGCCCGCCACCACGCCCGGCTAATTTTTTGTATTTTTAGTAGAGACGGGGTTTCACCATGTTAGCCAGGATGGTCTCAATCTCCTGACCTCGTGATCTGCCCGCCACGGCCTCCCAAAGTGCTGGGATTACAGGCGTGAGCCACTGCGCCCAGCCAGGAGTAGTCTTTGAATGCTGCTCATGTGATGAGGACACCGCATTTTGACCATGGCCAGATTCCAGGAGAAGGGGAAAGGGAATACTAACCCACGGATTGTATTCCTAGGCACTTTACATGTGTATTAATAATAGCTAACTCTTGGCTGGGCACAGTGGCTCATGCCTGAAATTCCAGCACCTTGGGAGGCCGAGGCAGGAGGGCTGCTTGAGCCCAGAGTTTGAGACCAGCCTGGGCAACAAAATGAGACCCCCATCTCTACAAAAGATTAAAAAATTAGCGGGGCGTGGTTGTGTGCCTGTGGTCCCAGGTCTTGGGAGTCTGAGGTGGATTGCTTGAGCCCAGGAGCTGGAGGCTGCAGTGAGCTGTGACTGCATCACTGTACTCTAGCCTGGGCAACACAGCAAGACTCTGTCTCAGAAAAAAAAAAAAGCCTCCCCCTCCCCCTCCCCCTGCCCCTCTCCCTCTCTCTTTCTTCGGTCGCCCTCTGTTGCCGAGGCTGGACTGTACTGCCGTGATCTCAGCTCGCTGCAACCTCCCTACCTCAGGCTCCCATGATTCTCCTGCCTCAGCCTGCCAAGTGCCTGGGATTGCAGGCGCGTGCCGCCACGCCTGACTGGTTTTTGTATTTTTGGTGGAGACGGGGTTTCGCCGTGTTGACTGGGCTGGTCTCCAGCTCTTGACCTAGAGTGATCTGCCCACCTCGGCCTCCCGAGGTGCTGAGATTGCAGAGTCTCGCTCACTCAATGCTCAATGTTGCCCAGGCTGGAGTGCAGTGGCATGATCTCAGCTTGCTACAACCTCCACCTCCCAGCCGCCTGCCTTGGCCTCCGAAAGTGCTAAGATTACAGCCTCTGCCCGGCCACCACCCCATCTAGGAAGTGAGGAGCGTCTCTGCCTGGCCGCCCATCGTCTGGGATGTGAGGAGCCCCTCTGCCCGGCCGCCCCGTCTGGGATATGAGGAGTGCCTATGCCCGGCCGCCCCGTCTGGGAAGTGAGGAGCACCTCTGCCTGGCCGCCACCCTGTCTGGGAAGTGGGGACCACCTCTGCCCGGCCGTCACCCCGTTTAGGAAGTGAGGAGCGTCTCTGCCTGGCCGCCCATCGTCTGGGATGTGAGGGGCACCTCTGCCCGGCCGCCCATCATCTGGGATGTGAGGAGTGCCTCTGCCCGGCCACCACCCCATCTGGGAACTGAGGAGCGCCTCTGCCCAGCTGCCCCGTCTGAGAAGTGAGGAGCCCCTCTGCCCAGCCGCCCATCATCTGGGATGTGAGGAGCGCCTCTGCCCAGCCACCCACCGTCTGGGATGTGAGGAGCGCCTCTGCCCAGCCGCCACCCCGTCTGGGAAGTGAGGAGCGCCTTTGCCTGGCCCCCCTTCGTCTGGGAGGTGAGGAGCGCCTCTGCCCGGCTGCCCCGTCTGGGAGGTGAAGAGCGCCTCTGCCCGGCTGCCCTGTCTGGGAGGTGTACCCAACAGCTCCAAAGAGACAGCGACCATTGAGAACGGGCCATGATGACGATAGTGGTTTTGTCGAAAAGAAAAGGGGGAAATGTGGGGAAAAGAAAGAGAGATCAGATTGTTACTGTGTCTGTGTAGAAAGAAGTAAACATAGGAGACTCCATTTTGTTCTGTACTAAGAAAAATTCTTCTGCCTTGGGATGCTGTTAATCTATAACCTTACCCCCAACCCCGTGCTCTCTGAAACATGCGCTGTGTCAACTCAGGGTTAAATGGATTAAGGGCAGTGCAAGATGTGCTTTGTTAAACAGATGCTTGAAGACAGCATGCTCGTTAAGAGTCATCACCACTCCCTAATCTCAAGTACCCAGGGACACAAACACTGCAGAAGGCCGCAGGGACCTCTGCCTAGGAAAACCAGAGACCTTTGTTCACGTGTTTATCTGCTGACCTTCTCTCCACTATTATCCTATGACCCTGCCACATCCCCCGCTCCGAGAAACACCCAAGAATGATCAATAAATCCAAAAAAAAAAAAAAAAAATGCCAACTCTTAGTGTATGCTTGCCGGGTACTTCTCTAAGCACTTTGTGTACATTAATTCATCAAATTTCACAGATTCAGACCTGTGAGGCTCTGTTAACACCCCTCAAGATACTGAGGCACAGAGAGTTTCAGTAGCTTGCCCAAGACCACACAGTAAGTGGAAATGCTGGCATTTTGTTGGCTCCAGTGGGCACTTAGCCATGGTGCTCCACTGTCTCTTGTTTAATTCAGAGAATAATAAACCAATCAGAGGAGCTCATTTTATGTGTTAGGTTGATGCAAAAGTCATTGCAGTTTTTGCCATTTTATTTTATTTTATTTTAAGTATTTTGAGACAGAGTTTCACTCTTGCTGCCCAGGCTGGAGTGCAATGGTGTGATCTCAGCTCACCACAACCTCCACCTCCAGGGTTCAAGTGATTCTCCTGCCTTAGCCTCCCAAGTAGCTGGGATTACAGGCATGTACCACCACACCTGGCTAATTTTGTATTTTTAGTAGAGATAGGGTTTCTCCATGTTGGTCAGGCTGGTCTCAAACTCCCGACCTCAGGTGATCCACCTGCCTTGGCTTCCCAAAGTGCTGGGATTACAGGCGTGAGCCACTGAGCCCAGCCAGTTGTTGCCATTTTAATTGGAAAATATAAGCTCAGTGAAGCAAAATGACTTGCTTGCTACCCCGCAGCTAGTGAGTGACAGACACTAGGTCCAGGCTCTTCCTGACTAGTGTCCAGGCTCTTTCCACGCTTAATCCCGCCTTTGATTTTTCTCTCTATCCAGGTTTCCTGGTTTATGTTCCCTCTGGCCATCCCACATCCTCTTACACCTGCTCTTCTTGTTCTTCCCGGCCGTTACTGCTTCCCTTAGCATTGTTACAGCTATTTTTTAGCCTTTATCAACAACAGTATTTAAAATAATGAAAGTTATCAGTGCTGTTTAAGGATCTTTTCTGAAACAAAGGGGAGTGTTACAATGTTCTTCTTTTCATCTCCAAAGACAGTTGACTACTAGTTTTCCTCCCTCCTTCTATCCTTTCTTTAGTGGGATTACTTATGTAAAGGATGGGAGATGGGGTGAAAGGGGAGTTCAATCTGGGCCTTAAAAGCTGAGAAATAGGCCAGGCACTGTGGTTCACGTCTGTAATCCCAGCATTTTGGGAGGCTGAGGCGAGAGAATCACTTGAGTCCAGGAGTTTGAGACCAGGCTGGCCAACATGGCGAAACTGTGTCTCTACAAAAAATAAATTAGCCAGACGTGGCGGTGCATGCCTATAGTCCCAGCTACTCGGGAGGCTGAGGTAGGAGGACTGCTTGAGCCCGCGAGGGTCAAGGCTGGCCGAGAATGCACCACTGCACTCCAGCCTGGGCGCTGGGCTACAGCAAGCACCACCCTGTCTCCAAAAAAACAGCTGAGAAATGTGACATTTGTGCAGAGACTCTGTGGCCACTAGGGGGCAATGTGAGCCCACCTTTGTGAATGCAGATGTCCAGCACCATGGACACTCCCACAACCAAGAAATCTTCCAGTAGTATCCCTACGGGAGCATCAATCTCAGGACTGAACAACAGTAACCACCCTTCTACCAAAAGCTCCTGAGTGAGATCCCCAAAGAAACCCCTCAGGATCCAAGGGGAGCCTGGTTTGTGGGACTCCCAGTTTGGGGGACTCCCTGCTATGCTGTTGCCCTGAAAACACAGCTCCCCATGCGTGCCCCTCATCACAGGCTCTGCCCTCAGCTGCCTCATTGGGCCTCTTACCATTCTTTCAAATTCAGCTGGCCTTGCCTCTGTTTGTTCCAGCTTCCTTAAAGCAGTCTGTCCACTGCCCATCTTTGTTCCTCTGTGCTTTTTTTTTTTTTTTTTTTTTTTGAGACAGGGTGTCACTCTGTTGCCCATGCTGGAGTGTTGTTCCTCTGTCTTCTTTTTTTTTTTTTTTTTTTTTTTTGAGACAGGGTCTCACTCTGTTGCCCAGGCTGGAGTGCAGTGATGCAATCTCGGCTCACTGCAGCCTCAATTTCCTGGGTCAGGCGATGTTCCTGCCTCAGCCTCCCAAGCTGCTGGGACTACAGGTGCACATCACCATGCCAGCCTAATTTTATTTTTTGTAGAGATGGGGTCTCACTATGTTGTCCAGGCTGGTCTCCAACTTGGTCTCGGCCCAGGTGATCTTCCTGCCTTGGCCTCCCAAGGTGCTGAAATTGCAGGCATCAGCCACCGTGTTCAGCCTCTGCCTGCTTTTTTATTTTTATTTTTAGAGACAGAATCTTGCTCTGTTGCCCAGGTTGGAGGGCAGTGGTGCAATCATAGCCCACTACAGCCTCAAACTCCTGGGCTCAAAGGATCCTCCGGCCTCAGCCTCCCAAGTAGCTACAACTACAGGCATGTACCATCATGCCAGACAAATGTTATTAAAAACAAATTTTTTTTAGAGACAGGGTCTGGTCATGTTGCCTATGCTGGTCTTGAACTCCTGGCATCAAAGTGATCTTTTGCCTTGGGCTCCCAAAGTGTGGGGATTATAGGCATGAGCCACTATGCCCAGCCTACTTTTGTTTTTAAGAAATTGAAACGATATAGAAAAGTACAAAGAACAACCTAATAAACACTCATATTCCCACCACTCAGAATTATCAACTTTTTATCATTTTATCATATTTGCTTCAGATCTTTTTTTTTTTTTAAAGAAAAGTATAACAGATTTAGCTAAAGTACCCTTTGACCAATACCCCACCCCACTCTCCCCGCTGCTCAAAAGGAAAGCAAGCCTGGGCACAGTGGCTAGCACCTGTAATCACAGCACTTTGAGAGGTTGAGGTGGGTGAATCACGAGCTCAGGAGTTCAAGACCAGCCTGGTTAGCATGGTGAAACCCCATCTCTACTCAAAATAAAAAAAAAATCAGCTGGATGTGGTAATGCGTGCCTGTAATCCCAGCTACTCGGGAGGCTGAGGGAGGAGAATCGCTTGAGCCTGGGAGGCGGAGGTTGCAGTGAGCCGAGATCCTGCCATTGCACTCCAGCCTGGGCAACTGTGTGAGACTCCATCTAAAAAAAAACAAAAAACAAAAAACCACAAAAAAACAGGCTGGGCACGGTGGCTCATGCCTGTAACTCTAGCACTTTGGGAGGCCAAGGCAGGCAGATGGCCTGAGCTCAGAAGTTTGAGACCAGCCTGGGTAACATGGTAAAACCCCGTCTCTACTAAAATATGAAAAATTAGCTCGGCATGGTGGTGGGTGCCTTTAGTCCCAGCTACTCGGGAGGCTGAGGCAGGAGAATTGCTTGAACCTGGGAGGCGGAGGTTGCAGTGAGCCGAGATTGCGCCACTGCACGCCAGCCTAGGCAACAAGAGCGAGACTCCGTCTCCAAAAAAAAAAAAACAACTAGAAGTTCGAGACCAGCCTGGGCAACATAGCAAGAGCCCTACTCTACCAAAAACATTTTTTTTTAATTAGCCAGGTGTAGTGGTGCAAACCTGTAGTTCCAGTTACTTGGGAGGCTGAGGTGGGAGGATTGCTTGAGCCCAGGAGGCAGAGGTTGCAGTTAGCTATGATTATGCCACTGCACTCTGGCCTGGGCAGCAAGAGTGAGACTCTGTCTCGAAACAAAAAACCAAAGTTTTCTTCATATGTCTGGTGACTTTGGTTGTCTGTTCATACTTAAGAATGTGACACTAAATTGTTCACGGAAGCTCTGTGAACATGAGTATGGTCTTCAGGGCGGGTGATCTGGCTGGCTTATTTCCTTTGGAAACTCTCAATGTTAGTATCTTTGTTTTCTCTCTTGGATTGGTCAGATACCTCAGAGAAATTCTTCTTTTTTTTTTTTTTTTTTTTTGAGACACAGTCTTGCTCTGTTGCCCAGGCTGGAGTGCCGTGGCGCAATCTCAGCTCACTGCAGTCTCTGCCTCCCAAGTTCAAGCAATTCTCCTGCCTCAGCCTCCCGAGTTGCTGGGACTACAGGCGTGTGCCACCACACCCAGCTAATTTGTGTATTTTAGTAGAGACGGGATTTCACCATGTTAGTCAGGCTGGTCTCAAACTCCTGACCTCGTGATTTGCCCGCCTTGGCCTCCCAAGTGCTGGGATTTCAGGTGTGAGCCACCGTGCCTGGCCAAGAAATTCTTCTTTATTGGCCGGGCGCGGTGGCTCAGGCTTGTAATCCCAGCAGTTTGGGAGGCCAAGGCGGGCAGATCACGAGGTCAGGAGATTGAGACCATCCTGGCTAACATGGTGAAACCCCGTCTCTACTAAAAATACAAAAAATTATCCGGGTGTGGTGACACGTGCCTGTAGTCCCAGCTACTCGGGAGGCTGAGGCAGGAGAATTGCTTGAACCCAGGAGGCAGAGGTTGCAGTGAGCCGAGATCATGCCACTGCACTCTAGTCTGGGCGATGGCACGAGACTCCATCTCAAAAAAAAAAAAAGAAAAAGAAAAAAAGAAATTCTTTTTTATACCAATGTCCTGCATGGACGTTACATTCCTGCTTGCCAGCGTTCTGGAAGCTGAATGAGCCGGGTGAAGGAAGAAGACCTGTAGTCCAAATATTTCATTAAATAGTTCATAAACTGGTGCTTAATTACCCTGTTTCTAGTATGTAATTTGATCTTCAACTGTACCTGGTGTCCCTCAGCTACAAGGATGGCAGAAGCAGCAGGTATGTAGGGATGGAGTTGACAACAGGTTGAAGAATGTGTCCTGATGGTTGGCCCCAATCAGTGGTGGTGACTGGAATAAAACAGGGTATCAGTTTCATTCCAGTGCTCTAACTCCTTATATTTTATAACCACATCACACTGAAGAATTAATTCATCCTCTCAGTAATCAATTCTAGTGGCAGGTAGGCAGCTGCTGCCTATGAGCTCCAACACATGCCAGGTGGCTGTACCGTAGCTCCCTTGAGCATTAGGGGGAAGAATGAAATCAGTTACAGAGCTGCTAATCTCTGCTCCGACAGCTGGAGGATGAAGCTCTGGGCTGGTTTCTTTTTAACAGGAAGGAAATTCTGAAAGCCGGAATGTGAAGAAAAAACTTAAGAATCTCTTGTGTCTTGTGAGCTCTGTGGAAATGGCAGTGCTCAGATGCCTTCCGACATGTACTGTGAGGCACAAATTTGGAGATCAGGAAATGAGAGCCTCCATTCAAGGCAGGACAACCACACAGAGTGAACAGATTTCCAAAATAGTAGGACAGGAAAGAAGATCGAGGCAGGTGATTTCTCTCCCTTCTCCTTCTTTTTTTTTGAGACAGAGTCTTGCTCTGTTGCCCAGGCTGGAGTGTAGTGGTGCAATCTCGGCTCACTGCAACCTCCACCTCCTGCGTTCAAAGGATTCTCCTGCCTCAGCCTCCTGAGTAGCTGGAACTACAGGCAGAAGCCACCACGCCTGGCTAATTTTTGTATTTTTATTAGAGATGGGGTTTCACCACGTTGGCCAGGCTGGTCTCGAACTGCTGACCTCAAGTGATCCACCCGCCTCGGCCTCCCAAAGTGTTGGGATTACAGGTGTGAGCCACCATGCCTGGCCTCCTTCCTTCTCCTTGCCAGGCAAAACACAGTGACACCAAAGACTAGATGTCTAAAGAGTAGCTGTCCAGTGGCTGCCTGGGTTGTTAGGGCTGTAAGTCTCTGAAACAGCTGTAAACTGTATGAACCCCTTTGCTCCTGTTTCTCTGAGCATAGAGAGGAACCCCCCCCATAATCTGTCGCGAGTCAACTGCATTTTGTTTTTTTAAAGTATTCTTTTTTTTTTTTTTTTTTTTACGAGACGGAGTCTTGCTCCGTCGCCCAGGCTGGAGTGCAGTGGGGCGATCTCTGCTCACTGCAAGCTCTGCCTCCTGGGTTCACGCCATTCTCCTGCCTCAGCCTCCCGAGTAGCTGGGACTACAGGCGCCCGCCACCACGCCCGGCTTATTTTTGTATTTTTAGTAGAGACGGGGTTTCACCGTGTTAGTCAGGATGGTCTCGATCTCCTCACCTCGTGATCTGCCTGCCTCGGCCTCCCAAAGTGCTGGGATTACAGGCTTTTTAAAGTATTCTTTACATAAAATCTTATGGCATGTGCAATTTTGTCTCTTGCTTCTTAGCTTAATGTTTTTATCATAAGCATTTATTCTGAAAGCCAGAATGCCTTGATCTTCTTTCCTGTGCTATTACGATTTTGGAAATCTTCACTTCGTGAAGTTGTCCTGCCTTGGAGTCTCTCATTTCCTGATCGCCAAATTTGTGCCTCACACTATGTATCGGAAGGCGTCTGAGCACTGCCATTTCCACAGAGCTCACAAGTGTACCAGACACAAGAGTTTCTTAGCTTCCTCTTCACATTTTGGCTTTCAGAGTAAAGAATGAAAAAGGGAAAACCTTGTTGTTAAAAAGTATTGGCAAACAATTTTCTTTCTTTCTTCCTTTTTTTCTGGGACGGCATCTCACTCCGTTGTCCAGGCTGGAGTGCCGTGGCATGATCTTGGCTCACTGCAGCCTCTGCCTCCCAGGTTCAAGCGATCCTCCTGCCTCAGCCTCCCAAGTAGCTGGGATTTCAGGTGCCCGCCACCACGCCTGGCTAATTTTTGTATTTTTAGTAGAGATGGGGTTTCACCATGTTGGCCAGGCTGGTCTTGAAGTCCTGATCTCAAGTGATCTGCCGGCCTTGGCCTCCCAAAGTGCTGGGATTACAGACGTCAACCACTATGCCCAGCTGGCAAACGATTTTCAAAGGCTGTAACAATTGCTCTATTTGTTGGACATTAGTTTTAGACAGTTTTTTGTTATTAAAAAGGACGCTGCGGTGCATGTCTTTTTGCTTACATCCTCTAAATGTAAAATTTAAAAATAATACAGAAAAGTACAAAGTAAAAATCACCTTAAATCCCATCACTTAGGAAATTAACTACTCATATTCACTATTCATATCCCTCTATGCTGATATATGTATCTGAATTTCAGATGATTGCCCTATTAGAATTATAGGTGAAAAGATTTGGCCTCGTTTAAGGCAACGTGTAATTCCTCAGCCTTGAATTTTGATCTAGTGATACCTAACTTCTTTGAGGAATGATCTTAGCTTCCAAACCCAGAATGTGACAGAAAGCGCCACAGCAAGCAAGGTCCTACTTTATCCCTTCTAAAAACAAAGCCACTGAAGTTTGGAAGGGTGTTGAGTTCTCAATATCACAAAGAAAAATAAAGCCACTTCCAGCCTGGAGCCGCCGCTTCTCCTTTAAATACTCGCTCACGTGATCGCAGACGGGCACGCGCGGAGGAACTTCACGCTGTCAGGACAACGAGCCATTCCTCTACCACTTCCCCTCCCCTAAGGCTTCTTGGCGTTCCCTCCCCGGAAGTCACAACTCCTCTGGAGACTTTCTCTTCCTCATCCCCTCCGTCGAGTCACCTATCCTCACTCCTTTCTGTTAGCTGCCGGCCCTAGCGCTCCCTCTCCTCGGCTGAATCTCACTTAGTGGAGGAAAGGCTGAAAGGACTACAACTCCCAGGGGACGCTGCGGGCCCCGCCCATGGGGCGCGCAGTGTAGGTCGGGGCCTGAGGTCCCACGGTCTTCTCGCCGCGTGCGGCCGGGAGCAAACGCACTACAGGTTCCGTGGCGCCTCGCGCGAGGCCAGACCGGGACGGGGCGGGGCGGGGCTGGAGGGGCCGGGACTGGCGGGCGGAGAAAGGGGGTGGGAGAGGAGGCGATGGAGGGGAGGAGTGGGGACATGGGGGAGGGAAGAGGAAGGGAGGTGGGAGGCGGGGCCGACCAAGAGCAGGAGCTGGAGTCTGAGCCGGTGGTTGCAGCGGAGGCGGTGATGTCGGTGCAGGTTGTGTCAGCCGCGGCTGCCGCCAAGGTGCCTGAGGTGGAGCTGAAGGACCTGAGCCCCTCCGAGGCGGAGTCGCAACTAGGACTGAGCACGGCCGCCGTGGGCGCCATGGCCCCCCCGGCGGGCGGTGGAGACCCTGAGGCTCCAGCTCCCGCCGCGGAGCGGCCCCCGGTCCCCGGCCCGGGCTCGGGGCCCGCCGCCGCTCTCAGCCCCGCCGCCGGGAAGGTGCCTCAGGCGTCGGCCATGAAGCGGAGCGACCCACATCACCAGCACCAGCGGCACCGCGACGGCGGCGAGGCCCTGGTCAGCCCCGACGGCACCGTCACCGAGGCGCCGCGCACAGTCAAGAAGGTACTGGGGCCGGGCTGCCTCTCTAGGAGAGGAAGGGAGGGGAGGGGAACTGCAGATCCTCTCGGCACGGCGGCACCACCCTCCACGCCCTCCTTTCTGATCGCAGGACCGGAGATACCCCTTGTCCCCTTAAACCCACTCTCTCAGAGATGCCCCCCAGCCGGCCCCTCGTGCTGGGAGCGGAGACTCCAGGAGGCACGGCCGTACTTCGCTCTGAATAACATGGAGGTAGCGCTCTCCCCTACTACTTGGAATAGGCAGCGGGAGGAGAGACACCTAATAGTACGTCCCGCGGCCCCAACACGCTCCCGGGTGTGATTTTCCAGCCTATCGGGGAAGAGACCTCGATAGTATAGAAAAACCTTACCGCTCACGGGAGTTCACACAGCAATAAGGATGAAAAGATCTTTAATACTTGGAGAACGAGTAAGGTGTAGTCACCTTGCATAGAAATCGTCAGAGTTGTCTGGTTTCCATACAGTTGATGACTTTCTGCCTTTCTGTGGCCAACCGTGGCCATACAGCAACACGATGCTGTGCCCTTCATTTCCAGCGACTGCGATATTCTCTCTTCCCTGAATATGTAAAAGGGTAATGGAGAGATTCTCCTCACTCTTTCGTGTTAAGAGCTTTGTCCTCCCTGCTGGGTATAGTTGGTCACCAGGATTATTAGGCTGTGTATGAAGAGAATGAATGTCTTATTGATTGCTTTATTATAATCTGAAAGTGATAGGAAGAAATGCTGCTACTTTTGGGAAAGACGATCTTTGTGGGGTTTTCGGTCTTAGGCGTCAGCTTCTTTCAGACAGTTTTGAGGAGGTCTCAGAATACCAAGAAGTAACTGCCTAGGTGGATGATAGCCCTGTATTACCCGTACATTGTCTATCCATAGTTGTCTGTCTCTCTCAAAGCTTGTCTTTCTTTCTCTCTTAAAGCTGAATCAGCACAGAAAAACAGGGCAAGTATTGGAAAAGACAGAAGTGTGGATCATATAAAAAGGGCTTACAGCTTCAATTTCGTAGACACAGTATGGGCACAGGGATTAATGTTTTTTTTAAATTGTTGTGAATGGTTTTTAATTGCTTTATCAGAACAGCAACAAAGAGACGGGAAGTGTGCATTGGTTTTACTGTGTGGGACCAGCTGAATTGGAACCTTGGATCCACCATAACTTTTTGTTGTCATAGCGTCATGATTAAGGTATAGCGGATAATCCTTTCATCCTAACGATACAAATTTAGGTGATAAGTCAGAGGCAAGACTGAAGGAATTTCTGTAATGCTTTAGACAATGTCTTTGTCGTTTGTAGTATGAAACTCCTCTGGGAAGAATTAGAGTAGAAAGAGGCAGCATCCTGCAGAAATGGGTTTAAAGAAAAAAAGTAAAGTAAAAAAGAGAGGCAGCAGCAGCACCAGTGCTGGGAGTACCTAGATCTGAGTCTGGAAATCCAAAGCATACTTCTGACTTGTTGAGATACTTTGTATCGTTAAGTCATTTTCTTGTGATAAAGACTGTTTTTGTCTAAACTTTGTAATTTGGTTAGATTTCTTTAGGCTAAAAGTGTTTAACAAATTGCTTTTAGAGCATGAAGTTTACAGTCAGGCAGACCTGGATTTGAAGCCTAGTACCCCCATTACTACCTTTTGGGTAATTTCCAAATTACACAAATCAGTTTCCTCTTCTATAAAATGAAAGTACTAATTATGATTGAGGATTAGAAATATTTGTAAAAGGTTTAGCATTGAGCTTGGCACATAAAGTCTTAAATGATATTCTTACTAATGCTTTTATTATTATGAATAATTGATTTTATTTTATTCCTCCCATCATGGCTTAAGTGCAAGCCCCCATGACCACCTCTGAAAGTTACACACAGTTCAATATATTCTATATAAAGAAATTAAAAAATCATGGCTCACGTCTGTAATCCCAGCACTTTGGGAAACCACGGCTGGTGGATTGCTCGAGTCCAGGAGTTTGAGAACAGTCCGGGCAACATGGTGAAAACCTCTCTCTCCAAAAAAAAAAAAAAAAAAAAGAGCCGGGCATGGTGGTGTGTGCCTATAGTCCCAGCTACTCAGGAGGCCGGGGTGGGAGGATCACCTGAGCCCAGGAAGTTGAGGCTGCAATGAGCACTCTAGCCTGGGTGCTGGAGTGAGACCTTGTCTCAAAAAAAAAAAAAAAAAAAAAAAAGTTAAAAAATCAAAGACCAGCATACTGGAGTCTGTTTTTCTTAATTCTAGATGTGCTTCTTGACCACTTTCCTTGTCGTTGAACCATCTTCCTGTTTTTTCAGCACCAAATGTATGTTCCATGATTGTAGATATACTCAGCAGCCTCAAGGCTATTGTAAAGCAGGGCTGAGCTTGCCTTACAATGTTAATTGCACCAAAAAAACAACTTCTCTGCTGAAAGTTAAGCAGGTGAAGCTCTGGGCAAGGATACAGCTGGATGACGAAATTCAGGGCATTGCTGAGCTGCTTTTCAGGTGCCCAATCTTTAACCTTCTTGATATTGAATTGGCTAAATCAAAATAAGTGCCCAAGACTGCCCTTTCCCTAAGTTGAAAGTCATCTCACCAAGGAACTGCAGTGTGACATTTTGATTTGTTGAGCCTTTGTTGATTCTTAGATTGTCTATGTAAATAACCACTTTGACCTTGACTCCTTACTGTTTTTCTTATAGCATATGAAGGAACTGAGAATACTAGTATTGAAATAGCTGCCTTTGGCTGTGGAACTGGTGACTGTTGCATTTGTTTTTTAACTTTCATGTATAAACATTTATTTTAAGTCACATTTCCATAGATGGTTTTCCTTACTTCATTCACATATCATCAGTTTTCTTAGTTTTGTTACTCTGCTCAGCCACACAAGGGGAATAAACTTTTTACAAGAGCCAGAATTCCCAAGTGCAGTAGTTAATAAGAAGGAACATATGGTGTGCAGGTTACTCAATCACATCTTATCTTTGGCACCTGCCTCCGTCCTGTAACTTGCGATGCTCTGGGGGCCAGATCATGTTATGTGGCTATGATATATTTAATTATAGTGTCCTTTTTCATAAGTTGACATCAAGTGAACCCAGCAAGCCAAAAATCTCTATAAGAAGTAATTTGGGAAATGGGAAGGTAAGTTCCACAGGGAATGAGGTAGTACTAGCTGAAAGGGATTTCTTCCTTGTGTTCTTGAAAATGAGTGATAGGAGTGTTGGCGCACAGCAGGGAAAACAAGGCAGGAGAGGATTTATTTCAGAAATATTAAAACTTTCTGACAATAAGGCTGCAAGCCCAAGAACCTCAACTAGATTGTGCTTACATCAGTATCAGTAATGACCGTGTTCAAACAGACCCTTTATTGCTTTTGGCAAACATATCCACCTTCCACTGGCTTTGTTGCTGTCAGGAGAGAATGAGTTGAGCCATGTTAGCACTTCTTGTCCTGAATTGTTTAAGCTCTTGATTTGGTTAATTATAGAGTACTAAAATGGAATGTTTTGGATAAAGACATGGGAATGTGGTAGCAGTATGACTCCTTTTGCCTGTTACAAGAGTACTGCTCTGAAAAGTGTTCAGTAAGGCAATTGGCAGTTGGTCTGTAATAATAGTTACCAATAATTAGCCTTTTTTTTTTTTTTTTTTTTTTTGAGACAGAGTTTTACTCTTGGTGCCCAGGCTGGAGTGCAATGGTGCAATCTCAGCTCACCGCAACCTCCGCCTCCCGGGTTCAAGCGATTCCCCTGCCTCAGCTTCCTGAGTAGCTGGGATTACAGGCATGCACCACCATGCCCGGCTAATTTTCTATTTTCAGTAGAGATGAAGTTTCTCCATGTTGGTCAGGCTGCTTTCAAACTCCCGACCTCAGGTGACCTGCCTGCCTCGGCCTCCCAAAGTGCTGGGATTACAGATGTGAGCCATTAGCCTTTTATGTGCCAGGAGTTGTCATAGGGGTTCTGTAATCCTCACAACCATACTATGAGATGTAGGTGGCATTATTTCCATTTTATAGATGCAGAAATGAGATCCTGGGAGGTTAAGTGCCTTGCCCAAGGTTATACATCTAGAAAGTGTCAGAGGTAGAACTTAAATCCAGGGCTGTCCGTCTCCAAAGCCCATGTCCTTTTCATTATGCCACAGTGATTCTAACTTCTTAGATGCTGAGTTCTTGCTTTCTCCCAGAGGTCTTTTAGAATACTAAGTGAACTCTAAGGCGTGTCTGTCTGGCTAAGGCTTAGGTCATCCCAAGACCAAAGTAAGGCAGGTCTGAGTTAGAGCTTTAGGAAGAGGATGGGAGAAAATTGTACAAATGTAGAACTTGAAAGAATTGTAAATTTAGAAGAGGAGAATAAAAGCATCTTATACAGAAAAGCATTTCAAGATCAATGATGCAGCTTCACACTGGTAATTTACTGATAATCTGAGAAATTTATCCATATTTTAAAAGTTATAAATAAATTTGGAGTACCTGAGGAATATACCCTTTCTTCCTGTTCAGCTAACACTTTTTCCCTATTCTTTAAGCCTCACCATCTCTATGAGTCAATCTTTGATAAGAGCTTTTGAAAATTGCAAAGGGAAGAATATTCCTACTGTATACCAGGCATTGTACTTAGAGCTTTACATATACTGTTTTATTTAATTCTTTTTTTTTTTTTTTTTTTTTTTGAGACCAAGTCTCGCTCTGTCACCCAAGCTGGAGTGCAGTGGCGATCTCGGCTCACTGAAACCTCCGCCTCCTGGGTTCAAGCGATTCTCCTGTCTTGCCCTCCTGAGTAGCTGGGACTACAGGTGTGTGCCACCACACCCGGCTGATTTTTTTAATTTTTAGTAGAGACTGGGTTTCACCAAGTTAGCCAGGGTGGTCTCGATCTTCTGACCTCGTGATCCACCCGCCTCAGCCTCCCAAAGTGCTGGGATTACAGGCATGAGCCACCGCGCCCGGCTATTTAATTCTTTTAAGAGGCCTCGAAGATAGCTAGTGTTCTCCTTGTTTTATTGAAGAAACTGAGTGTCGAAGAGATTAAGGAATTTGTCTCAAGGTTACACGGTAATGTGATGGAACTAACAGAGCCCTAAACTGTTGCTTTTCAATTCAAATAGTACTCTGTTCGAAACTCAGGATGAACCTTCTAAATCTTTTTTTTTTTTTTTTTGAGATGGAGTCTTGCTTTGTTGCCCAGGCTGGAGTGCAGTGGTGCGGTCTTGGCTCACTGCAACTTCTGCCTCCCGGGTTCAAGTGATTCTTCTGCCTCAGCCTCCCGAGTAGCTGGGACTACAGGTGCACGCCACCACGCCTGGCTAATTTTTGTATTTTTAGTAGAGACGAGGTTTCACCATATTGTCTAGGCTGGTCGTGAACTTCTGACCTCGTGATCCACCTGCCTCAGCCTCCCAAAGTGCTGGGATTACAGGCGTCAGCCACCACGCCTGGCCCTAAATCTTAATCTGTGTTTTTTGGGTAGTTTTTTTGTTATTGCACTGACAGTTTCTTTTTATTTATTGCGTGGTTGAAGGTCTTACCGTGTGTTTTTGTGAGCATTTATTTTCTGAGAAAGCAGCCTGAGGTGGGCAGATCATGAGGTCAAGAGATCAAGACCATCCTGGCCAATGTGGTGAAACCCTGTCTCCACTAAAAATACAAAAAATTAGCTGGGCATGGTGGTGCACTCCTACAGTTCCAGCTACTCAGGAGGCTGAGGCAGGAGAATCACTTGAATGCTTGAATGCGGGAAGTGGAGGTTGCAGTGAGCCGAGATCATGCCACCGCGCTTCAGCCTGGCGACAGAATGAGACTCTGTCTCAAAAAAAAGAAAAAAAAAAGCTGCTTTAGGAGCTGAAGTTGCAGTTGTGTGTTTGATGTCTTGAGGAAGACAATTACTACTACTACTACTACTAGTACTACCTACATTCTCAGTATCCAGTTAATTGAAGAAATCGATAGTTCATTAAAAAGGGAGAGTGAGTTTATTATATCATTTCCTTGGAAGTGATTCCCTCCCCCACGAGAGAAAAAAAGTTTGTTGTAATCTTTATTCAGACCCTTTGTCAAGTTTATAAAGAATATGCAGTTTGTTTCATGGTGGTTTTTGTTTAAATAATTTAGAGAGGTACAACTGAGGCAGATGGGAAGAGAACAATCTTGGCAGTTGCCCTGATCCACTGCCCTGCTGTCATGTTTAGGTGGTAGACACAATTAGAGGAGCTGAAATTCCATTCACCCAACAAGAGGTTTAGTAAACTTGATCAGATTTCTATGGAATTTGTAGGAGCTTTTTATAGTCTGAATGACCTATGGCCTGCGATTTGGTGAGAGCAGAGCAGAAAGCGGCAGTGGATTGACGTTTCTTCTGTAACAGTTCCCAACTCTAAAATTACTTTGATTAAATTAGATGATTATTTGTATGGGTTTCAGTCTCCCTTTTCCCCAGCTGTATCGTGCAACAGTTCAGTTAGCTATTTCCCTCTTGGACGCTTGCACTAAAAGCTGGTGATTTTATTTTCTTTTTTTTTTTCAAGGGTCTATCAGTAGAAATCTATTGGTTTGGGGCACCTAGTTCTTAGCTTAGAACCTATATAAAGGAAGGGTATTTGAACTGCTGATTGAGTTTCTCTGAGTATAGGACTTTAGCCTTTCTGAATGTTGCAAACCTGAGGCTAAAACTAGCTTCATCTTCTCTGCACACACTTACATTCTACAGTGCTCCAAGGTGAAACTTCATCTATTGACTACCTTTTCTTGGAAACTCTTCTCTTGGCTTCAGTGTCACTTATAATTGCTACCATTTACTGAATACTTACTCCGTGTCAGGAATCTCTGTCTTAGTATTTAATCCTCATGACAACTTTATCAGATGTGTAGTACTATCTTTATATTATGGATAAGAAAATATAGGCTCAAAGAGAGTAATTAACTTGTCCAAGGCTTTGTCAATGAAATGCTGGCCATAGCAATATTGGGCAGCTTTGCCTCTGTGCCAACACCCGTGCTGCTCTGACCAGACTCCCACTGAAGTCTGCTTAAGCTGCTGCTAAGACCACTTTGGATCTCACAATCTAGCCTCTTTCAAGGGGAGGCCTAAACACCATGCCTCACATCCCTGTTTGTTTCAGTCACTACCCGCCATCCGCCATCCATTATCTTCCCAATACTAATTCCTTTACCACTCTCTTCATCCTTCAGCTGATTCAGTCCCTCAAACTGTTCCACCATGTTCTTTACAATATCCCCCTCCTTGATCAGCAGATTCACATGTAGTATCAGTCTCTAGCAGCAAGATCAAGTTATAAGGGCAACAGTGGCAAGTGTTAGCACTTAGTATCCAGAACTGTGATGGTGCAAACCAAGCTGCAGCATCTCCTGCTTGGCATTAGCAATCACATCTTTGCCAACCCAGTTCTGTAATTTTGAGTGTTGTTTTAGCTGTGTAGCACTTAAGTTCTTCACTGAAAAAGTGACCTCATATCCTTTCTGTAAATTCTTTTTCTGTTTAATTCAGCCAGTGTTGACTTCTGCTGCTTGTAGAACTTGGAGTGATGTACGGGTTGAACCTAACCATCTACCTTCTTAGTTGCTGGCACTCATGGAGCTGAGAGTTGCTAGAGAAAATCAGCAAATTAGACAGATCAGTGTCATTAAAAATTTATAATCATCTATTTCATATGCATAATCAGCATTACCTAGCAATGTTATACATTTCTCTAGTTCACTTTCCAGCTCACTGCGAATTATTTCTTCATATTGTCTCTTTCTCTTTTCTTTTTTACTGAGACAAGGTCTCCCTCTCTCACCCAGGCTGGAGTGCAGTGGTACAGTCACAGCTCACTGTAGCCTCAAACTCCCTGGTTCAAGCAATCCTCCTGTCTCAGCCTCCTGAGTAGCCAGAACTACAAGTGTGCTACCACGCCTGGCTATTTTTTTATTTTTTTGTAGAGACGGTATCTTGCCATGTTGCAGGTCTCCAATTCTCGGGCTCAAGTGATCCTCCTGTCTCACCCTTCCAAAGTGCTGGGATTATAGGCATTAGCCACTGTGCCTGGCCTACTGTCTCTATTTCTTTTTCTCTTTTTTTGAGATGGAATCTTGCTCTGTCCCCAGGCTGGAGTGCAGTGGCGCGATCTCCGCTCACTGCAACCTCCGCCTCCCGGGTTCAAGCGATTCTCCTGCCTCAGCCTCATGAGTAGCTGGGACTACAGGCACGCACTACCACGCCCAGCTAATTTTTGTATTGTTAGTAGAGATGGCGTTTCACCGTGTTCGCCAGAATGGCTCAATCTCCTGACCTCGTGATCCGCCCTCCTCAGCCTCCCAAAGTGCTGAGATTATGGGCATGAGCCACCGTGCCCAGCTCTTATTTCTAATCTCTCATATTTTCTTCTTTTTTAACCAGTCATAGGCTTTATGCCTCATTATAAAAATGGAAGCTGCTGAATGGGAATTCCTTCATTCTTTTACCTCCCAAGTCTACAAACCTATGTGCATCTGGGACTCATCTTTTTCTCCTTCATTCTGTCAAGACCAATCCCTTCACAGGTGCTGTAATCATTCTTTTCTCCCCCTCCCCCCTTCCTCCTCCTTTCTTTTTCTATCTTTCTTCTCTCTCTTTCTCTTTGTTTTCATTCATTTTTCTTCAAGAGATGAAGTCTCACTCTGTAGCCCAGGCAGGAGTGCAGTGGTGTGGTCATAGCTCATTGCACCCTCAACCTCCTGAGCTCAATAGAACCTCCCTTCTCAGCCTCCCGAGTAGCTGGGACTATAGGTGCATGCCACCATACCTGGCTAATTTTTTTATGACTTTCTTGTAGAGATGGGGTCTCTTTTTTCCCCCTAGATGGAGCCTTACTCTGTCACCCAGGCTGGACTGCAGTGGCACTATCTCGGCTCACTGCAACCTCCGCCTCGTGAGTTCAAGCAATTCTGCTGCCTCGGCCTCTCAAGTAGCTGGGATTACAGGCATCCGCCACTGTGCCTGGCTAATTTTTGTATTTTTAGTAGAGACGGGGTTTCACCAGGTTGGCCAGGCTGGTCTGGAACTCCTGACCTTGTGATCTGCCCACTTTGGCCTCTCAAAGTGCTGGGATTACAGGCGCGAGCCCACACCTGGCCAAGATGGGGTCTCTTGCTATGTTGCCTAGGCTGGTCTTGAACTCCCAGCTTCAAGTGATCCTTCCTCCTTGGCCTTTGAAAGTACTGGGATTATAAGCATGAGCCGCTGCACCCAGCCACATTTTAAAAACTTTTTGTAGAGATGGTGTCTCACTTTGTTGCCCAGGCTGGCCTCGAATTCCTCGCTTCAAGCAGTCCTTCTGCCTCACCCTCCCAAAGTGCTGGGATTACAGGTGTGAGCCACTGTGCTTGGCCTCTCCTGTCTTAAAGAATTTCTTCCTTTGGTTTATTTCATCTTTCTACTAGGTCTTTTCCTTCAGAATTCACACTTGCCCTATTGTCTCCCATTTTGAAAACCCTGTCCTTTGACCTGCATATTTTCTGTTGCTGTCATGTTTTTCTATTCTCTTTCACAGGCATGCTTCTTAAAGGAGTTTTCAGTACATGCTATATGTGCTTTTTTCCTCTCATGAATTCCTTAACTCACTCCTGCTATAATATTCTGTTTAACCAAAACAAAACCCTCTTGCTAAAGTTGTTGATGTCCATTAGATTGGGAAACATGGGGGTCTTTTTTTTCAGTCCTCATCTTCTTGGACCTCTTAGCAGCATTTGACATTGACTCCTTGTGAAACACTCTTTTCCCTTGGCTTCTGTGACACCGATCTTTACTAGCTTCCATCTTATTTCTCTAGCTGCTCCTTCTCATTCTTCTTCTTTTTTTTTTTTTGAGGCAGATCTCACTGTGTTGCTCAGGCTGGAGTGCAATAGTATGATCACTGTAAACTTGAACTCCTGGGCTCAAGAGAGGCTTCCACCTCTGAACCTAAAGGACTAGGATTACAGACATGTGCCACCTCATCCAGCCTCCTTCTCATTCTTCTTCTTCTTCTTTCTCTTGAGACAGGGTCTCACTGTGTCACCCAGGCTGGAGTGCAGTGGTACCATCATGGCTCACTGCAGCCTCAACTTCCCAGGCTCAAGCAATCCTCCCACCTCACCCTGTGGAGGAGCTGGGACTACAGGCACATGCCACCATGCCCAACTGATTTTTGTATTTTTTGTAGAGATGGGGTTTCGCCATATTGCCCAGGCTGGTCATGAACTCCTGGGCTCAAGTGAGCTGCTCACCTCAGCTTTCCAAAGTGAGTTTTATAATAACTTGTACATAAATAAAAGCATACTCTCTATACATTGTTTTGCAGGTTCCTTTTTTATTCAGTAGCACATCTTAGAGCTCTTTCTGTATCAGTACCTATAGATCTGTCTCATATTTTTTAACTGCTCAATTAATTTCCTAAGTCTATATTGTTGTTTCTTAAACCATTCTTCCATTGATGCACATTTACCTTAACTTGTTTTTTCTTTCTTTATACATGGTGCTGCAGTAACTATCTGTATGCATTTTTGTGTGTGTACATGTAGAAGTGTTTCTCTAGGATCAATATCTAAAATTTTAATTTTGGGATCAAAGATAGCCTTTTTTTTTTTTTTTTTTGAGAGTTTTTTGAGACTCTGTCACCTGGGCTGGAGTGCAATGGCACGGTCTCAGCTCACTGCAACCTCCACTTCCTGGGCTCAAGCAATCCTCCCATCTCAGCCTCCTGAGTTAGCTGGGACTACAGGTACACGCTGCCACGCCCAGCTAATTTTTAATTTTAATTTTAATTTTTTTTTTTTGAGACAGTCTTGCTCTGTTGTCCAGGCTGGAGTACAGTGGTGTGATCTCAGCTCACTGCAACCTCCGTCTTTCAGGTTCAAGCGATTCTCTTGCCTCAGCCTCCCGAGTAGCTGGGATTACAGGTGTGTGCCACCACCCCTAGCTAATTTTTGTATTTTTCATAGAAACGAGGTTTCACGGTGTTGCCCAGGATGGTCTTGAACTCCTGACCTCAGGTGATCCGCCTGCCTCGGCCTCCCAAAGTGCTGGGATTATAGGTGTGAGCCAATGTACCTGGCCCAGCTAATTTCTGTGTTTTTTGTAGAGATGGGGTTTTACCATGTTGCCCATGTGGGTCTCAAACTCCTGGGCTCAAGCGATCTGCCCGCCTCAGCCTCCCAAAGAGGCATAAAACACAGTGCTTGGCCGTGTTTTAAACTAAATGCAAAATGCCATGTTGTCTTTAAAAATGTAGTACCATTTTACATATCAGCTAACGATACACGAAACAACTCTTTCACCATACATTTACCAATACTGAGTATTTTTCCATCTTTGGGGGAAAGTCTTTTACTGGTCTTTTTATAATATCTGCATTCTTCTGACAGAATGAGGCTGAGAGTATTTTCATGCATATATTGGCAATTTATATTCTTTTTCTTGTAATTCCCTGTTCATATTCATTAACAAATTATTTATTGATTGACTACTGTATGCCAAGTGCTGGGGATACAGCAGTAAACAAAACGGATAAAATCTCTGCCTTCGTATTGGATTTTTTTTTTCATGTTGGTTTTAGGAATTCTTTATATATTCTGGATATTAATTATTTGTGTATATGTTGCAAATATTTTTTCCTACTCCATTTCTTGTTTCTTGTAACATTGTTTATTATTTTCAAAGTTTTTATAAACTTGGATTTACCAGTTTTTTTCCTTTTTGGCTTCAACATTTTGTGTCTTAGAATTGCCTTTCCAACCCCAAATTTATAAACAACATCTGTGTTTTCTTCACCTGTTTATATGGTTGTATTTATTATATTTTGGTCTTCAATCCATCTGGAATTAATTTTTGTTTGTAATGTAAAATAGGGACTATTTGTAATATGAGATAGCTCTATTTGTTCCCAAATAAAATATATTTTACCTTTTTCTGGTTTGTTCTCTGATTGTTTCTTTAACTTGTCTTTCTTAACTATTTTTCTTTCTTAACTCTTAGTTTACATGTAGAAGAAACTTGTGATTGAAGACTGTGCCTATTTATTAACGCAAATATGACACTAAAAATTAGCATCCTGATACTACTGATTTAGTGTTTACGGTGAATTATTCATAGAAATACTTGCTATTTTAGCGATTTTTTTTTTTTGTTTATGTAGATTAGTTTATGTTTTGACGGAAATTGGAGCCCCAATGATATCTCGGATACATGTCCTATGCAGTGGTAGCCTACAGAGAAACTCATCTTCTGCATTATACTAAGTTAGAAAAATGTGATACTGTGTGGTCCTTTTCCAAAATGACACTTTATTAATATTATTATTCTGAGACAGAGTCTTGCTGTGTCGCCCAGGCTAGAGTGCAGTGGCACCATTGGGTCACTGCAACCTCCATCTCCCGGGTTCAAGCAACCCCAGCCTCCCGAGTGGCTGGGATTACAGGTGCCCACCACTGCACCCAGCTAATTTTTTTTGTAGTTTTTAATAGAGACAGGGTTTCACCATCTTGGCCAGGCTGGTCTTGAACTCCTGACCTTGTGATCCACCTGCTTCGGCCTCCCAAAGTGCTGGGATTACAGATGTGAGCCACCACACCTGGCCAATTATTATGATTTTAAGGCCTTGTCAGGAATTGAGTATGTGTGATGAGGCTCTAGGACGAAAAATTTTTCCCGGGTTAGGTAGGTGTGGTCACCTATCTTTCAAAGTTGACATTAACTGCGTTAGCTTAAAGAAGAAATTCTTTTCCTGGAAGGCAAATAAAGATTCTTCTTCAACAAAGCTTTATTGGATATACAGCTCAACTGAGTCTAGTCTTGGGTCACTGAGCTCAGGGAGGTAGAAATGGAATAGGAATTGTACTACCTTAATTCATGTCTTTCATTTCTGTAAGGGAGAAAAGATGATTGGCCTAATGCTATTTTTTTTATGACCGATGCTAGACTGTATTAGAGAAGTAACTTAACTGCTTCTGGATATTTGCCTAATAATCTCCCTAATACATTGTGAGCTTCTTTTTTGCAAAAACCGTTTATTTGTTGGGTGTCAAATACTGCTAAGTGCTAGAGTTATAAGTTAGCAAGATACCATTCTTGCCCTCCAGGAGAGGATAGGGAATGTAGACACAGAAATAACTAAATACAGTGTAGTTTGATATAAGCAATACTGGAAACAGGAATTGTAGTTTGAAGAGGTCAGCACTGAAATTGAGGTGAAACCCAAGAGGTTTCACCATGTGTCAGAACCTCTGTGGCCGGGCGCGGTGGCTCACGCTTGCAATCCCAGCACTTTGGGAGGCCGAAGCAGCAGATCACTTGAGCTCAGGAGTTTGAAACTAGCTTGACCAACACAGTGAAACCCTGTCTCTACTAAAAATACAGAAGTTAGTCAGGCGTGGTGGGGCGGGTGCCTGTAATCCCAGCTGCTTAGGAGGCTGAGGCAGGAAAATCGCTTGAATCCAGGGGTGGAGGTGGCAGTGAGCTGAGATGGCACCACTGCACTCCAGCCTGAGCAACAGAGCAAAACTCCGTCTCAAAAAAAAAGAACCTTTGTGAGGTTTCCTTGTTCCAGCTTTACAAGTCTAGAAATTCACATTTTTGTGCAATCAGGGATCATTTACCTGTTAGGACTGGCTCAGACTAACCAAAATCATGGGAGACTCATATTTAAAACAAAATGGTAACTCTTAATTTACAGTCATGTATAACACTCAAGCTAATCTGATAAACGTGTAAATCAGAGGATATTCTGGAAAATCTATATGGGAGGTCTAATTATAGTTAGAGACAGTTTATTAAGTTTGGAATCATTTAGATCCTTGCTATTCAAACTGATCCTTGCTTTTCAAACCAGAAGCATTGGTTATCACCTGGGAGCTTGTGAGATATGAACAATATCAGGTAACTCTGGCTCTGTACTAGCATATATCTGTCAGAACCTCAATTTTGTATTCGTTGTTGAGTAGATGTTGGCTTAGCAATTAGTCTCATTTCATGTTTCTCATTTTTATTAATTTTTTTTTTTTTTTTAGAGATGGGGGTCTTGCTTTGATACCCAGGCTGGAGTGCAGTGGTGCTGGAGTGCAATGGTGTGATCATAGTTCACTGCAGCCTCAAACTGCTGGGCTCAAGCAGTCCTCCTGCCTTAGCCTCCTGAGTAGCTTGGGATTACAGGCCCAAGCCACTGTGCCCAGCTTCATGCTTCTCTTTTATGAAACCTCAGAGTAGAAAAGCAAGAAAATAATTTTAGGGTTTTATGGAAAGGTGGAAACTTACAGTAAAACCTGTTATAAGACTTATAACAAAATACTCAATAGACACAAAGACATAGAAAAATAAACAGGCACAGATATATAGAGACAGACACACCGAGACCCAGAGGGAGAGTTACACACAGACTCCCTACACACAGAGACACTTCCCCCATATATACATAACAGAACCCCTGCCCCACCATGCCCAAGCCTCTACCCAGTCCCTTCCCACACACAGAGACCCCATACCCACAGAGAGAACCCCACGGCTGGCCGGACGCGGTGGCTCACGCCTGTAATCCTAGCACTTTAGGAGGCTGAGGCGGGTGGATCACCTGAGGTTGAGAGTTCGAGACCAGCTTGACCAACATGGAGAAACCCTGTCTCTACTAAAAATACAAAATTGGTCGGGCACATGCCTGTAATCCCAGCTACTCGGGAGGCTGAGGCAGGAGAATCGCTTGAACCCGGGAGGTGGAGGTTGCGGTGAGCCGAGATCGCGCCATTGCACTCCAGCCTGGGCAACATGAGCAAAAAAAATCCGCCTCAAAAAAAAAAAAGAATCCCATGGCCATCTCCACAGAGAGTCTTCTCCATGGTTACAGAGACACCCCACACAAACCACACACACCCTGAGACCCACCCACACACAAAAACACGGGCTCCCACAGAGAGAAATACATACACAGACACACACACTGACATCCAACAGGTAATGCTTAAAACTAAGGTTTTCATGGAGCGTGAATAGTGTTCTCCACAGTTATTTTGAGGAGAAGGAGCAAGTGTTCTCTCAAAGGTACTTTTAACTGAGCCAGAAAATGAAGCAAAAACAGACGGGCTGCCATTGGGTCTGCAGAACAGTGAATGCTACAAAGCCAGTTTGATTTGGATTCCTGTTTCTGGAACTGCTTGTTCCTGGGCATTGTTTTCAGTTTGATGCACTCAGCATGCTTAGGTGGAAAGTCATTCTCTTATTTTCTCTCAGGAGCTTGCATCCTAGATTGCTGGTTAAGCAGAGTTTTATGCTCAGTCTCCTTTGGCACTAATTAACACACTCCCTTGGTGCTCCCTGAGTCATATAAGTCTGCCCAGGATTGGAAGATCCAGAAACACTGTGCCCATGTGGAGGAACTCATACTGAGTCCTCTGTGGGTGCGTGGGACCGAGGAATGTAGGGGGAAGATTATGTATTAGATATAGAAAGAGATGTAATTTTCATTTTTTTTTAACCTGTGGGTCATTCATGGTATAGGTTTGCGTAGAGAGCTTGATGGAACTTAAGAATGACTTAGGAATTATTTAGTTGTAAATTAAATGATTTTTAAGCTACATTAATGTGGGCAGGGGATGGCGCTTTGGATTATTTTGGTTGAGAGAGAACACTGAAACTACATAGCCAGATTTCTTGTGACTCGGGCAGCATCTTCTGAGAATTATCTTGTTAGGAAAAAGAGTTGACACATGCAGCATGTTTGTGTGTGTAAATACTTGAAAGTTTCTATCACACCAAGGGAGCCAGACACCAGAGACATCAGAATAGTTTTATAAACGTTAAGTTCCAAAAAGAACTATTTTCTCTTGTTGCCTGGCACACGTATATGTATTCCTTTGACTAAACCTGTTTAATTTCAAACAGGCTAGGCATGGTGGCTCATGCCTGTCATCCCAGCACTTTGGGAGGCTGAGGCAGGTGGATCACCTGAGGTCAGGAGTTCGAGACCAGCCTGGCCAACATGGTGAAACCTTGTCTCTACTAAAAATATAAAAATTAGCCAGGTGTGGTGGTGTGCACCTGTAGTTCCAGCTACTCGGGAGGCTGAGGCAGGAGAATCACTTTAACTCGGGAGGCAGAGGTTGCAGTGAGCTGAGACTGGCCACTGTACTTCCAGTCTGGGTGACAGAGTGAGACTCCATCTCAAAAAAAATAAAATAAAATAAAATTTCATTTCAAATAGATGGAAGAGTCATGAGAAAAGTGTACTCATTATCCAGTTTAACAAATGTTTTCATTTTGCAAAATTTCTTTATTTTTTAAAGATGTAAAACATTGGATAAAATTGAAGACGCAGCTGGCCACAGTGGCTCACGTCTGTAATCCCTTTGAGAGGCCAAGGTGGGAGGATCAGTTGAGGCCAGAAGTTCAAGACCAGCCTGGGCAACATAGTGAGACCCTATCTCTATTTTTTTTAAAAAAGGGAGACAGAAAAAAAAAAAAAAGAACTCTGTGTATTCCTTCTCTATTCATTCTCCTTTATCCCTTCTCTCCTTCCCATAAGGCCCACAAAGGTAACTTTGTGTTTATAACTCCCCTTCATGTTTAGTACTTTTGCTATATATTCTTTATCAGTATCAATTGTATGTCAGCAGATAATATATAGCATTGTTTTGTTTATAAACTTTACATAAATGGTATTTATGTATTCTGCAGCCCTCTTTTTTACTTAACTTTAGAGTTTTAGCCAGTTTGATACATGTAGATTTTCTAATTGATTTAACTACTATGTGGTATTTCACATGTATGAATATACTACAGTTTACACATTCATCTCACTGTGTTGCCCAGTCTGGTCTCAAACTCCTCCTGGACTCAAGCGATCCCTCCTGCTTTGGCTTCCTAACGTGTTGGGATTCCAGGCAGGAGCCACCAAGCCTGGCCTTTTTTTTTTTTTTTAACTGAAATGAACAACCTTACTCATGTTTCCTTATGCACATGTGTGAGAGTTTCTCCAGGATGTATCTCTAGAAGCAAAATTGCTTATGGTGGCCGGGTGCAGTGGCTCACGCCTATAATCCCAGCACTTTGGGAGGCCAAGGGGGGCGGATCACGAGGTCAGAAGTTTGAGACCAGTCTGGCCAATATAGTGAAACCCCGTCTCTACTAAAAATACAAAAAATTAGCGGGGTGTGGTGGTGTGCGCCTGTAATCCTAGCTACTCCGGAGGCTGATGCAGGAGAATCATGTGAACCCAGGAGGCGGAGGTTGCAGTGAGCTGAGATCGTGCCATTGCACTCCACCTGGGTGACAGTGTGAGACTCTGTCTCAGAAAAAAAAAAAAAAAAATTGCCTGTGGTATGTTAATTTATATCAGCTTGACAAGATATTTCCAAATTGCTTTCTGAAGTGGCTTGATTCCTGTTTTCAAATCCTTACTAATATGTGGTGTCGTCAGACATTAAACTTCTGTCAGGTAGTATCTCTGTTGTTTTAATTTGCATTTCCTTGGATAGTGAGATTGAGTTTCTTCTAATATGTCTGTAGTTCATTTGGATTTCCTTTTTTCATATCCTTTCCCATTTTTCTGTTGGGATCCCAGTGGCGTTTTCTTATCGACTATATTGTTTCTCTTTTTTTTTTTTTTTTTTTTGAGATGGAGTCTCACTCTGTCGCCCAGGCTGGAGTGCAGTGGCATGATCTTGGCTCACTGCAACCTCTGAAGCCCGAGTTCAAGCAATTCTCCTGCCTCAGCCTCCTGAGTAGCTGGGATTACAGGCGCCTGCCACTGTGCCCAGCTAATTTTTTTTTGTATTTTTAGTAGAGATGGGGTTTCACCATCTTGGCCAGGCTGGTTTTGAGCTCCTGACCTTGTGATCCACCTGCCTCGGCCTCCCAAAGTGCTGGGATTACAGGCGTGAGCCACCATGCCCAGCCGACTATATTGTTTCTAATTCCTTATCAGATATGTGTGTGTGTTGAAAATATCTTTTGGTCTGTGGCTTGTGGCTTTACTTATGACTTTTATTAAAAAGTTAAAAATTTTAATATAAAATTGATTTTTTAAAATCATTTGTCCTTTTTGAGTCTTGTTTTAGAAACTTGTACCTATCCTGGGGTCATATTTTCAATATAGTCTTCTAAAATGTTTAGTTTTGTGTTTTCAGTTATGTCTTTTGTTTGTTTTTGTTTTTGTTTTGTTTTGTTTTGTTTTGAGACGGAGTCTTGCTCTGTCGCCCAGGCTGGAGTGCAGTGGCACCATCTAGACTCACTGCAAGCTCCACCTCCTGGGTTCACGCCATTCTCCTGCCTCAGCCTCCCGAGTAGCTGGGACTACAGGCGCCCACCACCACGCCCAGCTAATTTTTGTATTTTTAGTAGAGATGGGGTTTCACCGTGTAAGCCAGCATGGTCAGCCAGGATGGTCTCGATCTCCTGGCCTCGTGATCCACCTGCCTCGGCCTCCCAAAGTGCTGGGATTACAGGCATGAGCCACCATGCCTGGCCTTCACAGTCATGTCTTTAATCCAACTGAAATTAATATTTTATATGGTATGAGATAGTGATCTTATTTTATTTTATTTTATTTTATTTATTATTTTTTTCTTTTTTTGTGCTTTTTTTTGGTGGGGGGACAGTATCTTGCTGTGTTGCCCAGGGTAGAGTGCAGTGGTGCAATCATGGTTCACTGCAGCCTTGAACTCCTGGACTCAAGTGATTCTTCAGCCTCAGCCTTCCCTGTAGCTGGGACTACAGGTGTATGGGCCATCATGCCTAATTCATTTTTTTTTTTTTTTCTGTAGATACAGAGTCTTGCTATGTTGCCCAGGATGGTGTTGAATTCCTGGGCTCAAGCAATCCTTCAACCTTGGCCTTTCAAAATGCTGGAATTACAGGCATGAGCCACTGTGCCTGGCCTTATTTTATTTTCCATATGGATAACCAGTTGTCCCATATGTTTCCATATGGACAACCAATTGTTGACTGAGTATGTCTTTTCTCTGTGATACGTGTCATAGTCCACTCAGGTTGCTGTAACAAAAATACCATAGATAGGGAGGCTTATAAACAATGGAACTTGCTTTCTCATGGTTCTGGAGGCTGGGAGTCTGAGATCAGACTGGTGATCAGATTCAATGTCTGGTGTGGCCTAGCTAACTGGTTCATAGATGACAGTCTTTTTGCTGTGTCCTCACTTGGGGGAAGAGGGAAGGGAATTCTCTGGGACCCTCTTTTATGAGGGCACTAATCTCATTTATGAGGACTCCACCCTCATGACCTAATCACCTCCCAAAGGCCTCACCACCAAATACCATCACACTGGGGGTTAGATTTCAACATACGAATCTTTTGGGGGAACACAAACATTCAGTCTAGGGCAATATCTAATGCCGCCTTCTGATATCCAGATCCTTTCTGTTTCTGGATTCTCCCTTTTGTTTCACTGGTGTCTTTGTTGATGTCTTTACCAATTGCATGCTTTTTAAATTGTTAGAACTTTATAACAACTCTTGATATTTTGGTTGGGCAAGTTCTTCCTAATGTATTCCTTATTTTAAACAGCAAGAGGTAAAATTTGCGTAGTGTAAAATCCACCCATTACAAATTACAATTCAATGATATATATTTGTAGAATATTCTTTTTTTTTTTTTTTTTTTGACAGAGTCTCACTCTGTTGCCCAGGCTGGAGTGCAGTGGCACAGTCTCGGCTCACTGCAGTCTCCGCCTCCTGGGCTCAAGTGATTCTCTTACTTCAGCCTCCCGAGTACCTGGGATTATAGGCGTGTACCACCATGCCTAGCTAATTTTTGTATTTTTAGTAGAGATGGGGTTTCACCATGTTGGTCAGGCTGGTCTCAAACTCCTGACCTCAGGTGATCGACCTGCCTCAGCCTCCCAAAGTGCTGGGATTACAGGCATGAGCCACTGCACCCGGCCAGAATATTCTGTTTATGGTAAAATATATATAACATGCAATTTACCATTTTATACATTTTTAAGTGCATAGTTCAGTGGCATTAAGTACATTCACACTGTTGTGCAACCATCACTACTACTCATCTTCTGAAGTTTTTTCATCTTCCCAAACCAAAACTCCATACCCATTAAACAGTAACTCTCCATTCCTTCCTCCCCCAGCCCCTGGAAATCACCATTCTATTTTGTCTTTTATGAATTTGACTTCTCTAGGTACCTTATATAAGTAGACTCATACAGTATTTTTCCTTATGTCTGGCTTATTTCACTTAGCATAATATCTTCAAGGTTCATCCATGTTGTATCACATGCCAGAATTTCATTCATTTTTCAGGGTGAATAATATTCCATTTTACATATACGTACCACATTTTGTTTATTCATTTGTTAATGAACAGTTGGGTTGTTTCTACCTTTTGGCTGTTGTGAATAATGCTTCTATGAACATTGCCATACAAATATCTGTTGAAGTCAATACTTTGAGTTCTGTTGGTTGTATACCCAGAAATGGAATTGCTGGGTTATATGGTCATTTTATTTCTGACGTTTTGCAAAACTGTCATACCGTTTTCCATAGCAACTGCACTGTTTTACATTTCTATCATCAGTGTACAAGGATTCTAATTTTTATACATCGACAACACTTATTTCGTTTTTTGATAATAGTCATCCTAATAGGTGTGAAGTATGTTGGATTTGTTTTTTTTTTTTTTGAGACGGAGTTTCACTCTTGTTGCCCAGGATGAGTGCAATGATGCGATCTTGGCTCACTGCAACCTCTGCCTCCCGGGTTCAAGTGATTCTCTTGCCTCAGCCTCCCGAGTAGCTGGGATTACAGGCATGTGCCACCACGCCCATCTAATTTTGTGTTTTTAGTAGAGACAGGGTTTCTCCATGTTGGTCAGGCTGGTCTTGAACTCCCGACCTAAGGTGATCCACCCGCCTCGGCCTCCCAAAGTGCTGGGATTACAGGCGTGAGCCACCACACCCTGCCAAGTATGTAGAATTTTAAAATCACCTCCACAATCCAGTTTCAGAACATTTTCATTTCCCCCAGAAGTCACTTTTGCCCATTTGTGGTCAGTCCCTGATCCCACCCTCTGCCCCAGGTAACTACTGATCAGCTTTCTTTCTGTTTATTTTTATTTTTTTGAGACAGGATCTCGCTCTGTCACTCTGGCTGGAGTGCCATGCTGTGAACTCGGCTCACTGTGGTCTTGATCTCCTACGCTCAATCGATCTTCTCATCTCACCTTCCAAGTAGCTG
Source organism: Homo sapiens (assembly GCF_000001405.40). Classification (NCBI taxonomy): domain Eukaryota; kingdom Metazoa; phylum Chordata; class Mammalia; order Primates; family Hominidae; genus Homo; species Homo sapiens. The sequence goes on from NC_000007.14 coordinate 129,246,631, forward strand.
GGGCTATAGTTGCGTGCCACCGTGGCTGGCTAATTTTTGTATTTTTTGTAGAGATGGGATATCATCTTGTTGCCCAGGCAAGTCTCAAACTCCTGGGCTCAAGTGATCCACCTGCCTCAGCTTCCCAAAGTGCTGGGACTATAGTTGTGAGCCACCATGCCTTTTCTGGAAATTTCATATAAATTAAATTATACAATATGGGGTCTTTTGTGTGTGGCTTTTCCACTTGATGTAATGTTTTTGAGGTTCATTCATGTAGTAGGTTCATTCAGTAGTTCCTTTTTATTGCTGAGTAGTATTTCATTATATGGCTATACCACATTTTATCAGTTTAGTAGTTGATGGACATTTAGATTATATCATCTTTTAGCTATTTTGAATAATGCAGTTATGATCAATTATGGTAAATCTTTTGGCAGACATATATTTTCATTTCTCTTGGGTGGATATCTAGGAGTGGAATGGCTGGGTTGTGTGTTACATTTATGTGTAATTATTTCATATAAATGTAACTGGCAAACTGTTTTCCAAAGCGATTGTATGATGTTAGATTCCCACCAGCAATGCATGAATGTTTCATTTTCTTTACATCCTTGCCAATACTTGGCATTGTCAGTCTTTTTGATGATAACCATCGAAGCAGTTGTATAGTGCTATGTCATTATGGTTTTAATTTGTGTTTCCTCATGACTAATGATGTTGAGCATGTGCTTATTAGCTATTTGTATATCTTTTTTGCTAAAATGACTGTTTACATCATTTTCCCATTTTTAATTGGGTTGTTTTATTATTGAGTTGTAGGAATTCTTTATACAGCATGTTCTGAATACAAAAGATTTTTCAGATATGTGATTTGCAAATACTTTCTCCTAGTCTGTGGCTTGTCTTTTCATTTTCCTGATGATGTATTTTAAAGAGCTAATCTTTTTAATTTTGAAAAAGTCCAATTTACTACTTTTTAAATAGATTGTACTTTTTTTTTCCCCCCAAGACAAGGCCTCATTCTGTCACCCAGTTTGGAGTGCAGTAGCATGATCATGGCTTACTGCAGCCTTGACTTCCCTGGGCTCAGATGATTCTCCCACCTCAGCCTCCTGAGTAGCTGGGAGTACAGGTGTGTGCCACCATGCCCAGCTAATTTTTCTATTTTTCGTAGAGAAGGGGTTTTGCCATGTTGCCCAGGCTGGTCTTGAACTCCTGGGTTCAATCAATCTGCCCACTTCTGCCTCCCAAAGTGCTGGGACTGCAAGCATGAGCCACTGCACTTAGCCTTAGATTCTACTTTTGGTGGTATAACAAAGAAATCTTTGTGTAACTCAAGGTCACAAATTTTATCTCCTTTGTTTTCGTCTAATGGTTTTATAGTTTAGGTTTTGCATTTAGATTTTTGGGCTTGGGGTGAAAAAAGTCCCCATTTTTTCCCTTCATATGGATATCCACTTATCCCAGCACCATTAGTTGAAAGAACTATCCTTTCCTCATTGAATTGCTGTGATACCTTTGTTGCAAATCAGCTGTCTGCAGATGTGGAGGTATGTTTCTAGACTTTCTTCTGTTCCATTGATCAGCTTGTCTGTCTTGATGCCAGTACAGCACTCCCCTGATTTTTGTAGCTTTATTGTAAGTACAGTTATCCCTTGGTTTCCTTGGGGAATTGGTTCCAGGACCCTCATGGATATAAAAATCCTGGGATGCTCGAGTCCCTTATATAAAATGGCATAGTATTGCATATAACCTGTGCATATCCTCCTGTATACTTAAATCATTTCTACATTACTTACACCTAATATAATGTAAATGCTATGTAAATAGTTGTTACACTGTATTTTTTATTTGTATTACTTTTTATTGTTGTGTTGTTACTATTTTTTCTTTTTTTCTTTTTTTTTTTTAAATATTTTTGATCTGAGGTTGGTTGAATCTGTGGATGCAGAACCCATGGATATGAGGGCTGACTGTTGGAATTGGGTAGTATAAATCCTGGATACTATTTTTTTTTTTTTTTCAAAATTATTTTGGGTATCCAAGTCCTTTGAATTTCCACATAGATTTTAGGATAAGCTTGTCAATGTTTACAGAAAAAGCTTGCTAGGATTTTGATAGGGATTTCATTGAATCTGTAGGTCAATTCGGGAGAATTCCCATCTTAATGATACTGAGACTTCTGATACATGAACATGGAACTTCTCTCCATTTATTTAGATTTTCTCTAGCTGCTCTTTAGCAGTATTTTGTACTTTACACTGTATAGGCTATTGTAAATGAAATTGTTTTCTTGATTTTACTTTCAGATTGTTTATTGCTAGCATAAACAATTGTAAAAATACAATTTTTTAAAATTGTGGTAAAGTTTACTAACAATAAACTTTTTTTTTTTTTTTTTTGGAGACATAGTCTCACTTCCTCACCCAGGCTGGAGTGCAGTGGCGCGATCTTGGCTCACTGCAGCCTCAACCTCCTGGGCTCAGGTGATCCTCCTACTGCAGCCCCCGGAGTAGCTGGGACTACAGGCAGGCACCACTGTGCCTGGCTAATATTCATATTTTTTGTAGAGACAAGATCTTGCCATGTTGTCCAGGCTAGTGTCGAACTCCTAGACTCAAGCAACCCTCCTGTCCTGGCCTCCCAAAGTGCTGGGATTACAGACATGAGCTGCTGCACCCAGCCCATTTTAACCATTTTAAAGTGTACAATTCATTGGCATTAAGTACATTCACAATATTACCATTACCACTATCTATACCCAAAACTTTTTCATTGCCTCTAACAAAAACTATGTATTAAACATTATCTTCTTTTTTTTTTTGAGACGGAGTCTTGCTCTGTCGCCCAGGCCGGACTGCGGACTGCAGTGGCGCAATCTCGGCTCACTGCAAGCTCCGCTTCCCGGGTTCACGCCATTCTCCTGCCTCAGCCTCCCGAGTAGCTGGGACTACAGGCGCCCGCCACCGCGCCCGGCTAATTTTTTGTATTTTTAGTAGAGACGGGGTTTCACCTTGTTAGCCAGGATGGTCTCGATCTCCTGACCTCATGATCCACCCGCCTCGGCCTCCCAAAGTGCTGGGATTACAGGCGTGAGCCACCGTGCCTGGCCTAAACATTGTCTTCTTTTCCCCGGTCCCCCAGCCCTTGGAAACCTCTATTCTATTTTCTGTCTCTATGAATTTGCCTATTCTGGGTACCTTTTCTTTTTCCTTTGGTGTCTGGCTTATTTTACTTGGTATAATGTTTTCAAGGTCCCTTCATATTGTAGCCTGTATTAGAATTTCATTCTTTTTAAGGCCGAGTAATATTCTGTTGTTTATCCATTCATCTGTTGATGGATATTATGGATATTTGGGTTGTCTCTATATTCTTTTGGCTATTGTGAATAATGCTGTTATTGGGGTACAAGGCTGGACGCAGTGGCCCACACCACTCCCAACTTCTGGGAGGCCAGTGTGGGAGTATTGCTTGAGGCCAGAGGTTGAGACTAGCCTGGGCAACTTAGCAAGAATCCATCTCTTCCAAAAAAAAAAGTTAGCTGGGCATGGTGGTGTGCAATTGTAGTCCTAGTTACCTGGGAGGCTGAGTTCGAGGCCACAGTCAGCTATTATTGCACCACTGCACTCCAGCTGGGATGACAGAGTGAGACCCTGTCTCAAAAACAAACAAACCAAAAAGTTGGTATGCAAATATCTGTTTTGAGCTCCTGCTTTCAATTCTTTTGGATATATACCTAAGAGTGGAATTGCTTGATTACAGTTGATTATTGTGTTGATCTTGTATTCTGCAATTTTAATAAACTTGTGTATTTAGTTTTTTGAAGATTCTTTAGGATTTTCTTTGTACAGGATCATGTTATCTACAAATGACCATTTTACTTCTTCTTGTCCAATGTATGTGCCTTTAATTTCTTTTCTTTTCATATTACACTGTCTAGAACCTCCAGTACAATGTTGAATAGAAGTGGCAACAGTGGACATGTTTGCCTTGTTTCCGATTTTAGAGGAAAAGTATTCAGTCTTTCATCATTAAGTGTAATGTTCACTGATAGTTGGTAGGGCAGATTTCTCCTAATATATCCTTTATAATGTCTTAGTTTTGGCTGACTAAGGGACTGAATAAATTGGCATGTGTTAGTGAATATCACCTCTTGACATTTATATGTCTCTTAGCTAAGCTATAAGATTAAAAATCCCTTTCTTCCTTGTAGAATGGAGCAACCCTTATGATACCCTGTAAGTTTCTACTTTGAGTCCTTCAGTTTTTGAATTAGTCAAATTACTCATCTAAATTTGCAGTTCATGGTCTGCTTGTCCATATTAAAGTCTAGGGTGTCTAGATTGTGACCAAAACCGGTGAAGCCTTTGTGTTTTCTGATGCTGTTTTAAAGCTTATTATAATTTTCCCTTCTATGGGGAAAGATTCTGTGCTGTTTTCTCTTAAAGTGAAATGTATGTTGTTGTGTGTTTTTAAATAGATGTAGTTTATTTTACAGTCCAAACCTGTTGTTTCATCTATTCCCATAAGATCCACAGGCAGCATCCTTCTCCATTTGGATGGGGACAGTGAGGTTTATATACCTTGATTGGTAAGCCTGTGTCTGATGTTTTAAGTGCCTTATCCCTTAAATTGTAAACTCTACAGGACTTAGACCATGTGTGTCTTGTTCACTGTATTGTTAACAGCTGGCAGATAGTAAAGATTTTTTTTTTTTTTTTTTTTTTTTTAAATAAGAGTGATTAAATCAGTTTGTTTTGTGATGCTTGTGTGAAGAGAAGTGATTAGTGTAAACTGGCTTTGCTTTAGGGTTTTCATTCTCTAAATTCTTGAAGCATTCTAGAGTAGGAATTGTTGTCTATTTAGTTTAAACAGGATTTTTTTCCAGTTTCTTCTTAGTAATTAAGCTATTACTAGGTTTATTATTCTCTTACATGTGTGCATTTAAAAAATTTGAAACACATCTCGCCTCCTTTACAGTTTGGTAAAGGCTGCCTTGGCGTCCCAAAGTGGTGAGATTACAGGTGTGCGCCACTGTGCCTGGCCAGCTGAAGTTTTTGATTCCCAGCCTTATTCTCTGTCTTTGCACCTCAGTGATGCTCCAGTAAGCATCATCTGTTTTTCTCAAACTGCTTGATATAATGGTAACTCATATAGTTTGATAATGAGGATATCTAAAAATGATTATTTCCAGTTCAAATACGTCCATTAATCTGCATGCTTAATCCTAATTTTTTTCTTGTCACACTGCCTTCTGAGTTATTATAGTGGCTTATACATTTTATGGTTTCTAGAATCTTTTTGAGTGAGAATCATTGAGAATATTTGTGTTTTTAATCTCTTCTGTTTATCTCTTCTGTTGATGTGCTTTTTGTTAATTATTTGGCTGGCTTTTAGTGGATCTTGCACAATTTAATGCTGGCACATGATAAGTTCATAATAAATGTTTCTGATTATCGAGCTGAGCCCCAGTCATGAACCATTGATTTCTAACATACTCTCTCCCTTTAGCAACCTGGTTACCTCTGCCCTTAAATGAACATAACCCCTGATGCCATGACATACATGGAGACTTCAGTATTAATTTTTCAGTTCTTGTATGTAACACTCTTAGGTAGAGTCTCTGTCAGATGGCACTGATAATTAATCCTTTGGAAAGATCCCAAGGGCTTTCAGGCTCTCTGGCTAGATGTTAACAACAGGAACAGTGAGTAGTATATAGCAACATGATACTTGACAGTTTTAAAGCAACACTGGTTTTATTTAAGATCATCGGGTTAAACCAGCTAATACTCCTTTGGCTTAAAACCTACTTGTAGTTTTTACTGTTTGGTATTCTCTTCTCAGAATTGTTCTTTATATATGTAGCAGAGGCTGCACGTGATGGCTCACCTCTGTAATCCCAGCACTTTGGGAGGGTGATGCAGGAGGATTGCTTGAGCACAGGAGTTTGAGACCAGCCTAAGCAACATAGTGAGACCCTACCTTTCCAAAAAATTAAAATATTGTCTGGGGGTGGTGGCACATGCCTGTAATCCCAGCCACTTGGGAAGTTGAGGTGGGAGGATCACTTGAGCAAAGGAGTTTGAGGCTGCAGTGAGCTATGATCGTGCCACTGCACTCCAGCCTGGGTGACAAAGCAAGACCTTGTCTCTGATTGATTGATAGCTAGGTAGGTAGGTAGGTAGATAGATGATTGATTGATTGATTGATTGATAGATAAATAGATAGCAGAGATCATGACAAGTCTGTGTCCCACTTGAAGATTAGAAGACTCAGCAGGTGGGCTCTTGGCTTAAAAAGAAGGCAAAGGTAGCCGGGCACGGTGGCTCATGCCTGTAATCCCAGCGCTTTGGGAGGCTGAGGTGGGCGGATCATGAGGTCAGGAGTTCAAGACCAGCCTGGCCAAGATGGTGAAACCCTGTCTCTACTAAAAATACAAAAAATTAGCCAGGTGTGGTGGCGGGCGCCTGTAATCCAAGCTACTGGGGAGGCTGAGGCAGAGAATTGCGTGAACCCAGGAGGTGGAGGTTGCAGTGAGCCGAGATTGTACCACTGCACTCCAGCCTGGCCGACAGAGCAAGACTCTGTTTCAAAAAAAAAAAGAAGGCAAAGGTGATAGGTGTTTTGGGACTCACAGTCAGACTCATGAAGGCTTTGTCCCAATCTTGAGAAGAAGAAGGGACCCTTAGGAAGATTGGGACCTTGCCAAGACGTAGCATGTAGCAGAGTATCGAAGAATACTCTTTTTAGAGCACTTACAAATATGAATTAATTCTTACGGTAGCACTGTGATAAGCAATTGTAGTTTACTAATGGCAAGACCAAATAAAGTGAAATTCAATTAATGTTTGTTAAATGACGTTGAGCACTATACTTAGTGCTTGTCCAAGGCTTCAGAGCTGTAAATGCAAATGGCAAACACTGTATTTTGCTAAGACAGCACCTCAGTTTCTCTGTCTGTAAATATAATCCCAGAGTTATAAGGTTGTAATTAAGAAATTATTTTTTATTTTTGAGACAGGATCTCACTCTGTTGCCCTGGTTGGGGTGCAGTGGTTCAGACACAGCTCACTACAGCTTCGACCTTCTGGGCCCAAGTGATTCTTCTGCCTCAGCCTTCCAAAGTGCTGGGATTACAGGCATAAGCTGCTCTACCTGGTCAAAAAATATTCTTCTTGAATATTTAGAGATTAGAATGCAAATGTTTCAAAATATACTTGTTTAGGTTTTCATGTTTCATGCATTTTCAAAGGAGTAAAAATAATTACAGAAAAGAGAAACAAATGTAGTTTATAATTATATCTTTTCTGCTTAACTATTATGATTTAGTTAATCAAACACAAGGTAAAAAGCTGAACTTGAATTCTTGTTCTGTAGTACTTTAACCAAGTGTTTATTTCACAAAATCAAAATATGAGCACTTGGTTTAAGTATTACAGAATAAGAATTCAAGTTCAGTTTTTTACCTGTCTTTGAGATGTTAGTATAACATCTAAATGAAGATGTCTTGCAGATAGTTAGAACTGGATTCATAGTGGAAGTGGGGAAGAAAGGATCAAGAAATAGCTTTGGAAGGTATCAGAAAGGTCCCAATCATAATGGTAGCTATACTTTGATTGATATGGAGGACAAAGATGGCTAATTAGAGTACCTTAGGTACAAAGCACCATTAATGGACAGAAAGAAGAAAAGGTATTAGCAAAATTACATTATTATCCTACAACAACATAATTTTACCTTTGTGTAACTGCTTATACCTTTCAAACCAGTAATATCCATTATCTTACTTGATACTGAAATAGTTTGAAATAAAGCAGGTGACTTCTTAGTACAACATGTTAATTTTAGAGAAACTAGCTAGTACTGTTTTTTCTAGAAACTCTGATTATATTATAAAGACAAAACCTAGATACTTTACATTGAATTATTTTGTACTTGATTGGTACATTGTTAATATTTTTCAAAGAAATAGCAATTTTGTTGAACTAGAGCCAGGTCTCAATTTTCTCTCTGGCTTTCTTTGTGGCACCATACTCCTGTAAAACCATCAATGCTCATTAAGCTGTGGATCACTTTGGCTTTTCTTAACCTGGCTAAAGCAGTGTTATCCACAAGTTTCATTTCAGAGAAGATAGAACTTTGTAAATAACCTGAAGGCACCTTTATAGCTACCTTTCTATTGTCTCTGAGGGTAGGTCACAGGCTGTGATGGGGAAGAAGAAAAGCGTTCTGAGGTTTGAGAAAAAGTGGTGAGAATTTGAATAGTTTTTTGTGGAGTGTGAGCAACTGAATTAATCAGAAATGTGGTAGGATTTCTGAATTAATTAGAAAGTAAAGAATTAAATTTTCTAATAGTAGCTACATTAAAAGTAAAAAGGGCCGGGCGTGGTGGCTCCCAGCACTTTGGGAGGCCAAGGCGGGAGGATCATGAAGTCAGGAGTTCGAGACTAGCCTTACCAACATGGTGAACCCCCGTCTCTACTAAAAATACAAAAATTAGCCGGGCATGGTGGCACGTGCCTATAATACCAGCTACTCGGGAGGCTGAGGCAGGAGAATCGCTTGAACCTGGGAGGTGGAGGTTGCAGTGAGCCGAGATCGCGCCATTGCACTCCAGCCTGGGTGGCAGAGCGAGAGTCTGTCTCAAAAAAAGAAAAAAAAGTAAAAAGAAACAAGTGAAATTGATTTTAATATCTTATACTTAACCCAGTAAATTAAAAAGTTATTATTTTAACATATCAATATAAAAATTAAGATATCTTTTTAATTTTGTACTTGAGTCTTTGAAATCTGGTGTATATTGTGTGTTGACAGTATATCTGAATTTGACTAGCCACATTTCAAGAGTTCAACAGTCATATGTGGTTAGTAACTATCTATTGGACAGTGTGGGTCGAAAGTAATTAAAAATAAATTTTGAACTGCATAGACACGTCATCTATTTACATGAATGTGTGTGTGTGTGTATGTGCGTGTGTGCGTGCGCACGCGCATGTTTAGCAATTCTTAGGGTTAAGACAATTCATTTGATAGGCCTGGGTTGATGAACTCAACGGAAGTTGATGTGAATAAAAATGAAAATGAGGGCTTGGCGCGGTGGTCCACGCCTGTAATCCCAGCACTTTGGGAGGCCGAGGTTGGGAGTTCAAGACCAGCCTGCCAACATGGTGAAACCCTGTCTCTACTAAAAAAAATACAAAAATTAGCTGGGCCTCGTGGGAGGCACCTGTAATCCCAGCTACTTGGGAGGCTGAAGCAGAATTGCTTGGGCCTGGAAAGCGGAGGTTGCAATGAGCTGAGATTGCACCATTACACTCCAGCTTGGGTGACAGAGCAAGACTGTGTCTCAAAAAACAAAAAAAAAAAGAAAGTGAGATTGAGTTCAAAGGGAAGTCATTGCAAGGAGGCAGTGCCAGTACTAAACTTAATACCTCCGTCCTGTGTAGACACATCCACTTTGTTGAATGGAAAGCTGGCCTCTTACTACCCTTCAACTACTTTATTTTTTCTGATGACTTGTAATAAATACCGTCTACCTGGAAGTCAGTGTGTTACAATTAGAATGTGAGGATTAGAAGAAACTAATATAGGTAGGACTAGGAAAAAATAATAGGTTAGAGTGATAAAGTAAAAATTTTAAGAATACATGCAATAGTATAAAAATCAAAAGATATAAAAAGATTATGTATCAAATATAAAGCTCTTATCCTCTAGCCATCTGATTCCCTTCCTTGAGAGTAACTAGAATAGTTTCTTATGTCTTATTTATCTTTTAGGAGTAGCCTATGCATTTACAAGTGTATACATACTTTTTTGTCTTTCCTTGAATAAACCAATAAAATACTTATATCCTTTTGAAAATATACAAAAGGTAGCAGCATACAATACACACCATTTACCATTTTACATCTTGCTTCCCGCCCCCCACCCCCCACCCCCCCCCCGCCTTAATCTATCTTGTAGCTGCTTTGTTGTTTTTAAAGTCTATATAATATTTCATTGTATGGATGTACCATAATTTATGTAACCAGTTTTTTATTGTTGGTTATTTAAATTGTTTTCAATATTTTGCCCTTACAATCAATACTGTAATGAATATCTTTGGGTATATCTGTTGAACACCTATGTGAATTATGTGGAATAAATTCTCATAAGTAGAATTTCTTGTTCAAAAGGTTTTTTTTTTAATTGTATAAATATTGCCAAATGCAATAGAGGTTTTTACCAGTTAACACTTCCAACTAATAATGTGTGAATAAACTTTTTCTTAAATAAAACTGATTCTACAAACCGAGTCTTAGGAGAAAATAAAATTTATAAATAATAAAATTTTTATTGTGCTGTTGAATTGAAGAGGCATAGATAACCCCCTTTTGTCTTGACATGATCCTTTTGAGCAACCTCAGAGGAGCCCCTAGAGTTGCAGAGGCATAGACTGAAAACACCGATAACCAGCTCCCTTTATTTTATCTATGAAGAAGAGAGCTCTGAAGGGATGAAGCTGTTCCTCCAAGACCACCCAAAAAACAGAAAAACATGAACTATAGAACCCTCAGATAGGAATAGGAATGGCTTGGAAATGTATGCAGAAGTGTTTTGTGTAACAGGTAAACCCCAATTAATTACTTTTTGAGAATCAAACCTTTTTAAAATAACATTTGCTGTTTGATTTTGTTTTAGTAAGCTTCATGGTTAGTGGAGCCTTGGCAGCCTAAGGGATCCTTGGAGTGGAAAAGGGAACTTGGTGGTCAGAGACAAGGGAGGAAGTCCTACCTTCATATTTCTGACATGGTGACAACTGATATGAAGAGCAAAAGGGGCAAAGACTAGCAGAAGAGAATGAGGGGTGGAGGGGCAAAAGGGTCTCAAGTACCTACCCAGTGCCTGGTGCATGGTGGCTGCTCAGTAATGGTAGTTCCTTACTGGTGGAAGTATGGACTGGTCTGACCATTTTGAAGGATGGTACTTAATCAGATTATGCATTATGTATACCTTGTAACCCAGCAACTTTTTTCCTGTATATATACGTGAAAGAAGTTCTCACACAGGTTCATAAGGGGTCATTCATTTCAGTGTATTTGTTCTTGTGGAAAGTAATTTGTTGTCCATACCCTTTCCCCAGTGATGGGTAAAATGTGATCATAGATTTATACCTCAGTTTGAAGTAATGGTCTAGATGTGCACATGGCAGCCTAAGGATCTTAGAGACATAGTGCTGAGTAACAACAGAAAGAAAAGGAATGAGATATGTAACACAATAGCATTTATATACATTTTAAAATGTATGTAAGTAAAACATTACATACTTTACAAGAAAACATGTTAACACATTAAACACATTATAGTGATTGCCTGTGTTGTGGATGATAGGAGTGGAATAAAAGAATAAGCAAATAAGAGTAAAAATACACAAATGTAAAACTTCATTTCTGTATGGAGGTGATCTTTAAAGCATCTGTTGGATAATTAGGAGGACACCTACAGATCAGTACCCCTGTGTCTCCCATTCTCCCATTGTGGTTACCTTTGGGAGTAAAATTTCTGGTAACGAATTACCATTGGAATATTTTTTGTTGTTAATTTAACTGAAAGTAAATCAGATTCACAGTTCTCAATTTTTTTTTTTTTTTGCCTTTAAAAGGAAAAAAAAAAAGAATCCCCCATCCTTCACTTTTTCTGTTACTGTGTATTCTGTTGGATTGTTGCTTAAATACAAAATACTAACCTTATGCCTAATTTAGGTACTACGTGTATACCAGGACTACATGATATCCTTCTTAGAAGATAATACTTAGTGACATTAATAATTCATTGGGAGACTTCTCCATGTTCTTTTAGATAATTGCCTTTTCTGATTAAAGCTTGGAATGCCAATAGTTGGAATAAAGCAGTCACTTCTTTGATCTGTTACCCATTATAAAATTTATGTTATTTATCTTGCTTTTTTTTTTTTTTTTTTTACAAGAATCTCTGCTTATAGCAGATAAAAATACTGACTGACTTCCAGAGAGTTCCCTGAGATACCAGGTAAGATCTTGGATAGAATGGAGTGTAGGAAACAAACAGTTCCTATCGTAAGCAATTTTTGTTGCTAGAACAAAATCCTTTTGTAGGTCATGAACTTTTGAGTAGCCTGAGTTTTGAGTTAGCCTCAATTAAGGTTTTTGGTTGTTTTACCACCCAGGCTCCAGATTAGCAACTGGAGACAGGAGCTGTGATGGAATTAAAGTAACCGTGGCAACCATTATAATGTAAATGAGCCTTCTTGGGCAGGAAGTTGAGAGCGTGAGCACTTGTTAGGGCATTCCTTTATTACATCTACAACTAGAGCTGAGTAGCATTTTGCTATTTTAAAATCCTGCTCCTTGGACACCATCAAGTCCTGTGTTATTCCAACCTTCTTTTAGTTTTCTGAGAAACTAACACCAAACTAATATGTATATAAAATAGGAAATGAATCTCTGGTGTGCCTCCTTCATTCACATTAAGACCTCTTCTTCCTTTAATAACATTACCTTTTTCCCACTGCTTCTGGCAATAACACTCAGCACCAAGTCTCTGATAAACAAAGAAGGCCACTTAGGTTTTGAGAGATGTGGTGTGTACCTAGTATACTCTGATGGCCAAGATTTGGCTTATGGTGGAACAAGTGGTGCCAGGGCCCCTTCTTAAGCAGCACAGGAGCGACAAATCTTTGGTCTCAAATCTTAATTTTTTATATTAGTCTTTAAAATTTTAAATTATTTTAAAATTTTTTTCAATAAGTCTTTTGTACTCCTAACCTTTGAATTTCAAGTCATAAGATTGTAAGTTTTAGAGTATTAATGTAGGCTTACTCTTTGTGGATTTAGAGATTAGATGACTGGAGGAGAATAATAAAAGTGAAACTGAAGTAATTACCAAATGAGGTTGAGTTCTAAGTTAAGTACTGTACTTGTTTACTACCCCACAATGAGTCCAGTGATTTTAACAACAAGGCTTGTAAGCGAGAAGCTTAAGGTTCCTATTCAAGGTTAACTATTGTTATGATGTTGGTGCTAGGAAAATAACTTCCCTCAACCTCAGTTTTTCTCTTTGTAAAGGAAGAGTGAAAACGACGACTCACTCTGTTGTGGGGAAATACTTACAAAAGGAAATAAAATTTAACTAGTAGTATGGTCAAGAATGTCAGCTGAGGTTGGCCAGGCGAGGTAGCTCACATCTGTAATTCCAGTGCTTTGGGAGGTTGAAGCAGGCAGATCATCTGAGGTCAGGAGTTCGAGACCAGCCTGGCCAACATGGTGAAACCCTGTCTTTGCTAAAAATACAAAACTAGCTGGGCATGGTGGCATGTGCCTGTAATCCCAGCTACTTGGGAGACTGAGGCAGGAGAATCGCTTGAACCCAGGAGGCGAAGGTTGCAGTGAGCCGAGATCATGCCTTTGCCCTCCAGCCTGGGCAACGTGAGTGAAACTCCATCTCAAAAAAAAAAAAAAAAAGCTGATATAAGACAAATTCTGATTTTTAAGGTAATGTGCCTTAGTTATGCCTGCTTAGCTTGTGCCAGTTAAGGCTTTTTACTTTGATTTTAAGTTTCCTTCCTCCTACTTCATCCTTTTGTTGAGTTGTCATTCAGATCACAACAGATACTCTTGTATAACTGTCTTTGTTGGCTTAGTCTTCAACAGGTGGATTGATCTTGGACTTCAAATATTTGAGCATTTACTATATGCAAAGCTTGGAACTGGGTGCATAGGGAATAAATATAAAATGTATACAAGTGTGATTCCTGCCCTTCAATATACAATCATTCAAATACTTGTAGACAGTTCTGCTCTTACTTTTCCTACCCCAGATAGTCTCTTCTCCATGGAAATCATTCCTGCTTCTCTTAATCATTCTTCATATGATGTAGTCGGCCAGGCCATTACTACCATCCTGGCTATCAGCATCACTTGTAAGAGGTCATGTTTCAAATTATAATTCTCAGGGTGTTGCTTGACCTGTTTCATATTTCAAATTATAATTCTCAGGGTGTTGCTTGACCTGTTTCAATTTTCTTCCTTGTTCAGGTCACTGTACTGTTATTTTATTACCTATGAATTTGTATTAACTTTTAAGCTGTCAATTCAGTACAAAGGCCCACCTTGAGCTTACAGTCAACTGAACTCTCATCAACACATGTTAAAATTGGTTTCAATTTTTTTTTTTTGAGACGGAGTCTTGCCCTGTCACCCAGGCTGGAGTGCAGTGGCACGATCTCTGCTCACTGCAACCTCCGCCTCCTGGGTTCAAGTGATTCTCCTGCCTCAGCCTCCCGAGTAGCTGGGATTACAGGCGTACGCCACCACCCTCGGCTAATTTTTTGTATCTTTAGTAGAGACAGTGTTTCACCATGTTGGGCAGGCTGGTCTCGAACTCCTGACCTTAAGTGATCTGCCCATCTCGGCCTCCCAAAGTGCTGGGATTACAGGCGTGAGCCACCGTACCTGGCCTGAAATGGATTTCTTATTCGCTGTATACTTCTAAAAAATAAATGCATGTATATTTACCCTTGATAAATTTTATTTTGTATTTTCAGCACGTTGTTTCTATATGTTCAGATATTTGATCTTTTATAATCTTTAATGATATCTCTTATATCTTTAATGGTATTATTTAATCTTTATAGATAGGTTTAGATCACCAGAAAATTTATAAGCTACCATTTAAATCTTCACAATATTGATAAACATCTACTAAGATAAGGCCAAATAGAGAGTTCTGTGGCAACTGTTAGTTACTTCTTTCCAGATTTACATTAAACAATTGATTAATAATCTTAGAATCGTTGTTCAACCAATTGTAAATCTATCACTTAACTAGCATAAGAAAGTTAATCTTGATTTCAGCAATATGTATTGGACCTACTTTATGTTATTTCTCTGATCTCTTAGTCTAATACTTTTGTCAAAAGTAAAATGAGGTTAGCATGATTGTTTTTCTTGGTGAACCCCATTCTGACTCACTGTGTTCTCTGTACCCCTTCCCTACCCCACCGTAGGCTAACATAGGAAATCTTTGTTAAACCCTTAATCTATGATTTCAATAATCTAGTCTCTTTTTTTCCTTTGAAATTGAGAAAATTAAAATTGCACTTTATTGTTTCTAGTCTTCTAGCTTCTCTTCCATTTTTCATGAGAGATCATGGAGATCTTAGGCTGTAATTTATCTGGTTCTAGATATTTGCATTTACTAAAAGCTACTGGGTGCTCTTTTATTATCTTTTCTCCTATTTCAGGCTTCAGTTTCCTCTTAACCATTTGCATTCTCTTTTCAGTATGGAAAGTTACTCTGGATAAAGAAAATGCAAGCAAAATAAGAGTTGAATAGGTTTGATTTTCTGTATTATTTTTTAACATGGTAGAAGGGCCTGTCTCATATTTTTGCATATAACATCACTGAAAAAAGACTATATGTTTGCACTTTTCATAAGCTTATATTGATATTCTATTATGTGCCAGGCACTGCATTAGATTCTTGGGCTCCAAATATAAATAAGATATGGTCTCTGTTCTCAAGGAGGTCACAATATAATTGGAGAGATACGTATTTATATAAATATTTACTGTATAGCAAGAGCCGCTGGCCAGGATCAGAAAACATACTTTGAGGGTTAGAAAAATAAGACAGGGATTTATGCTGAATAAGGTGGCGAAATGTACATTTTCAATAAGCTATAGGAGGAGTCATGAATATTTATGAAAGGAGAAACATGTACATGCACAGTTGAGCTTCTTACCCCTTTATGGGTTGCATGTACAGAGAAAAGGCAGTATTAGCATGATCCAAGGGTGGAGTTTTTGAGCCTCTGGCCTCAAAAGGTGAAGCAGAGGACATGAAAAGCCTCACTGCGCATCCTCTGTAGACTGGCCAGAACCACTCCGTGGTTGGTGGTCTCCTATTAGGAAGGAATGCTGGTTGGTGGTTGTGAGGAAACCACAAGAGGGAGGGGCAATGTCAGGAGGTTGGTTTATATTAGCAGTGGAGCAAGTAAAAAGGCTGGTTTCTGTTTAACCCTTAGGAAAGAAGCCTAATGCTGGGCAGCAAGGGATGGGTATAATGAGGTGTGTCTGACCTTTCACTTGGTCATGGCTGGGAACTCAGATTTCAGGGCTTCTCTGGGGTCTCCTTGGCCAAGAGATGGTCACTTCAGTCAGTTGGGGGGCTTAGAATTTTATTTCTCAGGAGGAACAACATTCCTTTTTATGAAGAATAGCATATAATAAGCTGACATGAAAATGGAGGGTAAAGGCTACCTGATGTGTTTAGAAATCTTAAAATAATCCAGGATGGTTGGAATACGGAATAGGAGTCCCAAGAAATGAGGCTGGAGGTGGGACCATAAAAGAAAGGGCCTTATATTCTTTGCTAGAATTTGGACTCCAGGAGGCACAGGAGTATCACCGAAGGGTTTTAAGCTGGGGATGTGATCAAAACCAAGCCTGTCTAGTCAGTCCTTCCTTATGACATACTATATAATTAAGTTTAGTCTGTTATGTTGTGGTTACAAACAGTCCCCATATTTTAGTGGCTTACAATAACAAGGATTTATTTTTTGCTCATACTGCATGTCCATTGTGTAGCTTTGTTCCAAGACTTAGGCTAGATGCTCATATCTGAGACATTTTCTCTTGTATTAGAGATAAATAAGGCATGGTAGAACCACACCATTTCTCTGAAAGTTTCTGTTCAGAAGTGGGATGTGTCATTTCCTCTTACTTCCCAGCGTCATTGGCTAAAGCAAGTCATGTGGCCAAACTTGATATCAACTGGACCAGTTGTCTAATTCTCCACCAGGAAGGAGCAGTGATTTTTGAATAATAATGGCATCTATTTACATGTATCAAATTTTATTTCTTTGCTTTCCGGGATTACCTGGGAGCATCTGGTGACTGTGTTCCCAGTGACTTGAAGTAGCTTGAGGGAATAAAGCTAGTTGTAGGCAGAGAAACGAGAGACAAGAAAATGTCCTGGCAGCTTTAATTTGTTTCTCTTCTCCCTGAGGCTGTCCTGGTTCCTGAAATTTTCCTTTGTGTCTGTAAGCTAATAGGAGAGTGTCATGATCAGATGTGCATTTTAGCAAGATTACTTCAGATGCAATATGGAGAATGGGGAGAATGCATTCGAGTAAAAGCAGGAAGAACAGTTAGTGCCTTGTGTAGAAAGAATTTTTAGTAATCTGTTTCAGATATAGAAGGACAAACTAAGGGCCTGGCAATAGAAATGTGGGATTCTTTTAGAGTTACCTCTGAGTCCTGGCTATTGTGGGGAGAAATAAAAGAGAAGGAAGAGAGTTATGTCCAGGTAAGGCATTTGAGTAGATGGTGGTGCCATTCACCAACATAAGGGGTAAAACAGGTCAGAGGAGAAGATATTTTATTTTATTTTATTTTTTATTTTTTTGAGACGGAGTCATGCTCTGTCGCCTAGGCTGGAGTGCAGTGGCGCCATCTCGGCTCACTGCAAGCTCCACCTCCTGGCTTCACACCATTCTCCTGCTTCAGCCTCCTAAGTAGCTGGGACTACAGGCACCCGCCACCATGCCCGGCTAATTTTTTGTATTTTTAGTAGAGACGGGGTTTCACCTTGTTAGCCAGGATGGTCTCAATCTCCTGACCTCGTGATCCACCCGCCTCAGCCTCCCAAAGTGCGGGATTACAGGCGTGAGCCACTGCGCCCGGCCAGTAGAAGATATTTTAGACATTGAGTTTGAGGTGTCTGTGGAACATCTAAGTGGAGATGACTAGTAGGCAAATTGGATAAACCGGTATCGAGCTCACGGGATGTAAAGAGTGTTATTAAAATGATGGTTCATGGAATGTAAGGGTAAGAAATCATGGATAAGAAGGAAAGGAAGAAAGGAGATGACCGAGAGATTGAAGTAAAAGAATTAGTGAGCTAAAGTCTGTGAAATTATAGTAGAGAAAATTAAACAAGCAAGCTAAAAAGAAGTCAGAGAACAGGATACCCAAATTAGCCATTATGGAGATGGAACAGTTTCTAGTGGTGATAAGGTCTGGAGTAACCTTGGTTGTGCTTAGCTGAGTTAGAATGGAGCAGAACGTCATTGAAGATGACATCAAGGAACTCGAAGGCTAAGGTCTTTATGGGCCACCCACGTGGATTGTTGCTTGTTCAGTGTGACAGAGACTCCTAGTTGTTTACTCAGTATCCAGTTTCTACTTCTTCCTTACTAGCAGAACGCTAGGCAATATGCATTGGAAAAACTATACATAGAATTAAATTCAACTGCATATAACAGTAACCCCCAATAACAATGCCTTATATTGTATATGAGTTTATTTTTATTAAAAAATCAGCTTCGTTTCACATTTTTTACAGAATTTATGGTATTTATTAGATTCTAACTTGAGTAAGTTATATACATGATTTATTAAATCTGGTCAATTGTAATCCAGAATGTATGTACTGTGTTTTATTTATAAAGAAATATAGAGAGAAACATTTACAAGATTGGTGTGATGGCTCCTCCACAGGGATTAGAGACCCAGACTCCTGTCATTTTTCTCTCCATTGTTCTTAGTATGCTGCTTCCATCATTAGGGATGCTTTCATGGCTTAAGATGACTGCTGGAGCTCAGGGCATTATTTCAGCATTATATGAAGCAAGAAGGAGGAAGGGGAAAAAGGCAAAAAGGGCATCCCAGAAGCCCCACCCAACAACTTCCGCTTCCATTTCATCTGATAAACTCAGGTTGATGGTGGGATTTAGGATGACTAGAATCTGAGAGAGGAATTTGATAGGTGGCAGTAACTAGGGAAAGAGATGAGGGAGTTGAATGGCATGACCTTAAAGGGGCTGCTTTATTATAAGAGAGTGAAGTAGTATTCTGGCAGAGTGTGGCAAGTGCACAGGTTCTGAGGGGGTGTGTGTGGGTGAAGGAAGTTTATCAGACATTTTTCAGGAATTAGCAAGGAGGCACGTGCAGCTGGAGTAGAGTAAGTAAGGGGGAGAGTTGTGGAGATTAAGGCTGGCAGGTAATGAGCCAGTGTCATGTATGGTGTTAATAGGTCATATTCAGGATTATGCTTTAACTTTTGCTTTAAATGAGATAGAAAACCATTGGAAAGTTTTGAGCAAAGAATGACAGGATCATATTTAAGTTTTGAAAAGATCGCTCTGGCTGTAGGGTTGAGAATAGACTGAAGGGGTCAGGAGACCAGTTAGGAGGTTACTGCAATAACTAGAGAAGAGACGATAGTAGTTTGGAGCAGATAATAGCGGTGACGATGAGAGAAGTGGCCAGATTCTGCATATATAGTAGAGCAAAAAAGATATGCTAATGTATTTGATGAGTGTTTGAAAGAGAAAAGTTTTGGATGACTTCAAAGTCTTTGTCCAGAACAACTGTAAGTATAAAAACAATAGGGAGAAGTTGTCCAAAATGAGGATAATTGTATTGCTACAGTGACCTTCTGTAGGTGTAATCAGTGTCTTCCTGTTTTAGTATATTCCTGTTTCTTGTCTCCTTTTCTTTTTTCTCAGTGCACATTTAACTAGTTTTCAATACATTCGCTATTTTGCTCAGCCAACAAATGACTGTTAACAATTACAAAGTTGTTTCAGCCTTTATCGGTTAGGCTTCTTTGGTTGCAAAACAAACCAAAATTGACTTTGTTCAATTGACTTAAGCAAAAAAGGTAGTGGATGAGAAGGAGGGAGGGGAAAGGATAATAGAGGTAAGTCACAGAATAAGGAAATGCTAAAGAATTACACCTTGGGGCTGGGCGTGGTGGCTCACGCCTGTAATCCCAGTTACTCTGGAGGCTGAGTCAGGAGAATGGCTTGAACCCAGGAGGCAGAGAGGTTGCAGTGAGCCGAGATCTCACAATTGCACTCCATCCTGGGCAACAAGAGTGAAACTCCGTCCCCCGCCAAAAAAAAAAAATTACACCTTGGGAGAACCCTGAACTAAAGTATCTCACTGAGATCTAGATAGCATAATGGACATAATGGTTTTTATCAGGGTAACGTCTTCTGGACAAATCACTCATATAATTGAGTATCTAATTTAATAATGGTACTGAGCTAGATACTGAGGGCGGGGAATAGGAGGGGCAATCCAAAGCTGAATAAAATATATTACATACCTTTGGAGGATTATAATAGAGTAGAATTAATGAATCATGTCTATCACTTATTCAAATTAGAATGTAATAAATACCATAAATGCTACAAAAGATATTAAACAAAGATGATTAGATGATTTTGTATGACTAACCATAGCAATATTTTAACATTTTAGATACAAATAGATTTTAAAGGAAAGATAGACATAAGAAAATGTCAGATAAATTTTTTTTTTTTGCCCACTAAACGCAAAATATTTATGTTGTGGAGACATAGTAAATTATGATACATTCATAGAGCATAATACTAAGCAGCCATCAGAAATGATGTTGCACAAGTATGCCTAATGAGAAGGGGAAATGATCATTTTGTTTTAAGTGAAAACAAAAAAAGATTATGAAATCACACAAATAGAAAATCTGAAATTTAACATGAGTGGGGTGTGTGGTGTATGTATGAGAGAGAGTAGTACACCCTCCAAGTTATTGAGTTCACTCAAGGGGTGTGTGTGTGTGTGTGTGTGTGTGTGTGTGTGTGTGTGTACACCCTCCAACTTATTGAGTTCAATCAAGCCTTATTAGGTATTTTTTTTTGAGACAGAGTTTCACTCTTGTCGCCCAGGCTGGAGTGCAGTGGCGTGATCTCATCTCACTGCAAACTCCACCTCCCAGGTTCAAGCGAGTCTCCTGCCTCAGCCTCCCTAGTAGCTGGGATTGTAGGTGCCTGCCACCATGCCTGGCTAATTTTTGTATTTTTAGTAGAGACAGGGTTTCTCCATGTTGTCCAAGCTGGTCTCGAACTCCTGACCTCAAGTCATCTGCCCACCTTGGCCTCCAAAGGTGCTGGGATTAGAAGCATGAGCCACTGCGCCCCTCCCCAAGCCTTATTAGATTTGAATGTTAGCATCAATAGTATATTGAAGGTGGAGGTGAGGCTAGTATTGAAAGTGAAGAGAGAATAATCAGGCTATTGTAATTATCTAAGTAAGAGAGGATAAGGACCTGACCCTAAGATAGGAAGTAGAAAAGAGGGAATCTTGTGGGAGAGATGGTAAGATGATGGAATTGATAGAATTTGGTGACTGACTTCTGTATGTGTGTGGGAGTGGATGCTCTGTGTGATAACAGAGAGATGAGTTTCTAGTCTTATATGATTGGGTAAATGGTCATACTCCTATTTATTTAAAAGTACCTATAACATGGGAGTAGAAAGCTCTGAAAATGTGGCATATGATCTGTTTTAAGAAAAAAGAGGATGAGGGGAAATAGAGAGAGAGGAAAGTGAGGAATTTCTTTTGACGACTTTTTGGACAAACTTGCTATTTTAGTTCACTCCCTTTTTACTCCTAGTTCTACTAGGAGTAAACGTAGTAGTTTAAACTAGTAATTAGTAATTTAGTAAATTTAAACTAATAATTTCCAAGTCAGAATTTTAACAGTCATGACTGATTTTTAAGCCTCTATGTTATCTTGAGGATCTTGTTTTTACCAGCTATACCTTAAAGAAGCTCAGCTTTGAAAGGGCTTTGTGACATAACCAGGTTTTGGAAAGATCAAGGTATGAAAATGCTGTAACTTTGAAGGCAGCATTAGGGAGTTTGCTTGTGCTTTCTTTTTTTGTTTTTGTTTTTGTTTTTTGAGACGGAGTCTTACTCTGTTGCCCAGGCTGGAGTGCAGTGGCATGATCTCAGCTCACCACAACCTCCATCTCCCGGATTCAAGTGATTCTCCTGCCTCAGCCTCCTGAGTAGCTGGGACTACAGGCACGGGCCACCATACCCGGCTAATTTTTGTATTTTTATAGTAGAGATGAGGTTTCACTATGTAGGCCAGGCCAGTCTAAGGCCAGATCCTGACCTTAGGATCCACCCGCTTCGGCCTCCCAAAGTGTTGGGATTATAGGCGTGAGCCACTGCACCTGGCCGCTTGTGCTTTCTTGGGAACGACATTAATGCTGTGGTTGAATCTTTCCTTTGTTTAAACAAACCAAAAGTAAGATTTGAAGGCTGCCTGGTGGGCTGAATTTCTCTTTTGGTAGAATGTTTTAGCTTTTTGAAAATAAGTAGACCTCTTTACTTTTTAAAAGTAACTTTATTGAGATATAATTTCATACTGCGAAGTTCACTCATTTAAAGCATACAATTCAGTGAGTGATTTTTTTTCATATTTACAGAGTGTATAACCATTACTGTAATTTAATTTTGGAACATTTTCATCATCCCAGAAAGAAACCTTGTAGTAATCATTCCCTAGGCAACCACGAATCTATTTTCTGTCTCTGGACGTTTCATATAATTTGCCTATTCTGGACATTTCATATAAATGGGATCATAACCATATGTGTAGACCTTTTGGCTTTCAAAGTTTCTTTTTTTTCTTTTCTTTTTTTCCTAAATGATTCCTGTTTTTTTTTTTTTTTCACTTACTCTGTTGCCCAGTCTGAAGTGTGGTGTGGCACGATGATGGCCCAGTGCAGCCTCAACCTCCCAGGCTCAAGCCATCCTCCCACATCAGCCTACTGAGTCCTACTGGGACCACCATGGTGT
The DNA here is from genome assembly GCF_000001405.40 of Homo sapiens. Taxonomy (NCBI): domain Eukaryota; kingdom Metazoa; phylum Chordata; class Mammalia; order Primates; family Hominidae; genus Homo; species Homo sapiens. The sequence goes on from NC_000007.14 coordinate 129,269,274, forward strand.
GCACCACCATGCCTAATTTTTTTTTTTTTTGAGACAGAGTCTTGCTCTATTGGCCAGGTTGGAGTGCAGTGGCACAATTTCAGCTCACTGCAACCTCCGCCTCCTGGGTTCAGGTGATTCTCCTGCCTCACCCTCCTGGGTAGCTGGGATTACAGGCACGCATTACCATGCCTGGCTAATTTTTTTTTTATTTTGAGTAGAGATGGGGTTTCACCATGCTAACCAGGCTGGTCTTGAACTCCTGAGCTCGTGATTCACCCACCTCAACCTCTCAAAGTGTTGGGATTATAGGCGGGAGCCACTGTGCCGGTTTTGTTTTGTTTTGTTTTGTTTTGTTTTTTAATAGAGATGGGGGTCTCACTATGTTGCCTAGGCTTGTCTTGAACTCCTCGGCTCAAGCAGCCCTCCTGCCTAAGCCTCTCAAAGTGTAGCCACCATATCCGGCCCTAAATGAGTTCTTTTTGTATTCCGTAATTTTTAGAGTTCACCTTAAATTTTACAGTGTCTATAGATTGATAAATTTGCTTGATACTTAATTCATGCTTATATCCTTATCACTAAATGCATAATATATGTCAAATAAATTATTTGTAATGGATTTTTTATGGACATTAAAATATATTCTTTATTGATATTGTTCCAGTGTCTGACTTTCATTTATAATTTCATATTACCATTTTTGCTCCTATCTACTACTCACTTTCTAGCTAAAGTGTTTATACTTACAGTGATGGAAAGTTTTTGACTTGGGCCTTCCTTATTCCTGCGTATTATTTAATTTTACAGTGTTTGGTAGAAGCAAGGTCAAAAGTTTACTGAAAAGAAAATGAAGCCCATTAGGAGACTATTAGGTATATCTTAATATTTCCTTTCTCAGTTCCTTTAGATCCTTCCTCATTGTATTATCTGGGTCACACTGGTTGAGGGATTCTACCTTCCTAATGTAACGTCAGTTGTGTTTAGAACTGCCTTGACATACGTACCTGCTTGATTGGCGTCCTCTTCTATTAGTCACCAGAGTACAGAGATACTCAGTTCCAATGATAAAAATAGTATACATTCCCTTTAGTTAGAATCTTCTTAGTGCAAATAACCTTGGACCTATGGGTCCTGTCCATGATAAAAGGCAGAACATTTTTCACTTTTTTCTTTGAGTTTCTCTTCCTGTGACTTCCCCCTCCTTGTTATATGTTTTACATTTGACAAAGGGGGAAAGAACACTCAAGATTCCTAGTCATATGCCAGATAAATATATAATAGACATTATTTTAAATCTATAGCTGAGCTTGTGAAAAAGTAAGGAAAATCCTTAGGGGCAAAAAAATGATGAGGGCATTGAAAATCAGTGTTAAGTACATAAGCTAAAGTTACGGCTGCTCTGGATGACTAAGAGACTTAGTTTTAACAACCACATGGGAATAAGAGACTTTTTTACTCCCTTGCAGAAAGCTAAGTTCCTCAAAGGGTTTCCACATTATTGAAAAGATGATCTAGAAAAAACATTTGCCCCATGGCATAGAGAAATGTCAAGGAAGTTTGTCCACTCCGTGTGGGCTTTAGGTGAGAAAGGTTTCTCTGAGAATTTGTTACCTGGGGTTGTCTTCACATAGGTTCAGTTTAGAATGTTCCTCTTTTTCTGCAGTCCAGGAAACCCAAAGCCAAGAAATTAACATATAAAGTAGTCTTGAATCTGCAACAGTCCTACGGCATCAGGCTGAAGCAAGTGCAAAACTTCTCTATAGGGATATCCTCAATCTAGGCCACACCAAATCTCACAGCTAAAGGTGCTCTAAAAAAAAAAAGTTTGGGCCGGGCGTGGTGGCTCATGCCTGTAATCCCAGCACTTTGGGAGGCCGAGGCGGGCGGATCACGAGGTCAGGAGATGAGACCATCCTGGCTAACACGGTGAAATCCCGTTTCTACTAAAAATACAAAAAATTAGCTGGGCGTGGTGGCAGGCGCCTGTAGTCCCAGCTATTCGGGAGGCTAAGGCAGAAGAATGGCGTGAACCCGAGAGGTGGAGCTTGCAGTGAGCCGAGATGGTGCCACTGCAATCCAGCCTGGGCAACAGAACGAGACTGTCTCCAAAAAAAAAAAAAAAAAAAAGAGTTTTAAAATAGACCTTCAAAAAATATAGTCACTGAAACTTAAAATTTGGTGGACAATATCAATGGTAGAATGGATACATTATGGTATATTCATAGAACAGAATACTATTAAGCAATGGAAATGAATAAATTGCTGCTATGCATAAGATCATGGCTGAATAACAATAATGTTGAAGGAAGGAAGCCAGATGTAAAATAATATATACTATGTTATTTTATTTATATAAAGCTAAAAACCCGGGTGCGGGTAACATTGGATTTTTGTCCTGGGTGATAGTTACATGGCTGTTTCACTCTGTTATAATTCATTGAATTTATAATTTGTATACTTCCTCCATTTAATAGAAAGCAGATAAGGAAAATGTAATAAATGTCATAGAAAAGATAGGATAAATAGAAAGCATAATAAAAGATGGTAGAGATAAATCCAAATGCATCAGTAATCATACTGAACATAAATGAATTACACTTATTGAAACAAAGACAGATTGTTGTAGCATGTTTTCAAGATGGCTGATGTTAGTTCCTTCCCTCCACATGTGCACCACCCCCATCTAGTGGTGGAGTTTATTCCTCTGTTCATACCAAATCTGGGCTGGCCTTAGTGACTTGTTTGGTGAAATGTGGCAGAGATAACATTCTGGGACTTTCAAGGCCAGGTCATGAAAAGTTTTGCAGCTTCCATCTAGGCCTATTTGAACATTCTCTTTTGGATTGCTGTGCTATGGAACATTTAGTCTTGGAACCTAGCTGCCATGCTGTGAGGAGTCCAAGCCAGATGGAGAGGCTCAGCTGAGCTCCTAGCCAACAGCTAGCATCACTTTTCAGCTACGTGAGTTCCAGTTCCAGTGGGCATCATATGGAGAAAAGCCCAGGCCCTAGGCGTATGGCTCCCAGTCTAGTTATCCTCAATCAATGGAGCCACCTTACCTGAGGCCCCAGATGTTATAGAGCAGACACGAGCTGTTCCTGCTATACTCTGTCTGAATCAGAATTGTGAGTATAATAAAATGGTTGTAGTTTTATGCCACTAAGCTTTAGGGTAGTTTGTAGTGATAGATAACTGAAACCAAATTTGGTACCTTGAAATAAGGTGCTGCCAAAACCTACAATTTGCATTGGCTTTGGAATTTGGTGAGGGTTAAAGATGGAGGGACCTTGAGAAGACAGTGAAGGCTTGAAACACAGAGAGAAAAGTGTTATTGGAGGCTGGGAAAAGAGTGAACCTTTGTTATATAGTGATTCAAGGTTTATTGGTACTGCCACATGTGGTTACATAGACCATAGAAAATGTATCTAATGACTTCAGTGTATCTAAGGAGATTTCTAGGCAGAATGTTGAAAAAATGTTACCTAGTTTTTTCTAAGTATGATAAGGTACAAATTGATAAATGAACTAAAAAATGAACTACTAAGTTTTAAAACAGAACTTAGAGGAAATATTTCTAACCCAGGAATGGTTGTGTTATTATAGAAAATAAAACTTTTTCTCATCTCTAGTTGCTTCAAATGGCCAATGACTTTTATTTTATTATTATTATTATTATTTTGAGATAGTTTTTCTGTCACTTAGGCTGGAGTGCAGTGGTGCTCACTGCAACCTCTGCCTCCCGGGATCAAGTGATTCTCCTGCCTCAACCTCCTGAGTAGCTGGGATTACAGGTGCCCGCCATGATGCCCAGCTGTTTTTTTGTATTTTTGGTAGAGACAGGGTTTCACCATATCAGCCAGGCTGGTCTCAAACTCCTGAGCTCAAGTGATCCATCCGCCTTAGCCTCCCAAAGTGCTGGGATTATAGGCATGAGCCACTGCGCCTAGCCTGACCAATGACTTCTAAATAAATGGCTTCAGAGGAAAGATAAAATTCAAGATGCTACCAATAAAATATGGCCTCAAAGTAAAGATCTCAGTGATGCAACTGTAAATCCCTTTGCTAAGACTTTTTTTTTTTTTTTTTTTTTTTTGAGACGGAGTTTCGCTCTTGTTGCCCAGGCTGGAGTGCAATGGCATGATCTTGGCTCACCGCAACCTCTGCCTCCCTGGTTCAAGCAATTCTCCTGCCTCAACCTCCCTAGTATCTGGGATTACAGGCATGCATCACCACGCCTGGCTAATTTTGTATTTTTAGTAGAGACGAGGTTTCTCCATGATGGTCAGGCTCGTCTCGAACTCCCGACCTCAGGTGATCCGCCCACCTCGGCCTCCCAAAGTGCTGGGATTATAGGCATGAGCCACTGCGCCTGGCCGACTTCAGAAAGATTTAAGACAATGCCTCACAAAACCTTTCAATTAGATAAAGGGATATCTAGAGGTCTTAAGGGAATACTTCTTAGGCTTACTATGTTAAACAATAGGGCTTCTAGGGATCTTAAGTGTGTTTTCTCACAGTAGCCTCACATAAGACTTGCGATAGAAAAGGTGGATGTGGCTTTTGTCTGCTGGAGTGAATCCCAATAAGATTCATAGGAAATCCACAAGATTTTAAAGAAATCATAATAATAAAAGAGGAACAGAGACAGTAGAAAGTGAAAATAGGCCTTTAGATTTCCAATCATCTATAGGCAGGAAACAAGCTTATAAGGCCACTCCATTGCAAAAATTAACCCATCTCTTATGTAAAAAGAAGGTTAATTCAGAAACTTAGAGGGTGGAGCCAAGGGTTGTGGAGAGTCATTCTCAAGGTGTAGGACTTGGCTGTAATAGAGGAACTGGTGATATGTGTCTGATTAGATTTCAGAATTGTTATGGGCCAGTAACTGTTATGTGTCTCCTGTTCCTTCTCCCTTTTTCCTCACATTTTGAATGAGAGTGTCTATTGTGCTTATCTTAAGTCAGTCTCACTATTGTATGTTTGTATGTTGGGTGTGTGGGAGCAGATAATTTGTTTCTTTAATTCAGATCAGGAGGAACTATACTGCAGTAGCTGTACCTGAGGAACTGCATCTGAGGAGCCTCAACCACATCTGGACCTGATTTAGATATCGAGATTCTGGACATCAAGCTGATGCCATAATGAAATGAGACTTTTGAAGGTCTTAGAAGAGGGTGAGTGTATTTTGCATGTGGGAGGGCCTTGTTGGGGCCAGAGGGTGGTCTGTGGTAGCTTGTATCCAAAGTGGCCGCCACCAATTTCTTCCCTTCTTGCTATTCAGTGGTGGAGTCTATTTCCCTTGTCCCCTTGAATCTGGGCTGGCTTTAGTGACTTGCTTAACCAATAGACTGTAACTTTCTGGGACTTCAGAGGCTAGGTCATGAAAAGCCTTGTGTCTTCTGCCTGTGCCCGTTGGAATCCTCTCTCTTGGACTGCTTGCACATAGAACCCGGTCACCATGCTGTGAGAATCCCCAGCCAGATGGAGAGGACACATGTAGGCACTGGTTGATAGCCCCATTGAGCTACCAGCAAAGAGCCAGTATCAACTGTCAGCCTTAGGAGTGAGTGAAGGAACCATGTTGAATAATCCAGCCCTAGCAGACACCATCTGGAGAAGAGCCAAGGTTTCAGACTTATGGCACATGTTAAGACATCTCAGCCATCTTCATCCTTTCAGGGCATCCCACCTGAGTTTCCCAGACATCGTCAATCAGAGACAAGCGGTCTCTGCTGTGCCCTGCCAGAATTTGTGGCCCACAGAATCATGAGAATAATAAAATGATTATTGTTTAACACTACTAAGATTTAGAATAGTTTTTAAATTTAGCCGTAGATAACTGGAACATGGCCAGGCGCAGTGGCTCACACCTCTAATTCCAGAACTTTGGGAGGCTGAGGCGGGTGGGTCACCTGAGGTCAGGAGTTTGAGACCAGCCTGGCCAACATATTGAAACCCAATCTCTACTAAAAATACAAAAATTAGCCAGGCATGGTGGTGTGCACCTGTAATGGTTGCAGGCGCCTGTAATCCCAGCCACTCAGGAGGCTGAGGCAGGAGAATCTCATGAACCCGGGAGGCAGAGGTTGCAGTGAGCTGAGATTGTGCCACTGCACTCCAGCCTGGGTGACACAGCAAGACCTTGTCTCCAAAAAATAAAAAAATAAAAAAATAACTGGAACATTGCCAAACTGAATAGAAAATAATCCAAGTCTATGCAGTTTGTAAGAAATACACCTAAGACATAAGGAATGAGAGAGACTGGAAATAAAGATATGGAAAAATCTATTCCAAAAGAAAGCTGGCATAGCAGGTTAATAGTAGCCAAAACTGATTTGAAGGCAAAAATCATTATTTGCGTTAAAAATTATCAGAAAAAAATTGTAAAGGAAGAATTAAGCAAGAAGCTATAATTCCAAATCAGTATGCATCTTATAGCATGGCCTTAAAATAGATAGATAGAATACAAAATATGTAGATAGAATATAGGAAGAAAATATATAGATACAAATATGAATAAATTTATAAATCTATAAAATGGAAAAATTTAACATGTCTTTTTGAGTAATTGATGGTCAAACAGACAAAAACAACTTGAGAAGATAACAGAAGATTTGAACAACCAACCAACAGGCTTCATTTTTTGGATATGTACCAAGCCCCACGCTTAATAGATGAGAATATACATTCTTTTTAGGGAGTTTTAAAAAAATTGAACACACACTGAATTCATAAATCAAGTCTCAACAAAACCAATGAATGGATATTATGCAAACTATTCTCGTACTCAATTCAGTTAAGACTGAAATTGAGCAAAAAGATAACCAAAATAATTTTATATATTTGGAAATTTAAAAGCATACTTCTAAGTAACTCATAGATCAAAGAAAAAATAATAATGGAAATTATAAGTAAAGCCGAATGATAATATAAATACTGTGTATCAGAATTATGGGTTACAACTAAAGCAGCATTTAGAGGGAAATTTATATCATCACAAAGAAGATGAGGGTAAGAAAAACTAATTAAGAACATTAAAAAAGCCAAAGGGAAATTTACAGCCTTACATGCTTATATTAGAAAAAAAACAGAGTTCATTATTTATTAGTCTTAGTATTTGACTGAGAAGTTATTTTTAAAAAGAAATGAATAAAAACCAAGGAAAGTAGAAGGGAAGAATAAAAAAAAAAACCAGAACTGAATGAAATTGAAAACAGGCTGGGCACAGTGGCTCATGCCTATAATCCCAGCACTTTGGGAGGCTGAGGCAGGTGGATCACTTGAGGTCAGGAGTTCAAGACCAGCCTGGCCAACATGGTGAAATTCCGTCTCTACTAAAAGTATAAAAATGCTGTGCATGGTGGTGGGCACCTGTAATCCCAGCTACTTGGGAGGCTGAGGCATGAGAATTGCTTAAACCTGGAAGGCAGAGGTTGCAGTAAGTTGAGATCATGCCACTGCACTCCAGCCTGGGCAACTGTCTCAAAAAAAAAAAAAAAGAAAAAAACCACAAAGATATAAAAGAATTAACAGCAACAAAAGTTGGTTTTCTAAAAAAAAAGATTAAAATAAGACAAAGCCCTGCAAAGATTAATCAGCAAGACAGAGTGAAGATACAGATACCACTAAGATTGAACAAGAAGACATATCTACAAATACAGCATAGATTATGAAATAACAAATGTATTATTAACAAATCTATGGTGCTAAATTGTACAGCTTAGATAAAAAGAACAGCGTTGTGAAAAATATATATAACTTACCAAAATTGACTCAAGGAGGAATACAAACCTGAAGAGACCTATAATCATTAAATATTTTGAATTAATAAGTAAAATACTACCTAATTGAAAAGAGGCACAGATGCAATTTTTACAATAGTTTTATAAAGGGGTATAATTGACAAACAAAAAACTGCAGATATTTAAAGGTTACAACTTGGAAAGTTTTGACACATGTCTAAAACCATGAAACTATTGTTACAATGAAGATAAAGAACATATTTATTACCTCTAAAGTCTCTCTCTTTTTTTTTTTTTTTTTTGAGATAGAGTCTTGCTCTGTCGCCCAGGCTAGATGGAGTGGTGCCACCTTAGCTCACTGCAACCTCCGCCTCCTGGGTTCAAGCAATTCTCCTGCCTCAGCCTCCTGAGTAGCTGGAATTACAGGTGCGCACCACCACACCCAGCTAATTTTTTTGTATTTTTAGTGGAGACAGGGTTTTGCCATGTTGCCCAGGCTGGTCTCGAACTCCTGGGCTCAGGCAATCCACCTGCCTCGGCCTCCCAAAGTGCTAGGATTACAGGCGTGAGCCACTGCGCCTGGCCTCTCCTGTCTCTACCACCCAGTTTCATCCCTAGGCAATCACTGATCTGCTTCATATAATAATAGAGTCTGCATTTTCTAGGCTTTTAAGTGGAATCAAGTAGTATGTACTCTTTGGGGAGAGGGGAGTGGGGTAATTCTGGCTTCTTCCACTTAGCATCATTATTTCGAGATTTATTTATGTTGTTGATTGATCAAAGGTCTTTTTCATTGCATAGTAGTACCATCGTATGGTTAGACCACATTTGATTTATTCGTTCACCTGTTGACAGCCACTTGGGTTATTTCCAGTTTGAGGCTATCATAAATAATGCTTCTGTGAACATTTATTAGAGATATGTTTTTGTTCCTCGTTGTTAAATATCTGGAAGTGTGATGGTTGGATTATATAAGTGTACGGTTTAATTTTTAAGAAACCGCCAAACTGTTTTCCAAAGAGGTTTTGCCGTTTTACATTCCCACCAGGTTTGAATTCCTCCACATCCTCATCAACATTTGGTATGGTCAGTCTTTATTTTTAGCCATTCTGATTAGCATAAAATAGTATTTCATTGTGGTTTTAATGTACTTAAGTGACTAATGCTGAGAATCTTTTCATGTACTTTTTGTCATTTGTATGTCTCTTGTGGTAAAGTGTCTATTTAAATATTTTGACCATTTTATTTTATTTTTTATTTTTTTAGAGATGGGGTCTCCCTGTGTTGCCCAGGCTGGTCTCAAACTCCTGGGTTCAAGTGATCCTCCTCCATCAGTCTCCCAGTGTGTTGGGATTACAGGCGTGAGTCACCACATCCAGTCTCTTTTTACCATTTTTAATTAATTGGGTTGTTTATTTTCTAATTATTGAGTTTTGAGAGTTATTTATATATTCTAGATATAAGTCCTTTATCAGATAGATGATTTGCAAATATTTCCTCCCAGTCTGTGGCTTATTTTTTTTATTCTCTTCACAATGCCTTTCGAAAAGCAAAATCTTTGTATTTTCATGAAGCCCAATTTATCAATTTGCTGTTTTATGGCTTGTAGTTTTGGTGTCATATCTAAGAAATCTTTGTCCAACCCAAGATTAGAAGAGCTTTCTCTTATGTTTTCTTCTAGAAGCTTTATAATTCTGGCTTAACATTTTATACCAATGGCCCATTTTGAGTTAATTTTTGCATATGGTACAAGGTTTGTATTGAAGCTCTTTTTTTTTTTTTTTTTTTGCATATGAATATCTAATTGTTGCAGTATCATTTGTTGGTAAGACTCTTCTCCACTGAATTGCTCTTGCACCTTTGTTGAAAATCAGTTGTCTACGGATGTGTGGGTGTATTTTTGGACTTTCTTCTGTTCCATTGATCTGTTTGTCTAACTTGACACAACTACCACATTATTTTTATAGCTATAGTTTTTATAAGTCTTAAAAACTGATAGAGGTAGTCCTCCAGCTTTGTATTTCTTTTTCAAAGTTGTTTTGACTCTTCTGCGCCCTTTACATTTCCATGTGAATTTTAGAATCAGTTTGTCAGATTCTACAACAAAGCATCTGGGATTTTTATTGGAATTGTATTGAATCTGCATTTGGAGAGAATTGATAGCTTAACAATATTGAATCTTTTGGCCATGAATGGCATATCTGTACCATCTTGTGGACATCTTTTATTTCTCTCAGAAGTGTTTGGTAGTTTTTTTTTTTTTTCCTGCCTCAGCCTCCCGAGTAGCTGGGATTACAGACGCACGCCACAAGACCTGGCTAATTTTTGTATTTTTAATAGAGATGAGGTTCGCCATGTTGGCCAGGCTGGTCTCACACTCCCAACCTCAGGTGATCCCCCCACCCCGGCTTCCTGGCCAGTGTTTAATAGTTTTCAATAGGTCTTGCATATCTTTTGTCCAATGTATCGATGTTTCATGTTCCATGTTTCATGTTTTTGTTATTACCCTGGAAAGGGGTCCTAATCTAGACCCCAAGAGAGGATTCTTGGTTCTCATGCAAGAAAGAATTTGTGGTGAGTCCACAGAGTAAAATGAATGCAAGTTTAAGAAAGTAAAGGAATAAAAGAATGGCTGCTTCATAAGCAGAGCAGCCCTGAGTGCTGCTGGTTGGCTATTTTTGTGGTTATTTCTTGATCATATATGTTCAACAAGGGGTGGATTATTCATTCATGAGTTTTGCAGGAAAAGGGGAGGCATTTCCCACAACTAAGGGGTCCCCTTCCTTTTAGGGTAACTTCTGATGTTGCCATGGTATTTGTAAACTGTCACGGCACTGGTGGGAGTGTCTTTTAGCATACTAATGCATTATCATTAGCATATAACCAGCAGTGAGGACAACCAGAGGCACCTCTTGGTTTTGGTCAGCTTCTTTACCGCATCCTGTTTTATCAGTGGTGTCTTAGTTACCTGTGTCTTGTGCCAACCTCCTATCTCATCCTGTGACTAAGAATGCCTAGCTTCCTGGGAATGCAGCCCAGCAGGTCTCATTTTACCCAGCCTCTATTTAAGATGGAGTCGCCTTGGTTCTAATGCTTCTGACAATATGGTTGCTTTTTGCTAATATACAGAAATATCAATTGACTTTTATAAATTGATCTTATAGTCTTTAAGTTTGCTAAATACTTTTTTTTTTTGAGAGAGTCTCGCTCTGTTGCCCAGGCTGGAGTACAGTGGCACGATCTCGGCTCACTGCAACCTCTGCCTCCTTTGTTCAAGCAGTTCTTCTGCCTCAGCCTCCCTAGTAGCTGGGATTGCAGGCGCCCACCACCATGTCCAGCTGATTTTTGTATTTTAGTAGACACGAGGTTTCGCCGTGTTGGCCAGGCTGGTCTGGAACTCCTGACCTGAAGCAATCCACCTGCCTTGGCCTCCCAAAGTGTTGGGATTACAAGCATGAGCCACTATGCTCGGCCCTAAATTTGCTAAATTCTTGTTTTAGTTCTAGTAGCTTTTTTGTAGATTCCATCAGATTTTCAACTGAGGCAGTTTTTTGTCAACTATGAGTAAAGACAGTTTTACGACTCGCTTTCTAGTCTAGATACTTTATAAGTTCTTATTTTATTGTACTTTTCAGATGATCCCATACAATGTTGAATAGAAGTGGTGAGAGTAGACACCAATAAGTATGATATTAGCTGTTGTTTTTTTTTTAGATCCCCTTTATCATGTTGAGAAAGTTTCCTTGTATTCCTAGTTTTCTGACAGTTTTCATCAGGAATTTCTGGTGGATTTTGTCTAATGCATTTTCTGTATCTATTGAAATGATCACATGATCTTTTTAATTTTGTTAACATGGTGAGTTACATTGATTCTTTTTTTTTTTTTTTGAGACAGAGTCTCGCTCTGTCGCCCAGGCTGGAGTGCAGTGGTGCCATCTTGGCTCACTGCAACCTCTGCCTCCTGGTTCAAGTGATTCTCCTACCTCAGCCTCCTGAGTAGCTGGGACTACAGGCGCCCGCCACCATGCCTGGCTAATTTTTTGTATTTTTAGTAGAGATGGGGTTTCACCATGTTAGCCAGGATGGTCTCGATCTCCTGACCTCATGATCTGCCCACCTTGGCCTCCCAAAGTGCTGGGATTACAGGCATGAGCCACCACACCCGGCCCATTGATTCATTTTTAAATGTTAAACTCACCTTCTATTCTTAGGGTAAATTTCACTTGATTGTGATGTATTCTTTTTATATATTGCTGGGCTTGGTTTGCTGAAATTTTTAAAATATTTTTTCATCTATGTTCATGAGAGTTATTAGTATGCAATTTTCTTTAGGTCTTTGCAAGGCTTTGGTATTAGGATAATGCTGACATCATAAAATGGGGTAGGAAATGTTTCTTCTTTTCAGTGTTCTAGAAGAGTTTTTATAGATTTCCTTCTGATCTTTATTTTCTTTCTTCTGGTTGCTTTGTATTTTATTAGTTCTTCTGTTTCTAGATTTTTTTTTTTTTTTTTTTTTTTTTGAGACAGGGTCTCCCTCTGTCACCCAGGCTAGAGTGCAATGGCGTGATCTCGGCTCACTGCAAACTCCGCATCCTGGGCTCAAATGATCCTTCTGCCTCAGCCTCTCAAGTAGCTGGGACTACATGCCTGGCACCACCATCCCTGGCTAATTTTTGCATTTTTTGTAGAGATAGGGTTTTGCCATGTTGCCCGGGCTGGTCTTGAACTCCTGTACTCAAGTGATCCGCCTGCCTTGGCCTCCCAAAGTGCTGGGATTACAGGCGTGAGCCACTGCACCTGGCCATGTTTCTTGATTCTTGAAATGGAAGCTGAAGTCTTTTATTTGAGACCTTCTTTTATTAATAGGAATGTTTAGTGTTATACATTTCCTTTAGTGCTGCTTTAGCAACATTCCACAAATTTTGATGTACTTTCATTTTCATTCAGTTAGAAACACTTCCTAATTTCCCTTTTGATTTGTTCTTTGACCCATCAGTTACTTAGGTATGTATTACTTTACTTCCTGATATTTGGGAGTTTTGCAGATATTTTCCTTTGTTGATTCCTAATTTAATTCCATTATGGTTAGAGAACATACTTTGTATGACTCTAATTCTTTTATATTTATTGAGGATTGATTTATGGCCTCAAATATGGCTTATCTTGGTAAATTTTTTATATGCACTGAAAAAATATTTTTCTATTATTGGTGCATTTTTCTTGTGTTTTTTGTTCTTATGGTTCATTTAGCATCTTAGATCTATGAGTTTATTGTCAATATCAAATTTGGAAAAATTTGGCCACTATTTCTTTAAATATCCCTGTTTATCCTCTCTTTACTTCTGGGAACTCTAGTTACATGTATATTAAACTGCTTAAAGTGTTCCCAGAATTCACTCATGGTCTTTTTATTCTTTTTCCACTCTGGTTTACTTTGGGTAGTTTTTATTATGTGTCTTCTAGTTCACTCATCTCTTATGTTTTGTCTGATCTGCCATCAGTCTTATCCAATGCATTTTTCATATTAGACATTATTCTTTTTATCTGTAGAAGTTGGATTTAGGCCTTATTTTCTTTCTCCCATGTTTCTACTTAGCTTTTTGAATATGGAATAACTTTGTTAATTCCCTTGTCTGCTAATTCTAACATATATGTCAATTTTGTTAGCTTCAGTTGATTGATTTTTTTCTTCTTCATGGGTCATATTTTCTTTGCATGTTTGATAAATTTTTGTGGATTATAAACATTGTGAATTTTACCTGTTTAGGTACTGGATTTTTTTTTTATTTGTTCTGTGTCACAGTTAATTTATTAATACAGTTGAATCCTTTCCTTAAGATTTGTTTCAAAAACATAGAGAGAAGAGGGGGAGAAAAAAAAATATTTGTTAGGTGGGGCCAGAGCAGTTTTCCATCTAGGGTAGTTACTCCCCAGGATCCTTGGAATACTCTACCTCGTGCCTTGTTAATTACGGGGTTTTCCAGTTTGGCTGGTGGGAACAGGCATTGTTCTTGTTCTGTTTGAGTGCCAGTTAGTGTTCCCTCTAGTTTTCTAAGTAGTTCCTACATGCACTCACTGGTCAGTACCCCACTGAGTACTTAAGAGGAGCCCACTGCAGAGCTCCAGGTGCTCCCAGCATGCAGCGCGTTTTCCAGTACTCCATCCTGCACACTGTCTCTGCCTTGGCCTTCCCAGACTCTCAGCTCAATCTCTTCAACGAAGATAGCCCTGGGCTCTACTTGGGTTCCTCCTTCATTAAACTGCACCTTGGAAATATTCTCAAGGCAGTAAGCAGAAGCATTCACAGAACTTACTTCACTTGTTTTCTGTCTCTCAGGGATTGCTGTTCTTCATTGCCTAATGTGCAGTGTCTTTGAAACCATCATTTCATGTATTTTCTCTGCTTTTTTTGTTTGTTTGTTTCAGGCAGGTAGGTAAATCTTATACTTGTTATTACATATTGGCTAGAAATGGAAGTCCATTATTTTAAATACTTCTTATGTGCTTGAAATGTTTCAGGATAAACATATAGACTAAATGGATATATTTGCCAAAGATGAGGTACTGACAGAAATTTTCTAGACTTTAAAATTAAGTTTCACCTTCTTCTCTTCCATCATTTTGAGACTAAAGTTTTATATTTTAAGTGTTTTTTGGTATTTGCTTGTGCTTTGCTTTTTATCTATAAAAAAGAGGTTTAATATGTTCTATGGTTGTGTGACTCAAACAATATAGTACTTTTTGTACCACAGGCCCTGAGGTCTGAACTCAGCATCACTATCTTTTTTCATATTAGCTTCCAAATAGCATCAGGTGGTCATTTTTAAAATTTAAAACCAGTCTACCTATCTTGTTTGATTTGATCTTGTGACCTTAGGGAAGAAACCCACCCAGGAATAGAATAAAGAAACTTTTTACATCCTGAGGCTTTAAAAAACAAAATCAAAATCCAGCTATTTAAAAAATTTTAATATCTTTAAACCTTTCTACAATGGAGTCATTTTTTTAAAAGAAAGCACTGTCCTTTGCCTGGTTAATGAATAATGTGAGTACTATTTTATTATAAATAATTGATTTCCAGGACTTCCTGGGGTAGGAAGAATGTGTCCTAGCTGAATAAATTAAGGGAAGTGATAAGGACTGAATTCTGTTAGTGGAAGTAATAAACGAAAGAAAGTTATGTGGTTGGGGTTGACTGTGAGCAGAGAGTGATTCCGTAGTTAAGATGAAGGGATTTGTTAGTCTTCTCAGAGAGGAAGGACAAGCGTGAGGAATAGGAAAATTTCACCTGTAGGTGGGATGGAAAAAGCTTGGAATAATTGGCCGGGCATGGTGGCTCACGCCTGTAATCCCAGCACTTTGGGAGGCTGAGGTGGGCGGATCACCTAAGGTCAGGAGTTCAAGACCAGTCTGGCCAACATGGTGAAACCCCCATCTCTAATAAAAATAAAAAAATTAGCTGGGCATGGTGGCATGTGCCTGTAATCCCAGCTGCTTGGTAGGCTGAGGCAGGAGAATCGCTGGAACCCAGGAGGCAGAGGTTACAGTGAGCCAAGATCGCACCACTGCACTCCAGCCTAGATGACAGAGTTGAGACTTCGTCTCAAAAAAAAAAAAAAAAAAAAGCTTGGAATAGTTGTTTGGGGGCCATCCTGAGACAATGTGATTCTCACATATGGGAGTATGAAGATAAGGAATCTCTTGGAGAATTCTAGCTTGTGACTTTCACTCCTGCTTTCTCTTTCTCCTCTATGTTCAGTATGCAATTGTTGATTAATTGAAAAGGAGTGGAAATGAAAAAACTAAAAAATTTTTTTTTCAAACTAGAAAAATGTCTTAAGAAATTGAAAATGAAATCATTAGTTTCTAGAGCTTTATTTTTGGCAAACTAGAATAATCCAAGTTTTATTTTACTAATTTTATAGAATTATAGCCCTAGGAAGGTAAGCAAATTTCTGTTTTCTGCTACAATATTTTTGTAATGGTGAAATCTAGTTAAAATATTTTGGAGTATAAAAAATTAGAAAACATGGTACAGAAGAGGCCAGTGCTGCTCAGGGGTTAATAAGGCTGGGACAGCCAGCTCTAGCTGTAAGCATATGTAGGTTTTAATATACTAAAGGCCGTGAGCTACAGCTTTTGCTTTCTCTCCCATCTATGGCCTCCCTCGTGTATTTATATATGTAGCCTCCCTGATGTGTGGATGTATGGATGTATTTACAGCTAGCATCAGCTATGGTTAGGGCTGCATTCTTTTCTTTCTCTCCCATCTGAGGCCTCCTGGAGTCATTCTTGCAAGAGTTCACACAAGTTTGTTGAACTGAATTAAACTTCAAGTTTTTGTTAGAAGAATTGGGCAGGGATCAGAGCATAGAGATTCCTGATGGAGAATCCATCAGGCAAGGAAATGAACAGCTCTTTGTGTCCTGAGATGACCAGCTTCTCCTACCCAGACCAGGAAGGATTGTTTTGCCAGTCTTCCCATGGTGTCAGGGAACCAGGATTGAGGAGTCTAAATTTCAGTTTTGGCAAGTTGGAAAAGAAAAAAAGGTACAAAAAAAGGAACTTAGGTTGAACTTACTGCCAATCTTTCCCCAGAGGGAAATGTTCTTCCTGACCTTGTAGAATCCATGTGATTAAAGTTCTTCATGTCCTTTTTAGAGTTCTGAGCAGTAATCCTCTATTTTCTTTCTCTCTCTCTCTTTTTTTTTTTTTTTTTTTTTGAGATAGGGTCTGGCTCTGTCACCCAGGTTGCAGTGCAGTGGCACGATCTCAACCTCCACCTTGCTAACTGCAACCTTCACCTCCCAGGCTCAAGCAATCCTCCCACCTTGGTCTCTTGAGTAGCTGGGACTATAGGTGTGTGCCACCCCACCCAGCTAATTTTTGTATTTTGTGTAGAGGCAGGGGTCTCTCTTTGTTGCCCAAGCTGGTCTCAAATTCCTGAACTCAAGTAATCTGCCCACCTTGGCCTCCCTAAGTGCTGGGATTAGGGGCATGAACCACCATGCCTGGCCTAAATCCTCTATTTAAACCAGGGCCACCTTCCTACCCCCAACCTCCACCAAAAAGAAATTTTAGTTATATCAAACCAACTAGTTTTAGGTCACAGTGTCTTTCTTTGGAGGGTGAAAATGAAAGAATTGAGGCTACACAATATAAAATGAAATGGTAATGTGAGCATTAATTAGAATTATAGGTGTTTTAGAGCAGTAGTTCTCAAACTTTTTTGTCTCGGGGCCCTTTACACTCTTTATTTTTTATTTTTTTGTGTGAGATGGAGTCTTGCTCTGTTGCCCAGGCTGGAGTGCAGTGGCGCAATCTCAGCTCACTGCAACCTCTGCCTCCCGGTTTCAAGCTTCTCTCCATGAGACTTGCCTTGGCCTTTTGCTTTTTTACCTTTACCTGGTTTTCAAAGACAAATATAAATATGAGAGGAGGGGAGTTAGTTTTTTTGTTTGTTTGTTTGTTTTGTTTTGTTTTGAGACAGGGTTTCACTCTCATCACCCAGGCTGGAGTGCAGTGGCATGCGCTTAGCTCACTACAACCTCCACCTCCTGGGCTCAAGTGATCCTCCTGCCTCAGCCTCCCGAGTAGCTGGGACCACAGGCACATGCCAGTGTGCCTGGCTAATTGTTTGTATTTTTAGTAGAGATGGGTTTCACCATGTTGGCCAGCCTGGTCTCCAACTCCTGACCTCAAGTGATCCACCTGCCTTGGCCTCCCAGAGTGCTGGGATTACAGGGGTGAGCCACCACTTCCAGCTCCTTTACACTCTTAAAAATTAAGGATCCCAAAGAGTTTTTGTCTCTGTGGGTTATATCTATATCAATACTTACAATGTTAGGAATTAAACCTGATAATTTAAAAATATTGATTGATTGATTGATTTAAAATAGCTATAAACCCGCCATGTGTTATTTATTTTAAATGGAGACATTTAATAATATTTAAATATTAATAAATTGAAAATAATAATCCCACTATATGTTAACATAAATAATATTTTCATGAAAAGTAACTACATTTTCTAAAACAAAGACATTTAATGGGAAGAAAAGCATTGTTTTATATTCCTGCCATCTCTTTGATGGCCAAATTCATAAAAAACTGTTGGATTCTCGTATCTGCTTTTGCCTTATCTGATGTGTTGCCACACATCTTGTATCCTCTGGAAAACTCCACTGTACACTTATAAAATAATAAGAGTAAAAAGAACAAATATAATCTTAGGGTTATCATGAAAATACTTTTAACCTCAAGCACCCCCTCCAGGGATACCTCAAGTAGTTTCTGGACCATATTTTGAGACCACTGTTCCCAAACTGTTTATGTGTGAGAAAAGAGAAACACAAGAGTTATCACCATTACTTCTACAGCAGATTTTTCCTTGTGTTTAATCAGTACTGGCTGTTTAGCCTAATTAAGCAGTATAACATCCAGACTCCAGAATTGAAGTGGGTGGTATAGCTGAAAACTCCAAGCACTGTACCGGGAGTAAGTCTCAGTTTAATGTGCTTTTTAAAAGTAGTTGTTGTTCAGTGTTTTTGTAGGCTATTGCTAACCAGTGGGAGAGGAAAGTTAAGGCAGCTCTCTGGGAAAGAAAAACCAAGGAATTTTAGAGATTAAAAATGACCTTTAAAGATAATCTGGTCATCGAATTTTAGACTATTGGATTTGAAAGTCAGATGCTGAGAGGTCATCTAATCCAACCCTTAAGCTTTTTAGTGATTATAATTAGTACTTGTGATACACAGGCTAAGTTCTTTATGTAGAGCTCCTTCTCCCCACGTCATTTTGATGTTTACTGTTTCTTTTGAATGTTTTTTATAATGGAAAATGTCGATCATGTACTCCATTACTCACCTTCAACAATTGTGAATTCATGGCCACTTGTTTCACATATAGCCCTGTCCACACCATCCACTCCCTGGATTATTGGATGCAAATTGAAGAATTTTATAGCTTCACCTGTAAACATATCACTATATCTCTAAAGATAAAGACCTTAAATAACTTCAATTCCATTATCATGCTAAAAAATTAGCAATAATTTTTAATAGCATAAAAACCCAATGTTCACATTTCCCTCATTGTGTTATTCATAAATGTATATTTTTTCAGTATGTTTGAATCAGGATACAAATGAGTATCATATAGTGCAGTTTATTGATTTGTCTCTTAACATTAGTCCTCTCTTCTCCCCTGCTTTTTGTTTTGCAGTTTTTTGTTGTAGAAATCAAGTCATTTGTGTTGGCAGAATTTCCCTGAGTCTGAATTTTGCTGATTACATCTCTGTGGTGTCTTTTAACGTGTTCCTTTGTCTTCTGCAACTCCTGTAAATTTGTATTTGTATTTATTTTAATTTAATTTTATTTTATTTTATTGAGACAGAGTCTCGCATCACTCAGGCTGGAGTGCAGTGGCGTGATCTCGGCTCACTGCACCCTCCACCTTCTGGGTTCAAGCGATTCTCCTCCTCAGCCTCCTGAATAGCTGGGATTACAGAGGCCCGCCACCACGCCTGGCTAATTCTTGTGTTTTTAGTAGAGACAGGGTCTCATCATATTGGCCAGGCTGGTCTCGAACTCCTGACCTCAAGTGATCTGCCTGCCTCAGCCTCCCAAAGTGCTGGGATTACAGGCGTGAGCCACTGCGCCTGGCAGTACTTCTATTTAGAAGAGTGCTCAGACTTCTTCATGAGTGGTGTTAAGTACTTCCATCAGAAGGTACATAAATGTCTGCATGTCTTTTTTGTTTTAAAATTTTATCTATTTATTATTATTATTTTTGAGACAAGGCCTTGTTCTGTCACCCAGGCTGGAGGTGCAGTAGCATGATCATAGCTCACTGCAGCTTCAACCTCCTGGGCTCAATTGATCTTCCCACCTCAGCTTCCTGAGTAGCTGCGACTGCAGGCATGCACCACCACGCCTGGCTAATTTTTGTTTGTTTGTTTGTTTATTTTGTAGAGATAGAGTTTTACCGTGTTGCCCAGGCTGGTCCTGAACTCCTGGGCTCAAGCCATCTGCCAGCCTTCGTCTTCCAAAGTGCTGGGATTACAGGTATAAGCCACCACAACGGGCCTATTTTAATTTTTATTTTACTTTTTTGAGTCAGGGTCTTGCTGTGTCACCCAGGCTGGAGTGCAGTGGCACAATTACAGCTCACTGCAGCCTCAACCTCCTGGGCTCAAGTGATCCTCCTGCCTCAGCCTGCCTAATAGCTAGGAGCACAGGTGTGTGCCACAATGCCTAGCTAATTTTTAAATTTTTTTTGTAGAGATGGGATCTCACTATGTTGCCTAGGCTCGTCTTGAACTCCTGGGTTCAAGCAGTCCTCTTGCCTTGGCCTCTCCGAGTGTTGAGATTGCGGGCGCAAGCCACCTCGTCCAACCTGTCTCTTTTTGTGTGATGTTAGTAACTATTGATGATTTTTACTTAGATCCATTAAATCATTAAGAGCTATACAATGATGATATTCTAGTTCTATTATTCTTTCATTTATTAGCTGGAATACTTCTATAAAGAGAAACCTCCCCTTTTCTAATCTTCGATTTACCCAGTGGTATAATACATATTGGAAAGTCAGGATGAATATTTTGTTCTTTCCCCTTGTTTACCAATTTTCAGAATACTGTATTGGTTCACTAGCATTCTCCAATTAGGCATTGGTTTTGGTGGGGGTTTTTTTGGTATCATAAACTCTTGGGTTTAAACATTTTTGAATATGTTTCAATTCATTGCATTTTTTTCCTTTTCTAGTGATTTTACTGATATATTTCTTCTTTCTTTCTTTTTTTTTTTGAGACGGAGTCTTGCTCTGTTGCCCAGGCTGGAGTGCAGTGGTGCAATCTCAGCTAACTGCAACCTCCGCCTCTAGGGTTCAAGTGATTCTCCTGCCTCAGTCTCCTGAGTAGCTGGGATTACAGCCATGCACCACCTCGCCCAACTAATTTTGTATTTTTAGTAGAGATGGGGTTTCTCCATGTTGGTCAGGCTGGTCTCGAACTCTTGACCTCAGGTGATCCTCCCGCCTCGGCCTCCCAAAGTACTAGGATTACAGGCACCATGCCCAGTGGCATATATATTTCTTCTAATAAACTCAGCTTGATGATGAGGACGTGTCTTAGACATCTTTCTGTCCATGGTGCCTAGTGCGTGGCTTTCAATAAATGTCAAATGAATGAGTTGATATTCTGAGCAGCATTTAAAAATAAGAGCTAGTGGCTGGGCACGGTGGCTCATGCCTGTAATCCCAGCACTTTGGGAGGCCAAGGCGGGCGGATCACGAGGTCAGGAGATGAGACCATTCTGGCCAACATGGTGAAACCCTGTCTCTACTAAAAATACAAAAATTAGCCGGGAGTGGTGGTGGGTGCCTTTAGTCCCAGCTACTCGGGAGGCTGAGGCAGGAGAATGGTATGAACCCGGGAGGCGGAGCTTGCAGTGAGCTGAGATTGCGCCACTGCACTCCAGCCTGGGCGACAGAGTGAGACTCTGTCTCAAAAAAAAAAAAAAAAAGTTTTGGAGGCATGACAGAGGAGCAAAGTCCAGTATTACTTTCCTGTGTGAGCTGAAGAAAGTGCAGTATAACAGTAAAAAATAATATGGTTGCAGGTGAAAGAAAAACATGTTTTTTAAAAAGTGAATGTGGCCGGGCGTGGTGGCTCACGCCTGTAATCCCAGCACTTTGGGAGGCTGAGGCAGGTGGATCATGAGGTCAGGAGTTCGAGACCAGCCTGGTCAAGATGGTGAAACCCCATCTCTACTAAAAAATACAAAAATTAGCCGGGCGCAGTGGCGGGCGCCTGTAATCCCAGCTACTCAGGAGGCTGAGGCAGGAGAATCGCTTGAACCCGGGAGGTGGAGTGTGCAGTGAGCCGAGATCACGCCACTGCACTCTAGCCTGGGCGACAGAGTGAGACTCCATCTCAAAAAAAAAAAACAAAACAAAACAGTTAATATTATTTAATTGCCATTTGTTAACAGACGTGGCATTGTTTCCACTATTGTTTCCAGTGGATCTTTTAATTATATTTATTAAAATATAAAAAAAGGAGTAATTCAGAGTCCTTGTCTTTACTTCACTTGCTGTAAGATAAGTAACATTTAAAAGCCACCTTTCCTCCCCTCAGGTTCTTTTCTCTTTTAATATAAATGGCAAAGAGCATACATGTTTATGACAGACATGTTCCCCATAAGTTTATTCATTTATTCTACAAACCCCCCCAAAATTTTGCAGGGAAGTAAAACAAAACTAAGTACCCACAATATGTGAGGCACCGCTCTGAACATTTTTGCATGGATTATACATATCATTTATTCTTACCACAACTCTATAAAGTTGGTAGGATTATTATCATCGTCTCCTTTTTATAGATTAAGTAATTGAAGCACAGACATTAAGTAACTTACTGAGGGCATACAACTAGTGAATATTAGTGCTAGGATTCAAATCATGCATTCTTTTACCGGAGCCTCTGCTGTTAAATTACTTTCAGTGACTTTACCCGAGACCTTTTTTTTTTTTTTTTGCAGGATGGGGTGGTATTCATAAAAGAATTTTATAATCATGTGAATAATAAAATTTATTGCCACAAAGTCTTTTTTTTTTCTTTTTTTTTGAGACAGGGTCTTGCTGTGTCACCCAGGCTGGAGTGCAGTGGCGTGATCTCAGTTCACTGGAAGCCCCACCTCCCAGGTTCACGCCGTTCTTCGCCTCAGCCTCCCGAGTAGCTGGGACTACAGGCACCCGCCACCATGCCTGGAAAATTTTGTTTTTGTATTTTTAGTAGAGACGGGGTTTCACCGTGTTAGCCAGGATGGTCTCAATCTCCTGACCTCATGATCCGCCCGCCTCAGCCTCCCAAAGTGCTAGGATTACAGGTGTGAGCCACTGCGCCCGGCCCAAAGTCTGTCATTTTATGATGACAAATATGGCTAAGTTTTTTTTTAATGGAACTTTATTCCTCCAAAAAATGACTTTTAATTTTTCCCAGGCCATCATTTCATGGTTGGTATTAAGACAAACAATTATGAAGTGTTGAAGAATTAAGTTCCTATTATTACTGTATCATGTATTACTGTAAAAAAATTAGAATTCATAGAATTTGCAAATCTTGAACATTTTTAGTAGGACTACTGCTTGTAACAATTTGCTTACCATCACTTTCCCTTTGATTAGATAATTATAACTTGTTTTGTGTGGTTATAAACAGGTTCATAACATTCTCATACATGAGTCCTAAAGAGGCAGCCATCCTAGTTTCTTCATCTGTCTTTGCTTCATTGTCATGAATTTATGCGTGGATAAAGATAAAATAAGTCACAAGCACTATAATAATCAGCAGTTGTCACAGCTGTGAGTATAGCATATGTAATAGAGCCCACTGGTTGTCCAAAATTGCTTGCTGACTAGGGCTATATATCATTCCTTTCTCTCCCACTCAGTAAAGTTAAATGTGACACAAGAATGAAAATGATGTTAAGGCTGGGCACGGTGGCTCACGCCTGTAATCCTAGCACTTTGGGAGTCTGAGACAGGCAGATCACCTGAGGTCAGGAGTTCAAGACCAGCCAGGCCAACATGGTGAAACCCCATCTGTACTAAAAATACAAAAATTACCTGGGCATGGTGGCACACACCAGTAATCCCAGCTAGTTGGGAGGCTGAGGCAGGAGAATTGCTGGAACCCAGGAGGCAGAGGTTGCAATAAGCCGAGATCATGCCACTGTACTCCAGCCTGGGTGACAGAGTGAGACTCTGTCTTAAAAAAAAAAACAAAGAAAGTAAGTTATGTTAATAGGGATTGAATTTACTTTAACTTATTCATTAGAAAGGAACTTAAATATTAGGAACAAGTTATTTGGGACACAGTTTTATAGCTTCTAGACTGAGAAACGTTACTCTTAAAAGCATATTGCTTTGGGAATGATAGTAAGAGGAGTAAAGAATAAAAGCATATTGCTTACCCACTTTTAAAATTATTTATTTATTTATTAGAGATGGGGTCTCACTGTGTTGCCCAGGCTGGTCTCAAACTACCAGGCCCAAGCACTACTCCCACCTCTGCCTCCTGAGTAGCTGTGATTATAGGCGCTTGCCACTGTGCCTGGCTTTCTCAAGTTGATCAGTGAAGACAGAGTTTTTGGGTTTTTTTTTTGGTATCTTTCAAAGTATGGCATTGAGAAACTCATTTGTAATGGTTGCGGAAAAGGAATTTTTAAAAAAGGAAGCTAAGAAATAATAAATGCTAAACTTATTGTAATAAGTTATAGTTGTTGGTTTTCCAAGACTAAGAGGTTAAAAGTACTCTTAAAGCACATAAAAGTTATATACAAATATATGTATACCCCTTCAACTAATAACCAGAGTCTGGCCTTGAAAATGTTCTAGTAGAAGCCACAGATTGATTGTGACTAAAACTGGCTGGACGCGGGAGGCCAAGACCAGCGGATCACTTGAGCCCAGGAGTTTGAGACCAGCCTGGGCAACATGGCAAAACCCCATCTCTACAAAAAATACAAAAAAATTAGCTGGGCATGGTGGCACATGCCTATAGTCCCAGTTACTAGGGGGGTGGGAGGACTGCTTGAATCCAGCCTGAGCAACAGAGTGAACCCTTGCCTCAAACCCCTCCCCCTAAAAAAAAAACCCCAAAAACTTATTTGAGGAAACCCAATACACACATAACATTTTTTCAAACAAAAATGATAAAAATTGCAACAATTAATTTAAGTTCTTATAGGTCAGGGATCTAACATGTTCAAATTGTTCAAATATTTATAGCAGTAATCTCTTAACTGTCTTTTGGAATATAGTATAATTCCAGGAGAGAGATGGCTTAGTATGAATTTGTATATAGTATTGAGATTAAGACTTGGATGTGATTTGTTCCAAACTAATTTAGAGATTGTTAATTCACTTTTAGGAACTAATTTCACAGTCAACGTGATTTTTTACTTATTGGTTGTGAAAAGTGCTTTATCTGGTTTGTTTGGTAGTAATGGAGAAAGATTATTTAGATTAATGTTTGTATTATTTCACTTTGTATCTAATCAGTTATTTTGTAGAAAAAGAAACATTCTTCTCTTCTTTATTGGGAGACTGAAAGGTGTATTCTAGCTGGCATTTAAATATATGTTTAGTTGGTAGAACAATTACTTTGTGTACCTATGATGAATGTTATTTATTTGGACACATTTGCCTTTTCCTATTTTTTTCTTAATTGGTTTGACTGCATCTCTAAAAGCTCTCTTTAGATTGATGCCAAAAAATCCCACATGTCTGACGGAAGTGCCAGGAAAGTGTTAATGCTTCAATTTCCTTGATTCTTGTCCCTTAATTTTTAGGGGTCATTGAAATCAGAAGGGTTAGACTCTCTAGAGGCTGTTGGTCTGTTTAAGAACTATTCCAGAGAAGGAAATTAACACTTACATGCCTGTTAGTATTAGGAATTTGATGTATTAACTCATTTAATTCTTAGAATTCTGTGAGGTAGATGGTATATCAATTTTTCTGATACAGCAATTGAAGCCAGTTATCAATTTACCATAAGTCACACACCTTAAGTGGCAAGAGTGTAATCTGAATCCATATCGGTCTCTAAATATCTCTCTTTCTACTACACCATGTTAATCTATATCCACCACAACACTGTAGCTGTTCATCTGAACAGGATATCTTTTATTAGCAAATATTTTAATAAGATGGGGCAGGTATTGAGATTAGTAGACGTGTTAAGGAGATTG
This sequence comes from Homo sapiens, assembly GCF_000001405.40. Taxonomy (NCBI): domain Eukaryota; kingdom Metazoa; phylum Chordata; class Mammalia; order Primates; family Hominidae; genus Homo; species Homo sapiens. The sequence goes on from NC_000007.14 coordinate 129,294,748, forward strand.
CAATATGTGATGTATAGAAAAATCCTGGGACTATAACTTCATAAATTAGAATTTTAGATCCACTATTAACGTGTACCCTGGATAAGTCATATGTTGCCTTTGTTGTAGTTTTCCAGTCTGTAAAAATGAAGATGTTAATAATATCTATTCTGCCTTCCCAGTGGGGTGTGTTGAATGTGTGTTTGCTGGCTTTGAAAATGATAAAACTTTACCAATGTAAAGTATTAAGTAATGTGGTTCTCAGGAGTTGTGTGGCTTGATGGATTGGTACCATTCTTTTAACCAAGAAACAATTAGTTGATCTTGGCAGTAGGCCATTGGAACTCAAAGAAATAGCATCTGTCAATCACAGTCATTTCTTGGAAGGAAGAATTGAAAAATGGCACAGGAGTTATTCTCCTTGACCTCTTTCTCTGAAAGGGAATTTGATTAGGCAAGCTGGTTTCATAATAGAGTAGAGCTTCTCTCTTCTCTCCGGGGAATTGAAGCTGAGCAGCCAGGCTGGTTCTGTGAAGCCAGAGCAATCTGGTTTTAAAGGATTTAACTAAATTCTCTATGATTAAGGTTTTCTGAGGGATGTGCATTGCTGAGCAGCAGCTTTAAAAATGTTACGTATGAGTCAGTCTGTGTCCCTAGACTGAGAACAGAGTAGTGGAACTGGTTTAAGTTCAGGGAATAGTCTTCAACAAGTTCATAGCATCTTGAAGAGAAGCCTAGACTCTGAAAGCTGAAAAAATAGGCAGTAGGAGACCATTGTATAGACTGTAGAACTGAGACCCCATCTAGTCATTATTTGGTATTTCTCCACACCTTTGTTAGTGAGCTGACTCAAGTACTTTATAATATAGAAAAATAAAACTAAAGGTCAACAATCAACATACAGTAGGTGTGCAGTAAGGATATGAATATGTAATAAAAATGATTGTAAATTTATGCCTAATTATTGTCTTACAGTGAAGGCCGTGAATGGCCAGAGAAACTACTTAAAACATTTGAGTTTCTGAAACTACAGGCATCCTCAGAGGGTTAATGCATGCTCTTAGTAGAACTCAAATGTCTCTAATTAGGAAGATCTTAATCCTTTATTCTTCCAACAGTTGCTGACTTTGCTGGGGAGTTGTTCGTATATATGCAGAATTAAAGCCACTGGTTTAAGTAATTTGGCCAAAGTCAGGATAAAAATAGATTAGTTTCTCTAAAGCTTCTCTGCGTTTATACTGTTACCTTTATTTGCTAAATAGATTTTGGATAAATATATAGCTGGTTTTAGATCTTGGAATCTTAGTACTGTAGACAGCCACTTGCCTTCGCTGCTTCAATCCCCATTCCAGTATGTGTTATTCCAACTCATTGGAGACTTTAGAAGTGTGATTAGATGAGTCTCATTTTGGAGGAATCATGTAGGATTACCCCTATGATAGTTACTTAAAATTCTTATCACTATATTTAGGAGAAAACACATTTAGATGGAAGTAAAAAATCAAGGAAATAATAGGAAGAGTAGAAGAGAGGTTGCATAAAGGGAGCCAGTGAGTAACCTCTGTACACCTTAATATTCCATCAACCACAGACTTTTCTTCCAATTAAGTACTTTCCCAAAGAATCACAAACATCAGGGGAAGAAAGACAAAATTATTTTCTGGTGTTATGTTGGCATTCATTGGATTTAAATATTTTGGGGCCAGGTATGGTGGCTCACGCCTATAATCGCAGCACTTTGGGAGACTGAGGTGGGAGGATCACTCAAGCTGAGGGGTTCAAGACCAGCCTGGGCAACATACTGAGACCCCATCTCTACTTAAAAAAATTAAAAAATTAGTTGGGCATGTAACACATGCCTGTAGTCCAGCTACTTGGGAGGCTGACGTAGGAGGATCCCTTCAGCCCAGGAGTTCAAGGCTACAGTGAGCTATGATCATGTCACTGTACTCTATCCTGGTTGACAGAGTGAGACCCTGTCTCTAAAAAATAAAAATAAATAAGAAATTTTGGCTTCCTAGAATGGTCCATGCAGTTGATAGAGAGTAAATGCCTGGTTTATTAAAATGGAAAGGTTAGGATGCTTATACCTATTTTTCACATAATCTGGAAGGTAAATTAAGTAAAAATTTCAGGACATTCTGATACTAGGTAGTTTAAAACAATACTCAAATGGTTTCTGAAAATAGCCTTATAAAGGAGAATTAAACTAAATTGGCTCAGTTGGAGTCCTTACCCTTGCTTGGTGAGTTAGAGTTTTCGGAAGCTTAAAGTTTATATTCTTTTTGAGATTTAATATATGTCAACCTTTCTGAAGTGGGTAGCCAACTTGTGAAGACTGTGTGTACACATGCACACTGATCTATTGTAGCCTTGGCACATTGTGTGACTTTAAGTAGGGTGATTGGGGATGTGAAAGGTAAAAGGATTGTAGAGAGGTGGCTGCTCCAAAGAGGAGGAATTTCTGAAAACATCACTGTTTATTCCAATTACAAATTTTTTGTAGTGCTATGTCCCCTGGTTAATGATGGTGTCAGTGGTTGCCTGTGAGTCCTTTGCACTCTAGTATGCTTTGCTTTGAAGTAAACTTCATCTTAGGACCGGGCTGAGTTGTGCATACTGCTGAAATTAAAGGTACTGAAAAAGCATAGGGTAGACAGGCCCCAAGGGAGAAGCGACTGTTGGGAGCTTTGGAAAACTAGCGAACAGCTCCAGAGCACTGGTGCTTGGGGAGCAGAAGTGTCACATGTTGAGATAGGAAATTTAGAATGCCTTTGCTTGAGACCTAATTGGTCTCCTTCCTCCTATAGACTGCTAGAAATTTCTACGTAGCTCTGGACTACGGGTCCCGAAGTTGGAACCACCATTCTATTCCTGTCATTTGTAGTATGGAAAAGTAACTTTTTTCTTGTTTATAAAATGAGAAAAATTTTTGAGAAGAATTTTTTTTTAATGAGTGAAAGTATATGGTGTTTGATAGGGTAATTGAGAGCTGTAATCAAAATCATTACCTGGCTGGATGCAGTGGCTCATGCTTGTAATCCCAGCACTTTGGGAGGCCAAGGCATGGGAAGATCCTTTGAACCTGGGAGTTTGAGACCAGCCTGGACAACATAGGGAGAGCCAGTCTCTAAAAAAAATTAAAAATTAGCCCGACATGGTGGTGGACTAATCCACTAATAGTGTCAGCTACTCAGGAGTCTTAGGTGGGAGGATTGCTTGAGCTGGGGAGGTTGAGGCTGCAGTGAGCCATGATCCTGCCCCTGCATTCCAGCTTGGGTGACAGCGAGATCCTGTCTCCAAATAAACAAATCATTACCTGCTGAAATAGTCATTCCCAGTTTATATAATCAGATAGCTAGAGGGTAACTATAGACAAGAAAGCCTGTGGTTTAATTTGATAGGAAAGACTCTAACCTCATTGAGAGAAAACGATCAGAAAATATTCCTTTTCTAATGGCAAGAGAGGAAAAACTTATAAATTAGGTTCATATTATATAGGGAGTGGGGTATTCACCAGCCAGCCTATTTCTGATTCCTTAGTGAAATCTGATTTAGGAAATACAAGGTAGCCTGGTTTTATTGTTGAACAAGGGAAGGAGAAAATCACTTTGTCTTATCTAGTTAACTAAATATTTCAAGGTAAGGATATGAAGATAGTTTAAATTTCCGTTACAACTGGTATCAAATTTTGCTTCTCTGCTTTGATTAGAAACTGTCTCCACCTGCTGGCCGCAATTCACTTGGCATTTCATGAGGACACCTGGTTTTTTGTTTTGTTTTCTTGAAACATATAACAGCTATGGAAAGTACTTAGGCAGGGTTGTAGTGACTAAAATACCTCTATGTAGCTTTTCCTAAAATTCCCAGAAGGATTTTGGAGTTTTTTCCTAAACTTTGCTTGGGGGATAATGGAAAAGAAGCAACGTAAGGCCTTACAAGAACCAAACCAAAGCAGCACATTTGCAGTGTTTGTTTGATATTTGTCATTCTACCAAGTGATTTGTCTATTTTATGTATTATATTAAACTGTTTAAGCTTTGTTATTTATAATTAAGGTCATTATTTTCCAAATTGCTGTTAGTTTCACCTCTTTTGCCTGTTTGGAAATAATTATCACAATCATTACTGAATTATACAATAAAATAAAACTTTTCTTGGTCTAAAGGTAGGCAAGCTTTTTCTGTAAAGGCTCAGATGGTAAGTGTTTTAGGCTTTGCAGGCTATATGTTTTTTGTTGTAACTACTCAAACCTGTTATTGTAGCGAAAAAAAGTATATAGGCAATACATAAATGAATGAGTTCCAAAAATACTTAATGGAAACCAAAAATTTGAATTTGATACAATTTCCATGTGCCATGATATATTGTTCTTTTTTAAATTTTTTGACATTTTTGGGGGGAGAATCAGGGACAGACTGGAAATTTTTCAACCATTTAAAAATGTAGAAACTATGGGGCATGGTAGTCCATGTCTGTGATCCCATGGGAAGATCGCTTGAGGCTGGGAGTTTGAGAGCAGCCTGGGAACCATAGCAAGTCCCCTCCTCTACCAAAAAAAAAAAAACAAAAAACTATCCGGGCATAGTGGCTCACCTGTAGTTTCAACTATTCAGGAGGCTGAGGTGGGAGAGTCCAACTTGTTTTTTTTTTTTTTTTTTTTTTTTTTTTTTTTTTTTTTTTTTGAGATGGAGTCTCGCTCTGTCCCCCAGGCTGGAGTGCAGTGGCGCGATCTCGGCTCACTGCAAGCTCCGCCTCCCGGGTTCACGCCATTCTCCTGCCTCAGCCTCCCGAGTAGGTGGGACTACAGGCACCCGCCACCACGCCGTGCTAATTTTTTGTATTTTTAGTAGAGACAGGGTTTCACCATGTTAGCTAGGATGGTGTCGATCTCCTTACCTCGTGATCCACCCGCCTTGGCCTCCCAAAGTGCTGGGATTACAGGCATGAGCCATCACGCCCAGCCAGATTCCAACTTTTAGGAGTACTTCCGTAACAAAGAAAACTTGTCAGAGGGGTGTTGTACCTGTTCCATCTCATCACCAACCACATGGCATAGAAGTACAGAACTTTGTATATGTGGAAGATGATTCTTTACCCACACATGTAGGATCATGACCTGTTGTGGTTTGATTATATACCCACGGTTTAGATAATTTAAGTTCAAAACACTGAAATAATTTTTTAAAGGAGAAGACTCTTTTTAAAATTTTTGAGACCAGCCTGGAAATTTTATACATACAGGAGAAAACTTGAAAAATTTTTTTATTTATTTAAAATTTTTAATTTTCGTGGGTACATAGTAGGTGCATATATTTATGGAGTTTATGGAATATTTGATACAGGCATATGTTGCGCAATAATTACATCAAGGTAAATGAGGGTATCTATCAACTCAACCATTTATCATATTACAATCCTATTATACTCTTTTAGTTATTTTAAAATGTACAATTAAATTATTATTGACTATAGTTACCCTGTTGTGCTATCAGATACCAGATCTTATTCATTCTTCCTGGTTTTTTGTACCCATGAGCCATCCCCGCCTCCCCCCCAGCCTCCTCACTACCCTTCCCAACCTTTGGTAACCATCATTCTACTCTCTATCTCCATGAGTTCAATTCTTTTAATTTTTATCTCCCAGAAATAGGTGAGAATATGCAAAGTTTGTCTTTCTGTGCCTGGCTTATTTCACTTAACATAAGGATATCTACTTTGATTCATGTTGTTGCAAATGACAGGATCTCATTCTTTTTTATGGCTGAATAGTACTCCATTGCTTATATGTACCACATTTAAAAAAATCTATTCGTCTGTTGATGGACACTTAGGTTGCTTCCAAATACTGGCTGTTGTGAACAGTGCTACAACAAACATGGGAGTGCAGATATCTCTTCAATATACTGACTTCCTTTCTTTTGAATATATGTCCAACAGTGGGATTGCTGGATTATATGGTGGTTTTATTTTTAATTTTTTGAGGAGTCTCTAAATTGTTCTTCATAGTGTATGAGGGTTTCCTTTTCTCCATATCCTTGCCAGCATTTGTTATTGCCTGTCTTTTGGATATACGCCATTTCAGCTGTGGCAAGATATTTCATTGTAGTTTTTCTATGTTTTTTTGAGATGGAGTCTCACTCTGTCGCCCAGGCTGGAGCGCAGTGGCACAATCTCAGCTCACTGCAATCTCCACCTCCTGGGTAAGGGATTCTCCTGCCTTGGCCTGCCAAGTAGTTGGGATTACAAATCTGAATAATTTTTGTATTTTTAGTGAAGATGTGGTTTCACCATGTTGGCCAGGCTGATCTCAAACTCCTGACCTCAACTGATCTGCCCACCTTGGCCTCCCTAAGTGCTAGGATTATAGGTGTGAGCCACTGCACCTGGCCTTGAGCATCTTTTCATACACCTGTTTGCCATTTGTATGTCTTTTGAGAAATATCTATTCAGATCTTTTGCCCATTTTTTAATTGAATTATTAGATTTTGTTTCCATAGGGTTGTTTGAGCTCCTTATATATTATGGTTATTAATCCTTTGTCAGATGGATAGTTTGCAAATACTTTCTCCCATTCTGTGGGTTGTGTCTTCACTTTGTTGGTTGTTTCCTTTGCTGTGTAGAAGCTTTTTAACTTGATGTGATCTGATTTGTCCATTTTTGCTTTGGTTCCTGTGCTTGTGGGGTATTTACTCAAGAAATCTTTGCCCACTCCAATGTCCTGGAGAGTTTCCCCAATGTTTTCTTTTGGTAGTTGCATAGTTTGAGGTCTTAGATTTAAATCTTTAATCTATTTTTATTTGATTTTTGTATATGTGAGAGATAGAGGTCTAGTTTTATTCTTCTGCATATGGATATCCAGTTTTCCCAGCACCGTTTATTGAAGAGACTGTTCTTTCCCCAATGTATAGTTTTGGCATGTTTGTCAAAAATGAGTTCACTGTAGATGTATGGATTTGTTTCTGGGTTCTCTATTCTGTTCCATTGGTCTATGTGTCTGTTTTTATGCCAGTACCATGCTGTTTTGGTTACTGTAGCTCTGTAGTATAATTTGAAGTCAGGTCGTGTTATTCCTTCAGTTTTGTTCTTTTTGCCCATGATAGCTTTGACTATTCTGTCACTTTTGTAGTTCTATATAAATTTTAGGATTTTTTTTTTCTATTTCTGTGAAGAATGTTATTGGGATTTGGAATCTATAGATTCAGTGCAATCCCTATTATTACACTGATTCTGCTTTAGGTAGGATGGACATTTTTACAATATTGATTGTTCCAATCCGTGGACATGGAATGTCTTTTTCTTGGTGCAGGGGGTATTCTTTTCAATGTCTTGCATCAGTGTTTTATAGTTTTCATTGTAGATATATTTCACTTATTTGGTTAATTCCTAGGTATTTAATTTTATCTGTAGTTATTATAAATGGCGTTACTTCCTTGATTTCTTTTTCGGATTACTTGCTGTTGGTATATAGAAATGCTAGTGACTTTTGTGTGTTGATTTTACTGAATTTGCTTATCAGTTCTAATAGGTTTTTGGTGGCGTCTTTAGGTTTTTCCAAATATAAGGTCATATCATCTACAAACAAGGATAATGTGACTTCTTCCTTTCCAGTTTGAGTGCCCTTATATCTTTCTCTTGACTCATTGCTCTAGCTAGGACTTCCAGTACTATATTGGATCATAGTGGTGAAAGTGGGCATTGTTGTCATGTTCTAAATCTTAGAGGAAAGGCTTTCAGTTTTTCCCCATTCAGTATGATACTGGCTGTGGGTTGTTGTATATGTTTTATTATGCTGAGGTATGTTTCTTCTATACTCAGTTATTTTTAGGGTTTTTATCATGAAGTGATGTTGAATTTTATCAAATGCTTTTTCAGCATCAGTTGAAATGATCATATGGTTCTTGTCCTTCACTCTGATGATAGGCTGTATCACATTGATTGATTGGTGTATGTTGATCCATCCTTATATCCTTGGGATACATCTCACTTGATCATGATGAATGATCTTTTTAATGTGTTGTTGAATTTGATTTGTTAGTATTTGTTGAGGATTTTTACATAAATGTTCATCAGAGCCTGTAGTTTTCTTTTTTTGGTGTGTCTTTTTCTGATTTTGGTATCAGGGTAATACTGGTCTCATAGAATGAGTTTGGAAGTATTCCTTCCACCTCCATTTTTTGGAATTGTTTGAGTAAGATTGGTGTTAGTTCTTCTTTAAATGTTTGGTAAAATTCAGCAGTGAAGCCATTGGGTCCCAAGCTTTTCTTTGCTGGGATACTTCTTTGTTTTTTGAGATGGACTTTCACTCTTGTTGCCCAGGCTGGAGTGCAATGACGTGATCTTGGCTCACCGCAACCTCTGCCTCCGGGGTTCAAGTAATTCCCCTGCTTCAGCCTCCCAAGTAGCTGCGATTATAGGCATCCGCCACCACACCCGGTTAATTTTGTATTTTTAGTAGAGACTGGTTTCTCCATGTTGGTCAGGCTGGTCTCGAACTCCCAACCTCAGGTGATCTGCCCGCCTTGGCCTCCGAAAGTGCTGGGATTACAGGCATAAGCCACCATGCCTGGCCGACTGAGAGATTTTTAACTTTGACTTTGATCTTGCTACTTGTTATTGATCTGTTTAGGTTTTAGGTTTCTTCATGATTCAATTTTGGGAGGTTGTATGTGTCAAGAAATTTATCCATTTCTTCTAGGTTTTCCAATTTATTGGCATATAATTGCTCATAGTAGCCTCAAATGGTCCTTTGAGTTTCTACAGTATCAGCTGTAATGTCTTCTTTTTCATCTCTGATTTTATTTTGGTCTTCTCATGTTTTTTCTTAGTCTGGCTAAAGGTTTGTCAATTTCATTTATCTTTTCAAAGAAACAATTTTTTATTTTGTTGATATTTTGTATTGTTTTCTTCATTTCAACTTCATTTATTTCTCCTCTGATCTTTATTTATTTTCTACTAACTTTGGGTTTGGTTGGGTCTTGCTTTTCTACTTATTTAAGATGCATTGTTAGGCTATTTATTTGATGCGTTTCTACTTTTTTGATATAGGAACTTATAGCTATAAACTTCCCTCTTTGGCTGGGTGTGGTGGCTCACACCTGTAATCATAGCACTTTGGGAGGCTGAGGCGGGTGAATTGCCTGAGCTCAGGAGTTCCAGACCAGCCTAGGCAACATGGTGAAACCCTGTCTCTACTAAAAATACAAAAAATTAGTCGGGCATTGGTGGTGCATGCCTGTAATCCCAGCTACTCAGGAGGCTGAGGCGCAAGACTCACTTGAACCTGGGAGCTGGAGGTTGCATTGAGCTGACACAAGACTGTCTCAAAAAATAAAAAATAAAATAAAAATAAATAAATAAACAAACAAACTTCCCTCTTAGTACTGCTTTAGCTGTATCCCATAGGTTTGGGTATGTTATGTTTCCATTATCATTTGTTTCAAGAAATTCCTTCATGTTTGTACCATTTCCAAAATTCTTGTTATTGATTTCTAGTTTTATTCCATTGTGGTCAGAAAATGCTTGATATTACTTCAGTTTTTTGAGTGTTTTAAGACTTGTCTTGTGACCTAACATATAATCTGTCCTTGAGAATGATCCATGTACTGAGGAGAAGAATGTGTATTTTGCAGCCATTGGATGAAATGTTCTGTAAATATCTATTAGGTCCATTTGGTTTGTAGTGCAGATTAAGTCCAGTGTTTCTTTGTTGATTTTCTGTCTGGATGATCTGTCCGATGCTGAAAATGGGATGTTGAAGTCTCTAGCTAGCTATTGTTTTGGAGTCTTATCTATTTAGCTCTAATAATACTTCCTTTATATATCTGGGTGCTCCAGTGTTGGGTACATATATATTTAAAATGGCTACATCTTCTTGCTGAATTAACCCCTTTATCATTATATAATGACCTTTTTCTGTCTCTTTTTGTAGTTTTTGTCTTGAAATCTATTTTGTCTGATACAAATACAGTTAGTCTTGCTCTTTTTTGGTTTCCATTGATATGGAATATTTTTTTTCATCCTTTCATTTTCACTCTATATGTTTCTTTAAAGGTGAAGTGTGTTTCTTGTAGGCAACAGATCATTGAATCTTGCTTTTTTATCCATTCAGCCACTCTATGTCTTTTGATTGGGGAGTTTAGTCCATTTACATTCAATGTTATTATTAATAAGTAGGGACTTACTCCTGCCATTTTATTTGTTTTCTGGTTTTTTTTTTGGTCTTCTCTTTCTTCTTTTCTTCCTTCCTATTTTCCTTTTAGTGGATGTGATTTTCTCTGGTGGTATGTTTTAATTTCTCCCTTTTTATTTTTTGCATATCCACTATATGTTTTTAGATTTGTGGTTACCATGAAGTTTGCAAATAATATCTTATAACCCATTATTTTAAACTGATGACAACACCGATTGTATAAACAGACAAGCAAAAAAACTAATAAAAACTTTATACTTAGGCCGGGCATGGTGGCTCATGCCTGTAATCCCAGCACTTTGGGAGGCCGAGGCGGGCAGATCACGAGGTCAAGAGATTGAGACCATCTTGGTCAACAAGGTGAAACCCCGTCTCTACTAAAAATACAAAAATTAGCTGAGCATGGTGGCACGTGCCTGTAGTCCCAGCTACTTGGGAGGCTGAGGCAGCAGAATCGCTTGAATCCGGGAGGCAGAGGTTGCAGTGAACTGAAATCGTGCCACTGGACTCCAGTCTGGGTGACAGAGCAATAATCCATCTCAAAAACAAACAAACAAACAAAAAAAAACACTTTATACTTTAACTTCATACCCCCCACTTTCTAATTTTTTGTTGTTTCTATTTATATCTTATTGTACTGTGTCTTGAAAAGTTGTAGTTATTATTTTTGATCAGTTCATCTTTCTTCTGAAATATGAGTTTACATACCACAATTACCTAAGTTCAAAAACACTTGAATCTGTGTTCTTCTGTGTACTATTACCAGTGAGTTTTATACCTTCAGATGATTTCTTATTGATCATTAGCATCCTCTTCTTTCAGATTGAAGAACTCACTTTAGTGTTTCGTATAAGACAGGTCTGGTGTTGATGAAATCCTTTAGCTTTTGTATGTCTGGGAAAGTCTTTATTTCTCCTTCATGTTTGAAGCATATTTTCACTGGATATACTGTTCTAGGATAAAAGATTTTTCCTTCAACACTTTAAATATGTCATGCCACTCTCTCCTGGCCTGTAAGGTTTCCACTGAGAGGTCTGCTGGCAGATGTATTTGGAGCTCCATTGTATGTTGTTTCTTTTCTCTTCCTGCTTTTAGGATCCTTTCTCTATCCTTGACCTTTGGGAGTTTGGATATTAAGTGCTTTGAGGTAGTCGTCCTTGGATTAAATCTGCTTGGTGTTCTAGAACCTTCTTGTACTTGAATACTGATATCTTTCTCTAGGCTTGGGAAGTTCTCTATTGTTATCCCTTTGAATGTACTTTCTATGTCTGTCTCTACCTTCTCTTTAAGGCCAATAACTCTTATATTTGCCCTTTTGAGGCTATGTTCTAGATCTTGTCGGTGTGCTTTATTCTTTTGTATTCTTTTTTCTTTTGTCTCCTCTGGGTGTGTGTTTTCAAATAGCCTGTCTTCAGGCTCACAGTTCTTCTGCTTGAGCAATTCTGCTATTAAGAGACTCTGATGCATTCTTCAGTGTGTCAATTGTATTTTTCCACTACAGAATTTCTGCTTTATTCTTTTTTTAATTATTTCAATTTCATCGTTAAGTTTATCTGATAAGATTCTGAATTCTTTCTTATGTCATCTCGAATTTCTTTGAGTTTCCTCAAAACAGTTATTTTGAATTCTGTCTGAAAGGTCACATATCTCTGTTTCTCTGAGATTGGCCTCTGATGCCTAACTTTGTTTGTTTGGTCAGATCATGTTTTCCTCCTGGTCTTGATGCTTGTGGATGTTTGTCAGTGTCTGGGCATTGAAGAGTTGGGTATTTGTTGACTTCTTAGCAATCTGGGCTTATTTGTACCTGTGCTTCTTGGGAAGGCTTTCCAGATATTCAAAGGGACTTGGGTGTTGAGATCTGTTTTTGGTCACTGCAGCCATATCTGCATTAAGTGGCACCCCAAACCCAGTAATGCTGTAGTTCATACAGACTCGTAGAGGTATCACCTCGATGGTCTTGGGTAAGATCCAGATGAATTCTCTGGATTACCAGGCAGAGACTCTTGTTACCTTACTTTCTTCCAAACAAACGGAGTCTCTCTCTGTCTCTGTGCTGAACTGCCTGGACCTAGGGGTGAGGTAACACAAGCAGCCCTGTGGCCACCAACACTGGGACGCATTGGGTCAGTCCTGAAGCCAGTAAAGTGTTGAATCTTGTCCAGGGGGTGCTGTGACCACTACCTGGCTGCTGCGTATGTTCACTCAAGGCCTTAGGGCTCTACAGTCAGCAGGTAGTGAAGCCAGCTAGTCTTGTGCCTTTCCCTTCAGGGTGGCAAGTTCCCTTGGGCCCTGGGCAAGTCCAGAGATGCTGTTCAGGAGCCAGCGCTTGGAGTTGGAAACCTTAGAAAGAAATCTACTTGGTGCCCTATTCCATTGCAGCTATGCTGGCAGTGAAACCACAAGACAAATCCTTCCTATTCTTCCCTACCCTTTCCCCAGGCAGAGGAGTCTCTTCCCATGTCCACCACCACCACCACAGGCCTATGAGTACCAGGGCACCACTGATGTTCACTTAAGGCCCAAGGGCTCTTCAGTCAGCTTGTGGTGAATGCTGCCAGGCCTAGAACTCACCCTTCAGGGCAGTGGGCTCCCCTCTGGCTCAGGGTAGGTCTAGAAATGCAATGCAAGAGCCAAGGCCTGGAATCAGGGACCCCAAGAGCCTGTTTGGTACTCTTCCCCACTTTGACTGAACTGGTACCTAAGCTGCAAGACAAAGTCTCCTTTATTCTTTCCTCTCCATTTCTCAAGCAGAAGGATTCTCTCCTCATAGCCAACACAGTCGTGAATTTGCTGGGACACACCTGAAGTCAGCATGGCTCAAGAGTCTTACCTAAGACCCATGGCAGGTCCTAGCTGGTTGCCGCTGCTGATTATTTAGAGCCCAAGGGCTGTTTAGTCAGCAGGTGATGAATCCTGCCAGGACTGTTTCCCTTCTGGCCTAAGATATGTCTAGAAATGTCCGGGAGCTAGGGCCTGGAATGGGACCTTATGATCCTGCCTGGTGCTCTTTCCTACTGTGGCTGAACTGGTATCTAAGTTGTAAAACAACATCCTCTTTACTCTTCCTTCTCCTCTCCTCAAGCAGAAGAAAGGGGTCTCTTCTGAAGCTGGGAGCTTCAAGCTGCACTGCCTTGGGTTGAGGGAGGGGTGACGCAAGCACTCCCTTAGCCACCCTGGCTGACATCTCACTAAGTTATGTGCCCCTCAAGTCCCCTGGCTCCAAGCCCAGCACAGCACTAGGACTTGCCCAGGAGTTGTAGTCCTAGTGGCCTAGACAGCCTTTCAAGTTTACTTAGAACCCCAGAGCACTTTAGCCCATGGTAGCAGGCCTTATGGAAGTTACAGATATGACTGCTGGGTTGGGTGATTCCCCTCTGGCTAGGGCTTTTCTGAATGCTCCCTCTGTGGGTACCTGCTGAGTCCTGTCTGGTGTTGCCAGCACTGAGTTCCAATGCAAAGTTGCACAATCACTGAGCTCTCCCTGCCACAGCATACAGATTGCCCATGTGGGTGCTGCCAGGGGATGGGAGAGGGGTGTTGTTGCATTTCAAGATTGTTTTTCCTGCCTTTTTCAGTACCTCTTTCAGTGATATGTAGTTAAAACCAGGTACTGTGATTGCTCACATGATTTTGATTCTAATTGAAGGTGCTTTTTTTGTGTAGATAGTTGTTAAATTTGGTGTTCCTGCAGGGAGGATGATCAGTGGAGACTTCTATTCAGCTATCTTACTCCATGTCTTCTCAGGAGAAGATTCTTTATGTTCATTTAAAAAACAGAAACATTCAGATAGTAGAATTATTCTAAGACAGTTTCAAAAAAGAAACTATCATTACAACTGAAGAATAATTTGCTATAGTGAGGAGCATGTGGGGTTGGTATTGGGTGCCCTGGGCCACATGATCTGGGCAGCATGGTATGGATCATTCATTATAATTTCAGTGTGATGTCACTGTGGTCATGTGGTGGTTCTTAGTCTATTTTGGAAGATAACTATTTTAAAACATTGAATTAAAAATATTTATGGTTATGGGCTGGGCACAGTGGCTCATGTCTGTAATCCCAGCACTTTGGGAGGCTGAGACCAGGCAGATCACCTGAAGTCAGGAGTTCGAGACCAGCCTGGCCAACATGGTGAAACCCCGTCTCTACTAAAAATACAAAAATTAGCCGGGCGTGGCGGCGGGCACCTGTAATCCCAGCTACTTGGGAGGCTGAGTCAGGAGAATCACTTGAACCCAGGAGGTGGAGGTTGCAGTGAGCTGAGATCATGCCACTGCACTCTAGCCTGGGCGACAGAGCAAGACTTCGTCTCAAAACAACAACAAAAATTATGGTTATGTCAGGTACAGTGGCTCACACCTGTAATCCCAGCACTTTGGGAGGCCAAGATGGGAGGATCACTTGAGGCTAAGAGTTTGAGATCAGTCTAGAAAACATAGTGAGATTCCATCTCTACAAAAAGTTTAAAAATTAGCTGGGTGTGGTAGGTACATGCCTGTAGTCCCAGCTACGTGGGAGGTTAAGGTGAGAGGATCACTTGAGCCTAGGAGTTTGAGGCTGCAGTGAGATGTGATCACACCACTGCACTCCAGCCTGGGCAACAGAGCAAGACCTTGTCTCAAAATAAATAAATGAAAGAAAAGAAAATTTATGGTTACAAATGGTTCATCATTTTAGTTTGTCACATATAAATATCTTCTATTCTTTTGGTTCTTGTCCGCTGCCAGCCCCCGCATTCCTGGATCAATTTTACAGTCTGCCTTCTCTGTTTCTGCCTGTGCCTTAAAAACTGAGTGCTATAAAGTTATGGAATTGCTGCCTCTCTAAGCTCATGTCTCTAAATTCCAATCTCATTTGAGTTCTCTTTACCAGTCACCATTTTTTTTTTTAATTTTACGTTGGTTGGTTCCCTTTGCCTTTTCCTTCAGCAGCTGTTACAGACTTCTACTCATCTCAGACCCCTTCCTAATCTCTGTCTCATTGTCATACAACCCACCTTGGATCTGGGACACCAAAAAGTTTAGGCTTTCTCTTGTGAACTCTTTCAACTTCCTTCTGACTTTCTCATTACATGTCTCTGTTTGACCTCATTTTTACCTTTTTCCTTTCTGTCCCAGAGGAAGAGGTTTAGCTCTTCCCATTTTAGATAGTTGTGACATCTGTCTAAATATATGATTCTTGATACCATCTCATCCACCTCCTTGGTGACTTAATAACATCATTTATATCCTTGATCTTCAGTCTTTCCCTCTCCATTAACTTCATTCCCATTTAAAAAAAAGAAAAAAGATGACAAAATAGACCCCATAAATCTCTAATCCTATCTATATATACTCTTTTAGATTTATCATTTCATTTTCTGTTTGGTAATAGAGCATTTATGGTCACCTTTTCTCTGAAACCATGCTTGCTAAGATCACCAAGGATCTCCTGTCAAATCATTCATTCTTTCAGTGGAATCACCAGGGAGTTTATATGAAGTGATGGAGACAAGGCTGAGAATGGACCCCAATGGACATCAACATTTGAGGGAATTGGTGAAGGAAAAGATAATGAAGGAAATTAGAAGCCAGGGTTGAAGGAGAAAGCCAGGAGAGTGTGGTATTCCAAAAAGAAGAGAGTTTTTAAGAAGGAGGGGAATTAAGTGTTAAATGCTATACAGATGTAAAATAAAATCAGTATTGAAAATAATTCACTGAATTTAGCAGCAAAGCAGTGAAGTGTTAGGATAGTTGGTAAGGTTAAATTGCACTGGTGAGAGACATTATTTGTAGGGAAGCAAAACAAGCTGGGGTAGAAAACTGTTTTGAAAATATTGACTGTGAAGAATAAGGGAGTTAGAGTTGCTGGAGAGGGTTGCAAGCTCTAGGGAAAATGTTTTTTAAAGCAGTATATAACAGACTTGATGGGCCAGGCGTGGTGGGTCATGCTTGTAATTCTAGCACTTTGGGAGGCTGATGTGGGCATATCACTTTGAGCTCAGGAGTTTGAGTCCAGCCTGGGCAACATGGTGAAACCCTGTTTCTACAAAAATTACAATTAGCCAGGTGTGGTGGCTCACACCTGCAGTCCCAGCTACTCAGGAGGCTGAGGCTAGAGAATTGTTTGAGCCCAGGAAACAGAGGTTGTAGTGAGCCAAGATCACACCACTGCACTCCAGCCTGGGCAAGAGTGAAACCCTGTCTCAAAAAAAAAAAAAAATGTACGACAGACTTGAATATGTTTAGGTGCCTATGGAAGAGAGTTTGGAGAGGAAGAAAGCAAGATTGGAAGAAGAAGGGAATAAAAATGGACTGAAGTCCTTGAAAAGAAAGAAAGGAACATGATTCAAAGCATGAATAGGACGATTGGCCTTATTTACATAGAAACAGGATATCTTATACAGTAAGAGACCTATTAATATGGGATGCCATGGGGCCAGTCCTTGAATAAGTTCATCTCTTTTCTGTCATGGTGATCGTACCTATTCCTGTGGTTTTAAATATCATCTAACCTAAATGCTGACAAGTCCCAAACTCTCCTGAATTCCAGACTTGCATCTCTAACTGCCATCTTTATATGTTCTCTCAGGTGTCTGTAAACATTTCAAAACTTAGCATGTCAAAACTGAATTCCTCTGAAACTTACTTCTTCTACACTCTGGTCTTAACCCCACCCCCCACCGCGCCAGCAACTTGGGCAGAAAGTCCTATTGTCATTGTTGACTACCCTCTCTAATACTAATCTGTCAGCAAATCCTTTTGGCTCTACTTTCAATATATTCATAGTCTAACCACTTCTCACCACTTTGGTCTAAGCCACACTGTCACATCTTACGTGGATTATTGCATAGCCTTCCAGATGGTCTCTGCTTCTTTATTGCTGTTTCCGTCGTCTGTTTTCAGTTTATAGCTGGAGGGAACTTGTTAAAACCTATGTCAGATCATGTCACTGTTAGGTTCTGACTCTTGCAGTGGCTTCTCATGTCATGGATAATGAAAGGCAACGGCCTTAAAATTGACTATAATTATATTAAACTATGAACTCTTACTTATATTTCTCCTTGTTCATTCTGCTACACTCTTTTTTTTCTTCTTCTTTTGGAGACAACGTTTCGCTCTTGTCATTGCCCCAGGCTGGAGTACAGTGGTGCAGTCACAGCTCACTGTAGCCTCGACCTCTTGGGCTCAGGCAGTCCTCCCACCTCAGCCTCCTGAGTAGCTGGGACCAGGCTGGAGTGCAGTGGCGTGATCACGGCTCACTGTAGTCTCTACCTGTTGGGCTTAAGTGATTCTCTCAGCTCAACCTCCTGAGTAGCTGGGACCACAAGCGTTCACCACCATGCCTGGCTAATTCTGAAATTTTTTTGTAGATACAGGGTCTCCCTGTGTTGCCCAGGCTAGTCTTCAACTACTGGATTCAAGTGATCCTCCTGCTTCAGCCTCCCAAAGTGCTGGGATTACAGGCATGAGCCATTGCACCCAGCCTCCTTCATTTTCTTTTCTTTCTTTCTTTTTGTTGTCTTTTAGAGATGGAGTTTTGCTCTGTTACTCAGGCTGGTGTGCAGTGGTGCCATCATAGCTCACTGCAGCCTCGAATTTCTGGGCCTAGTCCATCCTCCTGCCTTAGCCTCCCAAGTAGCTGTGATTACAGGTGTGAGCCACTATGCTCAGCTCTGCTACACTCCTTCAGATCTCTAGTTCTTAATAGTTTTTAGTCAGGAGGTCAATATACAAGATTACCTTTTTGCTACAGTTACCTATAACTATTTAGACTTTTTTTATTTGAAAAAATTGAGGTGTAAAATACACAGATATTAAGTCTACAGCATATATAACACCATCCACATTGAGACATTGAACGTTCTCATCTCTCTAGAACATTCTTGTATACTCTTTCCCTGTCAGAAGCTCCCTGCCTCTCACCCCCACCCGTATGTAACCACTATTCAGACTTACATCACCCCATAAATTAGGTTTTCTGTTTCTAAACTTGAGCCCTACTTATTTAATACTGTTAGGTGTAATACTATAGCCTGACCCTCTTCACCAATCCCTGCTTCTGCACTTGCTACTTTTTACCCTGCAGTACTTTTTCTTTCTTCTGTCTCTCTTAACCACTTTCTAACATATAATTTAATATGTTTGATATTTATTGTCTCTCTCCTAGAATCTAAGCTGTACAAGGGCAGGGATTTTTGTTCTGCTACAACCACCCAAAACAGTCCCTAATACACAGTAAGTGTTCGATAAATATTAGTGAAATGAATGAATGAGAGGTCTGGTGAATGGATATAAATTTGTAGGCAATCCAGATGGGAGGATTCAGAAATTGAAGAAAATCTCATGTTGTATTTTTGTTTTTAGAGAATAAGGGATAAAATTGTCTTTTGGGAGTACAGAGGAGGTGATAGGATTGGGGTTTTGAAGACAGTGAAGGAAGTTTGAAATGTTAGAAGCATGGGAGATTGAGGATTTGGGCAATGTAGATTTATTGCTTATTGTTGGAGGCTCAGTGTTCTGGCCGTGAGTGTGGTTCATGTAATACCAGCCAATGTGGTTGAATGACTTACTTCAGCAGAACTTAGCTCAGGTGTAGAAACAGAGAAAGTTGACAGTGTTTTTTGCTGTGTAGTTTCAGTGGACAGCCAGACAGACAAAGGAGTTAGCCAGATACTGACTGAAGTGATAATACCTTGAGTTTTGGCTAGCCTGAGAAAGAAGCGATAGTCAAGAAAAACAGATTGGGATAGTACAAAAGGATCGTTTCCAGAGGTATGGTTGAGTTCAAACTATTTCCAAATAGACACAATGAAAAAAATAGAATGGGATATTGATAAAAGGATTAGCAGTTGTCATAAAAGTTAAGATACCATAGTTGATTGGTTTTAAGGAATACTTTCTTTTCCATTTTAACATTTCTAAAGTTGAGATGCCAGTTTAATTGGTAACACTTTCTTTTTACTATTATGTGAAATGATGGTGAGTCTTCCAATTAATGGCAGATTTGATAAAATACAGTATTTGAATGTTAGATTCCAGAAATGTAGCATTTATAGGTACTGACAAGGTTACCAGGGCACAGCCATTAGAGAATATAACTAAAAAGGAGTCGAGATCAAGTATCTGGTTAGATAAATTATGCCCATGGACTTCAAAGACCCAGAGTCATGAGCTAGTTGTAAGAGTTTTCAGCAAATGACATGGAGTGACTAGAGGTAGCAGATGGCAGCATAGAAATAGGTAGATAGGAAAATTCACCTTCAAGTCATCCCTTCTAGTCTCATGTGTCACTTTCTCAGAGGTCTTCCCATAAATCTCCTCTCCTCAAGTCTAACTATGGTTTTCCTCTGTACTGTCTCATAATATCTTATACTTTTTCTTGTGTAATTCTTTATTCATTTCTAATTAATCTTTTATTATATGATTATATTATGTTTTTCTTTCACCAGATTGTAAACTCATTGACTGTAGGAATTGTTTTTGTGCATTGCCTAGCACATTGTCTTAGCCCATTCAGGCTGTATACAAACTACCATAGACTGGGTGACTTAAAAACAACAGTTTATTTCTCATAGTTCTGGAGACCAGGAAGTTCAAGAACAAGGCACCAATAGATTCAGTTTCTGGTTAGGGCCCACTTCCTGGTTCATAGAGAGCCATCCTCTAGCCATGTCCTTGCATAGTGGAAGGGATGAGAGAGCTCTCAGCTCTCTTTTATAAGGGCACTAATCCCATTCAGTCCTCATGACCTAATCATTTCCCAAAGGCCTCACTTCCAAATACCAACACATTGGAGATTAGGTTTCAACATATGAATTTGGGATGGGAGTGGGGTGGGGACACATAGGACACACTCTAGGCACTGAATAAATGAATTGAAATAGAGAACGTAAGCTGTCTGTGACCAGATTAAGGATATAGTACTCTGGAATAAGGTTCTAGAAGCCACAATGGCAGTACAGAGTACATTTTACTAAATTTGATTCTGTTTCAGTGGTTGGCTTATTTGCTGCTTTTTTTAGCTTTATCTGTTTTCTCTGAGCCTCAGTTTCCTCCTGTTAGATTAAGATACTAATGCCTATTTAACAGGGTTATGGTAACCATTAAGTGAGTTTAGTATGGAAAGCACATCATACAGCACCTACCACATAGTTGGTGCTCTGTAAGTGATAGGCTGAAATGGCCATCTTCATTTTTTTCCTTCTGAAAAAAACCCTATGTCTTACCTGGACTATTGCAGCTGACACCTGACAGTCTTGCTTTTGTCCCTCCTCCCTCTCTTTTCTTCTCTACACTTATGTTGAATAATTCTTCTAAAATATTGATCATGTAATCTTCCCTTTTTGTATTTCTATAACGTCTGCTCATTGCTTGCATGATCAAGTTCAAACTCCTTGGCTTGGAATTCAAAGCACTTCAGGGTCCAGTACCTTGGTTCTTTCCTAATCCCCTACTGTCCTGTGCTGCCATTTCTCTCCTGCCTTTCCTGTTATACTCCAGCAACATCATGTCATTTGTTTCCCTTGCATCCCACATGTTCAGCACTCTGCCTTTGCTCTGGAATTTCTCTCTGATTGAAATGTCCTCCTCCTAGGTCTGATGGAGTCCTATTCATTCTTAAAGTTACCACCTTTCCCAACCTTTATATATTTTCCTATAATTGCGTGATTACACTGTGTTATAAATGTAAATTTACATGTCTTTCTTTAAACAAGACTGTGAGTTGCTTGAGGGCAAAAGCTATGTATTTACCTTTATCCACAACACCTGTATCCTAGTGGGTGATTAGTAAAAGTTGATTGAACCAAAGGGACTGTGGAGAGTTTACAACCTATTTATTTTACTTAAAACAGTTACTCGAAGGAGGAGATAGGTTTGAGTGTAGGTTTAACAGGGAAAAAATCTTAGGTGGGAATCCAGTAGAGAGGGGAGAAAATGGTCAGTTATGAAAATTAGCCGTCAGCCATTTTAGTACTAATGTCAGGCTGAAATATGAACAATATTCATTGGAAATTAACAATAGGACACAATTCTACTCTTGTTTCAGAGGCGGAAGAGGAGATGCAAGAGATCTGACAGAAAAAACTAAATGAAACCCCAGAGGGCCAGAGAGACTTGACAGAAATGGCAGATAACAAACTTGGTTTGGGCTTGAAATGTGATCTAGCAGTCAAAGGAAAGCCAGTGCTATTCTGGGCAGCTAACAAAGAAGAATTGTGCCACGGCATAGGGAGTTGGCAAGAGCCCACCGGGAGTATTACATTTAGCACAGTGTCAGCATGATAGAAACAGAAGGTGGTGAGCTCTGAGAGCAACTGTAGTGCTGAGGGGGATAAATACATGAATTTATGAAGATCAGTTAACAAATTCAAGCATGCAGGGTTGACTGAATTCCAACTACAAGATCCAGGAGAGACACTCCCAAATATTTGAAGGGTGTTAACATTGGAAGAAGAGAAGAATTATTTAGCCTGGACTACAGAACTTTGTAAGAAGGTGAAACCAAGGGCAGGGCAAATTTATACCTCTCTAAAAGAAATGCCCTGATGTAGTTTTTGGGTGATTCGGGTGCCTTCATCCCTCAGGACTTTTTGTAGTATGAAGCTGTAAGGCCAAAATGAAGGATTTGAGAGTTCTTTCTCTGGAGAAATGGTTGAGAAATATTTTGGTCTTGTGAATAAAGAGTTTTTGTCCCAGAGACAGGTTATGAAGGATTGATTTAATATTTATTAGCCATGCACAGTATATTAAGCACTGTATACAACACAGTACATAGTTCTTGAGGTTCTGAAATAAAATGACTGGCCATTATATGCTTTATGCATTCTCAGTGTGTTTCAGTAGTTTAGAAACTTTGGCAAATTTCCTAAGACTTTCCCTTTGGAATAGAATGATGGAGGAATTCGGCCAAATGTAAATGTAAAACAACAACAACAACAACAGATGAAATCCTATTGAAACGAATGTTTCCTTTCACAAGATGGCAAAACATATATCCTTGAGTCGGGAGTTTCCTCAGTGATGGGGATGAAGAAGCCTTGAGCTGATAACACGATAACATGTTTGTTCTTCAGGATATTTTAAATGCCAGATAGAGGTGCTATATTGTCTTCATTGCGGGCCAGGTCTCTGTTATTTCTCAGTTCAAGATAGGTCAAGGGAAAATTCGTTGATTCACTTAGAGACAGTTCTGTTTCCTGAGGCAAAGGTACTTGAATTTTCAAGTGAAATGGCCAAAAAGCCCACAGTATACTTAGATTTTTTTAAAAAGCTTATATCTCTTCTTTTACATCTGGGCTTCTTGACTTCCATCTGCTTGTCTACAGAAGCCATCATGTGATTTTAAAGATAATGTTGGGTATGAAGAATGTGGAGTCAGGTTCTATTTAACTAGGCAATTGAGTCTTTCCTCAATTAACTAAATTATCTTATGCTCCCTGTGTCAGTGTGGATCCTCCAAGACAGACTTAGAGGCATAAAATTTATTGAACCACAAACAATCAATTGGGAGGGAGCCAGGAGTAGGCAGGGAGAGCTTTTTGAATATGGTGCAAGTCTAATACCTGTGAAGGAAGACCGGGAAGAAAAGGCTGGGTAGGAAATCTTGCAGACCACAGCATAGTTGAGAAAATCCCAGCCATGCAGATGTAGAGTCCCCAGGCAAAAGTTGCTTGTTAGCAGAATCCCGTATGGGGCAGGTGGGCAGGCACTACTACCCCTGCCTTGCTCAGTCACTGGCTGGGAGCAGCTTAGGCAAAGAGTGCTTTCAGTGTTCATGGGGTTGGTGGCTAGAGGCTGAACTGTGGTCCATACAATAGGTTCTCTTGAAGCAGATCTGAGCAACACATCTTCTTGGTTACTACACTTCCCTAGCAAGCTTATTTATTCATTTCATGACAAGGTTCACCAAGTTTTAATGTGTCTTGCCATATAACATTTACAATAGCATAATAAATACTAGGGAAGATAGAAATAAAAGTAGAAACTCAAAGAACTAACTATTACTATTCCTCTAGATAAACAAAAATTTTCTGGGGTATTTTTCAAGGAGGATTCACACTGAAAATACTGAGTGATAATGACTTCATTGTCTATAATACTCGTGCAATAAATATATTTAGTTGTTTTATTTTCTAATGGCTCTTTTATGTAGTGTGTTTTGAGAAAACCCAAGGGTTTAACATTATAACACAACTCATTGATGATAAGTATGTGGAAGCTAAGATTATATGGAAGAGTCAGGTAGCTGACAGTCTGTATGGTTAGTATGGAGAATAGATCTCTGAATTTTCAGAGAAGGAAATGGACTGAACAGCATTTAAATAATCTTGCATAAATATGACTTCTATCAAACAAATTTTGTGTTATTCTTTTTTTAAGAGACAGGTCTTGCTATGTTGCCATGGCTGGACTTAAACTTCTGGGCTCAAGTGATCCTTCCGCCTCATGCTCTTGAGTAGCTGGGACTACAGGCATGTGCCACTGTGCCCAGCTTATAAAACAAAATTTTGGTAAAAAGCTTGAAACAACAGACTATTCAAAATTATATTCCTTAAAATAGAAAGTCTATTAACAGACCCAAAACATATGTAATATAAGATAAAGGTGGCATTTTAAATCCATGGTGGTGGGTAAGATTGTGGAAGATAACGGATTATTTAGTAAATGGTGTAGAGAAATTTGGGTAGCCAATATGGAAAATAAACTCGTCTCCATACCTCACATTTTATATTAGGAAAAATTCCAAATGGATCAAATATTAAATGTAAGAAATGGAACTGTGGTCCTAGTAAAGTACTAAAAGAAACCATGGGAGAATTAAAAAACATAATTGTGTATAGTATAGTGTGATAAAATATTCCAGAAGCCACAAAAGAATAGACTGTATTTTTTTTTTTTAATTTCAGTAAGTTTTGGGGGAACAGGTGGTGGTTGGTTACATGGATAAGTTCTTTAGTGGTGATTTCTGAGATTTTGGTACACCCATCACCTGAGCCAGACAGTAAATTCGACTATATAATTTTTTTTTTTAATTTGGGGGTAGGGGATGGTGGCATGGCAAAAACTACTATAAGCAAAGTTAAAAGACAAGTGAGAAACTGGGGAAAATATTTGCAACTCACAAAGGGCTGATTTCCCTAATATATAAAGAACTCTAAAAATCAGTGAGAAAAACAAGAATAATCCAGTAGAAATAATGGGCAAAGAATGTGAACAGATAGTTTAGAAGAAATGAAATACAAATGTCACTTAAACTCATGAAAATAAACACAGGCTGGGCACAGTGGCTCACACCTGTAATCCCAGCACTTTGGGAGGCCAAGGCAGGTGGATCACTTGAGGTCAGGAGTTCAAGACCAACCTGGGCAACATGGTGACACCTGTCTCTACTAAAAATATAAAAATTAGCCAGGCCTGGTGGTGCCCACCTGTAATCCCAACTACGTAGGAGGCTCAGGCAATCCCTTGAACCCAGAAGGCAGAGGTTGCAGTGAGCCAAGATCACACCACTGCACTCCAGCCTGGGCAACAGAGTGAGACTCTGTCGCAAAAAAAAAAAAGAAAAAAGAAAATAATCACTGTCTAACTCTTGATTAGGGGAATGCACATAAAAACTACTCAGAGATACTATTTTGATGTCTCAGATTAGCAAGTACCTGGAAATTTGGTAATAAACTCTATTAGAGAATATGTGGGGAAGCAGACGCATGTTGGCAATTACTTATCTGCTGTCTTACCACAATAGATTTGTTTGCATTTTCTAGAATCTTAAACATACAATATGAACTCTTATCTGGCTTCCTTCACTCAGCAAAATTATTTTGAGATTCATTCACGTTACAGCACGTATCAATAGTTCATTCGTTTATAACTGAATGGATATACTGCAATTTGTTATCAGGTTTACTGTTGATGGACATTTGGGTGGTTTTCAATATGAGGCTATTACAAATAAAGCTGTTGTAAACATCCGTGAACAAGTCTTTGTATATACATATGCTTTCATTTTTTTTTTTAGGTAAATACAAAGGAGTGTAATAGCTGGGTCTTATGGCAGATTTATGTTTAGCTTTTATTAAAAACTGCAAACTGGTTTTTAAATTGGTTGTATTGTTTTATATTCATGACAATAGTATGTGAGAATTCCCATTTCTCCACATTTTAGTCGTTCTAATGGGTGTGTAGTGGTTTTTGTGTTTAATTTGCAATTCCATAATGTCTGATGATAAATCCATGTGCTTTTATTTTTATTTATCTTTGTAAAAGTGTGGGTGTCTTTTTGCCTAATTTTTAATTGGGTTGTTTGTCTTTTTGTTGTAAGTGTTCTTTATATGTTCTAAATATATAAATACATTGCCACATAATATATTTTGTAAATATTTTCTACCAGTCTGTTTGGCACAGTGTCTTTTTATCACTGTTTGTTTGTTTGTTTGAGATAGAGTCTTCTTCTGTCACCTAGGCTGCAGTGCAATGGCACGTCTCGGCTACTGCAACCTCTGCCTCCTGGGTTCAAGCGATTCTCCTGTGTCAGCCTCCTAAGTAGCTGGGATTACAGGTGCATGTCACCATGCATAGCTAATTTTTGTATTTTTAGTAGAGATGCGGTTTCACCATGTTAGCCAGGTTGGTCTCGAACTCCTGACCTCAAGTGATCCACCGCCCATCCCAAAGTCTTGGGATTACAGGCGGGAGCCACCACGTCTGGCCTTATCACAGTTTTTAAAAAAATTGAGATATAAATAATATGCCATAAAATCTTCCTTTTTGAAGTTCAGTGGTTTTTAGTATATTCACAAGGTTGTACAACCATCAGCATCATCTGATTCCAGAACATTTTTGCCATCCTCTAAATAAATTCCCCTACCCATTAGTGGTGGTATTTTCCTCCCCCCAGCCCCTGGCAACCACTAACCTACTTTCTGTCTCTCGATTTGCTGATTCTGGACTTTCATATAAATGGAATCATACAATGTATGATCTTTTGTGTCTGGCTTCTTTGACTTAGCACATATCATTACTTCATTCCTTTTTATTGCCAAGTAATGTTACATTGTATGGATATACATTTTGTTTATCCAGTCATCAGTTGATGCACATTTGTAAAACACAATGTCTGTATCTTAACCTTGAATCCTACAACCAAGCTAGACTCATATTAGCTTTAGTACAGTTTTTTTTGTAAATTCCATAGGTTTTCTACATACATAATTGTTTCACCTGTAAAGACAATTTTACTTTTTTCTTTCCAATTTGATTCCTTTTATTTCCTTTTTTTATTGCACTGATTAGAACTTGCCATACAGTGTTAAATAAAAATACACAGAAGATTCTTGTTCTCAATGTTAAGAAGAAAGCATTCAGTTTTTCATCCTTACGTATAATGTTAACTGTAATTTGTTGTAGATGTTCTGTATCAAGTAAAAGCGTTCTGTTCTAGTCTTAGTTTTCCAACAATTTTTATCAGGAATGGATGGTGGATTTTGGAAATACTTTTTCTGCACCTATTGAGATGACTGTATGGTTTTTCTTTTTTAGTTTGTTGATATAGTAAGTTATATTGATTGATTTTCATATGCCAGACCAATCTTGCATTATGAGATAAACCCCACTTGGTTGTGATATTATTCTTTTCATATATTGCTGGAATAGATTGTCTAAAAATTTGTTAAGAACTTTTACATCTGTGTTAGTGAGAAACATTAGTCTGTGGTTTTCTTCTCTTACTATGTCTTTCTATGGTTTTGGTATATGGGTAATGCAAGCCTTGTAGGATGGGTTAGAAAGTATTTCTCCTTCAGTTTTCTGGGAGCGTTTGTATGGAATTTGTATTCTTTCTTTGTTTTTTTTTTTTTTTTTTTTTGGTCTTGGTTTTGTTTTTGTTTTTTTTTTCAGACGGAGTCTCACTCTGTTGCCCAGGCTGGAGTGCAGTGGCACGATCTCGGCTCACCTTAACCTCCACCTCCCAGGTTCAAGCGATCCTCCTGCCTCAGCTCTGCTAGTAGCTGGGATTATAGGCACATGCCACCATGCCCACCTAATTTTTGTATTTTTAGTAGAGATGGGGTTTCGCCATGTTGGCCAGGCTGGTCTCAAACTCCTGACCTCAGGTGATCCACCTGCCTTGGCCCCCCAAAGTGCTGGGATTACAGGCTAGTTCTTCTTTAAATATTTGGAATTCACCAAGTAAGCCTTCTGGGCCAGGTTTTGTGTGTGTGTGTGTGTGTGTATAGGAAGGTAAGGTTTTTTGTTTGTTTGTTTGTTTGTTTGCCCTGTTACCCAGGCTGGAGTCCAGTGGCGTGATCTTGGCTCACTGCAACCTCTTCCTCCTGGGTTCAAGCGATTCTCCTGTCTCAGCCTCCTGAGTAGCTGGGATTACAGGTGCCTGCCACCATGTCTGGCTAATTTTTGTATTTTTAGTAGAGGCGTGGTTTTGCCATGTTGGCCAGGCTGGTCTTGAACTCCTGACCTCAGGTGATCTGCCCGCCTTGGTCTCCCAAAGTGCTGGGATTACAGGCGCACTGCGCCCAGCCAGGTAAGGTTTTATAAACCACAAATTTAATATCTTTAATAAATATTTCTATATATTCTATATTTATAGAGCTATTTAGATTTACTCTTGAATGACCTTTGTGCCTTTCAAAGTATTTGTTGAATGTCTTAGCAAAAAGCTGTTCATAATTTTTCTTTTTTCTTTTTCTTTTTTTTGAGACAGGGTCTCACTCTGTTGCCCAGGCTGGCATGCAGTGGCATGATCTCTGCTCACTGCAGCCTCTGCCTCCTGGGCTCAAGCCATCCTCCCACTTCACCCTCCCGAGTAGCTGGGGCTATAGGCGTGCATCACCATGCCAGGCTAATTTCGTATTTTTTTAGGGGTGGGGTTTTGCCAGGTTGCTCGGGCTGATCTCAAACTCCTGAGCTTGAGCTCAAGTGATCCACCTGCTTCAGCCTCCCAAAATGCTGGGATTACAGGTGTGAGCCACCATGCCTGGCCTATTTTCTTATTTTTATTTTAAAATTGTAGAATTCTAGTGAGGGTTACCTCTGTCATTCTTGATATTATTCCTTTGGATCTTCTCTCTTTTTCTCCTGATCGGTCTGACTAAATGTTTATGTAGTTCATTGATCTTCTCAAAGAACACCCTTTGGTTCCATTGATTTTCTCTATTGCATTTCTCTTTTTTATTTTAAAATTTCTGCTGTGGAAAAAAATCTTCTGTTTGCTTATGGTTTGTTGATTCTTTTTCTAGTTTCTTAAGGTGGAAACTGAGGTTTTTTATCTGAGACTTTTCTTCTTTTCTAATAGAGGTATTTTGTACTATAAATTTCCCTCTAAGTGCTGCTTTAGGTGCATTTTTGATTTGCTGTGTTTTTAGTCTGTTTAAAATATTTTTAAATTCTCTTGTTCCTTTTACTCCTGGGTAATATGGAAGTATTGTATATAATTTCAAAATATTTGAGGGATTTTCCAGACATGTTTCTGTTTTTTAATTTAATTTCATTGTGTTCAGAGAACATACTTTGTATGACTTGAATTCTTTTAAATTTATTTAAATTCGTTTTATGGCCCACAATATATTTTATATTGTTAAATGTTCTGTGTACCCTCAAAAAGAATATGTTTTCTGCTCTTGTTGGGTTGAGTGTTCTATAAATGTCAATTAGGTCAAGTTGGTTGTTAGTGTTGTTGAAGTCTTCTGTATCTTTCCTGCTTTTTCTATTTGTCCTATCAATTAATAAGAGAAAGGTATTGAAATTTGTAGTTAGAATTGTAGGTTTGTCTATTCCTTTTGGCAGTTTTGTCAGTGTTTGCTTCATGTATTTGAAACTTAGTTATCAGATACATAACATTTAGGATTATGTCCTCTTGATGAATTGACTTCTTTATGATTATGAAATGATATCCTTTAGTCCTGGTGATATTCTTTGTTCTGAAATATACTTTACTTGATATTAATATGGCCCTTTTAGCTTTTTTTTTTTTTTTTTGACAGAGTCTCACTCTTTCGCCCAGGTTGGAGTGCAATGGCGAGATCTCAGCCCACTGCAACCTCTGCCTCCCAGGTTCAAGAGATTCTCCTGCCTCAGACTCTCGAGTAGCTGGGATTACAGGCACCCGCCATTGTGCCTGGCTAATTTTTGTATTTTTGTAGATTTCGTAGATTTTGTAGATTTTTGTAGATGTTGGCCAGGATGGTCTTGAACTCCTGACCTTTGATGATCCACCCGCCTTGGTGTCCCAAAGTGCTGGGATTACAGGCATGAGCCACCGTGCCCTGCCCAGCTTTCTTTTGATTAATATTAGCATAGTATATCTTTTTCCATTCTTTTTCTTTCAGAATGATTTTATCTTTATATGTAAAGTAGATGTCTTATAGGCAGCATATAGATAGGTCTTGCTTTTATGTAGTCTGACAATCTCTGCCTTTTAATTGGGATGTTTAGACCATTTACATTTGATGTGATTATTCATATGGATGTGTGTAAATCTGCCATCTTGCTGTTTGTTTTCTATTTTTCCCACCTCTTCTTTGTTCTCGTTTTCTTCTTCTGTTTCTTTTGGATTAATTAAGCATATTGTAATCATTCAGTTTTACCTCCATATTGGCTTATTACTTTTTATTTTTGTTTTGAGATGGAGTCTTGCTCTGTCACCCAGACTGGAGTGCAGTGGCGCGATCTTGGCTCATTGCAAGCTCTGCCTCCCGGGTTCACGCCATTCTCCTGCCTCAGCCTCCCAAGTAGCTGGGACTACAGGCGCCTGCCACCACGCCCGGCTAATTTTTTGTGTTTTTAGTAGAGACGGGGTTTCACCGTGTTAGCCAGGATGGTCTCAATCTCCTGACCTCGTGATCCACCTGCCTCAGCCTCCCAAAGTGCTGGGATTACAGGCATGAGCCACTGTGCCCGGCCTGGCTTATTACTTCTAACTCTGTTTCCTTTTTTGTAATTGTTTTAGGGTTTGTGGTGTAAATGGTGTACATCTTTAACTTATCAGACACCTCCTTCATGTGATATTACAGCACTTCACATATAGTATGTCAATCTTATGATAGTGTACTTCCATTTCTTTCCACTCAGCCTTCACATTATTATTGTCATACATTTTAGTTCTGCACATAACTCCACAGTACCTTTTTATTTATTTTTTTATAAAAACCTTCAAGGATATCTAAATAATTGTAAAAAATGTTTGTATTTACCATTTTTGGTACTTTTCATTCTTTTGTGTAGATCTGTCTTTCCATGTGGTATAATTTTCCTTGTGCCTGAGGGACTTCCTTTAATGTTTCTTGTACTGCAAGCCTGGTAGTGATGCTTTTTTCCAGCTTTTATACATCTGGAAAAGTCTGTATTTTGCCTTTGTTTTTGAAGGATATTTTTACTGGGTATACAATATTAGGTTAACAGGGTTTTTTCGTTTCGGTTTTTAAAGATGTTTCATTGCTTTATTGTCACTTGCATGGTTTCCTATGAGAAGTCTGTTGTTAACCATACTTTTTTTCATTTGCACATAATGTGGGGTTTTTTCCCCTCTCGATGCTTTTAAGTTTTCTTTATCACTAGATTTGAGCAATTTGATTGTGATGTTCCTTGGTGTAGTTTTGTTTATACCTTTGTGCTTGGGGTTTGTTGAGGCTTTTGGATTAATGGGTTTGTAGTTTTCATGAAATTTAGAAAACTTTCAGCCATTATTCTATTTTCTATACCCCTTTTCTTACCTTTCCTTTGGAGATTCCATTTATATGTAATTAGACCAGTTGAAGTTGCCCTCCAGTTCATGAATGTTCTGGGTTTGTTTTATTTTGTTTTGTTTTTTCTTTTTCTTTTTTTTTTTGAGACTGACTTTTACTCTGTTGCCCAGGCTGGAGTGTAGTTGTGCAACCTCCACCTCCTGGGTTCAAGCGATTCTCCCGCCTCAGCCTCCCGAATAGCTGGGACTACAGGCACGTGCCACTACGCCTGGCTAATTTTGTATTTTTAGTAGAGGCGGGATTTCACCATGTTGGCTAGGTTGGCCTCAAACTCTTGACTTAATGTGATCCGCCCATCTTGGCCTCACAAAGTGCTGGGATTACAGGTGTGAGCCACCTCGCCTGGCTTAAGTTTTTTAAATGTGATTTTTAAATGACTCCATAATGTGTTCCACTTGGCTGAATGTCTAAGATTTTCTTCCTTTTTTTCATTAATCGAAATAATAGTGTGATGAACATTTGTATACAAAAATATTAGTATACATCTGTGATCATTTTCTTAGAATAAATTTCTCCTTAAGACTTTTAATATGTGTTGCAAAATGCTGTCCATATATTTTTGTATCACATAAAAAACAAAAAACTCCTGGCTGGGCACAGTGGCTTACACCTGTAATCCCAGCACTTTGAGAGGCTGAGGTGAGTGGATCACCTGAGGTCAGGAGTTCGAGACCAGCCTGGCCAACATGGTAAAACCCCATCTCTGCTAAAAATAAAAAAATTAGCCGGGCGTGGTGGCAGGCGCCTATAATCCCAGCTACTTGGGAGGCAGAGGCAGAAGAATCGCTTGAACCAGGAGGCAGAGGTTGCAGTGAGCTGAGATCATGCCATTACACTCCAGCCTGGGTGAAAGAGTGAGACGCCAACTCAAAACAAACAAACAAACAAACAAAAATCCTCCTATGAAAACTGCTAGTTTTAATGGCAGGGGAACATTCAACTACTTGAACTCCTATTCTTTAGGAGGGCCAGGATTGCTTGCTTGACACCAGTATATCAGAATTTTAAAGTGAAACTTAAAGGCTAAGAAGAAACTCACCATATGAAGAATAGGGGAAATAATTACAAGCAGAATGAACTGCAGTGCAAAGCCTCAAGATACAAGGGATGTTAGAAGAATGGAGAGAAACCGAGGGTAGCTAGAGCATAGTGAGAAAGAGAGTCTGTCCTAAAAGGAGATTGCAGAGAGGCAAGGACTGGATCATGTAGGACCCTGAGGGTCAAGGCAACTATGCTTTGGACTTTATTCTAAGTGCCATGATAAGCCATTGAAAGGCTGTAAGCTGGGGAGTTTATGGTGTTGTGTAGAGGAAGGTGGTTTAGAGAGTGGCAAGAGTGGAAGCAGGATGACCAGCTAGAAGATACGATTCTTTACTATTTCTCGATCACTTTATCATATATATTAACATATGTTACTGCTATGGACTGAATGTCTGTGTTCCTCCCAAATTCATATGTTGAAGCCCTAATTCCCAGTGTGATGGTATTAGGAGGTGGGGCCTTTGGGAGGTAGTTAGGTTTAAATGAGGTCATAAGTGTGGAGTCTCCATGATGGGATTAGTACCCTTATAAGAAAAGGAGGAAACACCAGAGCTTCCCCTCTCCACCATATGAGGATACAGCAAAACAATGGCTAGTTGTCTGCAAGCCAAGAAGTGGGACCTTGCTGAGAACCAGATTTGTTGCACGTTGATCTTGGCCTTCCCAGCCTCTAGAACTGTGAGGAATAAATGTCTGTTGGTTAATCCACCTAGTCTGTGGTATTTTATTATAGCAGGTCAAGCAGACTAAAACATCTAGGAAGTGATAAAGAAGAAAATATATATCTGAGACGGAGTCTAGCTCTGTCACCCAGGCTGGAGTGCAGTGGCGCGATCTTGGCTTACTGCAACCTCTGCCTCCCAGGTTCAAGCAATTCTCTGCCTCAGCCTCCTGAGTAGCTGGGATTATAGGTGCCCGCCACCTTGCCTGGCTAATTTTTGTATTTTTTGTAGAGACGAGGTTTTACCATCTTGGCCAGGCTGTTCTTGAACTTCTGACCCGGTGATCCACCCACCTTGGCCTCCCAAAGTGCTGAGATTACAGGCGTGAGCCACCGTACCTGGCCAAGAAGAAAGATATTTTAATATTTTAATTTATTATTATTATTTTTTTTCAGACTGAGTCTTACTCTGTCACCCAGGCTGTAGTGCAGTGATGTGATCATTACTCACTGCAGCCTCAAACTCCCAGGCTCAAGCGATCCTCCTGACTCAGCCTCCCCAGTAGCTGGTACTACAGGTATGCACCACCACACCCAGCTAATTTTTTAATTTTTCTTTTGTAGAGACGAAGTCTCACTGTGTGGATTAGCCTGATTTTGAACTCCTGGCCTCAAGTGATCTTCCTATGTCTGCCTCCCAAAGGGCTGGGATTGCAGGCATGAGGCACCATGCCCAGCTGAGAAAACTATTTTAAAAGTAATGGGAAACTATCACATTATTCCCTTTGGCTAGTTATGCTGCATTTCCTGATTTGGCTTTGTTTGTTTGTTTGTTTTGAGAGAGAGTCTTACTCTGTTGCCCAGGCTGGAGTGCAGTGGCACAATCTTCGCTCACTGCAACCTCTGCCTCTCGGGTTCAAGTGATTTGCCTGTCTCAGCCTCCCAAGTAGCTGGGATTACAGGCATGGGCCACCACGCCCGGCTAATTTTTGTACTTTTAATTGAGATGGGGTTTTGCCATGCTGACCAGGCTGGTCTTGAACTCCTGACCTTGTGATCCACCTGTCTCAGCCTCCCAAAGCGCTGGGATTACAGGCTTGAGCCACTGCGCCCTTTTTTTGTTGTTGTTTTTTGTTTTTTTTGTGAGACAGGGTCTCACTCTGTTGCCCAGACTGGTGTGCAGTGGCACAATCTCAGCTCACCGCAACCTCCACCTCCCAGGCTCAAGTGATTCTCCTGCCTCAGCCTCCCAAGTAGCTGGGATTACAGGCGTGTGCCACTACCACCCAACTAATTTTTGTATTTTTAGTAGAGATAGGGTTTCACCATGTTGGCCAGGCTGCTCTTGAACTCCTGACCTCAAATGAGCCACCCGTCTCGGCCTCCCAAAGTGTTGGGATTACAGGCATGAGCCACCATGCCCAGCCTGATTTGGCTTTCTAATGCTATTGCTGCATACCTAACATTTTTCTTCTATTTTATGACATCCCTAATCAGTATTTAAGCTTTGAATGTTTATTCTCCTGTTTTGCCTAGATAATTTGTTTTTCTCCTTTATTTTCTTAAATACATGGAATCTTTTATTATGCCTCTAATATAGTGTTCTCAAACTGACTTGAATGTGGATTTTAAATTTTTTAAAATGAAATATCTGCCTGGGACACCCTTTGAAAAGCTAGGCCAGAGGATTGGGTTCCAGTGATTACCAAAGGCTTATGGTCAACCAAATGAGAGAATGCAGTAAAAGAATTACAACCAAATGCAACCAAAGCAATGAGAGAATACCTTGCAGGATCTGGTCCTGGAACTGCTATTAATGTTTTTTATTTTGTTTTGTTTGAGATAGGGTCTCATTCTGTTGCTCGGGCTGGAGTACAGTGGCGCGATCACAGCTCACTGTAGCCTCCACCTCCTGGGCTCAAGCAATCTTCCCACCTCAGCCTCTCAAGGAGCTAGGACTACAGGGCAAGTGCCACCATGCCTGGCTAATTTTTTTTTATTTTTTGTACAAATAAGGTCTGCCTATGTCGCCCAGACTGGTCTCAAACTCCTGAGCTCAGGCAGTCCTCTACCTTGGCCTCCCAAAATGCTGGGATTACAGGCATGAGCCATGAGCCACCATGCCTGGTCTATTAATGTCTGTAGATTGATTTCTTAGATAATGATGTAGAGATTATGTTAATCATGAATATGGATGTGATATTACACCAAGGCAGGAATGAAGGCAATTTTGTGAGAGGGGAATGGGGCTTTGGAATCTGTGAATCAGGTTAAAATCTTAGTTTTAGCCTTTGCTAGGCTGAGTAGCCTTTGGCAAGTTGCCTAATTTCTTTGTCTTCAGTTTCTTCATTTGTAAAATGAATAGGATGACACCTACTTTGTGTGGTTTTTGTGAAGAGCAGATAAGACGTATAAGGTATAAATTTCTTTATCCACTTTTATTGTTGTTCTGTACCATCTTGGAAGATGGGGATAGAATCTGTTATAATGTTAATAAATTGGAGAAGGGGCAAAGCAAACAAGGAAATTTAGTGAGAATAGTTCTGAATAAGTATAAATATAGCATGTAGGATCAACAGAGTATAGGGTTTTTTACTTGGATGTTTGGAACCTTGGGAATAGAAAACCTTTTTTAAAAATTTAATTTAATTTTTTAAAAGACAGATGAGGTCTCACTCTGTTGTTGCCGAGGCTGGAGTACAGAGGCACGATCATAGGTGAGCTTGAGCTCACCTCCTGGGCTCAAGGAATCCTCCTGCCTCAGCCTCCTGAGTAGCTGGGACTACAGGAATGCACCAGCGTGCTTGGCTAATTTATTTTCTTTGTACAAGTGGGTTTTCACTATGTTGGGCTGGTTTCAAATTCCTGGCCTCTAGTGATCCTCTCACCTTGGCCTCCCAAAGTACTGGGATTTTAGGCGTGAGCCGCTGCACCCTGCCCAAAAGCTGTTCTGTTTGTAATAGTGAAAAATGGAAACAATAAAGTAACAAAAGAATGATTAAATGAACCATATGTAGTACACTCATGCAATGAAATATTTTCCAGTCTTTCAAAAGAATGATACAGATCTATATATTTGGACATGGAAAGGTTTCCAGGATACTCTGGTACATTTTTTTTTTTTTTTTTTGAGACGGAGTCTCACTCTGTCGTCCAGGCTGGAGTGCAGTGTCGCCATCCCAGCTCACTGCAAGCTCCGCCTCCTGGGTTCACGCCATTCTCCTGTCTCAGCCTCCTGAGTAGCTGGGACTACAGGCGCCCACCACCACGCCCGGCTAATTTTTAGTAGAGACGAGGTTTCACCGTGTTAGCCAGGATAGTATCCATCTCCCGACCTCGTGATCCACCCGCCTTGGCCTCCCAAAGTGCTGGGATTACAGGCGTGAGCCACCACGCCCGGCCTCTGGTACATTTTTTAAAAAAGGAAATTAATAAACCACTTTTGTAGTAGGATGGTGTATGACCATATTTGTATTTTAAAAATTATGTTATGAACATGTCTATGAACTCATAGATAAAGGTCTGGAAGGGTGAACTTCAAATCGTTAGTCATCATAAACAACTTCTATACCTTAGGCTTGCATAAATAAAAATGAGACTGAAAAGGTACTGTAAGAAGCCATCAGAGATTGTTTTCTAAATATGATATAAAACCCATTATTCACAAGACCAATACATTATTTACATAAAAATTAACCTCCAAATATGGGAAACTTCCAGCAGTTCTGAATTGATGGGTTTTCTATTAGAATCCTATATTTTTTCATTCTAAAACATAGATTATTAAAAGATTTGCATATTTTTAATGTATAAAACTCTGTGCGGATGAAGGGGTGAGAAGACGAACATTTTTATACACCCTGATAGAAATATAAATCGGTGCTTTTCTGGCGGGTACTTTGGCAATAGAGAACATGTTATCTCTTTTGACGTAGAGTTCTACTTATAGGAATTTATTTTAATGAAAAACAATCACAGACATAAAGATTTAGATTTAGCATTTATTGCATTGTTATTTATAATATTATAAATTTATAAACAACAATATCTGACAATAAAGGATTTTAAATAAAGTAGGATACATTTATTCAGTGGACTACTAGCCACATAATATATTGTAGAAGTGTAAAATTGATGCAACGTATGTTGTTGAGTGCTTACTATTTACCAGATTTGTTCTAAGTACATTATTATTTAATCCTGGCCGGGCGCAGTGGCTCCATGCCTGTAATCCCAGCACTTTGGGAGGCCAAGGCGGGCAGATCACGAGCTCAGGAGTTCAAGACCAGCCTGGCCAAAATAATGAAACCCCGTCTCTACTAAAAATACAAAAATTAGCCAGGCGAGGTAGCACACACCTGTAGTCCTAGCTACTCTGGAGGCTGAGGCAGGAGAACCTCTCGAACCCGGGAGGTGGAGGTTGCAGTGAGCTGAGACTGCACCATTGCACTCCAGCCTGGGCAACAGAGTGAGACTCCCTGTCAAAAAAAAATTTTAATTTAATTAAAAAATATATATATATATAATTTAATCCTTAGAATAAGCAGTGAGACAATCATTTCTTATTTCATTTTACATATAAAGTAACTTGGGCACTGAGAGAGGTTAAATAACTTGTCTAAAATCACATAGGGAGTGGGAAAGCTGGGACTCACTTTTATCTGCCTGACTTCAAAATTCATACCTCAATTACTATATTTAATGATTTTATAAATATAAAAATATGGCATAATACTTACATAAAAAAAGTTATAAGATGATATCATTGTTTTGAAGAAGGATTTATTCTAAAATGTCAGCAGTGGAAATAGTTGAGTATTGGGATAATGGTTAATTTTTGTCTCTTCTTTTATTATTGTTTTCCACAGTGAACATGAATGACTTTCATAACTACAGTTTTTAAGAGATACTCATTTCATAGCAGAAGGGTGGAGTGTATTAAAAAAATAAATATTCCTTCTTCCCCTCTGTTTCTGGGTGTATTTCTGAGATATATTTCTGAGTTTGGGTGTATTCACTCCTGAAGTTGCATGTAATTGCCTCTTGGCACTAGTTTATAAAAACTAGAAAGTTGAAACAGTGATGTTATTCTGAGATCTGAAGATGTAGGCAGATGAAATATGTTTAAATAATGACATTTTAACCATTATTCAGTTTCCTAGATCTGGGACCGGGGCCACTGGTAACAGGATTCAGAAGCCAGAAGCACAGTACCACACAGTGAGCAATTCCCCAGACTCGTCTCTTTGAGCTTTTCACTAGAAAATCCTTCTTCACCTCTCCTTTCTCCCAATTCCTTTTTATTAAGAGTCTTTTAACCTGGATGAACATAATTTGAGCCGATCATAAACAAATAGCTCTCTTTTTTGCCTGACTTTATGCATTTCTGTTGCCATGTAAACCAAATAAAGCTAGCTGTGAGCAAACCAGCTGCTGCCTGCAGCCTCCTTCCCTAGAGGAAGGGAAAGGGTGGTGAAGGTAATTGGGAAGGACTATAAGAAGGGTAGAAATTGAGGGAAGAGAGTATTCTATTTACATTTCTGGTCCTGATTCTCACTCTGTTTATTTGGCTATTTAGAATATGATGACTATAGTTGACTTAGTCATTCTTCCCAGCAGCTGAGAGATATGGGTGACTAATAATTTTTTCTCTATTTGTTTGCATGTTGGAAATGGTTACTATTGAGGGGTGGAATTAATAGAGTCTAAGCTATATTTCAGAACTGGAAAACTTGGAAAATGAATGGTTGTAGGGAATAGCATGGGATTTATGATTTTTTGTTTCAAAGAGTTACGCTTTGGGTACTGGCATTAAAAAGTAGTTCCAGGGGCCAGGCACGGTGGCTCACGCCTGTAATCCCAGCACCTTAAGAGGCTGAGTCCAGAGGATTGCTTGAGGCCAGGAGTTCAACATCAGCCCTGGCAACTTAGCGAGATCTCATCTCTACCCAAAAAAAAAAAAAAAAAAAAAATTTTTTTTTAAGTTCCAAGGTGTCTAATTGAATGTGCCCTAGAGGCACTGTGCAAAGACTACATATAGGTGGTCAGTGACTGTCAAGTATTTACACTCACAATTGAAAGGACATGACAGCTGAGGCCTAAATCACATGACGTAGTAACTAGGTAAGTACTTGGAATCATTAATGAAAAGACAATGAGGTGTTTGCTTAAATTATAAATATTGATTAGGGGTAGTAGAGGTAATACGTTATTATGAGAAGAGAAAAGTGAGTGTGGCAGTTACTCATTTAGTTCAGATATGGGGAAAAAAAGTCATCTCTTCTCTGAGCTCAGGAAACTTTGGAAGTCAATCAGCATCAGATACACCAATCCTCAGACCCTATAGTGCCACCCAAAACTAAATATTCTCCTTCAGATGGTCCAGTTCATCCTTAAGCTAGGAAAGAGCAAAAATTAAATAAGAAGAAACATTGTAATAATCTTAAGTTTCTCACTGGGCTGTAAGGTTGATAGTGAACTTATGTGTAAATATCCAAAAACATTTTTTTGAAAAAACATTTTTTTCATGGCCCAGTCTTCATTTCTTATTGTCTAATTATACACATATGAGTAATGCATGTATTTATTCCTATCCCCTTTTTCTTACACAATAGGGTAGTATAATATGAACCTTGCTTTTTTCCCATATGAGTACAAAGAAAGTTTCCTCTTTTTATAGCTGTATAATATTCTGTTGTTGGATGTACCTCAGTTTATGCCATCAGAACCCTGTTAGTGGATAGTTGAGTTGTTTCAAATCATTTTAAGCTGTAATTTTACTGACTTTAAGTCTCTTTTGTTAGCAATCCCACTTTGAGGCCAGGCTACAGAAGTTAGTATATAGAAAACAAATGAATATAAGTAAAAAACTACAAATCCAACTTTAGTTCTAATCTGGGCTGTGGGAAGATGGCTGCCTAACTTCAAAGTTATGCTACCTTCATGCAGTCCTCTCTATTTTGTTTTTCTTTGCTGCCGTCTATGTATTTGGTGATGTTTGGTTTGTTGTCTTCTAATTTTTCTTTCATGGTTACTTCCTGATCCTATCTAATACACCAGCCTTCCTAACTCCTAGTTAGAGCTTTGTTAGAAAATTGTTAGACATGCAGATCTTTGGATTTTACTGTCGACAGACGATAGCAGTTTTCAGTCTAGATGATGATGGGATTCCTCCTATCTACCTTGCCGGAAGCTCTGTGAAAATCTTAATACTTGGATAATGCACTTCTACTATCACTGCTTCCCTGCTAACAAAGTACACTTGGTAACAAATTTGTATTAGTGATACTTAACTGCCCCAGGAGGCTGGTACCTGCTACTGCTGGTGGGATGTCAAAATTTCTTCCTGCTCAGTAGGGGTAGAGACAAGCAGAATTGAGAAATGCTGTTTAAATCTGTGAATTTAAATCTGGGTTCTTTGGAGGAAGGCATAAAGGGGTGATTGATTAATATCATTTTGGCTGCTCTTCTGCCACAAGGAATATGAGTAGAATAAAGAAAGGAAGAAGAAGATACAAAGAAATTCAGGTTAGAGAAGAAACACTACATTGAGAATCAAGAAGCATGGATTTTGATCTGTATTGTTACTAATTTGGTCTGTGATTTGATCTATATTCTGTTAATGATTTGGTCTGTGATTTCACTTCTCTGGTCCTAAGTTTTTGACCTATGAAATTAGTGGTTTGGAATTTTTTTAAAAATTGTCTGAAATTCTAAGGCAGAAAAGAGAAGTAAAGCAGCAGGCCGGGCATGGTGGCTCATGCCTGTAATCCCAGCACTTTGGGAGGCCAGGGCGGAGGACTGCTTGAGCCCAGCCTGGACAACACGGTGAAACTCTGTCTCTACAAAAAATAAAAATAAAAAAATTAGCCTGGCCTGGTGGCACATGCCTGTAGTCCCAGCTACTGGGGAGGTTGAAGCAGGAAAATCACTTGAGCTCAGGAGTTCAAGACCACAGTGAGCTATATGATCACATACCTGCACTTTGGCCTGGGTAACAGAGTGAGACCCTGTCTAAAAAAAAAAAAAAAATCCATATTGTTATTAAATAATATAAAGAGGAGAGCTTGTCTGTTAAAGAAAAATACCTATTACAGTTAGTGTTGTTGCATAGCAAATTATTCCCAGAATTTAGGGGCTTAAAGTAATCGTTTACTTTGCTTCTGATTTTGTGGGTCAGGATTATGGGAATGGCTCAGCTGGATAATTCTCATTTCGGGTTTCTCATGAGGCTGATGTCAGATGGGGCTACAGTCATCTGAAAGCTCAGTTGGGCTACATGTCCAAGATGGCTCATTCACATGGCTGGCAGTTGATTTTGGCCATCAGTCAGAGTGTCTGCATGTAGTCTTTCCAGCATGATGGTCTCAAGATAGTCAGGTTTTTTACATGGTGGCTCTCTTCTACCAGCGTGTCCCAAAGAAGACCAGACAGAAACTGCGTGACTTTTCTGACCTTGTCTTGAAAGTTACGTAGCATTACTTCCCCTGTACTGTATTGGTTGAAGCAGATACAAGCATGCCCAGATTCAAGGGGACAGGTCCTAAATCCCACTTCCGTGAGAAGAATGTCAGAGAATTTGGGGGCCACGTGTTTAAAACTGCCACATTTTCTCTTCATAGAGTAGATGGCTTCTATTGAGAATAGCACATAAGTACTGAAGTTTCTTTTCTTTTCTTTTCTCTTCTCTTCTTTTCTCTTCTCTTTTCTTTCCTTTTTTTTTTTTTTTTTGACGGAGTCCCACTCTGTCACCCAGGCTGGAGTGCAGTGGCATGATCTTGGCTCACTGCAACCTCTACTCCCAGGTTCAAACGATTCTCCTGCCTCAGCCTCCCAAGTAACTGGGATTACAGGTGCATGCCACCATGCCTGGCTAATTTTTGTATTTTTGGTAGAGACAGGGTTTCGCCATGTTGGCCAGGCTGGTCTCAAACTCTTGACCTCGAGTGATCCACCTGCCTCGGCCTCCCAAAGTACTGGGATTACAGGCTTGAGCCACCCCACCCAGCCTGAAGTTTATTCTTTCTTTTTGCTTGGTTGAAGCACAACCAAGCAAAAGAAATGTGTTTAAAATTATGATCACAGAATAAGTGTTACAAATTTTTCAGTGGTAACTTAATCCAGATAGTAATAACCCATACATTAATTTCTTGCCTTTCTCTTGTATGGAGATTATGCACAGGAGTTTGGACCTTATTCTGTAGACAGTTGGGAATCACTTGAGGCAGGAAGTATAGAAGTTGATTAGAAATAGGTAAGACTGGAGGCAAAAAGAGTAGCGCCAATTCTTTTCTTCCCCAAGCAGTGCAGGTGAGCAGTGAGATCCAGAACTGGGGCAGTGGCAGTTGGGATAGAGAGATGTTTAATTCAAGACATAGTAAAACATTAATAAAACGTAATTTTTTTTTTGAGACAGGGTCTCACTGTCACCCAGGCTGGAGTGCAGTGGCACGATCACAGCTCACTGTAGCCGCAATCCCCTGAGCTCAAGCAATCCTCCCACCTCAGCCTCCTGAGTAGCTGGGACTGCAAGCGCAAGCCACCGTGCCTGGCTAATTTTTAATTTTTTGTAAAGACGGGTGTCTCATCATGTTGCCTAGGCTAGTCTCGAACTCCTGGACTCAAGTGATCCTTCTGCCTTGGCCTCCCAAAATGTTGGGATTACAAGTGTGAACCACTACATGCTGGCTAACATATTTGTAAAGAAATTATTTATATTCGAATAGCTAGTAAATAAATGAACAAAATTCAAAATGTTCAAAAGGATAGATAATAAAAATAAGTTTTTTATCATCTCTTCTCCCCTACTTGCCCAGTTTTCCCCTAAGGCTATCACTATTACTATTTTTTTGAGTGTATTTCCAGAGATTCTATGCATATACAAACTTACTTTTATCGTACTGTATTCACTATTCTGTACCTTGCTTTTTTCACTTAAAATATATCTTGGAGATAGTTTATATCAAAACATATATAGCTGCCTTGCTGTCTTAACTATAGAGGATTCCATTGTATAGATAGGCCGTAATTTATTTATTTATTTTTATTTTTTATTTTTTTGGAGATGGAGTCTCGCTCTTCTCCCAGGCTGGAGTACAGTGACGTGATCTCAGCTCAGTACAACCTCCACCTGCCGGGTTAAAACAATTCTCCTAGTTCAGGCTCCTGAGTAGCTAGGATTACAGGTGCACACCACCACGCCTGGCTAATTTTTGTATTTTAGCAGAGACAGGGTTTCATCACGTTGGCCAGGCTGGTCTCGAACTCTTGACCTCAGGTGATCCACCTGCCTCAACTTCCCAAAGTGCTGGGATTACAGGTGTGAACCACTGTGCCCGTCCATGCCATAATTTAAGTCAGTCTTCTATAAGGATTTAAATTATTTTCAGTCTTTCTTTTCTTTGAGATGGAGTTTTGCTCTTGTTGCCCAGGCTGGAGTGCAATGGCACAATCCTGGCTCACTGCAACCTCCACCTCCCGGGTTCAAGCGATTCTTCTGCCTCAGCCTCCCAAGTAGCTGGAATTACAGGCATGCGCCACCATGCCTGGCTAATTTTGTATTTTTAGTAGAGACGGGGGTTTCTCCATGTTGGTCAGGCTGGCCTCAAACTCCCGACCTCAGGTGATCCACCTGCCTTGGCCTCCCAAAGTGTTGGGATTACAGGTATGAGCCACCGCGCCTGGCCAGTTTTTCTTTACAACAAAAATGCTTTAATGAATATCTTCATTATTTCATACATGGGGAAGTATATCTGTGGGACAGATTGCTAGAGGTGGAATTGCTGATTCCAAGGATGTATGCATTGTACTTTTTTTTTTTTAAGAGACAGGGTCTTGCTCTGTCACTCAGGCTGGAGTTCAGCTTACTATAACCTAGAACTCCTTGGCTCAAGCAATCCTCCTGCCTCAGCCTTCTGAGTAGCTAGGACTAAAGGTGTGTACCACCACGCCTGGCTAATTTGTAAATTTTTTTTTTCTGTAGAGACTGGAGGTCTTGCTGTTTCCCAGGCATGTGTCAAACTCCTGGCCTCAAGTGATCCTCCTGCCTTGGCCTCCCAAAGAACTAGGATTACAGGAGTGACCTGCTGTGCCTGGCCTACCTTATAAATTTTGATAGATATTACTAAATGGCTTTTCATGGAGAATAGAAACCAGTTTATATTCTCACCTGCAGTGGATGTGAGTAGCTGTTTCCTGCAACTTCATTAGCAC
Organism: Homo sapiens; assembly: GCF_000001405.40. Classification (NCBI taxonomy): domain Eukaryota; kingdom Metazoa; phylum Chordata; class Mammalia; order Primates; family Hominidae; genus Homo; species Homo sapiens. The sequence continues at coordinate 129,338,570 of NC_000007.14, forward strand.
TGTGTTATCAGACTTTCGGATCTTTCCTGTTCTGATGGATGAAAGGTGGTATGTCATTGAAGTTTCAATTTACATTTCTCTTTAAGGCCATTTGTATTTATTTCTCTTTCTATGTAAACTGGTGACATGCTCTGCGTACTTGCCTGTTGGATTGTTGGTCTTTTAAAAAATCAATTTGTTGGAGCTTTTTGTATATTGAAGAAAAAGGTCCTTTGTAATATGAATTGTGAATATTTCCCCCAATTTGTCATTTGTCTTTTGATTTTAATGTAGTTTAATAGAGCTTAATTTCTTAATAGTGTCTTATGTAGTTTGTGTCACATATAGGCCCTGTCCACTTTACGATTATTTTAAGTGATGGGTCTCTTTCAAATTTCTGCACATCCTTTGTGTTCGGATCTCACTTCCTACTTTAATGGAAAAATAGAAGCTATTAAGACTTTCAACTTGCTCCTTTCCTTTTATTTGGAAAGGCATCCTGTTTCCTAAGTTGGTATTGATTTGTTATCTAATTCTCAGTGCCCTTATTATATTTCAGTGATGTTGCCACATTGATTCTTCAACTTCTCCCTCGGTTCTAACTTCACATTAGCCATTTAGGTTCTTGTCTCTTATGTTTGCTTATTTGTTTGTTTTAAAGAACCAGTTCTAGGTGTAGAAAAACAGACACTCATACGTTCATGGTGGAAGTGCAATCTTGGTGCAGTCAATTTGGAGGGCAGTTTGAGAGTTAATATCTCTCAAACCTAAAAATGTATGTAGTCTTTGACCAAATTATTTCACTTTTTAGAAATGTACCCTATTGATATACCAAACATATATGAAAAGTATATACAAAGATATAAGTTACTGCAGTGTTTGTGATAGAAGAAGACTGGTAACTATCTTTGTTATATTTTTCAGTAGTTATGTATCCATCTATGTTTCCATGCCTTTAATGCAGCCATTAAAATTCACACCATTCTGGGGACTATTTTTTGCCATTTTTCTTTTCATTTTTAGAGACAGGATCTCTCACTGTTGCCCAGGCTGGCTCATCGCAGCCTCAAACTACTGGGCTCAAGCAATCCTCCCACTTCAGCCTCTCTGGTAGCTAGGATTACAGGTGCATTCTGCCATGCCTTGCTAATTATTTTTTTTTTTTAGAGATAAGGTCTTGCTTTGTTGCCCAAGCTGGTCTCAAAATCCTGGCTTCAAGTGATTTTCCCACCTCAGCCTCCCAAAGTGTGGGACTACAGGCATGAGCCACCTCGCCTGGCCACTAATTGATTTTCTTTTAGAATTTTGAAGGAGTACACTGTTATCCAGTTTTGCTCTTGTTGCTCTCTTTTTCCTTTTCCTCTGCTCTTTTTTTTTTTTTTTTTTTTGAGACGGAGTCTCGCTCCGTCGCCCAGGCTGGAGTGCAGTGACGTGATCTCGGCTCACTGCAAGCTCCGCCTCCCGGGTTCACGCCATTCTTCTGCCTCAGCCTCCCTAGCAGCTGGGACTACAGGCGCACTCCGCCACGCTTGGCTTATTTTTTGTATTTTTTTTTAGTAGAGGCAGGGTTTCACCGTGTTAGCCAGGATGGTCTCGATCTCCTGACCTTGTGATCCGCCCGCCTTGGCCTCCCAAACTGCTGGGATTACAGGCATGAGCCACCGCGCCTGGCCCCTTTTCCTCTGTTCTTTATGACTTTCTGTCCTGATCTGCCAGTTTAAAAAAAATAGTTTTTCAGGCCGGGCGCGGTGGCTCACGCCTGTAATCCCAGCTCTTTGGGAGGCCAAGACGGGCGGATCACGAGGTCAGGACATCGAGACCATCCTGGCTAACACGGTGAAACCCCGTCTCTACTAAAAATACAAAAAAATTAGCCGGGCGTGGTGGCAGTTGCCTATAGTCCCAGCTACTCCGGAGGCTGAGGCAGGAGAATGGCGTGAACTCGGGAGGCGGAACTTGCAGTGAGCCGAGATCGCGCCACTGCACTCCAGCCTGGGAGACAGAGCGAGACTCCGTCTCAAAAAAAAAAAAAAAAAATTTCTCCCCTTTGTCGTTTTATCTACTGTTTATAAAATTGTTTTTAACTTCCTCTTCCAATTCTTCTGTTGAAATTTTAAATTCCATTATTTTTAATTTCTAAGAACTGCTTTTACCCATTTGAGTTTTTTAAAAATTATGAATTGTTGAATTTTATCAAATGCTTTTTCTATATCTATTGAGATCATATGATATTTTCTCCTTTAATCCATTATGGTGGTAATTCTACAAAGTAGTATTTTAAATGTTTAATCACTCTTGAATACTTTGGATAAGCTTATATGATCATGCTTTTTTTACATTGCTGTGTTAGTTTGCTATTTTGTTCATGAGCTCATATTTTGTATATATATCTGTGTCCATGATTGAAATCAGTATATAATTTTCCTTTGTTGTACTGCCCTTGTCTGGTTTTGGAATCAAGGTTATGCTGGTTTGATCAAAAGTTGGCTGGGGCTGCAAATTATACTGACAAAAGACAAATTAACAAGAGAAAAACAAAGTTTTTCTTTTCTTTTCTTCAAAGTTTATGCATGGCACATACATAAGGAGAGCTCAGTGATGAGTAACTCAAAGAGGTAGTTAGAACTTGGGGTTACATAGCATCTTAGCAAAGAATAGAAATTTTTTAGAGAAGTGACAAGACAAAGGAAAAGGACATTGAGCTTCTAGGGGTAGCAAGTGTGGGAACACAAATATATGGAGAAACTAGGTAGATAAAGGCTAGTTAGCAAGGTTTGTTTGTGTTGACTCTCAGTGCCATCCTTTCTCCAGTGATGAGGCTTTTTATCTCCTTCCTGGTAAGGGAAGTGGTTGGGGGACACTTTCACAAGGGTAGAGGAAAGGTGGATGTGGGGAGGGAGGCTGAGAACTTCTGTGTCTGCTTTTTCTCAACTGCCTTCAGTGTGAAATAGTTCTTATGCCAGGGTAGCATACTCTGAACCCCTTCGTTAGAATTAACTAAAAGCATAGCATATAATTCTTTGGTACCACTTACCAGAGAAAGAAAGGGAAAGTATAGGAATGAAGAGATCTGGCGGCGGCAGTGGCTGGCAGGGTGGTGATGGAGGTGGGAGGCAGATGAAGATGGAATGGAGGACTGAGTATGTGTAAGTCATTGATAGCAGTAAAAGTGACTATTGTCCCCAAAGCTTTCTTGTCGAATGCCTGTGAATTTCGAGGGTGGGAATAACACACTCATGGTTATCATATGAAACCTATTTGTGGCAAGATAGTAGAAATAAAACAAACTGTGTAATCTGTCCACGATCTTGAGAATTTACCAACACTTGGGAAAAAATAGCAAGTGCTTAAAGAGAAGAATATCAGTGTAAAGGAGCATGGACTACAAGTCTGTTAAGTGGTACAGGCAGTAATTACAACCATTAAACCACTCAGAAGAATGGTTTATCTCCAGGGTTATAAAGGTAAAGCTTTATGTGGGAACCAGCATGTACTTTGGCATTAAGAGAAGGGAAGGAGAACAGAAAGTAAATAGAAAGAGTTTAATAAGAAGGAGACAGAGCAGGCATTTTAAACTGAGGAAATTATATGCAAAAGTACAGGGGTGGAGTTGGGAAGGGACACCAGTGTTGAAGTATTCCTGTTACTTGTTGGTATCATCATTCACCCTATCAGCTGGTAGGAGAGCACCAGAAACCCAAGTCTTCTTAGACTCCTCCTCCCCATTAACTCAAAGGTAATATCCAGAAGAAACAAAGAACATTTGTGGAAGGAGAGTAAGAGTCATGACTCAGTTTTGATCCTAAGTGACCAGAATAATAGATTTTAAAAATATATGGGTAGGGAGGTAGTTTGAAGGAGACAATAATGAAGAGAGAGACCCTTTCCTTTAAAATAGGAATAAAGAAGCAAAAGGTAGGTGAATATACCAAGAACTTCCAATTAAAAGATGAGGGAACTTGTAGTAATCTCCCTTCTGTGTGTTAGAGAATGCGGCTATGTAGCTTTGTACCTTGAGGGACTTAACAAGGGTTAATTATAATCAACTGTTGAAACACACTGTTCTAAACGCAGTATTATTCACTTGCCACCTATTTTGGGAGTTCATGTATAAGCATATAAAATTACCATTAGACTGTTTCAAAGTGGTAGACCTTATTTTAAAGTAAGAGCATTTATTTTACATGTTTAAAATAAGGGATATGTAAATCTTTCCTTTCTCCCTACTCACCTCTGTTCACCACAGGCAGTCATTGTTGACATCATCTTGTGCTTCATTCTAGAAAAATTTGGCATATATGTATATAATATTACACGTTATGTGTTACAAGTATATATTAACATACATATCTTGATAATGTATTTATACTATGTATCTTGAAACAATTTCATTTACATCTTTTAATTATGTGAAATCTTTTCTCTTTTCCTTTGGCCTCTGGCCCCATTTCCTTTATATAGGGAAGTATACTATGGGGATATAAATTCCAAATACCTGTTTTGTTTGTCTATCCAATTTTCTATTTCATTGCATTCACATTGGATTAAAGTTGCTTAAAATAGCAAAACATTTTCCTTTTTTATTTAAAATTTTTTGTCTTAAAAAGCATGAGGAGAAGGCATGGAAATATTAGTCACATTTCTTGGTATTCAATATTCCTGTGAGTAGTGTTTATTAAAAGCTCATCTTTCTTGCTTGGCATATCCGTACAGTTTCCTCCCACTAGAGGGCACTAGGATATTGTTTGTTTTTAGTGGTCTGTTTATGATGAACTTAGCATTAATTTTCATATGTTTTCTTATTTGTCCTGCATTATAATAGGAATTAAATTGTCATGCTGATGTCACTTTGTTAGCGATATATGGACAATTAAGGCACCTTCCCTGCTATCAATTATGACTTCGAAGACTATTTTGTGCTTAATACTTAAGAAGAAAGGGAGAGGGGGAGCTTAGAGCAATGGGAAGTTCCAGAAATAGACCTCTACCTATAGAATGAACTGGATTTTGAAAAAGAAGCCAAGATAATTCTGTGGGGAAAAATTTTTCTTTCCAACAAATGGTGCTGGAACAACTAAATACTGTTTGGGGGCAAAGTGAACTTTGTTTCTGATCTCATTCCAAGTATAGAAGTTAACTCAAAATGGATCATAGACTATAGAAAAAAACAAAGGAGAAAATCTTCATGACCTTGGGGTAGGCAAAACTTTCTTTGCACACAAAAAATACTCTAAAAGAAAATGTTTTGATAGAGTTCTCCAAAATTAGAAACTTCTATTCAAAAGACACAGGTAAGTAAATAAAAAGGCAAGCACAGACTGGGAGAAAATATTCACAATACATATACAGAAAAATGACTGGTATTTAGAATTCATATAAAGGAATCTAAAACTCAGTAATAAGATAATCTAGTTTCTTAAATGGAGGAATGATTTGAACAGACATAGCACAGTACATACTATATGAATGCTAATAAGCATATAAGATACTCAACACCACGAGAGAAGTGCAAATTAAAACCACAGTGAGATACTGCACACCTGCTAGAATGGCTAAAATTAAAAAGAGTGACAATAGCTACTACTGATGAGGGTGTGGGACAGTTGTAATGATCATGCATTGCTGGTGTGAAACAGTTTATTATAAATTTAATATATTCTTACCAGGTGACCCAGCAATTTCACCCTTACCTATGCATTTACCCAAGAAAATGAAGCCCATTGTTCACATGAAGACCTATACACAAGTGTCCATGACAGTTTGATTCATAATGGCCCCAAAGTGGAAACAACACCACATGTCCATCAATAAATGAATGGATAAATAAAGTATGGTACACCCATGTAATGTGCTATTCAGCAGTAAAAAAGAATGAACTACTCATATAACAGTATGGATGAATCTCAAAAACATTAAATGAAAGAAGCTAGATATAAAAGAGTATTTTATGATTCCATATGATTTGTATGACGTTCCATAAAAGGCAAATCTATCTATAGTAACAGAACAGATCAGTGGTTGCCTCGGGTTGTGATAGTAGTGAGATGAGTCAGCAACAAAAGAGAAAATAAACTGAAGTAACCAAAAATTATAAGTGTTATGAAGGAAACAAAGCAGGTGGCAGTATGTATAAAGGCCCTAAGTTGGAAAAGAAGACTGTTGATGGAGTATAGTGAACAAAGGAGTGAGTGGTGGGAGAGCTAAATAAGCTACCAGGTCATGCGGAAAGAGTCCTTAAAAGGGGCAGGAAGCGGGGAGGAAAAAAAAGAGTTCTTACTAACTTGACAGGGAACAGACTGTAGCTCAAATAGAAATCCTTCCTTCAGCTGGGCATGGTGGCTCACACCTGTAATCCCAGCACTTTGGGAGGCCGAGGCGGGTGGATCACCTGAGGTCAGGAGTTCGAGACTATCCTGGCTAACATGGTGAAACCCCATCTCTACTAAAAATACGAAAATTAGCCAGGCATGGTGACAGGTGCCTGTAATCCCAGCTACTCGGGAGGTTGAGGCAGGAAAATCACTTGAACCCAGGAGGCAGAGGTTACAGTGAGCCGAGATCATGCCACTGCACTCCAGCCTGGGCCACAGAAAAAAGAAAAGAAAAATTCTGCCTTCAGTGGGAGAGGGTAAGAAGGAAGCTGTGCATATGAGGTTTGCCTGGTGATTGGAAAGGGAGAGAGTTTACATCAGACATTTTTCTGTTTTCTTACATTTATTTTCTTTTTTATATATAAAGTAAGTCTGCCACCTGAAGGTGAAGAAGTTGAGGGGACAAACATACAGTATTCTTTTTGGGAGAGGATAGGGGAGTATGTGCCTACTAAAGAAACTTTGTAAGATGACTGAAGAACTATCGATGCTCATTAGATGTTTAGGAAGGTGATTTTAATATGAAACCTGTCAGCTTAGTCACACATGGTTTTTCTCTTGCAACATGTAACTGCTTGGGCCCAAACATGGAATTAATTAGTATATGTCATCAGAATTTAGGTTTTGCCTGGCAAAAATAATGAAGAGAGTGAAGGTGTTGTTGTGGTTGGCTTGCTTTAGTCTAGACCGTTGATGACTGAGTGAAGGTGTTTCTAGAGTCACATTATCAAGATGGACAGGAAATCTAGGCTAGAAAAGAAGGAAAATGAAACTGGGAAAGAGTTCATGAATAGGAAGACAATGATAGGATCATTGGCTGGAGAACACAGAATTATATACTGGGGCCATTTCTGCAAATGAAGTGGTAGGATAGGATGAAGTGATCTCAGAGTGACTTCCAGGTTTCCGAAATAGAGGCTCAATTATTGACATAGGTAATCCTAGAGGAGGAAGAGCAGGTTTGGGGGGGTAAGATGATGAGTTCAGTTTTGGACAGGCTGTGTTTGAGGAACCTGTGGGATGTATAAGTGGAGATGTCCAATGAGCAATTAAGTATATAGATCTGAGAGATCTGGGCTGTCTAAGTAGAGATTTAGCAGTTATCAGCATATAGATGATAACTGAAACATGGTAACAGAAAAGATTATCAGAGAGGATTTGTGGGATAAGAGAAGGTAAGGGTGTGTAATTTCCTTTTTCTACAACCAGAGTGGTTGTGGTGGTGGTTGGTATTTGGTTTTGTTCCTTTTCCTTCAGTATTGTGTCTCCTTTTTCAAATAAATCCTAGGAAATACAACATGGAATGATGGTAAGAGCAGAGTTAAAGTCCTGTCTTTGCTGTTTCCTACTATGTGCCTTGAGTAGTTAAACTTCTCAGAGCCTCAGTTTTTTCAACTGTTAAAAACAGTGGTATCAAAAGAATGAGAAGACAAACCACAGACGGAGAGAAAATATTTGCATAAGACCTATATGATAAAGGACTGTTATCCAAACTATGAAAAGAGCTCTTAATAATAAGGACACAAACAACCTGATTAAAAAGTGGGCAAAAGACATGGATAGAAAACTCACCAAAGAAGATATATAGATGTCAAATAAGCATCTAAAAAGATGCTCAACATCATATGTCATTAGGGAAGTGCAAATTAAAATCATTTGAAATACCACTACTCATCTATTAAAATGCCAAAATTCAGAACACTGATAACACCAAGTTATCAACACCTAATGAGGATGTGGAGCAAAAGGAACTGATTCGTTGGTGGGTATGCAATATTATACAGCTACTTAAAGACAGTTTGGTAGTTTCCTAGAAAACTAAACATATTCTTACCATACAATCCAGCAATTCCATTCCTTGGTATTTACCTAAAGGAATTGAAAACTTATATCCACACAAAAACCTGCTCACAGGTGTTTATAGCAGCTTTATTTATAATTGCCGAAATTTGGAAGCAATTTTAAAGATGTTCTTCAGTAGGTGAGTGGGTAAATAAACTGTGGTACATCCAGACAATGGAATATTATTCAGTGCTAAAAAGAAATTAGTGATCAAGCTGTGAAAACATATGATAGAAGCTGAAATGCATATTACTAAGTGAAGTAAGCCAACCTGAAAAGGCTACATACTGTATGATTCCAAATATGTGACCTTCTGGTAGAGGAAAAATATGGAGACAGTGAAACGATCAGTGGTTGCCAGGGGCTGGGAGAAGGGAAGGATAAATAGGCAAAGCACAGATTTTTAGGGCCGTGAAATCATCCTGTATAATGCTACAATGATGGGTACACATCATTATACATTTGTCTAAACTCATAGAATGTATAACACCAAGAGGGAACCCAAATGTAAACTGTGGACTTTGGGTGATAAAGATGCGTCAGTGTAGGCTTATTGATTAACTGTAACAGATGTACCACTCTGGTGCAGGTTGTTGACAGTGGGGGAAACTATGTCTTTGACGGGCAGAGGGTATATGGGAACTCTCTTTCTCCTCAATTTTGCTGTGAACCTAAAACTGCTCTTTAAACGTCTATTTTTAAAAACAGAACAGCTGTGATATGAAACTGCATGGAGACAGGTCAAATAACTAAGGACTACTGGTCTAAATTCAGAATCACCCTCAGCTGTATAGGTATTTATGTGTTCACTTGTGGCTTAGCTTACTGCTGCTTAATGGGAAAGTTTTGCTTCCCTTCCTCACCTCTGTTTTTTGTTTTTTTGGTTTTTTTCTTTACAGTGATAGTGAACAATTACAGTCCTTGGAAAGACTGAATTATAGCTTAATGAATGTACAGATACAAATGTCTGGATGTTTATATTGCCAGGGGTAGAAATGACGAGGGAAAACATGCAACCCCCACAATTAAAAGGCGTTTATTTCACTATTCTAAGGAATATTTGAATCTCCTTTCAGTTGTATCCCTTACCTTGTTTACTTTACACCCAAGTGGCATTTCATACTTGAAAGCTTTTCAGATAGATATTACAGTACCAATCTACTTTGGGTACCAGGACCTCCTTCCCCTGTGGATTCCAAAACAATTTCTGAAAATATGGGAGAAGGATCTTCAGTTATACCCACGTATACAAAATAGCATATGTCTGGATTAAAGATACATCTGGAAATTTATCCTACAGATATTCTCACACATGTAGAATATTCACTACAGCATTATACATTCATATGTAGAATGCATTACATTCACATGTAGAAGGATATTCACTACAGCATTGTATCATGGTGATAAACAAATAGCACAAGGTAGGAGCAATCTAAATGTCCGTTGGCAGGGAACTGGTTAAATAAATATTGGTATATCTATAAAATAGAACAATGTGCAGAAGTTAAAAAGAGTGAGGCAACTCTGTATATGGATAGTGAAAGTCTTCAAGATAATGTTGAGGGGGAAAACTGGATGCAGAACTACATGTATGATATGCTACCATCTGTGTAGAAAAAGAAACAATAACCCCCCCCCCACACACACACATACATGCTTTTATGAAAAGAATGTCTCTACAAGAATGCACAAGTAAGATTTCTCTCTAGAGAGGATATTCAGGTGCTGAAGGAAAAGGGTAGAGACTTTTCACCATATACTCTTTATATCTCTTGAACTTTGTGCCATAGTTAAAAACAAATGAAGAAATAAAATTCAGATTTTAGAAACCTATCTTATGGGATTATCATGAGGATTAAATGAGTCATGTATATAATCTAATGCATTGTCTGGCATGTAGTTAAGTATATAATACTTACTAAATATGATACTTACTAGCCGTTGTTTGTCCCTTCCCCTCCAGTTCCATAATTGCTGTTTGGAGGGTTCACAGGATTTATTTTCTTCACCTAGGCCAAGGATTGTTAACCTGAATGGATCAATGAACCTTTGAAATTGCAAATTTTGTATAAGCATATGCTTATTCCAGACTTTCCAGATTCTAGAGAGAAGAGGGTCTGTGACTTTAATCAGATTTGCTAAGGAAGGGAAGGTCCCATGGCCCTAAAAAGTTAAAACACACTAACCTAAGCTGTTTTGCTATTTTATGTTTCTTTCCACCAGAAAATACTCTGCTGTCAGATCGTTTTCTCTTTACAGCTAGGAAGAGACTCTGGCTGACTTTTATTCCTCACAACTTTTATCTTTTCTAAATATATCATGTCTAGGCAAGTAATTTAAACTTTCTAGGTCTCAACTTCTTAACTGTAAAAAGAAGTGATTGATCTGGACAAATTCAAAGGTTCCCTTCATCTTGAAAATGTTTTGATTCTATCTAGGTTTACTCTGTATGGGCTTTAAAAATTAGAAATATTGTCATAAACCAAGAAAAACCCTTATGCTAAGAATAATCTTTAGGTAGAGACCTAAATCTTGACTGAGGGATAAAATTGGAGGTTTGTATATACAAATATAAGAACTTATGTCAGGCCGGGCATGGTGGCTTATGTCTGTAATCCCAGCACTTGGGAAGGCTGAGGCGAGAGAATCACCTGAGGTCAGTTCGAGACTAGCCTGGCCAACATGGTGAAACCCCATCTCTACCAAAAAAAAAAAAAAAAAAAACCCACAAAAATTAGCCAGGCGTGGTGGCACATGCCTGTAATCCCAGCTACTCAGGAGGCTGAGTGAGGCAGGAGAATTGCTTGAACCCGGGAAGCGGAGGTTGTAGTGAGCTGAGATGGCATCATTGCATTCCAGCCTGGGCAACAATGCAAGACTCTGTTTCAAAAAAAAAAAAAAAAAAAAAGCGTATGCCAACCTGATTCCATATAGAACAGCCATGGTTTATTTTCACATTAGCAATAAAGCTACCTTACTAAAGAGATAGGGCTATGTAAGATGCCCTGGTAGTCCTGTTGACATCTCTGTAAAACCTCTCCCATCTCAAGGTCTTTTCTCTGCTTTGTTTTGGGAAAAGGGGAGAATAGTAGAACCAGTGAGTTGTAGTTCTACACTAATAAAAAATGCCTCTATCAATATTGATCATTATCTGTTACTTGATTGAAGTCCAGATCATAGTTCTTATTTATGAAAAACCAATCTGCATACTTTAACTCAGATGTACATTTAGTTATTCATATTATTGTACAACTCAATTACTCAGAAACATTTGTCCCAAATTTATACTGTGGTCATTTTTGCCTATTGCTTCAAAAGGCTTTATAGAAGATGGGATTCTTGACTTACAAGGCAGTTCAGGGTTAATCCATTCAACAAGCATGTGAAGATAAGGGCATTTCAGATAAAGCATGCAGAGGTACCTGGATTCAGGTTTTAGCTCTGTGTCTTATGAGCTCTGATCTTGGGTCAGTCACTTATCCTGTCCATACTTGTTTCCTCAGTTGTGAAATGGTGATAATAAAAGCACCTACTGTATAGCATTATAAGGATTAAATGAGATAATACATGCCAAAGCAACATAGTATTTGGAATGTAGAAAGCATTCAATAAATGTAGTCTTTTTTTTTTTTTTTGGAGATGGAGTCTCACTTTTGTCACATGGGCTGGAGTGCAATGGCGTGGTCTCAGCTTACTGCAACCTCTGCCTCCCGGGTTCAAGGGATTCTTTCACCTCAGCCTCTCAAGTGGCTGGGACTACAGGTGCATTGTGCCACCATACCTGACTAATTTTTGTATTTTTAGTAGAGACAGGGTTTCACTATGTTGGCCAGGCTGGTCTCGAACTCCTGACCTTGTGATCCTCCTGCCTCGGCCTTCCAAAGTGCTGGGATTACAGGTGTGAGCCATTGCACCCAGCCTCCTTCATTTTCTTTTTCTTTCTTTCTTTCTTTTTTTTTTTTTTTTTATCTTTTAGGGATGGAGTTTTGCTCTGTTACTCAGGCTCTCAGCTCACTGCAATCTCTGTATCCCAGGTTCAAGTGCTTCTCCTGCCTCAGCTTCCTGAGTAGCTGGGATTAGAGGCTCCCGCCATGATGCCCCGCTAATTTTTGTATATTTAGTAGAGACAGGGTTTCACCATGTTGACCAGGCTGGTCTTGAACTTCTGACCTCAGGTGATCCACCCTCCTCGGCCTCCCAAAGTGCTGGGATTACAGGCGTGAGCCACCGCGCCCGGCCCCGGCCTAATTTCTTTTTTAAAAGCAAACAATTCATCCTTAAGTATTAGAAATAGCATAAATTTTATTTTATTCTAGAATATTATTAAATTCTAAAATAGCAGTTTTAAATAATTTTAAATTTATGAAAGTTGAAAAAAGTTTTGAATTTTATTTTAAAACAAGTCAAAGATATATACTTATTTTTGGTGTTTCCGCATAGGCATAAGGAACACTTTTGGATTTTAAAAATAACAACTTATTGGATGATAGTGAAGTTACAGAGATTATAGTAGGTATACCTGGAGATACCAGCAGGAACATAGTAGAAATAATAAGCCAAAAACACTTTTATTTATACTGTAACCAATCTCCTTGGAAAACTTTAGAAAACACAAAAATATACAAGCATACATTCCATTTATTCAGCCTGATGACGTCATCACACATACAGCCTCTGGAAAACCCCACTCTACACTCAAGAGAGAATGAAAAGTGAAAAAGACAAAGGACATTTTAGTATTATGAAAATGCTTTTGACCTCAAAAGCCCCTGAATCAAAGGGAAAGGTGAAAAGGAAATCGCCATTGGCAATGGTAGAGGCTATGGAAGATTGGGTCTTGCAAAATTTATTAGAAGACGTTTCTGAAGAGAAGACCTTCTGAGGCACCCCTTTGCAGGTAAAAAAACATTCATGTCCTCTTTCTCCACAAAGCTTTTGTTAATCACCAGACCTCACAGTGGTCTCGCAGCACCTCTTAAAGCAGTGGTTCTCAAAATGTGGTCCATGGACTCCCAGGAGTCCCTGATACTGTTTTTCAAGGTCTGTGAGGTCAGAGCTGTTTTCATAATAATACTAAGGTGTTTGCCTTTTCTATGGTGTTGACATTTTGCACTAATGGTATATAAGCAATGATAGGTAAGTAATTAATAACCATTAGTTATTGTATTTGTCATTGGTGTGTACTTGCAGATAACATCTTTCTTCCAGTTTCACTTAGAATGTTTTTGATGAAGCCATTAAAATGATTAGTTTTATTAAATATCAATCCTGGAGTATAATTTTTTTTTTAATGAACTGGGAAGTACACATAAAGTACTTCGGCTGCATGCTGAAATATAATGGTTGTCTTGAGGGAAAGCATTCCTGATTGTTTGAGTTGCAAACTGCACTAGGCTCCTTTTTTTAATCATGTATCTCTTTTACTTTACAGAGAGACCATGGTTATTCAGGTTTGGGCATCTGGCAGATATTTTCTTGAAAATGAACGAAGTGAGCCTGTCTCAAGGAAACTGACAGTATTTGTTGTCAATGATAAAATTCAAGCTTTCAAATGGAAATTAGAATTTTGGAAAACCCAAACCCGCCACCATGAGCTTGACAGCTTCCAGTCAAGCTGTCCCCGGTGTAGACCTCGTATTTGAGCTCCAGACTCTCACTCTACCTATCTATATATATACTGTGTCCACATAAATGTTTCATATTCTAAATTTAACATGTCCACAATGGAATTTTTTATTTCTCCCACAAAACTTTCTCTCTTTCACCCTGCCCCAATTTTTCTCATCTTAGTAAATCACCTCCAACCCAGTTGTTCAAACTAGAATTGAAGTCATTATTTCTTTTTCCTCACCTCCTACGTCCAATCCGTTAGCAAGTCTTTTGAGTTCTGCTGTTAAGATAACCTCAGATCTGCTTGCTTTTCTCCACCTTTGCCATTAGCCTATTCCAGGTTACCATCATCTTGCACTTGATCTCCTGCATCAGGTATCTCATTGGTCTTCCCTTCTTGCCTGTCTCTAATCCATTTTCCACACAGCAGCAGATGTAAATAGAAATTATTTCATGTCACTCCATTGCTTAAAATCCTTTAATAATGCCCATTATACATAGAATAAAATTCAAATTCCTTAGCTTATAAGGCCTTTCATGTTTAGGCCTTTACCTCCTCATTCTTTTTTTTTTTTTTTTTTTTTTTGGTGCAGAGTTTCTCTCTTGTTGCCCAGGCTGGAATGCAATGGTGTGGTCTCTCGGCTCACTGCAGCCTCTGCCTCCCGGGTTCAAGCGATTCTCCTGCCTCAGCCTTCTGAGTAGCTGGGATTACAGATGGCTGCCACCACACCTGGCTAATTTTTGTATACTTTTAGTAGAGATGGGGTTTCACCGTGTTGGCCAGGCTGGTCTCGAACTCCTGACCTTAGGTGATCCACCTGCCTCGGCCTCCCGAAGTGCTGGGATTACAGGGGTGAGCCACCATGCCCGGCCATTCTTTACATTCTTTACATTCTTTACAACCTCATTCTCCCTTTCATTCACTAAATTCCAGCCACACAAGTAATCTTTCTATTCCTTAAACATGCCAAGTTCTTTCTTACATCAGGGGTTTTGCAATTACTATTTTCTTTCTTTCATATAGCAAGCTTTCTCTCATCCCTCTGGTCCTAGTTCAAATGTTATCACCTTAAAACTGCCTTTCTTGATTATTCTATCTAAGGTAGTTTCTTCCTTTTATACCTTATTTAGCCTCTTGGTCATTTCCTGTATAACAGCATAAATTTAATTATTTCATCTATCTATTTACTTAATTTTTTATCCGTCTCCCTTATTAGATAAAAATAAGCAAATAATTTTAGATGTGTTAAGATGGAGGTGCCTATAGGAATATCATACAGTGACGCCATCTAGTAGGCCACTGTCTGGAACTTAAGCTCAGAGGGAGATGTTATTAATAGATACAGAGTTTTGGAAATTACCTGTATGTTAATAGTAAATGAAGCCATGGATACAGGTAAGAGGAAGATTTGACTGAAGAGGACACAGAGACTAGAATAGAATCTTCAAGAATTCCCACATTTGAGGGACCAAAAAGAGAAGCCCAAAGGAAACTGAGAATGAAGATATTTTGGAGATCAAAGGAAATATGAGTATAATATCAGAAAAGCCAAAGGAAGAGAGTCTTTCAAGGAAGAAATATTAATAACTGTGTCAAAATCCTGAGAAGTAAAGTAAGCTGAGAAGTATCCAATAGGCGTAGCAATAAGGACATAGTAACCATGGCATGAATAATTTCAGTGGATTGGCAAGACAAGACAGACCATAATAGATTGAGGACTGAATGGAAGGTGAAGAGTTGTGGATATACTGTAATAAGTTTAGAAAGCCAAGGAGTTTGGCATTGAAGGCAATCAGTCCCCAAGAAGGTGAGAGAGAATTTGATCCAGAGCACTGGTGGAAGGATAGATTTTGATGGGAAGAGAGGATCTTCCATTAAAACAGGAGGGAGATAGGAGAAGATGGATGTGGGGAAGTTTATAGGTTTGAGTATTGAGAAGTTGGAAAAGAAATTGTTTCCATTTAATGATTTTAGTTTTTTCTGTAAAATAAGAGTAGAAGTAATATACTGAGAGTAAGGGATGTTATAGCCAGACATTTGAGAAAGTATAGAACATTATGACAGCTGGTATGGAGACAAGAAGAAAGGGCTGAGTAAGGAAATGTAACAGGATTACTAGGTTGTATTGACCTGTGTATCTGGGTTGTTTTCAGCAGCAGAACAGTCCAGGCGTAGGCATGACCATTTGGTAATGGTAGTCTGCCTATGTATGGTTCCTTGCAAGTCTTCACTGTGGATGACATTGAGTAAGACTTGCTCTTGCAACCGAACATAGACTCTGGTTAACACTACAATGTCAGCATTGCATTAAGAAGATAGATTGAACTTCCTTCCACTTTCTCTGTCACTGCTAGACTTGGCAGAAGATTTTGACTACAGCATCTTTACCTTGTAGAGAACTGCACTTAGAAGCAAAGTTGAAGTGATTTATGGACCTCACAGAAGGGATTTATAGCTCCCGTAGGAAATAATTGGCTCATGACCTTTAAAATTAGAGGAAATTTGCCTTGGAGTCATCCAGAGCGAGTGAACACAGCAGCACAGTCAGTCCTCATTATTTTCAGATTCCATATTTGCAAATTTGCCTAGTCAGTAAAATTTATTTGTAACCCCAAATGAATACCCCCGATCCTTTTGGGATCATAGACATGCATAGAATGGTGAAAAATTTGTGTCACCTGACATGCATTAAGAAGCAAAAATTGTCCTGGAATACAAACCTTCAAGAAGACCTACAGAGCTGAGGTCAAACATGACAATGGTCTGCCTTCCTGTTTCATCCCTCATACTGTAAACACGTGTCCTGTTCATAATCTGTTTAGTGCCATATATTTTTGAATTTTTGTGCTTTGTTTTAGTGATTGCACTGTGTAAAATTGTCCCCAGGTGTCATGGTAAAGTGTTGTCTAGTGTTCTTAAGCTCAAAAAGGCTGTGATGTGTGTTACTGAGAAAATGTGTGTTAGATCAGCTTAGTTCAGACATGAGTTATAGTGCTGTTATCTCTGGGTTCAATGATAATGTACCAAAATACATTAAATAAGATGTCTTTAAACAGAAATACATATAAAACAAGATTATGTATTGACACAAATGCTGAGAATCACATGCACCTAACCGTGTATTTTTCCTAGGAGCAGTGGTTCACTGTTGGCAAATTTAGTGTTCATGGCAACTTTATAGAATGTAACTACCTCAAATAATAAGAATCAATGTATTTTATATATTTATTTTGGAGGACCTTAAAGTATCTCACAGACATTAGCTCATTCATCAACACAACTTCCAGAAATTAGCTGCTAGAGAATGAGTTGTTATTTGGAGGATAAGGGAAAATTCACTCTGTAGGTCTCCCTTAAGGTTTGTATTCTAGGACAATTTTTGCTTCTTAAGTAGACAGTATTTTACCCTTGGATGTAAAAAGATCTGCTTGCTAATTATGGTTATGTTTGATTGATTTGCTTTGGAACTAATTGGAATATTCCCTATTTGACTTCAATGGGGAAAGGTTAAAAGGTAAAGAAAGCATTTTGGAAAGCAGTCAGAACTTTTTGGCAGAAAAGTACCAGGTAGAGAGAAATAATCATAGTGGTTATTATCACAAATGTAAAAAAGGTAAGGATATAAATTGCTGGATACATATTTGAATGTGTTATGTTGAAAATGGCTACTCACATATATATTATAGGAACTTTTCTCTCCTTCAACTCGGCATTCAAACCTTTGTCTAGATCCTGCTAATTCTTCCTTTATATGATTTCTCAAATTTGTTCCTTCTTTTTCATTAATATAGTGATAATCTGGAAATCCAGACTTTAACCATTTTCAAAGTTGACCTCAAAGTTGCTCTCATTTCTTTCAGCCACATTTTCCCTTGAATGTAAGAGTTACACAGTAATAAACCATCTTCCTTAAGCATATTTTTATCACATTCTGCAGACATATTACTGCCCTACTTAGAAACTTTCAGTGGCTGCTAGTTGTCTATTTTTAAATTACTATAAACCACTGTCTCTTCATGTTCCTCAATTCTCCTACAGCCTTTCCACCCTATCCCCTGTAATTGATGTCATCTCATAATTCATTGTGTGTGTAGGGGAACCTCTAGATGTTAATTCCTTCATCTTATAACCAAATCTATAAAGCTGCCTGTGTCTATTCCTTTTTTCCCTTCCATTACAAAGGAAAGAAGTATTAGAACATAGGCATCTTTGATGAGGGGCATTATTTTGTCTACCACACATTTCTTTTTTTCTTCTCAATATAAGAGCAATGTATCCTCATTCCAGAAAAATTAGAAAACAGACCAGCAATTTAGGAACTGTGTAGGCCCTGTTGATCTCCTAATGGAAACAGAGATCCTTAGTTCATGTTGATTAAGAAGGGAGGGTCTCTGATTTACTTAAGGCCTTGAAGATACTCCAAAAGTTTGTCAAAAGTCACAGAGAAGAAAAGTGTCACCTTCCACATAAAATCCATGGGGAAAAGGAGTACTGTAAGACTCTTGGCAAGGTATTTAGTTTCTCTAGGTCTTGGCTTCTTTATCCTTAAAATAAGGAATTGAATTAACTGATTTTTAAAATTATTGTCTTTTAATATATAAAGGCTGGTACCTACATTCTACTAAAAATCAAAAGAGATGAATAGATAACAAACATAGGTTTGCTAGTTTTTTAATCAAATCAACGTATAGTGTTATTTCGGGATTCAGTCAGTTACATTTTCACAGTCATGAAAGACAAGGAAAGACTGAGAAGCTATCACGGATTGGAGGATACCAAGGAGGACAACCAAAAGCGATGTGGGATCCTGGATGGGATACTGGAACTGAAAAGGGGTATTAGTGGAAAAACTGGTGAAATCCAACTAAAGCCTGCAGTTTAGTTAATAGTTAATAGTATTATTAGGTAATAGTATTGCACCAATGTGAATTTCTTAGTTTTGATAATTGCTGTGATTTTACAAGAAGTTAACCTTAGAGGATGCTAGGTGAAGTACATATGGAAACTCTGTACTATTTTTGCAAGTTGTTTCTAAGTCTAAAATTATTTCAAAAGAAAATGTTTTTTATTAATAAGAGTGGGAAAGCAAGCCACAGAGGGAGAGAAGTTGTTTGCAAGATTTATAACTGCAAAGAACTCAAAATCAGAATGTATAAATAACTCATACAAATCAGTAAAGACTGACAACCCAATAGAAAAACAGGCAAAAGACTTGAAAGACTCTTCACATAAGATGATGTCCAAATAGCCAATAAGCATATAAAAATGTGCTTGGTGGGCCGGGCGCAGTGGCTCACGCCTGTAATCCCAACACTTTGGGACGCCGAGGTGGGTGGATCACGAGGTCAGGAGATCGAGACCATGCTGGCTAACACGATGAAACCGCATCTCTACTAAAAATACAAAAAATTAGCTGGGCGTGGTGGCGGGCGCCTGTAGTCCCAGCTACTTGGGAGGCTGAGGCAGGAGAATAGCGTGAATCCAGGAGGTGGAGCTTGCAGTGAGCTGAGATCAGGCCACTGCACTCCAGCCTGGGTGACAGGGCGAGACTCCATCTCAAAAAAAAAAAAAAAGAAAGTGGGGCCTCAAATAGATATTTGCACATCACTGTTGATACCAGCACTGTTCACAGTAGCCAAAAGCTGGAAACAACACAAATGCCTATCGACAGATGAATGGATAAACAAAATGTGGCATAGACATAAAATGGAATATTATTCAGCTTTAAAAAAGAAAGGCCAGGGGCGGTGGCTCACCCCTGTAATCCCAGCACTTTGGGAGGCCGAGGTGGGCGGATCACGAGGTCAGGAGATTGAGACCATCCTGGCTAACACGATGAAACCCCGTCTCTACTAAACATACAAAAATTAGCCGGGCGTGGTGGCGGGCGCCTGTAGTCCCAGCTACTCGGGAGGCTGAGGCAGGAGAATGGCGTGAACCCGGGAGGCGGGGCTTCCTGTGAGCAGAGATCGCGCCACTGCACTCCAGCCTGGGAGACAGAGCGAGACTCCGTCTCACACACACACAAAAAAAAAAACAAAAAGGAATGAAATTCTGCCATATGCTACAATATGGAGGATCCTTGAGAACATTATGCTAAGTGAAATGTCAGTCACAAAAGGACAAATAGATTGTATGATTCCACCTATATGAGTTACCCAATGTAGTCAAATTCAGAGACAGAAAGCAGAGCCTTGGTTACCAGGGGCTGGAGGGAAGGGAGAATGAGGAATTGTTGTTTAATGGGTATAGAGTTGCAGTTTGAGATAATGAAAAAGTTTTGGAGATGGATGGTGGTGATGGTTGCACAATGTGAATGTACTTAATGCCACTGAACTGTATACTTAAAAATGGTTAAAGTGGTAACTCTTATGTACATTTACCACAATTTTTTTTTAAGTGGTTGTGTTGGTAATGGTAGTGGTGGTGGCAAGATATAGATGAAAACCACAGTGTGACACCATTATCTAGAAAGGCTAAAATGACAGAGGCCAAGGATCTGAAGCAACTGGAATACTGAGATCTTGCTGGTAGGAATATAAACTAGAACAAGTATTTTTGGAAAATTGTTTGACATTATCTAGCTGAACATATGCATACTCCATAACCTAGCAGTTCCCCTCCTAGATATATATCCGTAGAAATATTTTCATATGGGTACCGAAAGACATACAAGAATGTTCACAGCAACATTATTTTTTTATAGTCCCCAAGCTGAAAACAACCAAAAAGCCCATCAACAGAAAAAGTGGATTCAGTAAATTGTGGCTGTTCATGCAATGGGATACTTTCCCACAATATAAATAAAACTTCTAGTAAATGCAACAAACTTGGACAATTCTTAAAAATACATTAAAAAGAAAAAAAGACACCTTAAATATTTTATGATGTTTATATCAGGTTCAAAAATAGGCAGAACTGATCAGTGGTGACAAGAGTCAGGACAGAGATTACCTTTGGGGAGGAGTGAGGGTAACAACTGATAGGCGACCTATGAGAAGGCTCTAGGGTACTGGGAATGTTCTAGTTTCTTATCTGTGTAGTGGTTGCATAGGTGTGTTAACTTTTGAAATTTTATCAAGCTGTAGCTTTGTTATTTGTGTACTTTTGTAACTAAGTTATGCTTCTATAAAAAGTTTATTTTAAAAAAGAATATAGCGAGAAGCACACATTCTACATTCATTTAATGGCATTATGTTTCATTATTTAACCCCCAACCTCCAGCTCAGTGATAAAACTGAGGGCCCTAAATGCAAATTCCTTCCCACTCTTATTCTTGTTGTTTTGAAGTTTAAGAACAAGTTTTCAAGTTTAAGCTTGACTTTTCTTTGAGAACAGCTTTAGCTAGAGGTGCTAACTATGCAGCAAACTGAACCCTGACCTAAGTGGAGCTCTAATTAGCCGGGTCAGGGAAATTGAGAATTTAAGTCCATACTCCACTCCTGGATTCTACAGGTCTTAGGGAGTAGAGAAGGTAGCTTAGTGACTGCTTTAGAATACTGTAATCTTTGTATTACTTAATTGTTTATTTGAGAAACACTGGATTAGTCAGTGGCAAGGAGGTACATTTAGTTTATACTAAGCATAATTTTGTTATAGTGATGTTTCTATTTATAATAGTTTTGTTAATTTTTACTCATACCCTGTTCTCTTTTCCTTCCTTTTACTCTTCAGCTACCTGTTCTATATTTAATTCATTTTAGGCTTTGCCCTGAGCTAGCTAGCTATTTTTTTTTAATTTTAATTTTTTTTTTTTTGAGACGGAGTTTTGCTCTTGTTGCCCAGGCTGGAGTGCAATGGCATGATCTTGGCTCACCGCAACCTCTGCCTCCTGGGTTCAAGTGATTCTCCTGCCTCAGCCTTCCCAAGTAGCTGGGATTACAGGCATGTACCACCACGCTCGGCTAATTTTGTATTTTTAGTAGAGACGGAGTTTCTTCATTTTGGTCAGGCTGGTCTCGAACTCCCGACCTCAGGTGATCTGCCTGCCTCAGCCTCCCAAGGTGCTGGGATTACAGGCGTGAGCCACCACGCCCGGCCACTATTCTTTAAATCATATATTCATCTAGCACATATTCATGGGTTGTTTACTATGTGCTGGGCACTTGGAATACAAAAATAGGACATATAACTTCTGTTCTCAGATTGCTTGCAGTACCAGTGTGGAAAGAGACAAATGATCAATTATAGTATCAATGCTGACATGCACTGTGATAGAGATCAGTCTGGGGGATTACTCAGTAATTCGTGTAATTGATTCTTAACCTAGACCAGGAACTGGAAATGTCTACTGAAGGAAATTACAGCTAATCTATAAATTTTGAAAGACGTGTGTGTGTGTGTATGTGTGTGCATGCATATGCCTATGTGTGCTTTCATTCAGAGTGGGAAGGTAAGGGAATGTAGAGCACCAAGGCTCCAGAGATAGGCAGAGACCAAGTCATGAAAGGTCTTATATGTCATCATGCTAAGGAGTTTCAATTTTATTTTGAGGATAGTGAGGAGTAACTGGGGTGTTATAAACAAGGAAGTGATATGGCATGTATAAATGAATTTAATGAATTGAAGTAGGCTGTTACATGAATGGAATTATCTAGGTAAACTTTTACTTTTCAAAGTGTTGTCCCAGCCATATTGTCATCATCTCAGAGCTATTCAAAATGTAGAATTTTGGGACCTATTCCAGACTTTCTAAATCAGAATGGGCATTTTATTTTAACAAGATCTTCACATGATTTATATGCACATTCAAGTTTGAAAAGCACCGATTTAGACAGATAATGATGATGGTCAGGCTTTATACAGCTGGTGTGAGGAAGATAGGACAGATTGCAAGAGATATTACGGAGTACATGTTCTTCCCTCTATTTGGAATACTCTTCTCAATTCCCCTCCAACACACACCAGGTAACTCCCCGCTTATCCTTTACCTTTCTGCTTAAATGGAGCTTCTCTCTTGCCACGGCCCCAATACACATAATTGGTGCCCTTGCCATATACTCCCATGTACTTATATTATCATTTCTCACACTTTTATATACTTATTTAATTGCCTCTCTCCTTGTACTGTAAGCACCACGAAGATAAAGATCATTTTTCTGTGGTACTTGGCACATGGTAGGCACCCAGTAAATATTTGTGATTTGATTAAATGAATGAATTCTTCATGTATAAGAAGAGAAAATGGATTTGGGTATGCTAGAGAGAAGGATGTACATGCTGTAATTATTAACAATAATAGTTATTTTATGTATGTGTGTGTGTTTATTTTTGGACACCCAGTCTTGTTCTATCTCCCAGACAGAGTGCAGTGGCATGATCATAGATCATTGTAACTTCAAACTCTTGGGCTCTATCCTCCCATCTCAGCCTCCCCAGTAGCCAGGACTGTAGGCGCACACCACTATGTCTGGCTAATTTTTTTTTTTTTTAAGAGATGGGGTTTTGCTATGTTGCTCAGGCTGAATAATAGTAAATTTTAAATAGCACTAATAAGTTCCAGGTGCTAAGTGCTTTGTTCATATTAATTTATTTGATTATCCCAGCAATCCTATAGGATAGATATTCTTAATAGCCCTATTTTACAGATGAGAAAACTGAGGCACAAAAAGGATAAGTAATTTGCCTAAGGTTATGCTGTTGGTAAGAAGCGAGATTCAAACCAGGCAGTTGAGTACTACTCTGCTCTATCTAGTTTTGGACAAAATAGCTTCCTGGTGCTTAGTGTTTTATATGTATTAGTTATTTAATCTTTATAAAACCAATGTGTAGAAGATACTGTTATCCTGATTTACAGACAAAGAAACAAAGGTTCAAAAAGGTTGTGTAGCCTGAGGATACACAGCTAGTAAGTGATGAAACTGGCCTTCAAACCCAAGTCTATTCAACTTTAAAAGCCTATAGTCTTTACCTGTAATGATGATGCTTCCATGTTGAGTCCAAAAAATACCTGTGAGGTATGAATTTTAGATTACTGAGGAACTGATAAGTAAGATACCTAACATCATTTAGGTTGTGAGATAGGGAGAAGGGCTCAACAATGCCGGTGTCTGTGATAGCACTGGCATTTTGAGTTTGAAGGAGTAAAGGAGATTTAAGGTCCAGCAATTCCAGCCAGTCTCATACTTGACCACATTGAGCTTTGAACTCAGGTGGTTAGGAACTTTAGCCTCCATAATAAGCTGAAACTTAGGTGACTAAGGAATAGTTATTGGTTTTCTTGTTTTTTTTTTTTTTTTTTTTTTTTTTTATGGTCTCAGAGAATCTAGATGGATTGGAAATAGTGTTAGAACTGGAAGGAACCAGTTCTAACCTTCCACAGTTCACTCTTCCTTACCTCCCTCTCATTTTATGATAAGGAGATTGAAGAAGGGTAATTAGGTGATTTGCCAAAGTCCAATAAAACAAAGCCAGGAAAAGAAGACAGGGTCACATTCTTGTATTCCTTGCCCTGTGCCTTATCTCTAGGTTCCAGATTCATCACCTTTTGATTAAAACTGTTCTGCCATTATAGTAACATCTTCACTGCCTGGGGGTTTTTTTAGCTTTGAGCCCTGAAAAGAGTAACTTTTTGTCCCTTCCCCTTTGGCCCTAAGCACATACTCACTGACTTCAGATCATCCGGCAGGCCATATGCCCTCATGGATGACGATAGTATCGAGTCAATACTTGTGGGAATACAACTGGCACAGAGGATTTTGAGCTGTTTTTGGAGTTAAGATTCTTCTAAGCTATTCAGATACTTGGTCAATTTTTGTACAACAGAAAGCCGCAGGAGCCGATACAGTTTGCATAACTTTTTTTTGAAGTTGCCAACTCCTCACCTACATGTTAAGGGTAATATAATCATATGCAGTGGTCTCACTCCTGCCCTGGCTATAGGTGTATCTTCTAAGGCACATTATGGTAAAGTGGAATTATATTGGAAACGAATTTATAACTAGTACTTATACCTATACCTTATGCCTTACACAGTCTTTGTCAGTTAATAGGCCTTCAGTTCTCAAATGTAATAGCTACTATTTTATTTCCATTTCAGAATTGTTGCAGAAAGACGTAGTGAGGTTGCAGTGTTCAAATAGTCTATTTTAGTTAAAACCTACAGTAAGGAAACAAAAAAAAGTCATAACTAAAAACAACACTTAGTTTAGCCTGCCAAAGTGATATATTTTACTTGTGTTTATTCTTTTATTTATTTATTTGAGATGGAGTCTCACTGTGTTGCCCAGGCTGCTCACTGCAACCTCTGCCTCCCAGGTTCAAGCAGTTCTCCCTGCCTCAGCCTCCTGAGTAGCTGAGATTACAGGCGCCCGCCACCACGCCCAGCTAATTTTTGTACTTTTAGTAGAGACAGGGTTTCACCATGTTGGCCAGGCTGGTATCAAACTCCTGGCCTTAAGTGATCCACCCGCCTCGGCCTCCCAAAGTGCTGGGATTACAGGCATGAGCTGTCATGCCTGGCCTATTTTATTTTTAATCTTGTTTCTCTAAAAGTCATTTTCTTCTGTGGTTTAACACTATCATGAAGGTTGTCATCTTCTATTTATTTAATAAATCATTACATAGAGAAAATAGGCTGGGCACGGTGGCTCATGTCTGTAATCCCAGCACTTTGGGAGGCCAAGGTGGGAGGATCACTTGAGGTGAACTCCTGGGAGTTCAAGACAAGCCTGAGCAACACAGTGAGACCGCTATCTCTACAAAAAATTCAAAAATGTGCCAGGTGTGGTGGTGCACACCTGTAGTCTCAGCTACTCAGGAGGTTGAGGTGGCAGGATCACTTGAGCCTGGGAGTTCAAGCAATGATCACATCACTGCACCTCAGCCTGGATGACATAGTGAGACCCTCTTAGGTTAGAATAGAATAGAATAGAATATTAATTTTTTTCTTTTACCTTAAAAACATTTTTTTTAACTTTTTATTATTTTTTAATTTTTGAGACGGAGTCTCACTCTGTCACCCAGGCTGGAGTGCAGTGGCGCGATCTCGGCTCACTGCAACCTCTTCCAAGTTCAAGCAATTCTCCTGCCTCAGCCTCCTGAGTTGCTGGGATTTTAGGCACGGGCCACTGCACCTGGCTAAGTTTTGCATTTTTAGTAGAGACGGGGTTTCACCACATTCACCAGGCTGGTCTCGATCTCCTGACTTCAGGTGATCTGCCCACCTCGGCCTCCCAAAGTGCTGGGATTACAGGCGTGAGCCACTGCGCCCAGCTTCTTTTACCTTTTCTTTTTTAAAATTATTATTGTTACCACACTAGTCTACACTATCAATATAATCTAGTAATTTTCTTATCACTGAAATATTCTAACGGTTGGGCTTCACTCTAGCCATAAAATAGACTTTTGGCCTTAATTTGTTCCTAAAAGTTTCATTATAATGCAGATCAAAATGGATTACAATGGGTGCAGATCGAGCAATGGAAAATGGATTATATATTCCTGCAGAGATAATATAATTAAGGACTAAAACCCTACTAAGGACTTCTCGTCAAATAAGTCATATAGGTGTAGTCAGTAATATAACTAAGCCTCATAAATATAAAACAGTGTTCCAAATTCTATAAAATGGACATAAACATATTGAATACATTGAGTATGCAAGTTGCCCCCAAAGTATAATTAAGAATACGTACAGCATACATAAATTTTAAATTTGGTAATTTCTTAAGCACCTACTATATCGCAGGTATTGTAGGCAAATCAAAGTAGGCTAAGCCCCTGAAGAGCCTGGAGACTAACAAGGGGTAGCACACATACATAGGAACTATAATTTGAGGAATGGTGAGAATAGTGATATAGCCAAAGAACAATATTAGATGAAGGGGAGATTCCTTTTTTAAGGTCAGGTTTCATGGTAGAACTATCATTCCTTTAAATATTTGAAAAAGTGAAGATAATGGAAGTGAAGGCAGAAACGAATGCATTTTGATTTGAGAAAATGACATGAGCAAAGGCATTGAGGTAGGAAAGAACACAGCATGATAATAACATAATTAAGAGCTACCATTAATTAACTCCTTAGAGTATGTACCCTTTTAAAATCCTTGCATCAGTCCTGTTAGGTAGGTAGCTCTTATTATTTCCACCATACAAATTGGAAATTGGAGTTATATAGAGAGGTCAAGTAAGTGGCAGAGGCAGGATTCTAACCTAACTCTGTCTGATTCCAAAACCAGTGTTCATGGTCACCATACTGTGTAGTCTTTACATTCAAGAAGTAGCAGATAATACAGTTTACCTGGAGGATAGAGTATATATATATATATATGGGTATGAAGTGGATTGTCTTCTGGGAAAGGATTTGTAGAGGGTTAAGAGGCAGTGAAAATGAACAGAAAGGGATAGATGAAAGGTTTGGTGGAGGAGGGCACAGAAATAATATCCAAGTGATTGTTCTGGGGACTGTGGGAAAAGGGGGAAATCAAAGGTGCCTGAGGTTTCATATATGGTTGCCTGAGGACAGTGGCATCACAAACACAAAAAGTGAGGAGAAGAAAGTGTTGTTTGGAGGGGGGCGGGAAAGGAAAGACAGCAATAATGTTGATTGTAGATGTGTTGCATTTAAAGCACAGATGAAATACACCATTGGCAATTTAGGTAACAGATGTGACTTCTCATTTTAAGAAGTCCTCTGGGTTTAAAGGAAGACAGAGGACAATAATTAGAGGTTGCTAGGAGCTAAGACTTTATCAGAGTTGACACTCTGACTTCAGTGGGCCTTATTTTCCCTGCATCTCATCACCCTGTGTCCTGACATCACTCAAGTCGCCTCAACTCCATAGCTCCTCTATGACCACAGCTTCCTTTACTTCTACCTCTGCTGTTCTTATTTCGCCTGCTCTCCACCCTCCCTGTGATCCCTTGATACGTCTGAATGCACCTGGTTCAACAGTCCCTGTTTTCACCTGCCTTTCTCTCCAGTCAAACCTCTGGCCATTCATTTGAATTCTGCCCTCTCTGGCATCTTACAGTACCTCTTCCATAGATATTACCTTCCTCTCCTCCATTCCAAATCCAAAGGACCATTCTCTTAAGTAATGAAGGCCTTACAGGGTGATGAACTGTGAACCCCAAACATCTGAGACAGGTCTCGGTTAATTTAGAAAGTATTTTGCCAAGGTTGGCCAGGCGTGCTGGCTCATGCCTGTAGTCCCAGCACTTTGGGAGGCTGAGGCAGGTGGATCACCTGAGGTCAGGAGTTTGAGACCAGCCTCAACATGGCGAAACCCTGTCTACTAAAAATACAAAGTTAGCCGGGCGTGGTGGTGCATGCCTGTAATCCCAGCTACTCGGGAGGCTGAGGCAGGAGAATTGCTTGAACCTGGGAGGCAGAGGTTGCGGTGAGCCGAGATCACGCCATTGCACTCCAGCCTGGGCAACAAGAGCAAAACTCTGTCTCAAAAAAAAAAAAAAAAGTTTATAGAAAGTTTATTTTGCCAAGATTGAGGATGTGCACTCATGACACAGCCTCAGGAGGTCCTGATGACATGTGCCCAAGGTGGTCAGAACACAGTTTGGTTTTATACATTTTAAGGGGACATGAGACATCAATCAACATATGTATGATGAACACTGGTTCAGTTTGGAAAGGCGAGACATCTGGAAGCAGGGAGGGGGCTTCCAGGTCATGGGTAGATAAGAGACAAATGGTTGCATTCTTTTGAGTTTTTGATTGGCCTCTTCAAAGTAGGCAATCAGATGTGCATTTATCTCAGTGAGCAGAGGGGTGATTTTGAATAGAATCGGAGGCAGGTTTGCCCTAAGCAGTTCCAGCTTGACTTTTCCCTTTGGCTTAGTGATTTTGGGGGCCCAAGATGTTTTCCTTTCACAGAGCCTATAATCATAATTATAATATTGTCACTGTTAGCTGTAGAGAAACTATCCTCTTCAATGGGAATTAACACTGTAAAGAGTCCTGGTCCTTAAAGGGACCAAAGCAGGCATATCTTGTTAGGCTTCCTTTGTGCCTGAAACCTGTGGTACTCTTATTGGATAATATACTCTAGGAATGAACTAAGCAGGTGAGATAGGCTAGCTTACCTTTTTTCTAGTTATGTCTTATTTCCAAAATTCTGAAGTGTGCAGCAAGGAGGGAGTTGGTATGGAGAGATAAAGCAGAAACAACTTCGGAGGTCCTTTAAGGTGATAGTGTACAGGGCTACTGCACTGGCATCCTGTTTCTTCCTGAAACCAGATCTGTGTGTAAAATCCAGCATTGGTTAGGGACTTTGAGGCAGCACTAGTCTTGGTTGGAAACCCTGGCTGTCCTCTAAACCTACACTGTGGTGGCTTCTGACTAGCCTCAGTGAAGTCACTTTGCAATCAGCACCTGTGTGTCTGTAGCTGCGGGCCCTGAGGCCTTCGTGTATGTAGCACAGGGAGCCAGCAGAGGGAGCTGTCGTCCCAGAACTTTCTTAGAGCTGCTAAGAAATTCTGATTTTGAAAAAGATCTTCCTAGGCTCCATCCGAACCTCCCATGCAATAAGACTCTAACTTGAGATATGCGAGAGTTTGGTGCCAGACCCCTGGTGTGAGCAGATGGGGAGCTTCTGCATAGCTGTTTAAACTTGAAAGCCCTAGGAGCTCTTGATTTCAAGGAAACGCCTGTTTACTGATCCAAATCAAGCAACTCTTGAGAAATGGGAGTGCCTTCCTGACCTCAGTCTTTATTGATCTTGGTATCCGCACCTCCAGTGACGTGTCCTGAAGGGTGGGAGAGAATTCACAAGTGCCTCACACACAGGGAAAGAAGGAAGTCCAACTATTGCTGCAGAAAGTCCCCACTGGGGAGGTGCGGGTAGAGTGTTTGGGTAGCATTAAAACAGTGAGTGCCCTGTGAGAAGCACAGTGCCTGGGTGCAGCACTTTGCATCAGCTCTGATTTTGAAATCAGACACAGAAGGCTTTGAAGCCGGCCAGTAAGGGGTTGTCAGGCAGTTGACTAATGCTCTTGATTTGAATCGGAGGCTGCTGTGAAAAGGGATGCAGCTTCTGCTAGCCACTGTGAACTTCTGAATCTCACTAGGGTTGGGTCTGCTTTGGGGCACTCAGATAACCCCAGTATTTCCAAACCAGCTTTCCCTTTTGCTTCAGGACATATCTTACCCAAGCCTGCACTATGGAGAAGTGGGACGGTAATGAGGGCACCTCAGCTTTTCACATGCCTGAGTGGATGGTGAGTTCACTGGTCGTTTTGTTTCTCCTTCTGTTTCTTGATAATGAGAGGCAACCATTTCTGACGGGTGACAAGGATCACCTCTGAGAAGCTCCTACCAAGATCCGTGGTTGGAAAAACAGTTATTACTCTACGTTCTGATTAGTTCCTAGGTACTAGGTCACCACTGTTTCTTAATTATCCACGAAGCTGGGAAAGGTGTGAGAGTTGCCTGGCCAGGGCTTGTTGCCTGGTCATCTCTGGTGGGCAGGGGCTTTCCTCCGGCTGCTGGTGTGATGTATGGGTTGTGTTTCCTGTGACTGTTTTGCACTTCTGTTTTCAACCTGATGCTTCATTTGTTTCTCTGGGGGTAAAGAAAAAGAACAATGAGGAGAAAAAACAAAAACAGAACTTACAGAAATGGTGCTCTCTGAAGTCTGCAAAGATTGCAAACATTTCTCCCCTCCCTGCCCGTATTTTTCCCTTCAGTCACAACATTTCCCTATTTCCCCCCCAGCTATCCTTTATATATATATTTCTCTATGGCAGGAACTGCAGCTCTCTTGGTACAGTTCTTCAGAATACCATGTTTGCCTGATCAGTAGTTTTACTAAAATGATAATAAGGACTTATTTGTTGATAAGAACTAGCATATAAACCTATTATATTGGATCGAATTTCAACTTTTAAAGACAATAACCATCCTTATGTTTCTAAATAGTTTCTTCTAGATTTAGCCTGATTTCTTACAGCCCACACAGGTTTATGTTTACAGATTTGTGTTTCCCCACTATGGAAAACTAGTTAGACTCTCTAAAACATATTTCAAGTTCTTTTTAGTGTTTATAGAATTATGGATTTGAAGAAATAACTATTGATAATGAGATAGAATATATAGTAGGCCTAACAAAGGCCCCCTGAGGAACTTACATTTCAACTCATTGTTACAACTATTTTTTATTGTTTTGGGGGAGGTTATTGCTGTTCTTCTTAATGTCGTTTCAGAACATTGTGTTCAGGTTTTTTTTTTTTTTTTTTTTGAAATGGAGTCTGGCTCTGTTGTCCAGGCTGGAGTGCAGTGGCGTGATCTCAGCTCACTGCAACCTCCGCTTCCTGGGTTCAAGTGATTCTCCTGTCTCAGCCTCCCAAGTAGCTGGGATTACAGGTGTGCACCACCATACCGGGTAATTTTTGTATTTTTGGTGGAGATGGGGTTTCACCATGTTGGCCAGGCTGGTCTTGAACTCCTGACCGTAGGTGATCCACCCAACTCGGCCTCCCACAGTGCTGGGATTACAGGTGTGAGCCACCACGCTCAGTCTTGTGTTCAATTTTAAAACATTTTGTGGAAAGAAAACCTATCCATCTACAAGCTTATTCCAAGTAACATAGTGTTTTAGAATTAATGGAAGGATTTATGTAATACTTCTGATTGGGTTGAGTTTTTTTGAATTTCTTGCTACTCACTAATAACAAGAAGAGGGAAAAAGAAATTTGGTTTTCTTAAGGGAAGGGCCACGTTAAGGTATCAAACTTTGGTATTTCTATAAAGGAATATTACAGAAGAATTCTACTGAACATTAGTGTGCCAACTCAGAATCAATCAAAGTTTTATAATAATTCTTATTTCTGTCATAGTCCTCACCGTCTTACAAGCTTAGCACATCCCCTCAAAGTTCAGTAGTGGCTCCTGCTGAACTTTCACCCATTTACCTTCTTTCTAGTTAATGTGAATGGGAAGACTGCCCTAAAGGAGTTGGTGTGACCACTGCATAAGGGATATGATCTAGGGCTTCCCAGCTTTTAGAAAACACTCTTTATTTAATAAAACACAGCTCTTTAGTGTTGTGTCTTGGTTGGTAAAAAATAAATAAAAAAATTTGCAGCCGGGTGCGGTGGCTCACGCCTGTAATCCCAGCACTTTGGGGGAGGCCAGGGCGGGCAGATCACGAGGTCAGGAGATCAAGATCATCCTGGCTAACACAGTGAAACCCGGTCTCTACTAAAAATACAAAAAATTAGCCGGGCGTGGTGGCGGGCGCCTATAGTCCCAGCTACTCTGGAGGCTGAGGCAGGAGAATAGCATGAACCCGGGAGGCAGAGCTTACAGTGAGCTGAGATCGCGCCACTGCACTCCAGCCTGGGCGACAGGGTGAGACTCCGTCTCAAAACAAACAAACAAAATAATAATTTAGAAAAGCACAGCTCTGCTCTGTTCTGTTTTTAATAAGGTATTACTCTCACTTAGGAATTTCTCAGCCATTCTCTCTTAAATAGCAGGAAAATACCTTTGCTCAGTATTTTGAACAGCAATAAAAAGGAATAGGGAGGAGCTAGTCTTCAATAACACGATTGTCTCATTTGCTAGCTTTTCTTTGCCAAAGACTTTTGAGGCTTTCTTTCAGATACCACGTAAGTCATTGACTCCTGACTTGGTCTGAAAGTACTTCATTAGGTTGCTACTGATAGCCACTTAGCCAAGAAAGCTAACCTCTGAGCACCCTCTAGTGTATTGCCGATGGATTTCCAGACCTTACTTGTAAAATGTTAAAGTGTCTTTTAATCCCCAAGAAAAAAACCGTTGCTCCAGCTCCCATGTTGGGCCAAAGTTTCAATTTAAAGTTTTAACGAGTGTCTTACTCATGTTCCCATTTACATATTAGTGTAATGAAATTTCCACTGAAACTATCCCTGCCACCAAAGGAAATATGAGAAGTCTCTCAAATCTTCTTTCAGGAGAAAAATTTAGCAGAGAAGGTATATTACAACATCTCCCTTTTGTTAAAAATCACCAGCAAAAAGGGACTTCATATCCCTCAGAGAATAGGACTCACACCACATATAACAGCTGACAGTACTCACATCTCTGATTTCCAGCAGGGAAATAAGCCGGGATGAAGCCTGAAGAACCCCAATCTCAAGAACTGACGAGGTAGACTTTCAAGGTTACGTTCCATCAATCACTGGAAAACTTCTCCTGGAGCCTCTGCTCCTCAGCTGTTTTCATGTGAAGGATTTTCTTAGCCCTGTTCAGACAGCTTTACTGCTGAAAGGTTGGGGAACACTTCCTTTTAAAGACTGTCTTTATTAATGTGTTTTACTTCCCCTGAGAGATCTTTAGTCCCTTCTGGTAGTAACCTCGACTGACATGCATGGAGATCAGCAATAACTTTTTCTGTGTTTCAACATTTTAATATTTCCTCCTCCTCCCACTCCAGCTCTCTGTACTTTTCCATAGGAAATCTGGTTGATTGACTTTCATGAGTATCCAGCCAGCTTGATGCCCGATATTCTTTTGGCAAGAAGTAATCCTTTTCATAGGTAAAGAGTTAGTTCAAGCCGCTCATTTGGCTTGGAAGAGAGAGGTGTTTTGAGGAATATCTGAACCATATCTACTTGGAAGTAGAGACAAAAATCTCCAAAGTGTCTGATAAATGGTGGTAGAGGTAGCTTGACTATCACTCTAGGTCAGGATTGGTGCTTAAAACAGAAAGCCATTTGAAAAACTGATGAAAACTATGGGCTCTCTCCCCAGGATATTAAAAACACAAAATTTTGCATACTGTTGTAGGGGGTTCTAGACATCCATGGAATATAGGTTAAGAACACTTAATTTGAAAGAATAGAAATATTAATATTTTAGACTTGCATATCAATATGTAGTTTTCAAAACCCTCTCACATCTTATTATCTCAGCATACATTTTAAATAGGCAAAGTAGATATGATTATCCCTATTTTAGAAATGATGACAGACCTTAGGAAGTAGAGACACAGATACATCCTTTGTAGTATTACTTTATGTACTTGAAAAGGAATTAATTGGTTTCTCTTGGCCTTGATCCTCTTTAGGATAAATAGATCTTCTGTCCTCCCCATGAGTCCTGTTTTTCTTAATATATTACCTGTCTCTTCTTAAGAGCCTTAAGTTACGGAAAGCAGAATTAGACCCAGTTTTCTTTAGACCCTGTTTTGGGTGTAAAGAAAGATCACCTCAGCTGGGCGTGGTGCCTCATGCCTGTAATCCCAGCACTTTGGGAGGCCAAGGTGGATGGATCACCTGAGGTCAGGAGTTCGAGACCAGCCTGCCCAACATGGCGAAACCCCATCTCTACTAAAAAGTACAAAAAAAAATAAGCCAGGCATGGTTGGTGTGCTCCTGTAATCGCAGCTACTCAGGAGGCTGAGGCAAGAGAATCACTTGAACTCTGAGAGGTGGAGGTTGCAGTGAGCCGAGATGGCACCATTGCACCCCAGCCTGGGAGACAAGAGCAAAACACCATCCCCCCAAAAAAAAGAAAGAAAAGAAAGGATCACCTCATTGTATTCTCTGACCTTTCAAATAACCTTTACTTTTCTGCCTGTGAACGTGCCTCCATGGTTATAGCCATGATAGGATAGAATGGTTGGTTAAGTAGAGTCAAGAGAATCAGGGCTGCTTTACTCACGCTTGGAGAAAGTGTTAGAGCAGTGGTTTCCAAAGTGTGGTCTTCAGACTGGTAGCATCAGCGTCTCCCGGGGAGTTACTCAAAACACAAAATCTTCAACCAGAGAATTGGAAGCTGAAAAAAATTTTTTTTTTTAAATTACAAAATACAAAATCTTGGGCCCTCTCCAGACCTAATAATTCAAAAACTCTGGTGGTTAAGATCCAGCAATGTGCTTTAATAAGCTCTCCAGGTGATTTTGATGCAGCTAAAATTTGAAAGTTACTGTGTTCTATAAAAACTTATTGGCTGTGTGCGGCGGCTCACGCCTGTAATCCCAGCACTTTGGGAGGCCGAGGTGGGCGGATCACGAGGTCAGGAGATCGAGACCAGCCTGGCTAACACGAAGTAAGTGATGGAACTTTTTAAGTTTTTTTTTAGTAGAAACCCTGTCTCTACTAAAAAAAACAAAACAAAACAAAAAAGCAAAAAAACTAGCCAGGCGTGGTGGCATGCGCCTGTAGTCCCAGCTACTCGGGAGACTGAGGCAGGAGAATCACTTGACCCCGGGAGGTGGAGGTTGCAGTGAGCCGAGATCGCGCCACTGCACTCCAGCCTGGGTGACAGACCAAGACTCAGTCTCAAAAAAAAAAACCAAAACAAACAAACAGACAAAACTTGTTAAGTGGTAAGGCTTTTCCTGTCTCCTAAAATGTCTTCTGGTTCTATTTGGTATAGATATGCCAGTCCTTCTGGCTCAAGTTATCTGACTTAAGTCATTGGACCAAGGAGCTCCTTTTTACCTGAGTGAGGGAAAGGGGAACCAGCTTAGTACATGCGGACTGGGGTGAACATTCTTGTTAGGAGGAGCAAAAGTTGAGAGATTCATCAAGCAAGCAAATGATCTGTCTCACTTTGTGAAATTATGAGTAAGAGATCAGAATTGCTGTGGGTGATGGTGAATATTCATATTTGAGTTCAATTAATTTCTGTTTCCATTTCTGGTAGTGACATTGGGCAAAGTTGCCTTAAAGAGCTGTTAGAGTTCTAATTCTTATATAATTAGGTGTTTTAGAATTGTGACTTGATCAGGGCCCCAAGATTATCCGGGATGATGTCATTTCTAAGATGTAATCTGATACGAAAATGAATTTAAAGAGTAATTTTAAATTAAATAAATTTAAAGATAAAAGGAATGATTTGAGGCTAGTACACCTAGGACTAGGACCTTTGGTCTTCTGATTAATATTATGAGGCATGGTATAGTAGATGGAGCTTTGGCTCTAGCATAAACACAGGCTCAAATTCCAGTCCCATCACTTACTTGCTGTGAGACCTTGGACAAATCATTTGTTCTCTTAGAGTTAAACTTTCCTGCTTTGTCAAGTGAGAATAATACTGCCTAATTCTTAAGATTCTTGTACAAATTAATAGAAGTAACATATACACAGAACTGTGAAAATAGGCACTTACCAAACTTTTCTCTTCCAGAGATGTCAATAAGCAGTATGCAATGTGACCTTCTCTCTCTAAATAAAGATTATCCTTAAAAAAAAAAAAAAATCTGCCGGCTGGGTACAGTGGCTCATGCCTGTAATCCTAGCACTTTGGGAGGCCGAGGCAGGTGGATCACTTGAGGTCTGGAGTTCAAGACCAGCTGACCAAAATGGTGAAACCCCATGTTTACTAAAAATACAAAAAATTAGCCCGCGTGGTGGCACATGCCTGTAATCCCAGCTACTTGGGAGTCTGAGGTAGGACAATCACTTGAACCCGGAGGGTGGAGGTTGCAGTGAGCCGAGATCGCATCATTGCACTCCAGCCTGGGCAAAAAGAGCAAAACTCCATCTCAAAAAAAAAAAAAAAAAATCTGCCATTTTATGTCCTTTCTTGTGCTCAACAAGCAGTCTTTTTTTTTTTTTTAATTAAGGAAGAATTGACATCACTTTCCCCCCAATCTCTGTAGCAGACAGTTGAGTGTAGCTTTCTTCCTCACTATGTCTCTTTCAGAAATCAGCAAATAAATAATGTGATTCTTTGCCCTTTTGCTTGAATATTTGGCACGTAGTAAGATTGTTGTGATTCGGGGGACTCTGAGGAGATAAGAAACTTCCCTTTGTAGTCGTCCCTTCCATGAACACACATTTTGTGAAAAAAGCAAACTGGGTCACTCTGTGCCAAATCAGCAACAATCTTGAGCTGGGACTAGAAACCAAATGTCAAAACCTGTATAAAAGATGCACAATTCAGAGGAAAGCAGTGAACTGAGAAAATTGATTTCCTTGGTGACAGAGCTGAAATCAGTGTCCCCAGTCTGGCTAATCCAAGGACACAGAGTGTAGGGTAGGGCCTGCCTGAGTACTTGGCACCATTAATTTTTTTTTCTTACTCCTTTAATGAAGTCTCTCATTGTTTAAGTGGCTCTGTGGTTAATTTTTTTCTAATGAGACTAGGTTAACTAAAATCATCTGACATGGAAAAGGAGGAGGTAAGGTTGAAAAGGAACCTAATTAGCAAGTTAATTATAGCGAGCAAAAAAGTGCAGTGGTTATATAAATAAGCTATTGTTATGCGCATGCAAGTTGGGCCTTGTCAAGGGACTTGCAAGGTTTAGAGGTCAGAGGATCCATGTAATTAGGTGTTTAGGAAAAAAACAAGTAAAAGCAAAACAGCCACTAGAATTAGGAATGGCTGTTGAGCCACTAACAGAAATGCCTTATTAAATTGGGGCTGTACTGCTGAAGGGGTTGTTGGAGCTGCTTCAGGGATTCCAAGGAAGAGTAGTCCCCCACTCCCCAGCCCAAAAAGCTGGCTGGAACCAGAGCCAACAGAATTGCTGATGAGGAAAGTTTAAAGGCCTGATCACAAGGGTCCCTGGACCACAGAGGTGGCAGTGGGGCTGGTAATGTCACTATGCTGGGCAGCAAGAAGAAATACATTGTTAATGGCAACTCTGGGATTAAGGCCCAGGTGAGGCTAAGCTCTTATTTACCAGTCTTGCCGCTGCTATAGCCATTATTGTAAAAGGCCGACTGCTTATACTCTTTTTCCCCTCCTTTCCTGCTTTCATCCCTCCCTCTGGCATAAGGTGAGCTACCCCTCTTTTAACAGTCTCTTTCCCTCCCTTGCCTTAATGCCTGTTGGAATTAGGCAGTTCTCTCTCAAATGGAAAAGGAGGATTACCTTAAAAGACCCTGGTTCCAGACAAGGTAGGAAAGTTAGGGGTAGAATCTACTAAGGTACCACAATTGGGGTGGGCAGATTACAAAACCAATCCATTACAAAATGGACTGTATATTGGTGTTTAATTATTAAGAGGAGGTAAACACCAGGGAGCCACTTAACTCATGTTCTGGTCGTCAGAGAAAGATACTCGTTTCTTGCGGAAAATTGCATAACTTATATTTAAGTGGTTAATCTCACTCTAATATTTTTCTGTCTTAAAGAAACTTGAATTCGGTGTCTAACCAGTAAGCAAGGTTTTAGAACCCTATGTTCTAAGTGGAGAAAGCCTTGTACAACCTAGTCTTCTTTAGTATTAAAAGATAGCATGAACTTGTCCCAGGAAGGAGGGATTGCTGTAAATAGAAAACACTATAGAGAAGACAGCTCAGCTCAGATAAACTGGTTTGAGATGATAATGCAGCTAGATAGCTATATGGTTTATTCACCTTGAGCCTACAATCTAGAGTATAAGAGTGACTGGCCCCCTCTAGTGGTGTGTGTACATGGTGTGTGTGCATATGCACCCACATGTACATGTACGCAGGTGTGTGGTTGTGTTGGGGTTGTGTTGAGCATCTGAAACACGGTTTATCTATTCTTCTTTAAAGGGGACACTGGAAAAGTTCCATTATTATTCCTTTTCCTGGATGGGCTTCTAAAAAAGAATAAAGACATGTGACTGTTTTGAACAAGGTTGGTGAAACGGAAGCCAGAGTTTGCATCCTGACTGCTGTCCACCTCCCCAGCTTTCCACCTTCCCTCTTCTTCCCAGCTCTTTTTGCCCTTAAAAATCATTTTAACTTTAGACTTGGTTTATGTTTGCCATATTTAGTGAGTATTCAAACAAGTATAGACAGTGAAGATAGAATAGGCTACTTCAGATATATTGATTCAGCACTTGATTGAGTGCCTAGGATTTGTGCCTGCAGATATAAGGGTGAATAAGAATCACAGCTTCTCCCTTTATGAGCCTATAGTTTATAGAGAATACCGGTAAGTAGACAGATAGTTACATTCATTGTGGTAAGTGCTGTGCTAGGAGAAATGCAATACATGAAAGTTCATGTACGTCCTATGGGAGTACATAGAAAGGGCACTTTATCTTTTTGGAATAAATTGCTAGTTGAGCAAAATAATCATCTTTGTCATTTTTTTTAGTTCATGAAGAACTTCTTATCCGATGAGTTTTCCTATTGCTGAAAACAATTTGCAAGCCCTAAAGCACTCTGTAGGCTTTATTTGTTGTTATAGCTATGAAAATGCTATGAATCCCCCTAAAAGGCAATGTGAAGCTATTTCAATTTGGCATTGGTCCCTTGTCGCAATACTCAAGTGACTCATTAGTTACCTCTAACTGCAGGAAGTGGAGCCGTCAGTTCCTGCTTTCATTCTGGTGTACTGTATGTTCTGCCCATCAAGGAACCATCTTTTTATCATTAAAGGTAGAGTCACTTGTCAGACCTTTGATCATTTTCATTAGACCTTCCTCTATGCCACCTTGGATCCAGAATAGGCAATTATACAAACAGAGAAAACAAAAAAGTTATTAGTTCAATAAATTGTATGAGCTTTTTTTCCCCAAACAAGTATAGCTTACAAGTGACCTTTGATTTGTAGAGTATTATAAAGTATCAGCTGGAACCTCCAACAATAGGAGAAAGATAAAATTGTAAGAAAATCATTATCAAATAATCATCCAAAATGCAATGTCCAGAGTATGATATGAGGCTTATACATATTCATTCAATTAATCTGCTCCTTCTACATCTATTATAGTTAATGATCAATCTTACTGCTTTTAGGTATTTTATAATATCAAATATTTAAAAATAAATTAATATTTACTTACTAGCCAGGCGTGGTGGCTCACGCCTGTAATCCCAGCACTTTGGGAGGCCAAGGCAGGTGGATCACAAGGTCAAGAGATTGAGACCGTCCTGGCCAACATGGTGAAACCCCGTCTCTACTAAAAATACAAAAATTAGCTGGGCATGGTGGCACACACCTGTACTCCCAGCTACTTGGGAGGCTGAGGCAGGAGAATTGCTTGAACCCAGGAGGTGGAGGTTGCAGTGAGCCGAGATCAAGCCACTGCACTCCAGCCTGGCTACAGAGTGAGACTCCATCTAAAAAAAAAAAAATAAATTTACTTACTAGTACTGGAAAGCTAACTAATATATTTTAAAAAGCTTTAACAAATTAGAGTGGCTACCTGCAAGAGTTACGAGAGCATTGAACCGTAGGGGTTGGGTAGGGAGTAGATTTATTGAATTTCCTGCTATGTTTCAATTTACACACATTGTCTCATTGAACCCTCTCTAAAACCTGTGAGGTAAGTACTTTTATCTCTGTTGTATTTATGGAAAAATGAGACTCACTAAAGCATCTTGAGCAACATTACACAGCTAATGAGTGGCATAGCCAGAATTTAAATGCAATTTCAGAATGTTCATTCTTAATGAAAAGGCTTTTTAAAAATTATTAAATCATTACCATTTCCTGAGATTCTTGAAACCTGAATGCAAGTGATTTTGCCTTCCTGTACCTTGCAATTTTCTCATCTAGATATGTGGAGCTTACAAATATGATAATCTCAAATATTCTTTCTTGTACCTTGCAATTTTCTCATCTAGATATATGGAGCTTACAAATATGATAATCTGAAATATTCTTTCCAGTTTTACTTTTCAGTGAAACTGTATAAAATATTTCTGAATATGACTCAATTTTCTAAAAATTTAACCAGAATATCCCATTCTCTATTTGTGGGGAGTGGGGTGTCACAATTTTATTGTAAAAAGCATATAGTCAAAGAGTAGCCAGGCACACTGGCTCATGCCTATAATCCCAGCACTTTGGGAGGCCAAGGTGGGTGAATCACTTGAGGTCAGGAGTTCGAGACCAGCCTGGCCAACATGGTGAAATGCTGTCTCTACTAAAAATATAAAAATTAGCAGGTCATTGTGGTGTGTGCCTGTAATCCCAGCTACCAGGAGGCTGAGGCATGAGAATCACTTGAACCCAGAAGGTGGAGGTTGCAGTGAGCCGAGATCGTGCCACCGCACTGCAGCCTGGGTGACAGAGTAAAAGTCCATCTCAAAAAAAAAAAAAAAAAGTGTATCAAAGATTTAAATTTGATTAGAAACATAGTAGGTAAAGAATGAGACATTGCCAGACACAGTGACACATGCTTGTAGTCCCAGCTGTGTGAGAGGATTGCTTGAACCCAGGAGTTCAAGGCCAGCCTGGGCAATATGGAAAGACCCCATCTCTATTTAAAAAAAAAAAGAAGAATGAAAAAGTATTCTTATCTTCAAAGGGTCTTAATATCCCAAACATAGGTTGATACAATCAGATCAACTGTTAGGGAAGGTGAAAGCCTGTAATACAAGCCTTGAATTGCTGTCTCAAAATGGAGGTTCTTTTTCTTTATATAACTAGGTTTCTTTTTCTTAGCAGATCCAGTTTGCTGACCAGAAGCAAGAATTCAACAAACGTCCCACCAAAATTGGACGTCGCTCTTTGTCTCGTTCCATTTCTCAGTCATCTACTGACAGCTACAGCTCAGGTGAGTACTGAACTGCTGTGGACCCAGCTGTTGAGGCTAATAAGTACGATCTCAATGGGCCCTCCTGTCTATCCAAGGCTAATTAAGCATGACCAAGACTGTGCTTTGAATAAATACTTCGAGTCAAAATTTAGACTAAAATGCTGGGTGGAATATTTGGATTTCTCTTGGCAATTCAGAGTGGAGCTTAATAGAGGCCTCCTCTTCCAATAGAGTCAGAAGAGGGTGATTAAGGAAATTGAATTCTTTAATCTACTCAGAAGGGTGGGAATATGTCATTGATGATCTTTCCGGAACAGTATGTGTATATACTTGTGGTCTTTTTTTTTTTTCATCCTTTGAAAATAAAAAAGAAATTCTTCATCCCTCCATCTGGTACTTGCAAATTAACAGGGAAACCTCAATTGCCCCAAGAAGTAATGACACACTGTAGCTAGTTCAAGCAAGTGAGCCCTTTGCCTTCTCTCCTAAGCTGTGACATTGGACTTCTTGTTATTCCTCCCATCCTTTGCACTGGCATTAACTCAGATACATGTGCCCTGGGACTGAGTTATCATTTAATGCCAGGTGAGCTGTTACTGTGTAGGACCCCTTGAAGGCATCGGCTAGTATGCTAAACGCTGCCTAGTATGAGTCGGATTTAATATGGAGTTAGTTTATTTTGCTCTTGTGTTGGGATGTGATAGGGAGCTGAGTGCTTGCCCTAGTTACCTCTTCACATTATAAATAGTAATATTCATTAGAAAATGTTTATTATGACCTGAAATTTTATTTGTTCTTCGTACAAATAGGAAAGTAATATTTGTTATATAAAGTTGAAAAACAGTTGTTTGGGAAGCTGTAGCTTTTAGGCTGGGTAGATTATTTATATACTTTTTACATTTGTCTTTTTACTTTCCCCCCACAGTAACAGTGAATGATGTAAAGCATATGATATCACTTCCTATGGATTTTTATCTAAAGATACAGAATCTTGTACTACCTTTTTTGTGGGGTAGCACAAGATTTGAGACAGGGTCTCACTCTGTCACCCAGGCAGGAGTGCAAGTGGCATGGTCATAGCTCACTGCAGCCTTGACCTCACGGACTCAAGTGATCCTCCCACCTCAGTCTCCTGAGTAGCTGAGACCACAGGCACCCACCACCATGCCTGCCTAAATTTAAAATTATTTGTAGAGATGGAATCTCACCATGTTGCCCAGGCTGGTCTTGAACTTCTGAGCTCAAATGATTCTCCTCAGCCTACCAAAGTTCTGGGATTACAGGCGTGAGCCACTGCGCCAGGCCAGGAAACCTATCTTATTCTGCTGAAATAAGCAGTGTTGAAAATTCACAAACTGGTTAATGTAACTCTGGAAACCACAATAATTGTGAAAAATGTGAATTGTAAAATAGTTTGTAACATTTCAAGCTGTGGGTTTGTGCATGTTATCTAAAGATTGATACTAAATAATAATAATATCAAATTTTAACTCCAGCTCAGTCTCTCCCCTACACACTAGATATACATATCCAACTATATTCCTGCAGAGGAAACCAATACCTGCCTTCCCACCCAGTCCCCATAGGCAGGGAGGGTACTTTAAAAAATATCTATTTACCTGGAAGAGAGTAATTAATGCTCTTAGTTTCTAAGTGAGCACATAGTGGCTTGGCATAGCTCATTGGTGAATGATATAGACTGGTATCATCCTGGTAAACTTGGACCTTTTAGATTAAACTATATGAAATTATCATTTTTATAAGTCAAAAATTGTCTACCTAATGTATCTGTTTAATGATACTAAGTTCAGGCACAGGAAGTCAAAACATCCTGGAGATGAAAAAGAACTTAAAGATCTCATTCTGCTTCCCTCTAATTGCTGACCTCTTTGGAACATAGGGTGCTACTTACTATACATAGTTATTTATCTCCTGATAAGTTCTTATATAATCCCTGGAATTTAAAGATTTTATTTAAAATTTGCTGGCTTTGGTTGCCTGATTTAGGGGTATCCCACTGTCCTGGTTACCCTCATCTGGATCTATTT